>NC_000001.11:221309587-221934587 GCF_000001405.40 Homo sapiens
AAGCATCCATCTATTGTTAAATTACAGATTTTACTCATACTTTGGCTTAACACAGATATCCTGCTGTTGTTGAAAGCACTGGTACTTAAGTCTTTTGGGTTTAGAGTTTATTTTTGTTGGGAGGAAAGACTTGTTGGGCCACCTGCCTCTAGTGGGTCACCACTAAGACTCTTAACAGAATGAATGGGATGCCTATCTCTTCTATCAATGAGATACTGATTAGGTGGTATTAATCTTGAACTGCATGGGGTATACCAGAATTTATAGTAATTAATCCCACTGGATATTGACCACCCAGGCAAAGGGACTCACTAGTAGTTTACAGTGTTCCCTGGAGTGCTCTCTGGAAACAACTGCTCCCTAGGGAACCTCTCAGCAACCCCAGTTGTAAATCTGTTCTGTAGGAAAACACACATGAAGGACTGAACGATGTTGTCCCAGAAAGACAAATAAAAAGGAAATTAAATGTTTGGTCTCTTCATGTAGTACTGCATTGTGATTCCCTGATGCACATGCATTTTCTTTGTAATAAAGAAGTAACCAAAAAGAAAAATCCAGTAAAAATTCATAGAGCTATTAACAAACACTTTAAGTAAGAAACACTTTGAATTGCCTTTAGGGATCCATTTCTCTTTCCCTGGTTTGCCTTGAAAGGTGAGCACTCATTTAACTTCCTGATACCATCTGGGAGTGCTTGCAGTCTTTCCGCTAACACGCTAATTAAGCATCTATCAGGGTCCTCCAGGGAGCTGAGTGGCTCAGTAACACCATCCAGTATGTGCCATCTGGGAGGGAGGCAGGACTCATAAGCTGTTTGCCCCGTCACCCAACAAAGGTGGCAAATTCCCAGAGAAAGTATCAAATGAATCTGTTAATGAGGCAAAAACTAGGAAAGAGGTCCAGGGAGGAGGGGTACTGACAGACCCAGACACGGAGTGAGCTGAAGGAAGTGGAGGATTTATTTATCTGGTTCTTAAATGAGTGTTAATGTGAGGATCTCTCCTATCAGTTGAAAGCATTTTCAAGCCGAATATTTAGTACTCTAAGGAATCCCAGACAAACCAGGAACTTCGGAGTTTACATCTTGAAGAAAGAAAAGGAAATTTGAGTTTCATAAGGATAAATGTTTTAATATACATTATAATTATAGATATTTGTCTATGTGGTGATTTTTATCTTTTTTAAGTAAGAATTTATCCAGATTGGGCCCTGAGTTAACTGGATAAAACTTAGAGGTCCAATTTGTTCAAACTCTATTTCACAAGGGAAATTAAGTGAAACGTGTAAGTTCATACAAATGAATGTAACATCTGGTTAAGAAATGACATGGGCCAAACCCATGTCATTGTGCCACAATTAGGTAATTTCTACCACATTATTTTGTATTTCCTTCGTCCAATTTGTTTTCTAAATTTCTGCTCTCCTCTCCCTTCCTCTGTTATCTTGCTAATTTTGAATCTATGGAGATTGAGAGCCTGCAAATATGCCATCTTCTTTCTCACTAGTCAGCCACCAGTTCCATTCTTCCCCTGCTGTTATTTTGAAAGTTATACTCTTTACTTCTATTCTTTAAACAATTAGAAATTTTGACATGCATACTTAACTTTAAAGCTGATAAGATTAATTAAATAGCTTTACTTTCATTCTAGGAGACTTTAGAAACATTTTAACTCCAATCACATATTCACTCAACTTATATTCTATCATTATCCAGTATTTTAGTTTTATCTTGATTTTTAAAAATTGAGATGAAATTTACAGTGAAATATACAACTTTTAAGTGTACAGATGTATTTTTTTTTTTTTGAGACAGAGTCTCACTTACTCTGTCACCCAGGCTGGAGTGCAGTGGCGTGATCTCAGCTCATTGCAACCTCTGCCTCCTGGGTTCAAGCAGTTCTCTTGCTTCAGGCTCTAGAGTAGCTGGGATTATAGGCATATGCCACAATGCCTGGCTAATTTTTGTATTTTTAGTACAGAAGGGGTTTCACCATGTTGTCCAGTCTTGTCTTGAACTCCTGACCTCAAGTGATCTGCCCACCTCGACCTCCCAAAGTGCTGGGGTTACAGGCGTGAGCCACCGCACCCAACATACAGTCATATGTTTTAATCAAACATAGAATCAATCAGTGTTCACACTGGTGTAACCTCCATCCAAGTCAAGATATGGAACATTTCTATAGAGTTCTCTCATTTCCTCTTCCAGTCTATTCCCACCTGCCATTAGGCCAAAGCTGTTCTGAGTTATGTCACCATAAATTAGCTCTGCCTAGTCTAAAACTTTATGTAAATGGAATAATACTGTATTTTTTTGTCTGGTTTCCATTGCTCAAAATGTTTTTGAAAGTCATCCATGTTGTGTGTATAGTAATAGCTTAGTGACTCCCAAAGCAAACACCTGAGAGTCTCCAGGACCCTTCCAGGGTGTCCATGAGCTCAAAAGTATTTTTATAATTAACCAATTAATTCATTCTTACTTTTTCATGAGTATACAGGATTATTTTCCTAAAGTTACATGAAGTATGATATCACAACAGATTGAAGAAGCAGATATGAGATTCCAAATACCTCTTTTTAAGCTAAACATTGAAGAGATTCCCCCAAAGTAAGGGAATATCACTTTTCTCACTAAATGTCTTTGTTTTAACAAATATAGCTATTTCCATCAAAATGTTTCACTGATGTTAATGTGTAATAGGATTATTATTATTTTTAAGTGAATAAATGAATATTTTCTAATTCCATTTTAATTTGAATATGGTAAATATTGATAGCCATAAGCCACATAAGAAAAACTCTTCTAAAGTCCTCAATTATTTTAGAGTGGAAAGTGGACCTGAGACCAAAAAGCCTGATACTTACTGAGATAGTTCTTTCTTTTTTAATTGCTGAGTAGGATTTCACTTTATATACCACAATTTTGTTTAGCCATTCCTCTGGTGGGTTATGTCCAGTTTTTTGTTATTGTAAATAAAGATGCTATTAACATCTTTCTATATATCTTTTTATAAATATATGTTTTCATTTGTTTTAGATAAATATTTAAGGGTGTAATTGATGAGTCACAGGGTAGGTATGCTTTTAACTCTGTGTGAGGGGACTGCTAAGTTATTTTCTAAAGTTTCTGTACCATTCTGCACCCATACCAGCTATGGATGGGAGTTCCAGTTTCTACACAGCCTTCCCAACTTTTGGTGCTGTTGGTCTTTCCAATTGCAGCCATGTTTAATAGGCATGCCTTATCTTCTTGTGGATTTGACTTGTATTTTCCTAATGATTAAAAGTGGTGGGTAACTTTTTTCTTAACTTTTATTTTAGGTTCAGGGGTACATATGCAGGTTTTGCTATATAGGTAAACTTATGTCATGGGGGTTAATGTACAAATTATTTGGTCACTCAAGTAATAAGCTCTGATAGGTATTTTTTTTCTGAACCTCTTCCTCCTCCTACACTCCACTCTTCAAGGAAGCCTCAGTGTCTATTGTTCCCCTCTTTGCATCTATGTGTTTTCATTGTTTAGCCCTTACTTATAAGTGAGAACATGTTGCATTTGGTTTTCTGTTCCTGTGTTACTTTGCTTAGGATAATGGTCTCCAGCTCTGTCCATGTTGCTGCAAAGGACATGATCTCCTTTTCTTATGACTGCATAGCATTCCATGGTCTATATATACCACATTTTCTTTGTCCAGTCTACCATGATGGGCATTTAGGCTGATTCCATGTGTTTGTTATTTTGAATAGTGCTGCAATGAACATGTACGTGCATGTGTCTTTATGGTAGTACCATTTATGTTCCTTTGAGTATATACCCAAACATGGGATTGCTGGGGCAAATGGTAGTTCAATTTTTAGTTCTTTGAGGAATTGCCACACTGCTTTCCACAATGACTGAACTAATTTACACTCTCACCTAAAGTGTGTAAGTGTTCCCTTTTCTTTGCAGCCTCTCCGGCATCTGTTACTTTTTGACTTTTTAATAATAGCCATTCTGATTGGTATAAGATGGTATCTCATTGTGGTTTTGATTTGCATTTCTCTAATAATTAATGATGTTGAGGATTTTTTATATGCCTGTTGGCTACATGTATGTCTTCTTTTAAAAAGTGTATGTTTGTATTCTTTGCCCACTTTTTAATGGGGTTGAGAAACTTTTCATATACTAATTGTCCATTTGTATGTCTTCTCTTGTAAAATGTCAGCCCAAGACTTTTACTCATGTTTTATTGTCCTTTATGTTATTGAATTGTAGAAATTATTTATGTAATCTGGATAAAAGTCAATGGTCAGAAATATGAATCGCTAGTACTCTCTACAGATCTGCAGCTTGATGTTCATTTTTAATGATGCCTTTTGATTAGCAAGTTTTTAATTATAATAAAGTTTAATTGTTTAATGTTTTTATGGTTAATACTCTTTGTGCCTTGTCTAAAAAAATCATTGCTTACTCCAAGATCATGAAGAAACACCTATGTTTTCTTATTCTAGAAGCTTTATAGTTTTAACTCTTACATTTAGGCCTATGATGTATCTCAAATTAATTTTTGTATGTGGTGACAAAGGGGTTGATTTATTTCCTGTGGGCCAGCTTCCACCACCAGGGAGCTAGAATCAATTGTTTAAGTAGACTCTTGTGAACACCCCTGTCTTACTGAAAGAAGGAATATATCCAGGAGCATCACTCAGGCATTTAAGACCCTCTTTAAGACGATGCCAATTTACTTTTGCAACTTTGTAGATCATCACTTTCCTGTATGCACCAGATAATCCAGACAACTGGATTTTCCAACACTGTGTAATTCTTCATTTTATTCCTTATTTCTAGAATTTCCAATCCTTTTTCTTTATCTGCTGATATCCTACTTATCCATCAAGTCCTAACTCAAATGCTTCCTCTTTCATGAAGCCCATACTTATTTACCTGCCATATTTTGTCTAACAGTCTTGACTTTTCATATGCATCTTGCAAGGTTCTGTAAAGCAGGACTTTCTCTTATTAACCTTAAAACTACCTAAAGAAGTTAGTATGTCAAGTTTCACATAGTAGATGCTCAATAAAGAATTATTGAATTGAGTTTTATTCCAGGTTAAGGGTTTGGAAATATCATTTCGTTGTTGAAACTTTCCTCCACAACCTACCTTGTCGGAGATAAAATGCTTCTTATGCTTACTAAACAATTCACAGCAGGATGCAAGCAAACATGACATACTGGGAAAAGTTGTCCCTTACTAATAGAAAAAAAAAATCTCTTTAGAATTCCAACTCAGTAGACCAATCTGGAAACAATTAAAATTCATGCACTAAATATCACTATTGTAAGAGTGTGAGGACATTTTTAATCAGATATCAGTTAATCTACAGGTTTTTTTCTAGGTGTAAGAAAAGAAAAAGAAACCCTGTAGAAAAAATCCAAATTCCTGAGTTGTTTAAAATAAAATAATGTTATAGTTACAACATGCTTTAACTCACAGGTTTAGTAGTGCTGTCCTGTATTTTTGGTCTCTCACTTCAGCCTTACTTATAAAATCTTCCAGATAAGAAAATCACACATAAGGTTCTGTGTTTCTTCACTTCACTAAAAGCAAGTATATTTTCCAATGCCATAGCATTAAAGAAAACATTAGTTGATTAAAAGAATCTAGTCCTTTTACTAGCTACTGTCTTGGGTGCATGCAGTACAAACTAATCTTGGTTAAATTAAGGAAGAAAAAGCAAGGCATTAGCAGGGTACAGAATCTCTTAGAGAATCAATGAGAATGTTAAACACTTAGGCTTCAGAAAGGTCAGGAACACTGTATTTAGACCGAAGAAACTAATGGAATGTTTATTTGGGCAACCACCAATAAGATGAATCAGCTCCAACCCTTTGCTCACTGGTCTCTAGATTTAAATTCCCCGGAGAGAGAGATGGCTAGCCTGGCTTAGATTGCTTGTGCTGTGTCCATAGCTGGGGGAAGGGAAGGACACTGGGATGGACCATATGACAAGGAATGACGGGAAGATTTGCTCCTGGAGGAAAGACTGGGCACCAGTACCAGAAAAAGGGGGAGTGGATGGTGGGTGGTGAAAAACAACAGATGTCTTTTTAAACATCAGTGCATTGTCCCCACCCCTCCATGCTAAGAGTTTGCTCACACTTGGTCAAGAACAAATGTTTCCTGGTAATAAAGGGAATTTTGGAACTTCTAATAAATAATGGAGCATGTGCTTTTCCTGGCACATATTTTACTGTAGCTGCAAATAATGAATTAACTTATCTTTACTCATCAAAGTTGCCCACAAAATAAAAATACTTTTAAACACAAGCAATGATCCACATTTCTACCCCGTTCAAAGAAAACAGATACTCAAGGTAAGGTAGGATGGTGTCACAATAGCTTATTGCCATGTGCATTTGTGTTCTGTCACTTACAGGTGCATGAGGCCCATGATTAAGAGGACAGGGTTATCAGTGAGTTCCATGTAGGGGTTCAAAGGCCAGTACCCCTGCATCCCAACTGGGACAATTCTCCAGGGCCATTTCAGCTTCAGCAGAGCTTCCTGCAGGATTGGCTGTGGCCTTTGGTGAGGTTACATGACAGCAAAATTTCTCCCTGTACCTAATGCTAAATTTCCTTAGCTTAAAAACTTTATGATTTTATAAAAACAATAATGCTCATGCATATGTAACTCACCTGAATTTCCGTTTTTCTTTTCTGTAAAATGGGTCAGTGTTCGGCTCTAAGGGCTGATTGTTTAATAATAAATGTAAATTGTGCTTTATTACCTGTGAGATACTATATAAATATATTATTACTATATTTAAATAGTCTCTCCTTTTTCTTCAGGCAAAACAGAAATATGATGCCTCTCAAGATTCTATAGTAGTCATTGCCTCACTTATTCACCCACAGACTAAAAATATTTCCATGAAAGTGGATACAAAACTTGGCTGAATATTTGCTTGCCTTTCAAAATACTGGTTGTGCAACCTAAAAGCAATGTTTTAGGTGTAGCTGGTACATAAAAATCAGTTCTTGTTTGTTTAAAAGTATTTCCATGTAACAGTTACTTGCAAACAACTCACCCCCCAAAACCAACAAACCCAGTATCATTCATGGAAAGATTTTTTGTAACACTGTCATGCTATTGCATCAGCCTAGTATGCCGTCAGCACTCCTAGAATTTTGGAGATAAACAATATCACCCTTTGGGGTCCTTCCCAACTCAACATTTGTTTTAAATGAACACTAAAAATGTGACAAGAGACCCTCAGTTCATTTCACTTCAGCTGCTTCCACCTTCCCTATGTCCCATGCCTGCCTTCTCATCCACATAAAGTCACAATCTCCAAGCCTGTTGCAGAGTGCCTTTTAACTAACCATCCATTTTGCTCTTGTCCTTGTAAGTTACTGTGATGGTAAATTTTAGGTGTCAGCTTGACTGGCTTAAGGATTACCTAGAGAACTGGTGAAGTATTATTTCTGGGTGTTACCTGACCCCCCAAGCCATAAAGTTGAACATGGACAGCAGCACTCCATCTTCAAGTGGAAATGGTATATATATGATCAGATCTGAGCAGGTCTTGAAGGCACAAGTAAGTCGCATGAAGAAGTGGCCCAAATACCCTTGGTTCCTACTCCTGCCACCCTGCCTTCCCTCTCCCAGCCTGCACCTATGGCCTCGTGAGGAAGAGGAAAAGAAGACTGTGGACTGATTTATAGATGGCTCTGCACAATATGAAGGCACCAGCTGAAAATGGAGAGCTGCAGGACCATAGTCCCTTCCTAGAACATCCCTGAAGGACAGTGGTCAAGGGAAATTTTCCCAATGGGCAGAGCTTTGGCAATGTACTTTGTTATGCACTTTGCTTGGAAAGAGAAATGGCCAGATGTGTGATTATATACTGATCCATGGGCTGTAGCCAATGGTTTGGCCAGATGGGACTTAGAAGGAACATAATAGGAAAATCGGTGGTAAAGAAATCTGGGGAAGATACATGTGTATAGACCTCCATGAGGGGTAAAAGATGTGAATATATTTGTTTCTCATGTGAATGAATACTCACCAAAGGGTAAACTCACAAGAGGAAAACTTTAATAATCAGGTGGGTATGATAACCCAACGTGTGGATACCAGTCAGCCACTTTCCTCAGCCACCCCCTCGTTGGCCAATGGGCTTATGCACAAAGTTGCCATGGTAACAAGGATGGAGGTTATGCATAGGCTCAGCAACATGGACTTCTACTCACTAACACCAACCTGACTGCAGTCACCATTGAGTGCTTTATCTACCAGCAGCAGAGACCAACACTGAGCCCTCTGTATGGCGCTATTCTCTGGGGTGATCAACTGGCTACCTGAAGGCAGATTGATTACACTGGACTAGTTCCATCATAGATGGGAAGTGGTTTATCCCTACTGGAATAGACATTTACTCCAGATGTGGATTTGCCTTTCTTGTATGCAATGCTCCTGCCAAAACTACCATCCGTGAACTCACAAAATGCCTATTCACTAATCACGGTATTCCACTCAGCATTGCTTCTGACCAGGAAACTCAATTCACAGCCAAAGAAGTGTGACAATGGGCTCATGGTCATGGAATTCACTAGTTTTGTTATGTTCTCCATCATCCTGAAGTAGCTGACTTGCTGGAATTATGGAATGGCCCTTTGAAGTTACAGTTACAGCATGAGCTAAGTGACAATACTTTGCAGGGTTAGAACAAGGCTCTTCAGAAGGCTGCATATGCCCTGGATCAGCATTCAACATACAGTATTATTTCCCCCATAGCTAGAATTCATGGGTCTAGGAATCAAAAGATGGGAGTGGCACCAAAATGGGAGGAGCACCACTGACCATTACCTGCTAGAAATCCACCAGCAAAATTTTTGCCATCTGTTTCTATGATTTTATGTTCTGCTGGCCTAGAGGTCTTAGTTTCAGAAGGAAGATTATTTCCTCCAGGAGACACAATGATGAGTCCATTGAACTGAAAGTTAAGACTGCCACCCAGCCTCTTTGGCCTTTTTATGCCAACGAGCTAAGGAGACAGTTTCAGTGTTGGCTGGGGTGATCAATCCCGACTTCCAATGGGGAAGTTGGACCTCTACCCAACAATGGAGGTAAGGAAGAGTATGTCTGGAATACAGGAGCTCCCTTGGGGTATCTTGCATTATTACCATGTTCTGTGATTAAAGTCAATGGGAAATTACAACAACCCAACCCAAGCAGAACGAATGACTCAGACCCTTCAGGAATAAAGGCTTGGGTCTCCCAGCCATGTAACAAACCTTGATCAGCTGAGGTGCTTGCTGAAGGTAAAGGGAATGCAGACTGGGTAGTGGAAGAAGGTAGCTGTGACCACATGACCAGTCACAGAAATGAAGACTGTGATTGTCATGAGTATTTCTTCCCTACTTTAAGAATATGTATATATACACAAATAAATATATTTTCTTGTTCCTCTCTAATTTTTTTACTATGTAACATAAAATTTATTGACCTATGTCAGTATTTAAGTATTGTTAATTTTGCTTCATAGTATTTACATTATAGGATAGCAGGGGAAGCATAAACATCACACAAGGACTTTTCCTTAGGGGAAGAAGAGATTAGTGTGTTTTGTTTGTACATAGGTTAGTTGGATCACGTTAGGCAGAACTGATACCTTACTATTATGATTATATGGAGATGAAGCATGGTTTAAGGAACTGCATATGGGTGCCAAGTTGACAAGGGGTAGACTTGTGATGGTTAATTTTAGGTGTCAATTTAACTGGATTAAGGATTACTTAAAGAACTGGTAAGGATTACTTCTAGGCGTATTTGTAAGGGTGTTCCTAGCAATTAGCAATTGGCATGTGAGTCAGTGGACTCAGTGGGAAAGATCTGCCCTCAATGTGGGCATGCATGGTCCAGTTAGCTGGGGGCCAAGATACAACAAAAAAGACGATTTCCTCTCTTTCCTGGAGCTGAAATACACACTTCTCCTGTCTTAGACATCAGAACTCTCCAGGCTGTCTGGATTTTGGACTCCATGACTTACACCAGCAGCCCCCTGGATTCTGAGGCCTTCTGGCTTTTCTGGTTCTGAGGCTATTGGACTTGGACTAAGCCATGATACCAGCATCCCAGGGTCTTTAGCTTGCAAACTGCCTGTCATGGCACTTCTCAGCCTCCATAATCATGTGAGCTAATTTCCCTAATAAATCACCTCTTATCTATCTATTGCCTATTGGTTCTGTCTCTCTGGAGAGCCCTGATAATACAGTTACCTTAACACACATGCTCATTTCTCTATTATCCACATGTGTGGTCTTACTGTGTTGACTCTCCCATCACACCTCAGAAGCTCCCTCATTTCATCCCTCAGTGTGCAGCAGGGAACACTGGAAGAAAGGACCAATGTAGAAATACTGGGGCATGACTGACCAAATTCCAGCATGCAATATGAACGCCTGGGGGTCAGACATTGCTTTATTCCTGTTGCACCTCTCTCCTTAGCCTCAGTGGAACATGATTGAAGAGCTTGTTCATAATGCAGAGGACAGATCCCCCACTCAAGGGATAGATTTCTCCCACAGCCAAAGTTCTCAGAGGATCATGACTCCCCTTGGCTTCTCAGTTTTCTTCTTTATATTTTTAAGTGAATAACTTTTCATCTTTTCAAAGCATTCTTCCCATCTGCTTCTAGACAAGGTGTCTAACTAAATTGCATTCTGTGACACATGCTGACTGTAAGCTAATAAAAGAATAACCAGATAAGCAGTAAGTAGGCTTTTAATCGGAAGACTATATTGAACTGGAGATAGTAAAATCCTGCATAACTATCTGCAGATGCTGAAAATCTATAAAGTTATAGCCTGGGTCAGAAGGGTTTACCTCCCTAATATGTTAGCCTTTGTTTTGTCCATAGCTTTATTATTAAACTTAATAAACTATCAGTTTTATTATGTACAGTACATAACTCCTGGAGTTTTACTATAGTCGCTGTAACCCCAGCATAGTTGAGACCAAAGAGATCATTTCATGGGTGGATATTTTGAAATAGAAAGAACTAAAGACACATTTCTTGAAAATATTTGTTTTTACTAAGCCATCTGAGTTTTGAAAAAAGTTGAAGAAATCATCATTGAAAATAATATTTCACCTCCCAATTCCTTATGGTACCCTCTAATGATATATCTTAAAAAGTTCCTTGAAGTATCTAAGTATTTCATCGGTAAATTTATTATGATTTCAACAGAATCAATAGGGAATTAAACCATAGGAAAAAGATAGGTTATAAGGAAAAGTGACACCTTTTGCACTACCCCAAACTTCTTGTAGAAATACTGGTTAAAGATATTAGGAAAGAGAGAAAATATCTCAGAAGATCTTTGGGATCTTAATGTGTTTTGCAGGCTTTTCTATACTCAGTGGTACATTTAAGCTTGTGATTTTGGCATTTGAGTGTCTGATGCACTTTAGAAAAAGGCTGCTTGCTGTCATTTGGCTTGGTGTTACTCTTGAGAATGTTAAAACTGGGTTAGCTTGAATTTAAATTTAACTTGACTAGATAATAGCCAGGGAAATTATCAATTTATCACTAGTATGCTGCAAGGAGAGATTTGCTTTTGGTTTAACTCTAGCCTTGGGATCACCAGGGGGAAATATGCTTGAAAATGAGTCCAGTACTTAGAGGCACAAGAAGTGGTTGGTGCTACTCACATTAACCCAAGGAGCAGAGACATTAGACGGATATCAAATCACATTTGTGCTTCTTATCTATTTGCATATTGGCATGATAGAGCTGATGGTTCAACATTTTGAAAATGAAATGTTTCTATTTTTTTTTCCAGATCAATAAACAATCTAAACTTTTAGGGGTTTGCTCATTAGCCCTATCCTCACCACCCAAGCACACACTTTTATTTTTATTTATTTATTTATTTATTTATTTATTTTTGAGATAGAGTCTTGCTCTGTCACCCAGGCTGGAGTGCAGTGGTGCCATCTTGACTCACTGCAACCTTTGCCTCCAGGGTTCAAGCAATTCTCCTGCCCTAGCCTCCCTAGTAGCTGGGATTACAAGTGTGCACCACCACGCCCAGCTAATTTTTGTTTTTTTAGTAGAGACGGGGTTTCACCATGTTGGCCAGGCTGGTCTCAAACTCTTGACCTCAGGTGATCCACCTGCCTTGGCCTCCCAAAGTCTCTTTGAGACAAGGATTTTATCTTCCACTTATTTTGTTTCCCTCTCCTGTCTCCCAGCAGCCACCTCAGTGTAGAAGACAGCTCTACAGCACTGTGGTAACTCATTCAGGTTACCTGGAACCTGGCAGGATGCAACAGAGAATGGCAGGGGGAGGCTCAGCCTCAAAGGACTCTTACATCTTCCTAGTTCTTGGGATTTCTCTGAATTTCAGTAGCACTTATTCTGGGCTTTACTAATTTTACACTACTGTTGTTACCTTATGTTAGTAAATATTAATAGGAGCTTATTTTCAGTGAGAATGTGAATACCCCAAGAGCTGAGGATACAATACCTTATTCTCATCTGAATGTCTTTCTGAAGGTTGGTATCTCTAAGTGATGGTTGACTAGGGTGAAGTGACTAAGAGCATTAAGTCTCAAATGTTGGGTCACCTGTACTTTGTGTTTCTCTTTTCTGGAGAAAAATTGAAGGTTCCCTTAGGAAACTTCCTATTTTATGGCAAGGTTCTGCCTTGCCCTCATGATCTTGCCTTAAGAGGGCTGAGGTGGGTCTCTGGATGCTCGTGAGACCCCAGCTTCAGCCATGAGAAAGAATTCAGGGAAAAGTCAGAATGAAGCAAAAAGCAAAAAGCTGGTATTGCAAAGCCAAAGTACACAGTCAAGAGTGGCAGTGGGGGTGTACTCAGGAGAGTAAGTTGCACCCAATAGAGTTTGGATTTCTAATTTTATGGGCTCTTCTAATTAGGGGGTAAAATAATCATGAGGTTTTTAAGAAAAAAAGTGGAGATTTCTTAGAATTGAGGTGCCACCCATTTTTATACTAAATATGGGCATGCTCGGATCTGGCCCTGGTGGTTGTGTGATTTCGTATGGAGATGAGCCTATAATTAGGTCTAGGGTAGGGCATAGGTCAATTTCAACGCCATGTTGGAGCTAGCCAGTTTCAACCAGCTTAGTGCCTGTCTGTTAGTGTCTTACAGCCCGGGCTCCTTTTGTCCTTGTAGCAAAATTTTTTGTGAAATTGCTGCTTGATATTTAACCACTTCTCCTGTGACCACCCAGCATTCTTATTTTATGGGTGTTTTTTAAATTAGAGCATAGAATCATTATTTGGTGTTTTCGAAAAGGAGGGGATTTCAGGGACCTTCAGTTACCAACCCCTTTCTTCCTTATGTGGGTTTCCCAGAGAGAGTCATAAACATGTCACTCTGATGGGGGTTTTGGATTTTTTCTCTCCCTTATTTTGGGTTTTCTGTTATCCTGTAGTTTCTTTCCATGGTTCTTGTTTTAGAGTCATTGTTTGGGTTTTTTCATTCTCCTGTGACTACCAAGTGCTATTCCTATCTCAATGATTTCATTTTTGGGGATAATTTTTAAGGAATCCTGACATTTTGAGAGATGCAAATTTTATGAAGAAAAGACTCAGCAGACCATTGGGTTCATGACCTTTTGAAGCAGGAGAAAGAGATAGAGCCATATTTTCTTCCTAGATCTGGGATGTTCCAAGCTACATCTATAAGCCTGGAACAGGATTTTGTGTGTGTATGTGTGTGTATGTGTGTGTGTGTGTGTGATTGTTGTTTCTGTTAGAAGTTATTATTCTTTATACTTTAGGGCCTTAAGTGGGTAGGAATTTAGAGAGAAGAGCTTGTTTAGAATAGACACCAGAAGAATCAGTGGCTCCCCTCACATCTAATGGATTTGTTTTCTTGAATATTTTAAGGACCAATAGCAATGGATAGAATGGATATTAGAAAAAGTGAAGCTTTCAAATAATTAATTAAATATGCTATTGTGATACGATAGACCCCATGTGTATGTATACTTCAGGTTTATCTAGATGCATATCCAGCATTTAGACCACACAAATATTTGTGAATAAGTATTGTTGTAAAGCTAGATTGTCAAAGAGAACATAAATATATCCTGATATAATGAGATGAAAGCTTAAATGTGAAACAGTACCTTTTTTTTTCCCTGTGGAATGGCTGGGACTGACCTGTCTTTAATAGGACAGGTACCTTGTGTTGTTTCTGTTTTACTGACAAAGGGTCATTTGCACATTTTACAATTTATGTGTACTGTCCTTTTTGACCTGTGACAAACAGCACAGAGTAGTGACTCTGCTAAGATCAAGATCCATTTGGCCATAAAATGTATTTTTCCTGTGAAATGGCAAGCCATTATCAACCATATGTATATGGTCACATGCATCTGGGAAAATTAAGTAAGGTTAGCCCTGGGTTCTCAGCTCCAACTCAGGAGAGAGGTTTGGGCATCTTTGTAAAACTATTCTTGAGGAAATCAGCTCAATACAGGGCTACAGTTAAAAAATCCCGTAAAACATCTCCTTGAGAAGAGTACAATATGCTGAACTGAGCTGATAACACCCCTGGTCCAGATCACAGTCTGTACCTGTGATCACCATTGCATTAGGACAGGGACAGGGAAACTGGAGAAAGTTGCCAAGAAGAAAACTATCGTTAGTATACGAATGGGAAGAATTTAGAAAAGGATGTTGCCTTAGGACATGAAATCAAAACTGTCTGGCACAATGGCTCATGCTGGTAATCCCAGCACTTTGGGAGACTTAGGATATAGTGAGACTTCCTCTGTACAGACATTTTTAAAAATTAGCCAGGCATGATGGCACATGCCTGTAATCCCAGCTACTTGGGAGGCTGAGGTGGGAGGATCACGTGAGCCTGGGAGGCGGAGGCTATAGTGAGCCGAGATGGCGCCACTGCCCTCCAGCCTAGGTGACAAAGCAGCCTATTGGGAAATAGAAAATATAATGAAGGATAAAAGATTTAGATAGAATGAACATGAGTAACTCCTGCTCTATTGAAGGATTAGAATCGGGAGGCATCCATCAAAATCTGAGAGAGCTAATAACAACAATAAGTATACTTTACAGTTACTAAATACTTTTATATAGTATTTTATTATAGGTTTTTTTTTTGGCAGAGCAAACACAATTAACTTTTAAAATTAATTATATCCCAAAGTGGCACAGGCTGAAGATAAGCTTTATGTAATTGATACAACCATTTTCTAAGTGTGTTCCAAAAGTATTAGTACAGTATTGCTTTAAAAAATATTTCCATGAGCCTACAAGTTTATAAAGTGCCACATATACACAGTGGCTCCCCTCTATGCACTTAGTTACAATACACATTAGATATTAAAGGCTTTAAGAAATCTCTTGAAAAATAAACTTCTTTAGCTTTGTTTAACTCAGTATTCTACATTTATTTTATCAGAGAATGGCTATTGTTCAAAATCTTA
Source organism: Homo sapiens (assembly GCF_000001405.40). Classification (NCBI taxonomy): domain Eukaryota; kingdom Metazoa; phylum Chordata; class Mammalia; order Primates; family Hominidae; genus Homo; species Homo sapiens. The sequence goes on from NC_000001.11 coordinate 221,325,054, forward strand.
CTCACATTCTACAGTAAGATGGTCTTACTGTCCTGGGACTTCCCTTGAGAAATGTGAATCTATGTTTATTAGTGAAGGATGGATTTCTGATGGATACCAAAGGAAATCAAATTTTTGTGTGTTGTAGTCCCTCAACTTCAAGGCTATATCTGGAAGGATTACTTACTTGGTGTGTTGGGAAAATTAAGTCACGTTTACTCTAGGTTCTTAGCTGCAACTCAGGAGAGAGGTTTGGGCATCTTTGTAAAACTATCCTCTAAGATTGGATAGACCAGAATCTGACTTTGGGAGGGAGAAGAATCATTCATTTTGTGAATATCATAGCTGTTGAGTACGTACTGTGTTCTAGAGACTGTTCTAAGGCTTTTACATATATTATTTGATTTAATTCTCACAACAAAAACCTAGCAAGAGGATAGTACTATAATATCTAATTTACAAATGAGGAAATTGAAGCACAGAGAGGTTGAGTAACTTGTCCAAGGTGACCCAGTGTCAGAATTGGGACTTGAACCCAGGCTTTCTTACCTAGTCTTCTTTTTTTGAATTTCACCTTTTGTTTTAGGTTCAGGGGTACATGTGAAAGTTTGTTACATGGGTAAATTGCATGACGCTGAGATTTGGGATATGGATGATCCCAAATCACCCGCATGATCATCCTGGTCACTCAGGTAGTGAGCATAGTATGCAATAGGTAGTTTTTTGTAATCCTTGCCTCTCTCCCTCCTTCCCCCATCTAGTAGTCCCCAGTATTTACTCTTCCTTTCTTTATATCCATATGTACTCAATATTTAGCTCCCACTTATAAGTGAGAACCTGTGGTATTTGATTTTCTGTTCCAGCATTAATTGGCTTTGGATAATGGCCTCCAGCTACATCCATGTTGCTAGAAAGGAAGTGATTTCATTCTTTTTTTATGGCTGCTTAGTATTCCGTGGTGTATATGTACCATATTTTCTTTATCTAATCCACCATTGATGGGCATTTAGGTTGATTGCATGTTTTTGCTATTGTGAATAGTGCTACAATGACTATACGAGTGCATGTGTCATTTTGGTAGAATGATTTATGTTCCTCTGGGTGTGTACCCAGTAATAGGATTGCTGGGTTGAATAGTAGTTCTGTTTTAAGTTCTTGGAAAAATCTCCAAACATCTTTCCACAGTAGCTGAACTAGTCTGCATTCTCACCAACAATATATAAGCATTCTCTTTTCTCTGCAACATTACCAAAATCTGTTACTTTTTCACTTTTTTTTTGTTTTTTTTTTAAGGCAGGGTCTTCCTCTGTCACCCAGGCTGGAGCACAGTGGTGCAATAATAGCTCATTGCAACCTCGAAATCCAGGGCTCAAAGGATCCTCCTGCCTCAGCCTTTTGAATAGCTGGAACTACAGGTGTGCACCACCGCGCCTGGCTAATTTTTCAAATTTCTTATAGAGATGGGGTCTTGCTTTGTTGCCTAGGCTGGTCTTGAGCTCCTGGGCTCAAGCGACCATCCTACTTTGGCCTCTCAAAGTGCTGGGATTACAGATATGAGCCACCGTGCCCGGCCTTTGACTTAGTAATAATAGTCAATCTGACTGACCTCACTCTAGTCTTGGGACTTATAATCATCATATTACCCTGCCATCCTCCTCCAAGTAGAATAGCAGCAGCTGGGGAAAAACCAAAAAGGTAAGTGACCATTACAATAGGTAACAGGGGTCATAAAGTGTGGTAATTCACTTAGTAGCTCTATAAAAACCAGGAGGAGAAGATGAGACATACATCTGATAATAGTCAAATGACAAACCTTTTACCATGACATGAATGCTTTTAAACCTAAGACAGGGAGAGACTGTGTAAAACCTGGCTACATGGAATAATAGGAACAATTTCCCGTGGCTTTTGGCATCATTTATTTTGAGTGTTGTTTCGCCATCTCCAAAGTGATGACCATGGTACAAGCCCCATCACATCTCACTGGGAATCCTCACACAGCCAGACCTCCTGGTCTCTCTCTTCTACTCTTGCCTCCCCATGTGCCTGCAGAGCAGCCAGAGTGAAACTTCACATCCCAGAGAAGATTGTGGAATTTCCCCATTCAAGGAAACCCCCATCTTTTTACTTTTTACTGAAATTCGTCAGTAACCCCCATCTCCTATAAGATCCTGTAGGTTATACCTTTTTCCTCTATGTTCTCATATCCTACCATTTTCTTTGATCATTGTGTTCCAACCACACTGAGCCCTTTGTTACACCTTGTATATCTAATAGTTCCCTCAGTTTGAGGACCCTAGCTTTATATATACACATGACTTCTGCTCTCCCTTAATAGGACCTCTGCTCAAATATTGCCTCTGAAAAATGTCCCTCATAGATGGCTCTGTATAACATAGCAGCCCTATCCTCTTTCCATACTCTCCCCTCAGCTTCATTTTTTTCACAGCACTAATTATATTATAATTTTTGACATTACATTATTTATTGTATGCCTATTATGAGATTATAAGATCCATGAGGGGTAGGGACTTTATTTTATTTAAAGTTATAGCCTGAGAATTGAGATCAGTCTCCAGTGCATATGGATTTGGCAATACATGTTTGTGGTGTGTCAACGCAGTAAGTTCCTAATAAGGAGAACAGCATCCTACAGAACTGTAGGTCTGGAAGTAGATGAGATTCTGAGCTCCATGATTTGGGGGCTTGCCCAGGTTGTATAGGGCTGGTGAGGGGTTGAACAAGGGCTCTGACATCCTGTCCAGTGCTCCTCTTGTTGCCTCACATTGCCTTCCTATTACCACAGCTTCTTGAAAGACTTTTGTCAGGAAAGCAGCTATTTTGGGGGAAATTAGTTTTTTTTTGTTTTTTTTTTTAAACCAGAAAATGATCTGGGGTCCAAAGTGATGCCAGTCCCATATACTGCATTACCAGGAATCCTACTCTGTCAACCTCCAACCAGTCCTTCTGAAATATGGTCATAAAATAATGGATCTGTAAACTGTTCTGGGCAATTATAGTGCTCCTGGATTGAAAGTGGGCTGTCATTAGCCATGCTTATGGACACCAGCTTGCTGCAGTTGGCTGTCAGCCAGGCTGGAAAACAGCCTTCGATTGGGAGGACACAAGTTCAATGGGATAATTAGGCAGGGTTTTGTACAAGTTTGTTGATAAAAAATGTGCTACAGATTAGCCTTTTCCCCTCTCTGTGCTGAGTTAACGATCAGACAGAACAGGTGGTAAGCTAATGGGGGAATACGAACTTAATACTTTGTTTCCTGGTCCCGCCTTTGTTGCTTTTGTGTAGAGTATGTCTTCAGAATTTTCAAACACATTCAAGCATCTTTTTCTTCCCAGTTTTATTTAGTTTAGTCTAAAATATCTGGCCCAAAGGGGTCTGAGCCATCCAGGTTTTCAAAAGGAGTTCTCCTACTTTTGTGGGAAATGCTCTAAGAATAAACATCTGGAAAATAGAACAATTACAAACAGTATGAAGTAAAAAACAAGGCTTTCAAACTAGCTGTTAAACCTCAACCACAGCAGGATCTCAGATTCCAAATGTAAGTTTGACTTTCATCTAAAAAATGTGATCCTTCTTAAGAAATAGTTCAGCCATTCATGCCTCTCTAATCACAGAGCCTCTTGTTTGGTGAGCGATGGGTTTTCAAAACGTCTATGTCCCCTACAGGTACTAAAGACTCTAAAGACCCTAGAGCTTACTTCTAGATGCCAACTGTCAGTCTAAATAATAATAATTATAATAATAATAAAAAACAAATTGTTCTCACCCTTTATTATGATGAGACTAATTTCCTTTTCCTCATTTTTGGATTTTATGAAAATGTTTCATAATGGTTTTAGAAGGACCTGGAGATTCAAGATTTCTTCTTTTATGGAAGACTCTCAACAACGAAAATTTGTCCTGTTCTCTCTCTCTCTCTCTCTCTGTGTGTGTGTGTGTGTGTGTATGTAAAACTCAGTCCAATTTCTCCTTTCTTCCATGAAGTTTACTTTTGCTATTCTAGCTTTAATCATTTCCCTCATCTTCAATCTGTGCTCATGATTTTTTACTTAATTGTACACTTGCTTAAATGGTTCTTTTTTGTGTGTGACTGTCTCATCTTCAGATGGGAAGGATATGGTATAGTTAAGAAATACAGACTTTAAGAGTGATATCAGCAGGGTTGTGGACAAGTAAGGGAGCCTTACTCCCTCATGGAACCACCAAGTAAAGAGCAACATATGGACCAACATAGCTTTATGAGAATGCTAGAAACCAGTTAAAAATCTGCAGGAAGTCAGCAAATGCCTAATCTAGTAAAAGCTACATTCAACCTGGTAGAGAATTCCATGGCATTGTTGCTCATCTTGGCTCTATCTACTGTTGGGTGCAGAGCAGAGTAGTTGGGAGAAAGTTACCCAATTCCTGGTTCGTCCCTCAGAATGGAAGAAAAATAGTGGAACTTGTTTACAACGTTCTGATGTTTCTGGAAGCAGCTCAAGGGACTGGGTTCAGTTTCATTTAACTTGGAGTGTTGATGAGAATAATGGCATAGTTTGTATATCAGTTTAGGGACTGCTGAAAGCAGTAGTGAGAGCTGCAGGGGAACTGGGTACCTGGGGCAAGAGAATACAAACAGAGGAATATAATAGGACATAAGGCCCTGAGAAGAAGCAAATGTGAGACTTATAGAGAAATTAAGAAATTTTAAGGCATATGGTGGGGGAAAAAAGGGCAGGGTGGGGAAGGAAGCACACACATAGGCCCAGGAAAGACATCCCCAGAAAAGACCTGAGACGACCTTGGGCCTTCATGCTAGGCCAAATAGCAAAAGTCTTCTTTTGCATGGAGCAAGTCCACAAAGATTGGGAGAAGTGACTGTTTTTTTTTTTTTCATGCCCAAGTTTCAATAAAAAAGACCACAAAGCATATAAAGAAATAGGTAAGCACGGCACATTCAAAGAGCCAAATAAATCTCCAGAAACTAACCCTAAAGAAACACAGTTTTCAGACTTCCTTGGCAAAGACTTTAAAACAACTGTCTTAAATATGCTTATATTCTTAAATATGAGCCAAAGAAGAACACAGGCAGATAAGTAAAGAAAATCATAAAAAAGATACATGAACAAAATGCACATATTCACAAGGAAATGGAAATTAGTCAGACCTGGTAGCTCATGCCTATAATCCCAGTACTTCAGGAAGTTGAGGTGGGAGGACTATTTGAGCCCAAGAGTTAGAGACCAGCCTGGGTAATATAGCAAAACCCTGCCTCTATTAAAAATCAAAAATTAGCTGGGCATGATGGTGTGCACCTCTAGTCCCAGCTACTAGTAGGGCTGAGGTGGGAAGGTTACCTGATGCCAGGGAAGTTGAGGCTGCAGTAAGCTAAGATTGTGCCACTGCACTCCAGCCTATGCTACAGAGTGAGACCCTGTCTCAAAACAAAGCAAAACAGAGATAAAAGTTATAAAAAAGAACCTAACAGAAATTAATTCTGGAGCTGAAAAACACGATAACTGAATTCAAACATTTACTACGGTGTATTTTTTTTTTAGACAGAGTCTCCCTTGGTTGCCCAGGCTGGAGTGCAGTGGTGTGATATCGGCTCACTGCAACCTCCACCTGCTGGGTTCAAGTGATTCTCCTGCCTTAGCCTCCCGAGTAGCTGGGACTACAGGTGCATGCCACCACACCTGGCTAATTTTTGTATTTTTAGTGGAGATGGGGTTTCACCATGTTAGTCAGGCTGGTCTTGAACTCCTGACCTCAAGTTATCCACCCACCTCAGCCTCCCAAAAATCTGGGATTGCAGGCGTGAGCCACCGCATCCAGCCTAATGTTTTAATGGCAGACTTGAATAGGCAGAAAAAAAATCCTTAACGTTAAAGAGAGATCATTTAAAATTATTGAGGCTAAGGTGCCAATAGAAAAATGAATGAAGAAAAGTAAACAGAGACTGAAAGACTATGGGATACTACCAAATGAACCAATATACTCATTATGAAGTTTTAGGAGAAGAGAGAAACAAAGAACAGAGAACTTACAGTAGTCCTCTTTTATCAATTGGGTATGTTCCAACATCCCAAATATAGTATCAAACCCTATATGTACTACTTACAAATTTCTTTTTCTTCCATCACAATTTCATGGATAGATTTACTTTTACTGTAGATCTTAGAAACCTCGCATAATTTTTTTCCTTCCTTGTGTCAAGAATTTTCAACTTTTTACTTAAAGGAAGCACTCCATGAACATTTTTTTTTTGGCATACCCAAATTTCCAGCATTACCTATATTACACTTTGGGGACTTTGTTAAGTAAACTAAGAGTTGCTTGAACAAAAGCACTGTGATACCATGACAGTCAATCTGATAACTGAGATGGCTACTAAATGACTAACAGGCAGGTAGTATATACAGTGTAGATATCCTAGACAGAGGGATGATTCATGTCCTAGGTAGAACAGAGCAGGATAGCACAAGATTTCATCATACTGCTCAGTATGGCATGTGATTTAAACTTATAAATTGCTTATTTCTGGAATTTTCATTTAATATTTTCAAACTGCTGTTGACCATTGGCAATGGAAACTGTGGAAAGTGAAACTGTGGGTGATGGTAAACTACTGTGTTTGGAGAAATAATGACCCCAAACTGCCCAAATTTGAGAAAAGACATGAATCTACAAATACAAGAAGCTCAACAAACTCCAAGTATGATAATCCAAAGAGATCCAACTAAAATATAGTCAACTGTGAGAAATCAAAGACAAAGGAAATCTTGAAAACAGAAATGGAAAAATAGCTATACAATGTGTCCTCAATAACACTATCAGCAGATTTCTCAGCAAAAACCTTGCAAATAAAAAAGTAGTGAGATAATATATTTAAAATGCTGAAAGAAAAAAAAAGTTGTGACTAAGAATTCTATATCCAGCAATACTGTCCTTCAAAAGCAAAGAATTAAAACTTCCCAGATTTAAAAAAATGCTGAGGAAATTCATTACTACTAGACCTGTTCTGTAAGGAATGTGAAAGAGAATCCCTTAAGTTAAAATGAATGGATGCTAGGCCATATAAAATTTTCTAGCGAAGGTAAAAATATGGGCAAATGTAAAAACTTTCATTATTATAATTTTGGTTTTTAACTCAACTTTTTATTCTTTTATAGAATGTAGAAGGCAAAGCATAAAAATAATTATAAATCCATGCTAATCAGTAGACAATATATCAAGGTGTAGTTTGTGATATTACAAATGCAATTTATGACACATATAACAATATGACTGAATCTTGAGGATATTATGCTAAGTGAAATAAGCCAGTTACAAATACCATTTGATTTCATTTATATGAGGTACGTAGAATTATTAAATGCATAAAGACAGAAAGTAGAATGATAGTTGCCAACAGCTGGGGATTGGAAGAAAGAGTTGTTCTTAATAGACGCAGAGCTTCAGTTTGGGAAACTTAAAAAGTTCTGAAGAAGGATTGCCCAACAATGTGAATGTACTTAACACTACTGGACTGTACATTTAAAAACAGTTAACACGGTCAACTTTATGTTATGTGTATTTTATCACAATTAAAAAAATTTTGTTAATATGGGCTTTGGAACCAGATGACCATGAATTTGCATTTCAAGTTCTTTTAACTCCTAGTGAAGTGGTGTTGTTGTCTGGGGTAAATACCCGGGTTCATTGTCTTGCATCAAGAAGATTAAGGACGTGGACATACATGAGAAGTGACTTTAGGAGCGGAATGTAATAGGCAAAAGAAAGAGAAAGGAGAACAGCTCTCTCTCTTGCGAAAGAGAGGGGCATCCAAATGGGACTTCTGGCCCACGTGGAGTGTACCAGATTTTATAGGCAGGCTGGAGGAGGCGGTGTCTGATTTATGTAGGGCCTGCAGATTGGTTGGATCAGGTGTGATGTTTACGTAGCACACAGGGAAGGCAGGCCACCCCATCGTAATCTTATTATGCAAACAGCCTTTCCACTTGGCCAGTGCCATGTTGTCTGCTCCTTACTGTACACCTGGCTGGCAAAGAGAAGAGAAGACAGAGCTGCCATTTTGAACATGCCTAGTTCCAGGTAGCCTTTTCCTGTTGGCACAACTGCAGGCATTCGCCTGTGCAAGCTTCTAGCTTGCTTGTCTATGTCTGCAGCTCGATTTTACAGGCTGCTCTTTGTTAGAAAAGAAAATGATTTTGGGGCTGCTTTTCATTAAAAGGAAAACCTTTCTGAGGACTCCAGTACCCTCACTATCTGCCTAAATAATTTCTTCTTAACTCCTATATCACTAGCTGAGTAACCTTAGGCTAATAGCCATTCACTCTGAGCCTTTTTTCCTGTAGGATAAAATAAAAATAAAGTTGCAAATGCATGTAAAACCCCTGGGGCACAGTAAAGAGAATAAACATTCTAGATGGCAACCTCTTTGATGGCAAGTCTTAATTCTAATACTACTCCAAAATGCAAGGCTAACTGTGATTTCATTTCAGGAGTGTATTTTTGCAAATGATTATGTAATCAAAGATTGAGGAACAAAAAGAAGCTGCATTAAAGTTGTGACTCAGGTGACTAGATGAAGACTGGAATGACTTTCTCACTTCTGTTACTGTGCACACATTTTAGAATAAGACAAAGTCAGTCTTCCAAAACTAACTTTTTAAAATGTTTTGGGGGTGGTGTGGGAGTGGAAAAGGGAAGGCAGCACTAAAAGGGATATATGAACACTGATATTTTCCCTCCGTGTGAACATACTTTCATAGGCTGCCCCATGGATGGCTTTGTGATACCTCACGCAGTTTCCTTTCTCATCAGCCCTTCACTTGTCCTAAGGGACAGCACCCCGCAAAAACACACTATTTCACGTAGACCTGCAGTATCCACAAAGAAAAGATGATCTGGGACGTCCTCTGATCTTGCGTGTGGAGGATCCTTTGCCAGCTTTAGAGGAAGACAAGACATAGGGAGAAAAGGTTTTTGTTGTGGTTTGTTTTTTTTACTGCGACCTGAAATCCGCCTTACCAAAACCCATTCCAGAGAACTTTAGCCTTGGCTTCAGCCAAACAGGCAATGAAGTGTAACTTTTCAGTGACTATTTCGGTTCCAAAACCCTTGTATATATGGATTTATTTGGAAAAATAAAGCCTTAAAATAGAAGTCCAAGCTTATCATGTGCAGGCCTTTTCCTGCCAACTTATAAGCAACAAACTGGTGTATTTCTTCTTCCTCTTTGAGATAGAGTACATTCCAAGAGGAAGTCGATGTCAAGTATTTGGATAAACAGCTAAGATTTGAGAACCAGCTCTCCAGCAATGGGGGAGGTTTTCTCTAATATGTCCTAAGGCTGGTGTGCTACAGGTTTGTAGCAATTATTTCTTTTTTTAAAAAGCATTTTCTTCTCATTAGGGAAAAGACTTCTTGAATGAACTAAAGGGGACAGATGGAGACTTGGAACATTGTCATCACCCTTGAGCCTCTGTAACTATGATTTCTAGGGCACTCAGGTAGTTTATTGGGCAGTCATCCGAGGGGAAACTAAACACATGTTAACATGGACTGGCAGCCCCTAGTCTAAATTCTTTCAGCCAGTGGTCCCCAACCTTTTTGGTACCAGGGATCGATTTTATTGAAGACAATTTTTTCCATGGATGAGGTTGGGTGGGGGATGGTTTCGGGATGAAACTGTTCCACCTCAGGTCCTCAGGCATTAGAGTCTCGTAAGAAGCACGTGACCTAGATCCCTGGCATGCGCAGTTCACAATAGGGTTCGCGTTCTTACGAAAATCTAATGCCGTGGCTGATCTGACAGGAGGCGAACCTCAGGCGGTAATGTTTCCTCGCCTTCCACTCACCTCCTCTGTATGGCCCGATTCCTAACAGGCTACTGACTGGTACAGGTCTGTGGCATTTGGGGACGGGGACTCCTGCTTTAAGCCATAGGGTAGCAATGCTTCATTTCCATCCAGAAAAGAGGAGAAAGCGCAAGGGATGGTTGTTGCAAAATCATGTTCCCCATCAAGGGAGTCTCTTGGAGACAGTGGAGTCACATAACCAGCATGGTGACAGCAGGAATCAAGCCAGCTCCTGAACCCAAGTAGGAAAGCAGGTGACTGAATGGCAAAAACTGCCAGATACAAATATTTTCTTTTGTGCTTCTCTGTTTTTGAAGCAGCTCATGCCCTGGGAAGATGAGGATGTCTTACAATTGTTTCCATTTAGTGATGCAGAAACTGTCACAACAATGAGTCACTGTTCTGTACAAAAGAGACCTTTGGTGGTGGAAAACTGGTGTGTGTGTGTGTGTGTGTCTGTGTGTGTGTGTGTGAGAGAGAGAGAGAGAGATTGCTCAAATTGCCATTGCCTAATCAGCCAGTAGTGATTGAATGGAGAAAGCCTTTGAACCAGATCTCAGATTCAGGGTGCTTTCATGGAGCAAAGAGAAAAAGACTGAGAAATTCACTATGGTGAGTATTGAGGTTGTACTGCAGCTCAGTCTGGAGAATTGAAGGCTCCTTCCTGAAAGGGTATGGGGACATAGAGAAAGATAGCATCAGTGGATCAAAGCTACCACATTTTTGCGGTTAGATGGAGATTACAGTAGGGAGTGACAGAGATAAAATGTTAAAAACCTCCAACATTCCAGTTTAGACACAGCCCCTCCCCTTTCTGGCCATAGTGACCGCTCTCTGGCAAGCACTGCCCAGGGAAGATAAATCAGTTAGCCAGTGGCCTAAGGGTTAGGACTTTAAAAAACAACAACAATAAAAAAACCAAGAAGTTATAAACCGTGAGTCCACAAGTGGCCCCAGGAGACTTGCCTTCTGCATTCTCTCTGTCTGCGCAGGACTGTGAGGCATCTCTGGGAAGCCATCAGCTCTCAGGGGCAGGCACAGGAAACAGCTCTTCTTGTTGGCAAAATCCAGTTCGGTGGTTTGGAACAGGGTAGACAGAGAAACAAACAAGTGTTTGTTCATAGGCTGAGACCTAGGGGGTGTATAAGGAGTAATGATCCTATCACCTAAGGAGGATGAATTCTGGGTCATTTTATGAACTGTCTTCCTTAGAAAAGCCTCCGAAGCAACTGGCAGATGAAAACTGGAAACTATTTTGAGCTGGGATCAGGGAGTCCAGGGAGCTCAGCAGACCAGGTTACTGCCACTGCCACTCACTAATTAAGCACATGGACAAATTGCTGCCTTTTCTTGGCCTCTTTTCCTCCTCATAAACAGATGAATCCAAAACTTTTCTAAATCCAAAACTCACCAGTTACTTTTCCTCTTGTCTGCTGATCTTTACTTTTTTTTTTTTTCTATGACACTGCATTTTTCCCCCCTGATGTCAGGATCCAAGAGAAAGTGAAAACCTTTCTCCTGATACGGTCAATACTGGAGAACTGGGAACAATGTCAGAATGACCGGCCACCCTGAGCCAGCCCCTTCAATGGCACTGCCCCTGGGGGCTGTTCAACATATAAACTGGGGCCATTTAACATATAAACTGAATTCAAAAGTTACTTCATGTTCTACAAAAAGAATATGTTTTATTTTTAATTTACCTTCATTTTCAAAAAAATCAAGATTCTCTCTTTAAGGTGCCCCGGGCCCTATGTGTCATGCAGTACCCATTTGCAGAAACATCTTCTGTCACCAAGAGTTTCGGAGACAGTTTTTGTAGAGTTCCAGGCCTCAGTTTCTCTCTCTGTTGCAGGGAAATAATCAGACTTACCTGCCATCAGCTGCTCTGAGGTTTTTTGTGAGCTTCTCAGCTGACAGTTTTAAAAAGTAAAAACTATCCTTATATGTGATTACGTATCTTCTCAAATAAGACTTTCTTACATCTGCAGAGACTGTTTAGTCTCTTAGTCTTTTCTAGAATTCTGGGTTACGTTTAAAACAAGCACTACGTTTTATATTAATACCAAAGCTTTGAAACCACCGTGGTTAATGACTCTACCAGCTGCTTTTTGTCGTCTTTAATAGTGACCTCTTTTTAGGAATAACTGCCACCTAATACCTTCCTCTCAAAGACTAGGTCAACAGAGAGTCATTTGGCTGATTTTTCCATCAACAAGCTAGGGGGCTGGGGGTTAGCACAAACTGGTTGTAACCATTTTATTCTTCAGCCTCTCTCTGTGCCTGTGCCTCAATATTTCTCCAATGAATGCTAGTAGCCTCAGGATGCAGTACAATGATGATACTATCCTGCCCTCCGAAGAAAAGGCACTGTTTTCCTGCCTGCTTCCCTCCAAAGCATAAACACACAAACCGTATGCTGATAGCATCATTGTTACAAATACAAGCTTGAGATATTTAAATATTTGTGTTTAGATTCCATCTTTATCCATCACTCTTTTGCCTTTGTACAATTATGAAATGCAGATATTTTCATTCAATATCAAAGCATCCATCCAGCCTCTTAGGAGAAATGCTGGCTTAGTTAGTGAAGTCAAAGCTTTTATGCCTTGAGTATTAAGCTTGCTGGGATCAATACATGGGAGCAGATCGTGGCAATTCTGGAATCTGGGACAAGCATCATCAGAGTGTGATCCCATCTTGAGTGCTCAGTGGAAGTAACTCCAAGCCAGGGGAAGTCCCACCAGAAGAAAAGGCTGACTCTAAATAAGGTGCATGTTTCCAAACTATTGGTGCCTTTTGCTCCTCTGGCTTGTGTCCTTCCCAGGGTTTTATACTCAGATACTGGAAGTGAAACTCCTTCATGTCCAGCTCACAGCTGGCTGCCATCATGGACTCATGGAACTAAATGGATCGTGGGGCCCTTGACACAACTACAACTCAGCCCTCCTCTCACTTCTATTTTTTGTTGTTTGTATGTTATGTACAATTGACTGTAAGTCATTAGCAAACACATTTATTGGTGGAACCATGTAGTATTTAAGAACATAGGCTTTGAGGTTCAAAATTTGTGCATTAAATTTTACCTCTTGTTATTTGCTAGCCTTGTGGCCACAACAAAGTCTCTTAACAGCCTAATTTTTCTCATCTGTAAGATGCTGCTAATTATGTTTACTTTATTGATTTAGTATGAAGATTCAAAGAGATAATGTATGTAAAAATGAAAGCATGATATTTGGAGAATTTTAAGCATTCATAATAATGTTTCTCATTGTTAATAATACTGATATTTTATGGTTACATAAAAGTATTAGATTTAGAAGGTGTTCCAGCCCATATGATAATGTCTTTTCTTTTTTTGTCTGAGGCTGAGAAACTAAGATATATAATAATACCAATAACCAAATTCAGAGTCTTTTTTGATCTCAATTTCAGTGACATGAACATGATTCCACCCGGAATTCTCAACAAAGTTATTTTCTGACAACTCTTGGTCAGGAGCCTGATAACTTGGAAACCATTTGATCTTTTGCATAGGGATGGTCTTTTTGTCAAACATCAAATTTAGCCCTCTTTCTTACTGTGGGATAAGTATATGCTTTCAGACTTCATGAAAATATTGTCAATCACCAAGAACAATTTTCTGGTGGAGAAAATCTAGGGAAAACATTAGCAAAAGTCTAAACTGAACTAATGGACGGTATTTAAGCATCCAAGTTTTCGTGTATTTGGTATGTAACCATTATCAAAATGAAATCTCTCATTTCGTGTTTAGAGTTTTTTCCTCCCATAACACTGCTTGAAAATTTTAAACCAAGTAGGCAACAGGAAAAAAATATTGCTTTGATACATTCTTTCTGAAAAGAGAGGTCAAATATGCAAATTAATTAATTCTTTCTTTTTTTCTTTATTTAACATCTTATGTTTTGAAGCGGGAGGGAAGCAAAAGAGAGTTTATGTGTTTAAAGGTGTGTGTATGTGTTTGTGTGCATGTGTGTGTGTGTCTGTGCATTTATGTACACATTCCCAATGGGGAAATATTCCATCTTGATGACTTGGGGCTGCACGCAAAGCACATTTACAATTAACGCCCCACCTCTACCTTTTGCCATGCTCTCACTTTCCAGAATCCATATGTTGTAACTGATATGAGGCTCCAACTGCTTTGTTGCACATGTGAATTTAATAGTGGCAAATTTAGATGAAATGGTTCAGAACTGCCCATGTATTACTTTCATCGGCAGCAAGATCATCACATTAATTCTTTTTTCAAGTTAGTGTTGAATCTAGTCCTCTTGAAATTGATGAATGACAGGGCTGGCTGCAGCCAGGCATGATGAGCACAGGTGCTCATTTGGAAGCTGGCGCCTCCAAACCCAACCCATGCCACTTAATCTCTGCATCGCATGTGTTTTCCTGATATTTAGTACTCACTCTTCCTTCAACACACAGCTTTTGGCATCTCAGCGTTAGTGTGTCTATACTGTGTATATAAATGGGTCTGAAGAGATCATGCTTCCGCGATCTCTGTTTCTAGCCCTACAGGTTGGGGGTGTCACTGGTCTGTAGTTGTGCTCTAATCACAGTTTGCAACTCTGCTCTTTCCTTTGGAGGTTAATCTAGAAGTTTTGCTTAGTTTTTCTAACAATATTTTCTCCCAGTTTGCCCCATAGAAATCATGTCTCAATGTAAGTGTAATTATTCTGCCCAGCTTGTCCATTTTAATCTCACTTTAATTCACCAAATATCAAGTGAGGGACATTCTACTACCAAGACCAGCTCTCCCCTACGAAGACCAGACTTGCAGATGTTTTTTTTTTTCATAAGCTTCATTTTGAGGTGGTCAGAGTACCAAATAGCAATGAATACTGCTTATGAAGCATATTCATACATCTTTCTATTTTGTGCGTTACAGAGGTCCTTTGGGCCTAATATTATTACTACATAATTACTATTTTACACACAAGAACCTTGTAGCTCAACAAGATTGACAAGGTTACACTGTTACTAATTCATTTGGGAGTTGAACCCAGGTCCTTCTCCTTGGAGTATGTACTGATTGTTCAGGGAGCATCATGACTGGGCTCCTGGGTTCTGCCCATAGAATACTATAGAAGCATTTATGTGGTTCCTGGTGTCTCAGGCCTTCTCTCCAAGTTTTAGGGCAAGACAGAGGTTGGTAAAGGTGGAGGAAGGACAGGCCACCAAAACTGTGCAAGCAAGCAGGGATAAAAACTGAGAGCAGAACAGAAGTTCACAGATCCAAAGAGAAATGTGATAGTTTCTAAAACCAGTGGGGCTATAAAAGGTATCAAAGATGGGAGTCAGGCTGTGAGTGAGTAGAAGAAGGTAAAAGCATTGTTGCAGGTTGCACACAAGAAGGCTGTAGTCCAGCATAGTTACTTAGAGCCAACTTAGTTGTCTAGATCCTATTATAGTTCCGGGAGTGGGAACGATTGTTAGCTCACCAGTGATTTTCTGAGCTCATATTTCCATATTGTTTTATTGATGTGGCATTGATTTAACAATTTCAGAAAAGGAATGTGGGGAGAGAGTGACTGTACCCTGGGATATCTGCTAGAGTTCATTAAGAGGTGCTGGGAAATGTGAAGAGTCACTGTTCTGATCAGTGCTCACCCTGCCATCCCGCAGTTAGATGATGTAAATGGCATATTTACCAAAGTCAGACTCTAGGCTCCACACTTACTTTTGTGGGCTCCTATAATTTTCTGGTGGTTCCCAAAGCATGGTTTTCATCAAGGGAGGGCACATTACCTAGTAGAGCTTCTGAAAAATGAATATTGTTCTCCTTGTGCCACCCAGAGTCCTGAAAGGCAGAGGATTCTCCAGGACAGATTCAAATTTTGCTTCCTTCCCTGGAGGTAAGGCTGTGATGAGCCTCCAGGTTCCTTTGAGGAGAAGTCTTCCCTACCTTGCCACCTTGGGGTCCTAGGAGAGAATGATGTGCTGCCTTCTACCCTGAAACATGGGTAATGGACTAGGGTAGGACTTCAGTACTCTGAATTGACCTCTTCTTTGATGAAAGTCTCCAACATTCCTCAAGAAAAACCAACCTAGCCATATTTGTATGAATATGTGGCTTGTTCAAATTCAACACTGATTCATTTATCTATTCATTGATTTATCAAACATTTATTAAATTCCATTGCTAGGCACAAAAGAAACCAAACCACATGAGATGATAATCTAAAAATTTCTCCTTTGATGTGCCTTGTACAGGTCTCCTGTTGTTGTTATAAAATTTACTTCTATTATGATATTCTGTCTGTCTACTCATTAAAATGTAGTGAGTATAAAGATAAACTTTTGGGCCAGGCGCAGTGACTCACGCCTGTAATCCCAGCACTTTGGGAGGCTGAGACGGGTGGATCACGAGGTCAGGAGATCGAGACCGTCCTGGCTAACACAGTGAAACCCTGTCTCTACTAAAAGTACAAAAAATTAGCTGGGCGTGGTGGCGGGTGCCTGTAGTCCCAGCTACTTGGGAGGCTGAGGTAGGAGAATGGCATGAACCTGGGAGGTGGAGCTTGCAGTGAGCCGAGATTGTGCCACTGTACTGCAGCCTGGGCGACAGAGCGAGACTCGTCTAAAAAAAAAAAAAAAGATAAACTTTTGGATTACCAGTGACTAGCACAGTGACTGTATCATAGGCGGGGCCAGGTAAATGTTGTTGGATGGAACAGAAGCAATCTCTACTATTGAGGTATTTGCTGTCTAGCACAAATATGCATGTGACGAAGGTAACTGAAAACTAAAATTAGGTATTAATTGCAGTGATGATCAGTATCCAGTCACCAGCTAGTTAAACTCTTTATCCTAAGGCAGAGAACTATCTCCTATAAGCGGGATCAGGATTTCTTGTCCTTCTGCATTCATTCAGTCCTTCAGTCATTCAATGAACATTCGTTGAAACTTTAGCAGGTACTGACTGAGACAAATCTGCTGAATCCTTTGGTGTTGGACATTTATTCCTTAACTATTGGGAAGGAAAGAACTCTCATTTTATTCTGGGAGTTCAGTACCACTTAGGACCAGTAATCTTAATAAGCAGCCTTCTGGGTAACAGAGCTCAACAAGGACATCCTCATGATCTAGGACAATAAGTTTCCAAAGCAGCCAAGGAGGCAAGGCCAGATGCCCCTGTACACTATGTATAATGAAGTATTCATTCTTTTCAAAATATTTAGAGGTATTATAATGTTATTCTAACTCACATTACCTTTAAGCTATTTTGGTGGAAAGCCCCCAAACACTTCTTAGCTTTCTTCTCTCTTTGTCTGTCATTCTCATTATTGGTCAATTGTCAAATCTTTCCATTTTTGAAATGATAAAACTTCTACTAGATTCTAGGACTCCTTCAAAGTCTTTTCTCTAAATGTTTTTGGCAAAACATGGCATCGTGATCAGGATGACCTCTTGTTCTTTCTTAAGGTTGGGCACTTATTATTCCTTGGCTTTTTCTTTTTCTAGACTCTGGCTAATCTTTGCCAATTTTTATTACATTCTCATTGCAAAAAACTAATTATTTTCTCAAGGCTCTTATAATTTGAATATCATATCTCAAATTTCATTGACAATTTTCTGATCCCAAAGCCAAATCAATTCTTCAGATATAGAAGAGAGTCAATGTCTAATTTTTAAAATGGAACTCAACAAGACAGATGTGAGACAACTTTTTGCTTTAATATGAATGTTAGTGAGAATATGCAGTGCCTTTTTTTCTTGTTGACTATCTTAGAAGTGATTGGTGCTGAGTCCTTTGGGCCGTTATGCAGGTTGGTACAAAACAAGCACTCTGTGATCACTGAAATTCGAGATGGAACCATAGAAGACAGGTGCCAGGAACTACTGAAAGGCTGAGGAGGTTGAGGTTAGGAGTGGACTCAAATGGGCCCAGGAGCTCCAGAGGATCCCAGGGAGTTCTGACTTACTCTGGAAGGATCTCAGGTGGTTCAGATGAAAACAATTCTGCCTGTGCCCTGAATATTTCAGAGCCTCTAAGTGTTCCCTTCAGAATCTCTCAACCAAGGAATTTAATTATGTCCTTGTTGTACAGCCCAGTTCCAAACCAAAACTGAAGGAGTTCAGAAGCTAGTTGCAAAGGTTTTGAAATTCAGGGTGAGGATCCTTTTGCACAATTGTGCCAAGATAGAAAGAATATGAAAGTGGAGTCAGTGGGATGAGGACAGGAGAATGTGTATGCCATGAAATCAAAATGTCATCTTAAACATATGATTGGTATAAGTGTATTGGGGAAAAAGAAAAAGAAAATAACATTTCCTAAAAGCACTTCTTTTATGTCCAGCACAATGCCAAGTCCTGTTACTGCCAACTGTGAGGGGGGTTTAGACTGGTATATTTGTCCATGTTCATCTTATTCACAGGCTTAGTTGATCAGGGAACACATGGTGCTCATTACATGCATGGGAATTGGCTATGAGGCAAAATAGTAATACTGGTTTCCTATTCTTGGTTCCTGTTGCTGCCAGAGATGAGAACTGAATTACCTGGCAGAGTTTTAGGATTTGCTTTTGTTGACCTAGAAAATGGTGATAATGGTCATTTCCTCAGTTGAGAGAGAAATGACATCTCAAAAGGCAACTGTGGCACACTGGAAATAATATGGGATTTGGCATTTGGAAGATTTTGGCTAGCATTAAATTTATGGCATTTATTAACTGTGCACATTTGTCCCAATCACCTAATCTTTCTAAGCCTTAATTTCCTCAGGTCTTAAGGGGGGATGAAAATGCCTGCCTCACAGGATCGTTGTGAGTATGAATTGAGATAAAGTACATAAAAGTACATTGCAAACTTAGCAAATCTTTATGCTGGAGTAATTTTTGTGTGTGTGCCAGGAACTCTACTAGAGGCTGCGCTCATGCATCAGTGTGGCATTGTGCGATTGGCAATACAAAGATATGTAACACAAATTGGAAAATTGGTAGAGAGCACACTCTGCTCTCAAGGAATTGGAAGTACAGTGGGGAGCTAGAAATGTAAATAAATGATTATAATTGCATGAGGTAATATATTTAGTACTGCTAAGCACACAGTGCAATAGGATTATAAAGAGATAAAATTCCTGAGCTGGGAAACAAAAGATGGATTAAATATTGCCAGGCAGACATATTTGTGGGGGTTTCAAGGGGGAGTTTGTCAAGCGCAGAGCATATCATATGTATTATTATTATTCAATATAAATTATTATCCAAGCTGTAACCACATGATCTGACTATAAATCATTTGGTCATTTTAATAAGCAAGAGGTATAATATAAAGAATTTAATCATGTCCCTTTTACACTTTTAACATAGATATTAAAAAAATAAAAACATAATGTTACATACGTGGAAACTTCTGTGCAACACAGGTATTTCTGAGTTGGATTGGAATTAGGCTGATGCAGAGAGATTTCATCTTGTAATAACATCAATACAGTGGCAAGAACAGACATCAGTTGATGTTAATGTTGATCATTTAGGCAGATGTCTCACATCTATCTAGGTATCTGCTTGTTCACTCTGGTAATCATAATTAGAGGTTCTGTACTGACCATTTGAGTGGCACAGACAATGTTCTTTGTGTCTGTGCAGGACATTGCCCTGAGAGCCTTCTCCCCTGCTCAGAAGGATCTAGGGAACACAGATCCTAATGCAAGTTATGCCTTTCTTGTTCTGAACTACTTGCGTATGCTCTGTACAATAATGGAGCAGGTCCAGATTTAACTTCACAAAATGAAAATCCAGCCTTTTCTGTTCAGTTGCCTTTGCCACGATATGAGCAAAAAGGTTAAATCCAGCTTCAGCTGAATATATACATTTGAAAGATTCCACTAGCATCTGTTCCATGTAGAAACAATAGAGCAGACCTCCACAGCCTGTTTGGGAAGCCCAATGAGCATGTGTGCAAGGGATGTCTGTGGCCACCCCCATCCACACACTGCCAGAGCTTTCCTAACCCAGAAGGACAGGGAAGAACATGTAGGTCCATCTCAGGGACTGAAATGACTCAGGGGTTTGAAATGAATGGAAATTTAGTAAATGGTGGTGAATGACTCAATGAAATCCATACTCTTTCCCATTCCCTATTGCAATCAGATCAGGAAGTTATAAAATCTATTATTTTCTAAGAATAGTGTTTGAAGTTGTCAGGAGGGTCCAGATGTGACTTCCAATTATTTATTGTCTAACTTGCCTAATTCTTCTTCACCAACAACCATTCACCATATTAAGACATTTTTAGCATTCAAAGGGACACATTAGCTTGCTGCTCAGCAAGATGATGAGAAAAAAAGCTAGCATTTTTATGCAAACTTGTTCATGTGTAATATTTGACAAGCATCATTGAGTGCCTCTACGTGCTCATGCATCTATGTGACAGTATGCAAAGGGTTGTGGATACAAAGATGCAGAATAAATAATCTTTTATTCTTGTTTGTCTTCTAGTGTCATAGTAAAGTAAAATATGGCATTGGGCCAGAGACAGGACATTGGATGGGCACTTCAGAGCACACTGGGAGATAAACTGGTTTAAGAAGTCAACAGCACTGAAGAGTCAGCTTCATTAACTAAGCTGGGGGTTTGGAGGGAACTTGAATTGGGGCTGATTGTGGAATACATCAGTAGTCAAATGATTACCCAACCACCAAACAAATCCAGGAAGACTTAAAATCAGGTTGAATTGGACAATTTACAAGTGGCATCAACAGAACTTGACAGTATGTGTTGTTAATCACACAGATACCATACACAGAAAGCTCCCTAAAAGGAACACACGGAATTGATTTCTTTTTATGAAAATAAAGGAGTAAATTGTCCCCATCCAGTACATTCAGCCCAGGAGCTTGCCAAATGACATATGATAGTATCAAAAGTTAACCCTAAATCACATTTTCTGTGAGCTCTATTCTGACTTCCTAATTTTAGAGAGAAAAAGGAAGAGGTAAAATTAATAAAGAATTTACTTCTACTTTGCTTCCCTTACCAAAAGATAGACCAAAAAGGGTCAAAAGGATTAATGGAGATACAAACAAGTGGCCTTTAAAAATATGTTTTTTTAGGCTGGGTGCGGTGGCTCACACCTGCAATCCCAGCACTTTGGGAGGCCAAGGCAGCCAGATCACTTGAGCTCAGGAGTTCAAGTCCTGCCTGGGCTACAAAGTGATACATTAAGGAAGGTTAAGGTTGGGAATTGATGGTTAGATTTAGTAATGTGGTGCTCACTAATGGTCTTATATCCTGTATCCATAAAAAAATAAAAAAATTAGCTGAGCATGGTGGTGCATGCCTGTAGTCCCAGCTACTCAGGAGACTCAGGCAGGAGGATCACTTGAGCCCAGTAGGCAGAGGTTGCAGTGAGCCCAGATCGCACCACTGCACTCCAGCCTGAGCAAGACCCTGTCTGAAAAAATAAAGAAATAAGTAAAAATAAAAAGACACGTTTTCTATTTATTACAGAAATTTTTTCTATATTCTCTTTATAAATTCACATATATCAATATACAAATAGCAAATAGTCACATTATAATTGATGATGTAAGCAGGGTCTGCCCATGACAAAATTCTCAAAGAGGTAGATATAGCCACAGTTTCCCAGTTGCAGCCTTACAGACTAGAAAACCTGATACCCAGAAGGAGCATGTGGGCAGAATGAAACTGGGAGAAGGCTGATTTACTGTCGTCTAAGGATGGAGGATAGAATGGAAAATCTGTTTGCTAAACTATGAACAAGAAGACAGGTGGGCAAGGTTAGGATGAAAAGGGAGAATGTTCATTTTTTCACTTCTTTATTCAACATTTATTAACTCTTAATATGTAGCAGGCACTGTCCTAGGCACAGGAAAAGTTGATGTCCATGAACGGAGGGTTAGGTCAAGGGATTTAGGTTTTTTTCCAGAGATGGTGCCCTCTTTTACTTGGTGCCCTGAGGGTTGTATAAGGATTTACTTCTTAAGGGAACTGTAACACACCAAACACAATTCCCCTCCCCTCAAAGACTGTTTCTCTAATATCTCAGATCTAATGTAACCCTGTGTCTTCTACTGTAAAGAAAATTAAAGAATCTGGTAAGAGTAATATTATTTGCTTTATAGATTTTTATGATTGATATTATAGTTGAAAAAATAAAATCTGAGTTAATATAATATATCCCAAGTCTTAGAGCTGTGGGTTCTGTCTGATTTCAAAGCTTGTGCTCTATCCACCACCCTACAAAGCCTTGAAGGTATCAGGAGCTTAATGAATTAATTACTCCCTTCTAGACATACTTGCAATATAAAGTAAATATCTAAAAAAGGCAATGCTTACTCAAAGGAATATATCTAAATGGAAATTGTTAGGCACTGGGGTATGGAAGATACTTTTTCAGCAAGGGGAAGGGAGAGGAGAGAACATGAAATTATATAACTTAACAGCTATTACCAACACTATCTTCTTGCTCTTCTTTAGAGAGACTCTAGTAGAAAGAGTTGTCAAAAGTTGCTGCTTCTAATTCTTCTCATACCTTCTCTTAAACATACTCTCTAGTCAGGTTTCTGCCCCAAACCTCCAAAAAAAGGTACTCTTGTTAAGACCATTAGTGAGCACCGCATTACTAAATCTAACCGTCAATTCCCAACCTTAACCTTCCTTAATATATCAGTGCCATTTAACTCAGTTTATCACTCCTGGTT
Source organism: Homo sapiens (assembly GCF_000001405.40). Taxonomy (NCBI): domain Eukaryota; kingdom Metazoa; phylum Chordata; class Mammalia; order Primates; family Hominidae; genus Homo; species Homo sapiens. The sequence continues at coordinate 221,347,591 of NC_000001.11, forward strand.
TTTTAAAGTTTTCTTTCATTGACATCTGAGGAGCCAGTCTTTCTTGATTCTCTTCCTACTCCCTGAACCATTCTTCTCAGTCGCCTTTGCTGAATCTTCTCCATTTCCCTAATTTTTAAGTATTTTAGCATTGCTGGGCTTAGTCTGTGAACCTTTCTTTATCTATACTCATCTAGACTCATGTTTTTAAAAAGTGCTAAAAACTGTCAATTCCCATGAATTTGGCTGGATACAGCAACAGTTAGTCATGTGATGGACATTTCACATGTAGGATGAGGCCTGAGCAGGTCCAGAAGGCACTCACGAGTTCTCTTGTGTGCTTTTCTTTCAAGTCAACACCTATGACCTCATGGGAGTTTCCTGACTGAAGAGGAAAAAATGTACCTAGGTCGTATGGAATAGATCAAGTTAGACAGGTTGTTGTGAATGAAATATGGACACCTGCTGTGTTGTAGCCCCTTTCAAGGATGAGCCTGAAAGAGTGGCAACAGAGAGTCCTCCCAGTGGAGAGTATTTTAGGTGGTATACCTGGCCACCTATTTTGTGTAAAAAGAGAAATAGCCCTATATTTTCCCCCACTAGAAGTTTTCCTCTTTCCTCATGCATACAATGTTATTTCACATCTCCAGTCCTTTGTCAAAGGTGTTTCTTTAGATTGGATGATTCTTTCACCCTATCTTTCTGGAGCAATGTCCACTTTATTCTAGGCTGAGTTGAAATGTAACCTCTACCAAACAGCTTCACGAGTCTTCTGCAAACTGAGTAACCCCTCCTCTGGCTGACACAATCTAGTGTTTACGTCTCTGGTGTAGCACTCCTCATCTCATTCTGTGCCAGTTCATGTCCTGCAGGGGCTGTAGCCCTTCCAAGGACAAAGACAAATAAGAGAACAATTGAACAAGTAAACAAATATTGAGATGTAGCTTGTAATGAGAACATGAATGGACTGTGATTAAAACTTGGAGACCTGTAAGACCACTGTCCTTAATTACAAATTAGTGAGGCACAGCTTTGCCATCCCTACAGGATGAGGGAAAAATATTTTGCTCACATTATCTTTCTTCATATATGATAACTCTTCTTATTCTTTACAATGATGACATACACTAGGACTGTGCTGGTGATAATGGAGGGAAGTAGACAAATGCAAGGTAGAGCCAACAGAATTTGCTGATGTCTGGATGAGGATAGTGGGGAAAAGGGAGAGAACCAGAATAACTTCTTTTTTTCAGATGCAACTGATAAAGTTTGTGCCTTTTGCTGAAATGGAAAAGATTGGGGGAAGAATATGTTTCAGGTAAGCAGAAGTCAAAGATTCATTTTTTCAGCATAATTTCTTATTTTGAAATTGTGATAGACTCACAAGAGGTGAGTCTATAACCCTGGAGTCCAGGGTTCTTACCACAGCACAGGAGAAAAGAGAAAGCAAAAATGGTACCACCTGTTTCATTTTGGAAAGTTAAATTTGAGATCGTTGCATGACTTCTAAGTGTTAATATAAAAAAGGAATCAGGGTGTCCATATGGAAGCGCAGGTGTAAAATGAGCACCAGAGATATAAGTTTGATGTTAATATGAATGGCGGGGAAAGCCATGGGCCTGAAAGTGATCCCTGGGTAGACAGTGGAGCTAAACAAGAAAGGCTGATGGCTGAGTCCTCGAGCAGTCCAACTTAAGAGTTTGAGTAGAAGAAGAAGAGCCAGCAAAAAAAAATCTGAGACAATTCAGTGAGGTTGGAGGAAAACCAACAAAGGGAGGAAAATTTTATTTTGGAATTTCTTATAAATCTCTCAAACTCTTGAATTCAAATATATGTATTTACTTGAGGACCACAAAAGAGTGGAGAATTGGGACAGGCCTCCAAAAATTTAAGTCTCCAAAGTTTCTGTGAATGACAAATTGGGGTTACAACACCATATTTGGATGATTTAAGTATAAATGAGTAGAAACATATGGATTCTATTTCCTTCCCATTGTATATGAGCTTAACAATTAAGCACAAAAAGGTGGTTGGGGCAAAAGTCTTACTGCGGCTTTATTAAATCCAAAATATGGAAGCGGTGCTTAGAGAACCAGCAAAGCAAATGGCTCAGGTTGCCATGAGAAATTGAATCTGGATTTTAATCTCTCTCTCCCTCCATCTTTCCAGGTTTCTTGCTGTCTCTGTCCTTCTCTGTTACTGTTTTTTGTCTGTCTTTCTTGATCTTCCTTCTCCATCCATCTCTGGGCTCAGACTACCATCTGGGTGCTCACGGACATCTTGAAAGCACATTTCCCAGCTGTCTAAAAGCAATAGCCTGAGTCCTCTTCTGTTTGTAGAATTCCACCAATGATTTCCAATTTAAAGGAAGAAAAAAAATCAGTAGCAGGTGTTGCAGTTCTTCAGGGAGAGTGTTGTTTATTATGGCTGTCCTCTAAAGAAGTATTAGGGCTTATGCTGCAGTGGATAATATATTGCTTCATATAATTTTACATTATGACCTTTTCTTTATTTCTCTGGCCTTTCTACTTTTACTTGGGTCCCCAACTTGCACTTTGTTATATAAGTTTGATACAAAGGAATTAAAAGCCATTTTCCATTTGTTGTTAAGCACAGCTGAGGAATGTGCTCAGAACTTAGTTAAAAACACTGATGACAGAAATTACATAATGGTTATGGAATTGGGAGTAGGCTGTGGGCAAAGTGGTTTGCCTTGCCCAAGTGTTTTTGAAGAAGCAGTAGCGGAGTTTGGGAGGAGAGGGTGTACTGAAGCAGAAGCTAAAGCCAGAAGTCAGAGGATAGATTTGTGATTGCTATGTTTGTTTAAAAGTGCAAGTTTCAGGCTGCTGTAACATAGTATCATAGACTGGGTATCTTTAAAACAACAGAAATTTATTGCTCACACTCCTGGAGGCTTGGAAGTCCAAGATCAAGGTGCCAGAAGACTCAATGTCTGGTTCAGGCCCCTTTCCTGGTTCATAGAAGACACCTTTTAGGTGTGTCCTCACGTGGTGAAAAAAGCAAGGCCTCTTTTCAAAGGGCACCAATTTCATTCATGAGAGTGGAGTTCTCATGACTTAATCACCTCCCAAAGGCCCCACTTCCTAATACCATCCCACTGGAAATTAGGTTTTAACACATGAATTTGGGGATGGGGGAGTGGCAAAAAAATTCAAATCATAGGACTCAGAGAAATACTATAAGCAATTAGGGAAAACCACAAAGGCTAGAAGATTGAGCACAGCAAATGGGCAAACCCAAGCATTGTCCCTGCCCTCCCTAGGGCTTTGTGGGGATGGGAGCAGTGGAGTGCTGGAGTCCAGGGTTCTTACCACAGCGCAGGAGAAAGGTGAATGACTTTTTTTGGTAAATGTACAGTTTAGTGAATTTTGGAATTTTTATACAGTTTTCTAACAACAACCACAATTAAGATGTAGAACAGGCCCATCACTTCAAAAAGTTCCCTCCTCCCGCATTCAACATCTACCCTGATTTTCAACCCAAGCAACCACCGATCTGCCCTTCTGCCACTGAAATTTGCTTTCTTATTTTTAAAAATTACATATAAATGAAATCATACAGTATGCATTCCTTTTTGTCTGGATTTCTAAATTCAGCATAATTAAGATTCACCATCTTGTGGCATATAGTAATATTTCTGTTCCTTTTTATTGTTGTGTAATTTCCATGCAATGGGGATATATCTGTTCATCGGTTGATGGACATATGGGTTATTTTCAGTTTGGGGCTATTAAGAATAATGCTGCTATCAACAATTTTTATAAGTCTTTAGACTTTTTTTATTTCTCTTTGGTAAATACTTAAGAGAAGTAAGAAAATATTTGACTTTATATGATATTATCAAACTGTTTTATAAAATGGTTTTGGTGATTCACCCTTCTGTTAGTAGTTCCATTTGTTCCTCATCTTCACCAACACTTGCTATTTTCAGTCTCTGAAAATGTAACCATTCTAGTAGGCGTATAGCGGCATCTCATTGTGGTGGTTTTTCTTCTTTTTTTTTTTATTGTGGCAAAATGCATGTAACATAAAACTTAACTGTTTTAGCTATTTTTAAGTGTACAGTTGAATGGCATTAAGTACCCTCACAATGTTGTGCAACCACACCACGATCCATTTCCAGAACGTTTTCATTATCCCAACAGAAACTCTGTACACGTTAAAAAACACACTCCTTGTTTCCTCGTTCCCCAGACCCTGTTAACATATTCTGCTTTCTGTCTCTATAAATTTGCCTATTCTACCCACCTTGGATAAGAGAATCATACAGTTTTATTCTTTCATGTCAGTCTTATATCACTTAGCATAATGTCTTCAAAGTTCATCCATGTTGTAGTATGTATCTGAATTTTATTCATTTTTAAGGATTAATAATATTCTGTTGTATATTTTATAGATAGATAGATGATAGATAGATAGATAAACAGATTTTGCTTTTCCATTCATCTGTCAATGGACATTTGGGTTGCTTCCATTTTTTGGCTTTTGTGAATAATGCTGCTATGAACATTGGTGTACATGAATCTGAGTCCCTGCTTTCATTTATTGGTACATATATATATATATGTAGGAGTTGAATTAATGGATCATATAGTGATTCTATTTAACTTTTTGGGGAACTACCAAGCTATTCCTTAGTGGCTGTGCCTTTTTTTACTTTCATACCAGCAATGCACACAGGTTTCAATTTCTCTATATCCTTACCAACACTTGTTATTTGTCTTTTTAAATCGTAGCATTCTAATGATTTTGAAGTGATATCCCACTATGGTTTTGATATGCATTTCCCTAATTACTAATGATGCCGAGCATCTTTTCTTCTGCTTATTGGCCATTTGTATTTCTTTGGGGAAGTGTCTATTCAAGCCCTTTGCCTACTTGTTAATTGAGTTTTTTGTTGTTGATTTGTAGACGAGGGATTTTGATATTGTCTCATACTCATATGCCTTTTAGGACACAGTTAATAAATATATACTTAAGTAAATATATTGTGTTTGAAGCTGACTAATACAGAGCTTCAAGTCTTAGAGTATCCATCCTTGAATTTCTCTCCAGATTTTTGAAGATAACAGAGCTGAAACGTGAGAAACTTAATCATTCAACCAGTTATTTGTTCTCTGTGATATCAAGAAAAAATATTTTTTGAGGGATGGTGGGTAGACAAGTAGAAGACTGATCATTTATTTGGTATACTTTATCATTTAATAATTTATTTCTACTATTTTATATCACTTACATATGTATTTTGTCATCTCTAATACAGTGAATTATACTTTTAAGCTCTTCATAATTACCATCTATTCTGCTTTTTACTATCTTTGATGAAAAAAAGACACATGTGAACCTGCTAATAATAAAATATATGTTATCTTTTCTGATGAGTGTTACTGAGAGAAACAAATTTCACTTTCTTAAAAATGTGGGCCTATAATTTAAAGACATGAGTTAGGTGTAATAGACATATTCAATGCTAATAACCCTTACTGGTTTTACATATTAAATGGAGCACAGTTTTAAAGAAAGTGTGATAATCTACCTACCCCAAAATAACTCCTCAAGACACCTAGATGCAGATGAAATAAAACCATTTAAAATGCATGATCTATTATTAAAATGTAAGTGTTCCTGGTAGAGATATTATGGAACTAAAATCAGCTGTCCATATGTTAGTATTGACACCTTCATTTCATTATTTTATTCATCTCACTGAGTAGGTGATTGACTGTAAATTGCTGCCAAAGACAAAGTGATAGTCTCTGGGTAGATTCTCAACTTCCATGTGAATGCTTTCCTAAAATAGAACCACCTGAGATCATGCCTGCTTATGGAGCTTCAAGTGGGATTTCCTTTCCCAGTGTCTTTTTCAAAAATTTGTTTCTCCCATTTCATAAAGACATGCTGCCTACCTATGGGGCATGTATTAGTCCGTTCACATGCTGCTAATAAAGACGTACCTGAGACTGGGTAATTTATAAAGGAAAGAGGTTTAATGGACTCATAGTTCAGCATTGCTGGGGAGGCCTCAGGAAACTTACAATCATGGCAGAAGGATAAACAAACCTGTCCTTCTTCACATGGCGGCAGCAAGAAGTGCCAAGCAAAAGGGGAAAACCAACAGATATGTGAGAACTCACTCACTATCACAAGAACAGCATGAGTGTAACGATCCACATGATTCAATTACCTCCTACTGGGTCCCTCCCATGACATGTGGGGATTATGGGAACTACAACTCAAGATGAGATTTGGGTGGGGACACAGTCAAAACATATCAGGGCACTAAAAGACAATTAAAAAATATACGCATCAGCAAAACCTTTTCTAGTGAAAGCACCATAACTCACAGTAAGGTCTTTGTCTTTGTCTCATACATATTTCTGTTAAGTGAGAAGATGATGGTAATGATGATCTTTGTCAGAGTGTTCTGAATTGAAATATATTGTACAGTGGGATACTTGGAATCATAACATCTTCTTCCATTTCTTGAATAATCTAGAAGATTATCTTCCTTCCTTCCCTCTTTCCTGCCTTGCTTCCTGCCTACCTTCCTACCTTCCTTCCTGCCTTCCTTCCTGCCTTCTTTCCTACTTTCCTGCCTTCCTGATGGACTATGCACAATTTATTCAAAAAAATTCTGTGAATCCACAAAGATGAATATCCTGTTTTTACTATTAATAAAAAGAATTTGATGCTTATTCTCATTGACCTGAGTCTGTCCTGTTTGTGCAGTCTGAGTGATTTCAAGGAGGGTGAAAAGTTTCATGTTTGGATATACATGATGTCTGCAAGTAAAGGTTCTATATATTGAAGTAAGACAGTGTTTAATATTTTATTGAATATTTATTAAATTGCGTAGGAGAAATATTTTCATTAACTTTTAAAATTACTTTAAAAAAATAACTTGAGTAATTAAAAGATGATTTGGTAATGTAAATTTATATTCACTATTGTTTTTTGGTTGTAAGTGCTCTTCTGCTGTCATTCGTCAATTGTTTCTCTGCTCATTAATTCATTCCTACTTTGTACTTACTAGAGTTATATTAATAGGACTATATAGTGAATTACACCCCAAATAATGTACTTTATTACAATAATTCATTGCTTCTTTTATGTCCCACAATTACTAGTTGTTCAATGTCTTCTTTCCCTTTGACTCTTAATTCCATAAAGTAAATTACATTGCATTATTAAAAGCAGAATATCGACTTTTATTTTGGCATAGGGAAGAATAGCATTCTTTCCTATATTTCCTACATTTCCTTGATATTTTGAAAACAATACGCAAGAAGCTCTAGCGACAACTTCATTTTATTACAATTATTTTCTTCCTCTATGTTGATACTCTATTCTAATTTGTCAAATGCACATGTGCAAATGCAGTTATTTTTGACCAAGACTTTGTCAGTCTACCTCTGGATTGATATTTAATGTACTTTGAAACGATCTTGAAAATTGAAGTTTGGTAAATGGCCAAAGGGTTTCCCAGAATGTCTATACCATTCTCACTGGCAGCGTATGAGCTATTCAGTTTCTCCTCATCCTCACCAGCATTTGGTATTATTACTATTTTTAATTTTAGCCATTATGATGGGTAAAATTTGTGGTTTTAATTTGCATTTTCTTGGTAGCTAACGATCTTGGTTTTCCTTACATGTACTCATTTGCCATTTCTAAATCCTTATTAGTGAAATATCTGTTCATTTTCTTCCACATTTTCAAAGACTTTTGGGTTTTCTGACTATTTATTTTGAAAGTTTATTCTACAGTCTAGACCTTACTCTTTGGCAAATATGTAGTTTGCAAATATTTTATCCCTGCCTGTAATTTGTATTTTCATACTCTTAAAAGAGACTCTAAAGGTCTAGCGCAGTGGCACATGCCTATAGTCCCAACTGCTCAGGAAGCTGAGGTGGGATATCTTGAGCCAGGAGTTCAAGGCTGCAGTGCACTATGATCGTGTCTTTGAATAGCCACTGCACTCCAGATTGGGCAACATAGTGAGACATCGTCTCTAAAAAATAAATATTATAAAGGGTCTTTCACTAAGCAAAAGTCCAAATTTTTATGAGGCCCAATTTATTAATTTTTTTCATCTAATGCTTGGGTGTCAAGTCTAAGAAATCTGTACATACCCCTAGATTTTATTCTATGTTTATTTTTCTAAATCTTTTATAGTTTTACATTCTACATTTAAATCCATGATCCATTTCAACTTCATTTTTATATGTGAGGTTTAGTTTGAGAATTTTTGTTTGCTTGTTTTTTAACCTATAGCTATCTAATTGCTCCAGCACCATTTATACCACTTGTTAAAACATTTATCCCTTCCTCCATTGCAGTGCTTTTGCACTTTTGTCAAAAAACAATTAGGAATATTGTAGTTCTATTTCTGGGTGTTCTATCCTGTTCTATTGGTGAATGTGTCTATCATTCTGCCAATATCATAGTATCTTAATTACTGTAGCTATAAAATAGTCCTTTATATTGGAAAGAGTGATTCCTCATACTTCATTCTTTTTCAAGATTGTTTTAGCTATTCTAAGGACTGTGCCTTTTCACATAAATTCAAAACAAGTTGGACAGTGACTACATAAAGCTTGCTGGGATTTTGGTAGGAATTACATTAAACCTATATATCAGTTTGGGTAGAATTGACATATTCACTACATTGAGGCTTCCAAAGCATGAACAGAGTACAGTAATCGCCCCTTATTCGTGATTTCAGTTACATGCAGTCAACCATAACCCCAAAATAGGTGAGTACTATACAAAAAGTTTTTTTTTGTTTGTTTGTTTTTTGAGACGGAATCTCGCTCTGTCGCCCAGGCTGGAGTGCAGTGGCGCTATCTCGGCTCACTGCAAGCTCCACCTCCCGGGTTCATTCCATTCTCCTGCCTCAGCCTCCCGAGTAGCTGGGACTACAGGCTTCCGCCGCCATGCCCGGATAATTTTTTTTTGTGTGTGTGTATTTTTTAGTAGAGACAGGGTTTCACCGTGTTAGCCAGGATGGCCTCGATCTCCTGACCTCATGATCCACCCGCCTCGGCCTCCCAAAGTGCTGGGATTACAGGCGTGAGCCACCATGCCCGGCCTACAAAAAGGTATTTTAAGAGAGAAATCACATTCACATGACTTTGTAATTAAAGTACATTGTTAAAATTGCTCTATTTTATTATTGTTGTTGTTAATCTCTTATTGTGCTGCTTTATAAATTAAACTTTATCATAGGTAGGTATATATAGGAAAAATCTTAGTGCATATAGGGTTCAGTACTATCGCAGTATTAGGCATCCACTAGGGGGCTTAGAACTTACTCCCCACAGGTAAGAGGGGTAGGGGGAATATGTGTCATCTTTGGTGAAGTATCTGCTTAAGTTATTTGCTCATTTTTAATTGGGTTGATTCCTTATTATTGGATTTTGAGAGTTTGTTATGTAATCTGGATTTAAAGTTCTCTGTTTTGTATGAAATTTAAAAATATTTACCCCTAGACTGTGGCTTGTCTTTTTATTCCCTTGACGGTGATCTAGCAGCGCGAAAGTTTTTAATTTTAATCAAATCCCATTTTACTTTATGGGTCATGTTTCTGCTGCCATTTCTAACTTTTTGTCCAATCTCAGATTATGCAGAATTTCTGTTAGGTTTTGTTCTAAGCATTGTATAGTTTTGTGAAGAGTGTATTGACTTTGGATGAGCAAATAAAATGAGTTACTTGATAATACAGTTCCTTCTTGGTGGTGTAGTTTGCCCTACTGATATTGGAGAGTTATAGGAGCCTTATGGACAGGACTGCATACCTGTGAATGTCTCTTGCATCACATACAGGCAGAAGCACAGCCTGTTATCCACCATTTAAAATAGTCTGATAATCAAGTTTTTTTAATGTGTGTTAGATTCATTTGGTAACACCACCTGATCTGATTTAATATGAGACTACTTGTAGTTTTTATTTATCCCTCTTAATGTGACCACCACACATGCTATAGAAATTTTCATGTGTTGAATTAGGGGTCCTACTCCAGTCCCTGATCAGAGTATTCCAAAATATTCAGTGTATAGACTGTATTACATATCTACCCTCTAAAAAAATTTTGAATTCTGAAACACATTTGCTTACAAGAGTTTCAGATAGAGGACTGTGCATCAGAAACTTAAATGGTTCTTGTGATATGATAGTTCTCATCGTCACTACAGGGAACCTCTTCTTCAGGCGTCCCCTAATCCTGGTCAGAAGTTCTCACTAATTTGATTGAGGATGGAAAGAGGGGTCACTACATTTACTGCATCATTCAACCCAAATTATGATGTTTCTCTTATGTCTAAGGAGATTGCTTGATATCTTTTTCCATTCTTCTTTCTTGTCATAAAAATACTGACCAGTCAGCCCTTAAATATCAGGGAAGGCCTCAGCGTTCATATTATGGTTTTTGTGCCGGTACATGTGTGAGTTAGAAGCAGGATGGGAGATCTGGATTAGGCATGACTATCTGTAGTATCAAGCATCTACTGGGGGTCTTGGAATGTCTCCCTTGTGAATAAGGGGGACTTCTGTATGTCTTCCATTCATTTAGCTCTTTAATTTCTTTCATTGGCTCTTTGTAATTTTTAGCATATAGATCTTATACTTTTTTATGTTTATACCTAAGCAACTCCATTTTCTTTGGGGCAGTTGTAAGAGGTATTATTTTAAATTTTGGTTTCTGCATGGTCATTGTTAGTTTATAGAAATGTAATTGATTTTTACAGGTTGATCTTTTATCCAAGGACCTTGCTGAACTCACTTACTAGTTCTAGAAGTTCTTTTTTTGTACATTCCTGGAGACTTTCTACATAAACAATGGTAACATCTGCTAATAGAGACTTTCATTTCTTCATTTCCTATTTGTATACTTTTAATTTCTTCTTTGAGTTTTATTGCAGTATCTATAGTTCCCAGTATTATGATGAATAAAAGCAGCGAGAGTAGACATCCTTGCCTTGTTCCCTATTTTAGGGGAAATACATTCAGTCTTTCACCATTAAGTATGATGTTAGCTCTAAGATTTTTACAAATGCTATCAAATTAAACAAATTTTCCTTTATTCCTAAGTAGTTTTTTTTTATCGTGAATGAGTATTGGATTTTGTCAAATGCCTTTCCTCTGTCAATTGATATGATTATTTGACTTTTCTTCCTTAGCCTATTGATATGGTGGATTATTTTGTTTGATATTTGAATATTAAATTAGACTGGCATATCTGGAATCAATCCTACTTGGTCATAGTGTGTGGATTTTTAAGTATCTCTACTGAGATATAATTTCATGACATAAGATTTAAAATGTAAAATGTATAATACGATGGTTTTTAGTATGTTCACAGAATTGTCCAACAGTCACCATAATCTAAGTTTCAAACATTTTCGTCATCCCCCAAAGAAACCCTGTAGACATGAGGAGTCACTCCCTGGTATAGGTGGCATGTTTGTATCCCCTCCAAATTCATAGATATTTAATCCCTAGTGCCACAGTATAAGGAGATGGGGCCTTTAGGAGGTAATTAGATCATGAGGTCTCCACCCTCATGGATGAGATTAATGCCCTGATGAAAGGACTGGAGGGGACTAGCTAGGCCCTTTTTACCCTTTAACCTTCTATTATGTGAGGACACAGCATTTGTCCCCTTTGCAGGCTGCAGGAAGAAAGTGCTATTTTGAAAGCGAGAGAGCAGCCCTCACCAGACATCAAATCTGCTGGTACCTTGATCTTGGATGTCTCAGCCTCCAGAACTGTGAGAAACAAGTTTATATTATTTATAAATTACCTACTCTAGGGTATTTTGTTATAGCAGCATTAATGGACTAAGACAATCCCCACTCTCTACCAGTCCCCAGTTTAGGCACCACTAATCTAGTGCTAAGTAAAAGCAGCCAGTTTTGAAAGACCACATATTTATCCCATGTGCTCTCTGCCTCCTTAGAATATGGGAATACTTGCCTGTAAGTTTTCCTGGGCTCTGACTTCCCTCTCTTTGGTTGACGTTACATCTTTTTTGGAAATTTGGGGATGGTTGTTCCATTTGTGCTGGCAATGGCTTTTAGCCTGTGTGAGAGTTTTCTCCATTCATTAGGAGTTTTCCTATTGGTTAGTATTATTTTTATAAGTATGGAATTTTAAAATTCTAAACCTCATAATGATTATTTCCCTCCTGAGGCTTCACCTGACTGTGTGTTCAAAAGTTATGAGCCCTCCATTTGTATTTATCTAAAGCAGTGGGCCTTCTGTACAAAAGATTCTTTAGAGTTACAACAGCCAAATTGATTCCTTTGATATATCAACACTAGGTTTTCTCCTAACTAAATTTGCAGATCATAATTCTAAAACAAAACAACCAGATTAGGGTGCATATTTTAATTGGCGTTTTTAGGTATCCAAACACATTCAGGGCTCTAAAATTGCCTTTCTTCAAAACACAGCCTCTAAACTCACAAAGGCTAATAAAAAATTGGAAGAGAAAAAAAAGCCCTCCAGGCTGAGATTTTTTCCCCTGATTTTTTTTTTTTTTTTTTTTTTTTATGAGACAGGGTCTTTAGCATGCATGCTGGAGTGCAGTGGTGTGATCACAGCTCACTGCAGCCTTACCTCCTAGCTCAAGAGATCCTCCCACCTCAGCCTCCCCCCAAGTAGCTGGAACTACAGGTGTGTGCCTGGCTAATTTTTAAATTTTTTGTAGAGATGAGGTCTCACTATGTTGCCTAGGCTGCTCTCCAACTCTTGGGCTCAAGTGATCCCCTCACCTCAGCCCTCCAAAGTATTGAGATTACAGTTGTGGGCCAGTATGTCCGACCATCTTCCCCTGACTCTTTTTCCCTGATTCCTTCTCCTCCCCAGTCTCTATATCCTATAATTGCTAAACTTCCGTTCTACTCTTCAGCCTCCAAAGCTTCCTTTAATTCCCCTGTTTCTGCTAAACCTGTTCAAATTCACCCATTCAAGTTCTGTCCAAATAATTAGGGTACATTCTTACACACTTCCTATACACCCTGGACAAAAGCCAAGCTTAGGGCTATAGCTATAAAGTTCCTCAAGGTTACTAAGGATTCTCACAGACTTGCTTTCAAATTTTCACCTAAAATTATAAACCTGGTTTCTCTAACTTTTAACAATTAACACCTATGCTTACTGATGAAGATCGGGCACAATATTGGACGGCAAAAGCAGGCTGAAACAACCCTAGAATGAACCTCCAATGGAATATGCCTTTTGATTGGGAGGAACCCCAAGAAAGAGCTAGTGCTTTATACTGAGCCATTCCTTCAACATTCCCTAAACCAGTAGACTGGGGATTCAAGCCTGTACCTAAAAGGAAGGTGAGATAGTACATGATTATTACAATAAACTTAAATCATTTCCAAGTAAATTTTGTACTACCATTAGATGCTGAATCTATCAAAATCACTTTCAATTCTGTTTCTACATGGCTTAGATGAAAATTTTGCAATTCTAGTTAAACTGGGTCAACTTAATTAGGAAATAATGTCTACCTCCAATTCAGTTAACCTGGCCAGCTAATCAGCCTGAACAATTTTGAAGACAATAAAGCAAGGGCAAAGAAAATAATGACATTACAGCATCAACAACTTTCTACCTATTATAATAAAATGTGCCAGTTTACTGCCATATAACCAAATCTTCAAAGAATCTGATACTACTACAAAAAACCTAGACATTGGGAAAAAGTTATATACAATTAAAACATGCTAAATGACCTCTTAATAAACTGTCCTCTTTATTTCTTATGGACCGAAGGTGCACCAAGGAAACACAGGGGATCTTTCTCATCTTGCTTCTTAATCATTTGGGTGAAACTCCCCTAATGATTGGAAAGCAGGGTCTCACTGTGCTTGTCAAAACTGGAGGAACCTATTCTGTGCTTTGCCCCACCGGCCTCAAGCTGCCCCTTCCTTGGAGTAGTGAAAAAATGAAGATGGTGGAAATTTCTAGTACACTTTTAACCATTAACAAATTTTTACTTCTGCTTTTTAAATTAGGTCTTCTCTGGGATAGTCATTCTTTTTTTATTAGTTTTGTCAGCCCTACTTCACTCACTTGGAAAGGACTTCTCAGAAAAATGTCATGCTGCCTTTCTTTTTCCCAAATGGGGGAGATAGTTCTTAAAATTAACTCAACCCCTGCTTTGACAAACAACAGTGAGAATTCTTCAATACCTTTGCCCATTTTCGCTTTTAACTTAAACAACAAAAATGCTGAGAGTTCAGTTCTTTTTAAAAGAGATTCCTGAGGAACTTTGAGCTAAATCTACATCAGACATTGGATGAATTCACTCAACTCCTATGATAAAAATTTAAATTGACTAAAACAAGCTGCTTTCTAATATCACACAATATTCCCTAAACCCTGTAGTTCTTATAGGAATTAAACAAATTATAAAATAATATAAAGCAAAGAATCTTATAGTGCCTTGCAGTAGCCATTGTAATAAGTCTAACCTTTCTGTAAAAAAACCTCATTGGAAAAGGATGGGGATTTATACAAGATCTAAGAGCCATTAACATTGTCATTATTTGACACTTTGTCATTCCAAATCCTCATACCCTCTTCCTGACTTCCATCCTGCAGAGAGTAAATTTTTAACAGGGATAGATCTTTGTACTGATTTATTAAGCATTCTCGTGACTCTTGAGAGTCAATTCTTATTTACCTTCATGTGGGAAAGACAACAACAATACACCTGCACAGGAATGCTTTAAGGGTATACTGAAAACCCCTCTTACTTTTCACAGATACTGAAGGCAGATTTAACAGACATGTCTTTCCTCCAAGGATCGACTCTATTGCAGTATGTTGATGACCTCCTTCTTTGTTCCTCTTCTAAAAATCTTGTGAGCTTGAAGTGTTCACCTCCTTAAACTTCTAGCAGAAAAAAAGCCACAAATTTTCCAGAGCCAAGCTCCAATTTACCCAGGCCCATGTCAAATATTTAGGACACAGTATCAAACCAAGAACTTTTCTTGGAACCATACATACTTAAAGGCATTTTAAACTTTCTTCAACCTCCTACGAAGAGACAATTATGAGGGTTTGGGGGCCTGGCAGAGTACTGTCAAAACTGAATACCTAATTTTCTTTTGATAGCTCAACCCTAGTATGTCCTTTTGGAATTTAATAAACCAGATCCCCTGGACTGAAGACAGAATGTCCATATAGCCTTCTATCAATTAAACAAATATCTTCCAGGTACCCTTGCCTTATGGCACCCCAATTATCAACTCCCCTTCATCCTTTTTGTATATGAAAGAGAAGTAAATGTGTTGGGGGTCTTTACCCAAAAACATGGAGATTGACACAGACATTTTGGCTATTATAGCCAGCAATTAGATTCAGTAGCTAAGGGACTCCTTCCCTGCATGAAAGCTATATCAGCCACTGTGGCTTTAACTAAATCTACAGAAGACATAGTCATGTACTGTCTTCTCTCTATCTATATTCCTCATGTTGCAGAAGCTTTACTCAACTATCGTCACACTCAACATTTTTTTCTGTAAGCAGAGTCACTTATGAAATCTTGCTGTTGACTTCTCTTATTATTTTGCCCACTGCAATAATCTTAATCCAGCAACTATCCTTCCTCTACTTGATGATGAGTCACCTCATGACTATCTAAATCTAACTTATCAGTTACCAAAACCTACAGATGATTTACAGGAAATCCCTATAACAGATGCAGAAGTTTCATTATTTACTAATGGATCATGTATGACAGAAAATATCATGCTGAGTATGCTATTGCCACCGTTTTGGAAGTAGTTGAAGCAGCTCCACTACCAAAGACTACTTTGGTTCAACAGCAGAATTTTATGACTTAACCAGGTCTTGTATTCTGGTGAAAGGTAAAATTGCAGATATTTACACCAATAGCTTTTATGCCTTTAGGTTGTTGATGATTTTAGTATGCTTTGGAAATAAATAGGATTTTAACCTCCAGGGAAAATCAAATTGAAAAAGAAACTTTTGTCAATAATTTATTCAATTCAATTTAACTTCTCTCTGCCTTTACCATAATCAAAATTTCTGGGCACTCAAAATTGGAATCTGATAAGGCTAAGAAAACAACTTGACTGATCACACAGCAGAAGTAGCTGTCTTGAACTTTTTCTCATGTACTTATTGTCCACATGTATGTCTTCTTTTGAAAAATGTTTATATTCTTTGCCCACTTTTTAATGGGGTTGTTTGTTTGTTTCTTATATATTTGTTGAAGTTCCAAATAGGAAGAGAGGAAGTCAAACTATCCCTATTTGCAGATGATACAATTCTATATTTAGAAAACCTCATAGTCTTGGCCCCAAAGCTCCTTAAGCTGATAAACAACTTCTGCAAAGTTTCAGGATATAAAACTGGTGTACAAACATTAGTAGCTTTCCTGTAAACTAATAGCAGCAAAACCAAGAGCCAAACTGAGAACACAATTCCATTAACAATTGCCACAAAAAGAAGAAAATACCTAGGGATGCAGCTAACCAGGGAGGTGAAATATCTCTACAAAGAGGATTACAAAGCACTGCTCAAGGAAATCAGAGATGACACAAACAAATGGAAAAACATTTCATGCTCATGTATAGGAAGACTCAATATCATCAAAACAGCAACACTGCCCAAAGCAATTTACAGATTCAATGCTATTCTTATCAAACTAACAATGACATTCTTCACAGAACTAAAAAAAAAAAAAAAAAAACTATTTTAAAATTCATATTATGAAACCCAAAAAGAACCCGAATAGCCAAGGCAATCCTAAGCAAAAAGAATGAAGCTGGAGGCATCATGCTACCCAACTGCAAACTATACTACAGGGCTACAATAACTAAAATGACATGGTACTAGTACAAAAACAGACACATAGACCAATCTGATCTTCAACCTTCTGATCTACAACCATCTGATCTTCGAAAAAGTTGACAAAAACAAGCAATGTGGAAAGGACTTTCTATTTAATAAATGATGCTGGGATAACTGGTTAGCCATATGCAAAAGATTGAAACTGGATTCCTTCCTTACACCATATACAAAAATAAACTTAAGATGAATTTAAGAATTAAATGTAAAACCTGAAATCACAAATCCCTGGAAGACAACCTAAGACATACCATTCTGAACATAGAAACTGGCAAAGATTTTATGATGAGTGTCAACGAAGAGAGTCAAACTCTGTAAAATATTCGAAGGAATTTATTCTGAGCCAAATATAAGTGACCATGGCCCGTGACACAGCCCTCACTCAGGAGGTCCTGAGAATGTGTGCCCAAGGGTGATCAGGGTACAGCTTGGTTTTATATATTTTAGGAAAGCATGAGACATCAAATATATTTAAGATATACATTGGTTTGGCTCAGAAAGGCAGGACAACTCAAAGTAGGGGGTGAAGGGGAGTGGGGTGGGGGGCTTCCAGGCTAAAGGTAAATTTAAACATTTTCTGGTTGACGGCTGAGTTTGTCTAAAGATCTGTGATTGATAGAAAGGAAGTGTTCAGGTTAAGATAAAAATTGTGGAGACCAAGGTTCTTTTGAAGTCTTAAAGTGGCTGCTCTTAGAGACAACAGATGACAAATGTTTCCTATTCAGATCTTTAAAAGGTGCCAGACTTTTAATTAATCTCTTCAGGATTGGGAGGGCCTGGAAGAAAAAGATCTAGCTATGTTAATAGAGATTCTTTACAGATGGAGATTTTCCCCCACAAAGGATGGCTTTGCAGGGCCATTTCAAGATATGGCAGAGAAACATGTTTCAGGGTAAAATATTTTTATTTTCTTTCTTGTCACATAATGCTATGCCAGAGTCAGATTGGAAAGTAAGTAACGATATGTAGAGTTAAATAAAACCCATCTGATGAGAATTTATGTTTTGTAGGGCATGACTCCCCAGACCCCTTAGATAGGAATTTGGGCAAGATAAAAAAATCAGAGCTTAGTCCTCATGAAGATGCCAAAAACAATTGCAACAGAAGCAAAAATTGACAAATGGGATCTAATCAAACTTAGCAAATAACAATCAACAGAGTAAACAGACAACCTACAGAGTGGGAGAAAATATTTGTAAACTATGCATCTGACAAAGGTCTAGTATCTAGCATTTAGCTTTCTCTGCATTTGATATTTAATTGATTAAAGGAGACATTCTCCAGTATTGTAAAGGAATAAATTCAGGCTGTAGGCAAAATCATACCTCAGTAGAACAATCTTTCCATACTGCTCTCCCAGGAGATGAAGACATCATCAAACATCACAGTCTTCAGCCACATGATGTCTATTGAAAGAGGCATTTATAAAAGAATTTCTATCTTGATGAAAAGGCTTATATCACGTATTCTTTATCAACCCCTGTGCTGCCAAACTGAAAGGTGTTGACTCTTCATGTTTCTTATTTAAGGAAAGCTCCTATTCTTTTCTGGAATTTAGAATCACTCGAAGACTAAAAGCTAAAACTGACCCTGAAGTGAAGCAAATGATAGCCGAAGTTGACTTCTCACACAAGACCTCTGGACTAGGCCAGTATACGATTAGGATCCCTGACATACTTGGTCTCTTACATGTTGCTTTTGCTATAGTCTTGTTTTACACCTTCTACTCCCTTGCACAACAGAGTTTTCTTGAATTATATCTTAGCTGAGCAAGGAGGTGTTTACATTGTAGTCAATACCTCCTGTTACACTTGGATAAATACTTTTCAAAATTAGAGACCAGGTTGTAAAAATCCACACATTTGCTAATTATCTAAATAGAGTGCTTATTGTTAAAATGCTGGCTTTTTTATCTCTTCAGCTGACCACCCTCTCAAAATGTTGCTAAAATCCAGTCTTCAACTTTTATTACTCACTATTAGGATTATTATTGCTATTGTAATATTTAAGATATGTCTGTAACTCCTTACCCAAGTTTACTTAGAAATAAAAGTTTTACCAAAGTTACAGTTGCTTAGAAGCTCAGCATGGTCAGTCAAGCCCATGATTTAGAAAAGACATCCAATCTGACAAACTTTTCAGGACCTAAGCAGGCTTTAGAAATCCCCTTGCAAAACTTCTGTGTTACCAAATACGGCTCAGTCTAGCCTTACAATCTGTTAGACCTTAAGATCCCGTAGTGAGGGACGTGAATCCCTGGGACAGATCCATCCCAGTGATGAGGGACAAAATTAGACTTGCTAATTAATCTGCTTTCTGGAGAAAGATCTTTGTCAATAGAGGGAAATGTAAAAGAAAATGAAATAACTAAGGTCAAGGCTTTCTAAAGTGGAATCAGGAGATTGTGAAAGGATTGCACTCACACCTGCTAAACATCAAACCACAGAATTTCCAACAGACTTGGTAAACAGCTGAGGTCAGTATTCCCAGGCCTTCAATATCTCTCAGCTGGAAATATGCTAATTCATTAACCCATCAGAATAGGTTTGTGATTTAGTATTTCTGACCATCAGATGAACTGCCTCCAAGACCAATTTTTATGTGTGTGGAAATTCTCTATTAAAAAATGCTCCAGTGCTTGCCTATGGGACATTACTTAGGGCTGCCCTGATTCAGTGCACCCAGATAGCAGTTCTTTGTTTGCGAAATAAATGCTATTTCTTTTGACCTTTTGTCAATCATTTTTTAGTTAACATAGCTCTATCTTCCTTTCTTTCTCCCTCTCTTCCTCTCTTTCATCAGTTTTGCCAGAAATTTGTCAATTTTATTGGTCTTTTTGAAAAGCAAGTTTTTGTTTCATTGATTTCCCCTATTTTTCTATTTTAAATCTAAAATTAATTTCTGTTTTTATTCTTTTTGCTTGCTTTTGATTTATTTTGGTGGCCTCTTTTTTCAATTTTTTGAGAATGGCACTTAAGTTATTATTTTGGGATTTTATCTTAAATTTGGAGATTTTCCTGCTATCTTTCTCTTACTAACATTTAGTTTTATTCCATTATGTTCTGAGAAAACATTTCAAATGGTTTCAATTCTTTAAAAATATTTGTGGTTCATGTTACGGCCCAGGATATGGCTTATCTTTGTGAATATACAATACTCACTTGAAAAAAAAAGATGTATTCTGCTGTTGTTAGGGTTCATATATGTGAATTCGATCCTCTTGCTTGATTGTACTGTTAAAATCTTTTATATCCTTATTGATTTTTTCTCCAGTAGTTCTATCAGTTGCTGAGAGGTGAATTTTGAAGTCCCCAATTATAAGTATGGATTGGTCTCTTTCTTCTTTCAGCTTTGTCAGAATCTGCTTTATGTATTTTGACACTCCATTGTTTGATGCATACATACTTGGATAGTTTTTTCTTCCTGAAGAATTGATTCTTTTATTATTACATAATGTTCCTCTGTGTTTCTAGTAATCTTTTCTCTGAAGTAAACTTTATCATATTTTGATATTAATGAGGCAATTCCTGCTTTTATATGATTAATATCTGTTTAGTTATAAAAATTTTTTTACATTCAATCTATATTGTTAAATTTAAAGTCAGTTTCTTGTAAACAGCATATAATTGGGTCCTTTATTTCAATTCACGTAGCCAATTTCTGCCTTTTAATTGACCTATTTAGACTATCTACATTTAAGGTAGTTATTGATATGTTTGATTTTAGTCTGTCACTTTATTATTTGTTTTCTCTTTGTTTCCACTATTTCTTGCCCTTCTGTTTATCTTTTCTTGCCTTCTCATGGACTACTTGAATATTTTCCAGGATTCCATATTAATTTCTTTAGTATTTTTATGTGTTTCTTTTTCTATAGTTTTCTTAGTGCTATATTTATTATAATATACATATGCAACTTGTCACAGTCGACTGATACCAGCTTTTTTTTTTTACTTCAAATAAAATTTGGAACCTACTTTCATTTATGTTCCTTTATATTATCACTTTAAAATGTGATTGCCTTGAATATCAGGTGGTATTACATTTTTTGTTTCAGTCAAGTATGCTTTATAGAATTTCATGGTATGTACTCATATTTCTGCTCTTTTCATTGTTTTTCAATCATGACTCACCAAGATTCCTACTTTCTGTTAGAAGAAAAACTTTCTTTAGCCATTATTTAAAGGTAGGTCAGCTAGTGACAAACTCCTTTAGTTTTCCATCTCCTGAAAATGTCTTTATTGCCCCTTCAGTCCTACAAGATAGTTTCTCTAAACATAGAATTTGTGGTTGACAGTTCTTTTCTTTCATCACTTGGAAAAGGTTCCACTTTTTTTGGCTTCTGTGGTTTCAGAGAAGAAATTTGTTGTCGTTGAATTATTTTCTCCCTCTAGGTAATACACTGTTTCTTTCCAAATGATCTCAATACTTTCCTCTTGGCATTTACTTTCCAGAACTTTAATTATTATATCTCTGGTTGTGAATTTCTTCGGGTTTATCCTATTTTGAATTTGTTCAGATTCTTAAATTTATGTCTTTCACCAAATTTGGCAAGTTTTCAGATATTATTTCTTCAAATACTCTTTCTGCCCATTCTCTTTCTCTTCACCTTCTGGGATATCCACTGTTGGAACTTTATTATTGTACAGGTCCCTGAAGATCTATTCACCTTTTTTCCAGTCTTTTTTCTCTCTATTGTTCAAACTGGGTAAATTAAATTGATCTATATTCAAGTTCTCCAATTCTATCCTCTGTCATCTCAACTCTACTATTGAATACATCTGGCAAATATTAAAATTTCTATGATTCTGTATTTTAGTTCTATAATCTTCATGTGGTTTTGGATTTTTCAACTTTTTTTAATATGATTTTTTTGATTCCTCATTTTTTTGAAGCATTTTTATAATGGTTGTTTTAAAGTCCTTGTCAGATAATTTTAACATTTCTATCATCTTGGTGTTGGCATCATTTGATTGTGTTTTGACACTCAGGTTGTGATATTTCTGGTTCTTATTTTAGCATGTGATTTTCCATTGTATCTTGAACATTTTGGCTATAATGTTAGGAAATTCTGGATCTTATTTAAATCTTTTATTTTAGCAGGCTGTTTCCTTGTTCAGGTTCAGCAGAACCTGGCCTTTTATCATGAGCTGTGGTTCCAATGACAAATTTCTTTTTAGAACTTTTGGTATGCTACTTTGTTCTGCTTGGTGTATATGGTGCAGGTGAGACTCCTATTGGTCCTTGCTCAGGAGGTGCAAGGATCCTAGGCTGCCTGAATCTAGGTGGGGAAGGGAGTATCAGTCCCACTGGGAGAAATAGGCTTCCCAGTCTAGGCCATTCGTTCTGCTGAAAACTTCTCTTCATAGTGCTGCCTGGCTACCTGGTGTCTCTAAGTAAGAGAGGCAAGTTGTAAGCCTAGGGAGATAGGGAGACCAAGGAGCTTTTTGGCCTGTCCACATGTTGTAGCTGAATCCCCCTTGCAGGTCCTCCCTGGCTGTCTAGTATCTCGTAGTGGTGAGGATATTTTCAGGCCCAGCAGTGAAATAGAGTTTTTTTTATGCAGAGTGCATGTCGTGGCTGGATCCACCTTGACAGTTGCTTAACCACGTGGTGTCTTTAGGTGGAGGAGGATAGGGGCCCCTCAGTCTTATGGGGACGAAGAAGCTACCTGGGCAAGGCCACTTGTGGCAGAATTTCCCTTGCTGTTGACCTTCCTCCTTTCCTTCTACTTCTACCTACTGCTTGGTGTTTCTGAGTAGAGGAGGAGAATGCTTCTTGAGGCCACTTATTGTCAGTAAGGCTCCTGATCCATCCCCCTGACAGTGCTGCCAGGCTTGCCCTATATTGTTGGCAGGATTCTCATTCAGTATGGAAAATGAATAAGTCTACCTGAGCCACCTTCTGTTGCTAGGTTGGGGATGAGGAAGCATGGAATCTGGGTAACCTTCTGCTAAGTGGGTTTGTTGGAGGTACTGCCACTGTGTATTCCTCCAGAACTGGGATCCCTAAGCAGTTTGAATTCCTATTTCTACTTTTTAGGGTTCTTTTTTGGTCACCTCTTAAATTATTTCCAAGGTTGATAATTATACTTAGTGGAGAGGAGACAAGCCTATACCATCTTGTCTGGACAATAAGTCACTAATTAATAGTGTAGACACAATTCCTAGAAATAAATGTATTATTTGTTAAATTATCTTTAGGAGATGTGGGGTTGTCTGGAACATACAAATATACTAAATTACTTGTAGGGAATTGCTCATAACAAATGAGCTGAGATGCTGCTTGTTGTGAAACATACCACTTTACACAAATATGCTTCTAATCATGCATTGATATGTAACTAGAACAGAATTGACATATAGTAGGTGCTCAAGAAATACATGTTGAATGAATAAAATAATGGGTAAAAATTAAGGACTCTCATCCCCAATTTTATTTGATAATTCAGATGGTTTAAGTAAAGTTTAGATGGTTTGAAATAAATATCACATACATTTTTGCTAGATTTGCCTAGTTATTTCTTTTTCTGATTCTGAACACAGGAAAATCCTTTGTAAATCTGTAGTTAACACATCAAGAAGAAAATCTAAATGTGCCATAACATTGTACTAAACACCGGAGAGTTCTTGAAGAATGAATAATAAGGGTAGCTCCTGAGATCCCGAGACTTCATGCAGAAGAGATTGAGGAGCATCTGTGGTTTGGTGGATTGGTCCAGCTCAGGTCCAACCTTAGCCAAATAGTAATATTAATTAGCAGTAACTTCAGGATGACCTGAATCAGGGACTTCAGGTGGTGGTATGATCTGACCAACGGAGGACAGAGTTCAGACTGATGGCCCCTTCCCGGGAGAGTGCCCTTTGTTTTGTGAAAACACCAGGCTGCATGCAGATGCCTCTACAAGGAAGATAAGAATGTACCAAATGTACCATCTCACACCAAGCTTACATGCTTCTCCCAGTTGACCCAAATAACCCCCCTTTACTTCTGAGCTCTGAGGTTATCCCTGAGAAGTTGCTGCTATAACTCCTCATTGTTCCTCCTCTGTAATGTACTATTTTCCCTTTTCATCTCTTGAGGTGCATTTCCTTTATCAGGCTAGCAAAGCAGTCACAGCCCTTTTCTGAGTGGGCACCACTGTTGATCATCTCTTGAATCTCTTGTTCCGGGAGACAGCTGGGTCACCCAGAGCATTCATGGCCCCTTCCCAGGGACCTGATTTTCGTCCTTGACAGCAGACCCGAGCCAGAGGCTTAGTCTTTCTGCATTCCACTGCTGATGAGCTCCAGCATGAGAAATTAGTGGGGAATGGCACAGGCCTCTGTCTACAGACTTCAAACACTAACAGCAGATGAGGCCTGGTGTTGGTTAAGGGCCATTTGCAATTGCAACTCTTTGTCTCAGCTGTACTTTTTTATGTTTCACATTACCCATTCTGCTCCGCCTCCCTCTCACATTCCCTGGAGATGGATTGTGCAGGCAGACACTGTCTGCAGTACCTCAGTGGGAGATGGAGGCCTGCCTTCACATTGCACATGTGGTGTATTTTTTTTTTCAATGTGAGGAGGCTACAAGTGACCCCTCATCAGTTGGACATTATGCTATTTTTCTGCCATGGCAATAGGCAGGGCTCAGCCCTTAGCACTTTCTGTCTTGGCCCTCTTCTAACCAATAGTGTATTTAGTGAGCCTACAGTATCTACCTGAAGAATAGAGGAATTCGTTGTGCAAAGGCTGGGGTTTCATGCAGGAATCTCAACTGTTGAAATGGGAAAAATTCCCTAATCCCCCTTGCAGGGCGTGCCATGGGAGTGTGGCTTGCTTCTTTGGTGCCCCACAGCTCAAACCCCTAGGGGGATCATGCAGACGGGCAGACCAATTGTGGGGAATGTGGGCTCCGTCCTCAAGGCAGCATCTAGGGTTGAGTGTCTACAGCTCCCAAAGCCCCAGTGGACATGTGTTACTGTGTGCTCTTTCAGTTCAGCTGTCTGCAGGTGGCTTGTGTTAATCAGCTCAATTAGACCCTCTGCCTTATCGCAAAGGCAGAGGGCTTTCTCCATCCCAGTTTCTTGCCTTGGTGTACCAGAAAAATCAGATCACATGTGGGCTTGGAGGATAGGTGCAAGGTTTTATTGAGTGGAGGTAGCCCTCAGCCAGGTGAAAGGGAGGCCAGAAGGGGGACAGAGTAGGCAGTTGGTCTTCCCCTGGAGTCAGGCCGCCTAACATCCAGACTCTCCTCCAACTGCCCCTGACTGAATTTCATGTCGCCCCGTTGCTTACGGCCTGCCGGCATCTGCTGGTGTCTGTCAGTGTGCTCATCTGCTCCACTGTTCCTCTCAACATCCAGCTGCTTGTGTATGTGCCCACTAGGGTCTCAGGGTTTTTATAGGCACAGGATTGGGGGCATGGCGGGCCAGAGTGGTCTTGGAAAATGCAACATTTGGGCGTGAAAACAGGAGTGCCTGTCCTGTCCTCCCCTAGGTCTGTGGGCACAGGCCCGAGGGTGGAGCCCTCACCAGGGACCCTGCCCCTCTCTACCCAGCACTTCCCTGCCCTCCTCCCATATCAGTGAGCAGAGCCACACCAGAAACATATCTTTCGATGGACAACCACATTTCAGAGATGGAATGCTAAGTTCTGGATTAATTATTCCTTCATAGCCAGGGGAAAATGGACAGCTGCCTGCAGATCCTCCCAAGGTGGCTGGACTGAGTCTGTGGGCCAAGCTGCATGGCGACTGGGCTCAGTTGGTCAGAGGTCGTCTGAAGTTGTCAAAAGGATTTTCCCTTTTGACATATGCTGCTCCTTTCCTTACCTTACCATTTCCTAGAATTTTAGCTTGAAAAGTTCTTATGGAACTGCAAGGACATTTTGGGAATAAATTCTTAAGAAAGATACTCTCAGGTTGTGAGAAATGTGTTGGAGGAAGGGAAAAGTTAGCTACAGCATAAATATGGTTCATTTTACTGAAAAAAAGTCAATGTTACTCAAAGTTTTTTTTTTTCCATTTTGAAATAATGTTTTGAAACATGAGGATATATTATGGAGTCACATGGAGAACTTACCTGCATTTCAGTGATAAAACAGGATACTTCAACAGCTTTTAGACTTGACTTTAGGTTGAGTTGAGCTACATCCCCTGGGATGCTAGCCATTGTACCCCATCATAGGGTGCAGAAGCAGAGCACCAACGAAACACCTGGCCTGTGCCTCTTGAGGAATGACCAGCTCAGAGATGGGGACCTCTGTGGGGCTGATGGAGACTGGAGGTAGGAAAGAGGACCCACAAGAGAGGGGATATTGCTGTAATAAAGCACTAAGAAAAACATGAGAATGAGCTCATTAAAAGCTTATCACTTAGAGGTTGCATGTCTAGAAACCTGGCATAGGAGTTCACTAATGAATGGCTCTGTGTGCATTATTTCACAATGAAAATGATCAAGACTCAATCATGAAATGAATCTTTCACTAAATCTGCCTTTTCAGAGAGATTCTGGGTATAAAAGATGAGTCGGCATTATTATAGAATTCCATATAGGATGTGTAATATGTGTTTCATGATACCCTATATTATCTTCTTTAACCTCCAAGATAAGTAGGGACATAAAGCCACTTTAGAGATGAAGAAACTGAGGTTAAAGGGGTTAAGAAACTTGCTCAAGGTGACCTGGCTGGATATAGCAGAGCAGATACCATGATTCCAGTTTCCTTGTGTTTTTTTATCCTGCTTTTCTTCACTATTCTGCATAGCCTCAAACTAAAAAGTGCATGGCAATATGCTTCCATGGCATGCAACTTAGAACATCTTTCGCTTATTAAAGATATAAATATGAATTTGTATGAAGAATGCAGTGAAGAATTTAGAGATGCTAATAATTGTTTACTTGGCATTTTGCAATATATACGTGGAACTTAACAAGCTTTGAAACCTAGGTTTGCATCTAGGTCTAGGGTCTAGGTAAGACCTAAAAGTTTTTGCAACATTCTGCTTTCTCACAGAAATGCAGCTAGGATTTCCATTTGACACCATAATGTATTCTGACGTTTTAACATAAAATTTTCAAGACAAAAAAAAATCTTCAGGTCCTATTGACTTTTTTCAGTAAAATTTGTCCTTGAGGGCTTTTGTGTGTGAAATAAGCAGCCATTTACACTTGGGTAGAGGAGAGGGAGAAGAGCACGGTGGCCTCTTACCCTTGGAAACTATTGGAAGGAACCGCTCAAAGACATCCTATGTGCTGCTTTCAATGACTACATTGGGAGGGTGCTTTGCGTGGTCTAGAGTAGTAGGCCCTCCCACTTCCTTCTGTGCCAACAGCCATGGCTGGGATGCCCATCTCTACAGAGCTCAGATCTTGGCACCAATCTGTGGTCTGGCTACCAACCTACCACCTGCCCAAGTGACAAATGTAGCCTGAAGAGTAGAAATTGAGGACCTCAAAGCAAAGTATCAACAGAAGGTGGATCAGAACTCAACTCTGCTGATTTCTAGCCCAGTCTTGCCTTCACTTGGTTTTATGGTCCTCAGAGATTTAAAGCAAAGTGACCTAAACCCAAGAAATGTTCTTCCCTCCAAAGCAATGTCTGAGGATTAGCCTCTAAATTAAGAAATGTTCCTTCATTTGAAATAATCATTACAGCGGAAGGAGTCCTTGATTTGAACATGGATATGACACTCATTAAAAATTTCATTCTTTCTCCCTCTTTTTAAAATCTGGGTAAATCTGTTTCTCTTTACATTTCTAAATCAGAGGTTGTATGATAGATTTTTCATAAGGCTCCTCTTAGCCAATGAAACTTTCTCTGGCTCATTGTTATTGTAAAATTTTTTTTCCACTTAACATGCACTTATTTGAAAAACAAATCTTGAAATTTTGGCCATTAGGCTTACTGCCTATAAATTTGTCTGCTTGCAGAGACCCTCTCAGGGGTACCCTGCAGGTGCCAAAGTCCTAGCAGCTGTGGCAGTTACACACTGATGAATTTAGGGAATGGAATGGACTTCAGATCCAAGATGACCAATGAGATACACTTTACAACTCAAGCTGAAGCTTATGCTAGAAATTAAAAGGCCTTTATAGATGGCTTTTGTTTTCCCCCTGAGTCTTCTAAATCAGGAAGACAGCTTGCAGCAGCCTGCATATTGGTTATTTCTTGCATGGCATGGCTCCTGAAAAACCAGAGAGCCAACACATTTGCCCTAGTTAGGTATAGAACGAAGAGGAGAGAGTGTTGCTAAGAGGCTGCAGTGGAGGTCAGACCCCTGCAGAAGAAGGTAGATGGCTTTTCCAAGTAGATTTTGGCACCTGTACATGTTGCCTGCATTTCTAAACACTCTTGGTGACATATTTTGCTAAGGTGGCAGCTCTAACAGACATAATAGTGTATGACGTAGCACGAGTCTGGCTATTGTTCAAAGCAGACCAAATAAAAATATAAGCAAACAACTCCCCTGTGGTGTAGACAATTTATAAGTCAGTAAGGAAAAATGTGATAATAAAATTGAAGATGTGGTCCTATTGCTAGTGGGACCCTGATTTGTAGTAATTATGGAGATTTCCTTGACTTTATCAGCATGCTGTTAGCACATGTACACTCTTACACAGTAACAGGGCCTCTCAGTGTTCAGGCGCTCCTCCATGTCCTAATCACAACTATAATTAAAAGTGACGTAAAAAGCAACTGAAAGCATTTTATTTTGAGGGGGAGAAGCAAATAGTTTGTCTTCTTTATTTTAAATATTTTAATCCTTTAAAATAACCTTATTGAAAAAAATAAACTTACTGAGAAATAACCTCATTAATTCATCATATGACCTGAAAAACAAAACCCGTCTTTAAGGTTCTCATATTATCCTTCCAAAATTCTTTACAGCACTTTATAAGCCACCATCCATCAGTGCAGAACATGTGGCGCTGGTGTTAGCAGAGCGTGCAATGCCTTTGGAACATTCTCTGTACAGCAGCCTTGCCTGTAAGGGTCAGTAAGGAGGACAGCTCTTGAAGACTCTATGCGAGGTCTTTGAAGAGTTGCATGTTTACTAGCAGCAGTAAAACAGAGAAAAGGGGAAATGTTAAGGAAGCTCTAGATGGCTGAACTCCCAGGAACAAGAAAGTCTGGATCTTGAGCATAAATTTCCTCAGAAAAGGACTTTGAAGTTTGTTTCAATCTGTGAAATTCTAGTAACGGTCTAAATTTGCTCCTTAACATCTGGTGTAGATAATTACAGCAAATGGTTTGGATATGTCCATTTGTTCATTAATCCATTCATTTACTGGAGATGGTTTTATTGAAAGCCTCCTATTATAAGAAAATGGCCTTTAGCACTTCATGGAATAGAAAAGTGAGTAAGGTGGTCATTGCCCTCAAAGACCTTTTTCTGTCTTAGGGAGGGGGGAATCCATAAGTACATAATGGTAATGTATAGTACCCTGAGATAAACATCAAACGCTGTATCTGACTCATAGATAAAATGAGGGGGGATGGTATATCATTGGGACTGATTTAATGAAAGGAATCATGAAAGGGTTTTCATTACAGCTGATGAATATGTCTGGGTACTGTAGCTGAACAGGTCAGGAAGTGTGGGAAGATATTCCAGGCAAAAAGTCAACCCAGATAAAAGTATATGAGTGGCTAAATGCAAGGCAGGTTTGGGAACAGTGAAAAGTTCAATTAGATTAAGTCATGCAGTAGGTGTCGTAGTGAGTGATAAAATTACATAGGTAATTTAGTGCTAATATTATAGAAGACATTGTTGAAAGTGCTCAGGGTGATTTAATTCCCCAGCCAAGTATTGGGAGGAACATTTTTAAGACTGCAAGAACAGGTAGAAAATAGTGCACTCCTATATTAAAAATAACTCCTTATTTCAGGGACAACTTCTAGTCTGTTACTTTGTGTAGCTGGATCTCAACTTGTTAATTCATCCAATCGGGTTTCCCAGCTCTACTACCCTTCTCCAGAACTTTCTTTATACGGAATGACTGACACTCTAACTCTCTCAACTGAAGGAACCATGTCCCTTCTTTCTTCCACTTCATCTATTCATGATTCTCCACTGACCATTGTAAATCATGATCTAGTCATGTGTAGCCTCTAATGACATTCCACTGTTCAGTCCCCCCATCTGCATACAAAGTAATGAGTGCTCAAAAGAAGGACTCGTCCAGGACTACGGAGCTAGTAACTGTTACAGCCAAGAAACTCTCAGATTACAAAGTCATGGTTAGCCTTTGAATTGCCCAGGAAATTGATATTCCTGGTTGTCCCATCATCTGTATTATCTGATTCATTGTTTCTTTCTTTTACTTATTCATTTATTAATTTAGTAAAGTTTTACTGAACACTTAATATGTTCTAGCCCTGAGTTAAATGCTGAGGATATAACAGTGAACTAGATTAATTTAGTTTCTACTCTCATGGGTATTAACAGACCATTTGGAAAGACAGGCATATAATTTTATTTATAATTATATGAATAAAAGAGTACTCACTTTCAGGCCCCAGCTGCCAAAACTCCAGTGAACCCTCTGGGCCAAGGATTTCAGGCCAGCCCGCTCTGATTTTCTTCTTCCCCTACCAGTCACTCTCTACTGGAATTCCCTCACTGAAATTTGTCCAGTTTCTGATTCCTTCCCATAGAACTGGATGCTCTGGGCCTCCCTAGATGTATTAATTAAGTCATATAACATAAAAATACTGATAATAAGACAATGGAAGAAGCAGTAAGCATGCTTATCTGAATATTTCAGGCTGACAAAAATGGAAATGTGAAGATGACAAGTTCAGAATTCAGCTAAGTTTTGATGATTTCAAGAAGGCAGAATCAAATTCCACCCATGGTGCTTTTGCAGAACTGATTTAGAAACAGGTCAACTAAGTTTAAAACTTAGGGCAACATAAAGAGACTCTACCACGTCCAGAGTGAGCCTCCTGAAGATGGGCTGGGGATCTTAGGATTACTAACCTATGGGAAGAAAGTCTAAAGTTAAATGATGATTTATTTTTGAAAAAAAATGTAAATCCTGACCTTCATACAATCATAAAGTGAACATGTGTCAAAGATTTTATTTAACTTATGATTGAGGGAAATAGTAAGGTGTTCAAAAACTTGTTTAAAGGAGACTCCCAGGAGCAGACACATACATAGGCAATCAGTGATACTGAAATTAATTTGTGTAATAGATGCAAAATTGGCTTATTACACAGGCCCAAGGCTACATCAGTTGTACCTCCATTGGGCAAAATTCACTTGCATTTCTATGAATTAGAATAATTTGCATAAATATCAGTTTTCTAAAACTTACAGAGTTGAAAGTAGCTCAAAGACAATGAAAAGTGCAGACCTTTACAGAATGAGGTGACCTGCAAGGGTACAAAAGCAACACTTAGTTTTCTATTGAAAAGGCATTCAGTAATCTTTTTGGTTTATTTAAATGGCTTTCACAATTTTTGTTTCTAAAAACAAAACTCTCTTCTCCAAGGAGAGGAGAATAGCTCAATGGCTCAGTTACATTTGGCAATGGTTCCTTCTCTGTGTTGGGTGACTCACATAGAATCTAATGAGAAAACATGAGCCTTACCTCTTGGAAAAGACAGGTATGCAAGTTGATGCATACAAACAAGTACAAGTGTAGTGTAACCTGGATACACTGGAGTTGGGCAGAATCGGAGGATGAGTAGGGTTGCTTGTTTGAGTGATAACTCCAACCATGAGAAGCCAGGAATCCAGCTCTTCTTAACATGGAATTAACAAATGACTTTTATAAATAGAAAAGCATACTTGAAACATTATCATTTTAGAGAATGGAAGTGATAAATAAGAACTAGAAGATAGCAGATGTGGACCAGGGAAAGAAGAACAAATGAAATAAAATAGGAAGCAATGTAGCCTTAAGTACTACATTGTGCATTGTGGTAGAACTGAGATTGGGGAGAGATAATTGTGTGCTACAATATTGAGAGCAATTTGTCCACATGTGGTGAGTGGGAATGGAGTCAAGGGGACTGCATTTGCAAAGAGGAATAATTGACTGGGCACATGTGACAAACAGATTTCTGAGTCTGACACATAATAAGCTAAATATGTAACGTATTATTATATAATTACATTAATATTATACAACAGAACCAGCAAAAGGCTGTCCTGGTTAATAAATAAAGGAATTATATGTAGGGAATAATAAACACCTACATCTCTATAGCATTTTGTACTTTTACACAAATTTTCTCATTAATAACCTCTAGATATATGTATTGTTATTTCCGATTTACAGTGGAAGGACTGAAGCTCAAGAAGCTAATGAGTGGCAGAAGCTTCACTTAACCAGGTTCCTTGGATTTTCATCAAACTACAGCAGTTTCTTCTGTACCATGAACCAGTTATTCTATTACACTACCGTGGCCAGATCCTGGATAGAATTCTTTGTGGAACCAGAGGTCAGGTAACATCTACCCAGGAGCTTAAAACATGAAAACAAAACCCACCAACAAAGTCTAAAAGATCTTCAATTATGTCCTTTAGAGGCCAGAAAGCTGAGGGGAACAGAGTGGGTATCACTGTGGCTGAAACACTGAATACAAAGTAATAACCAGCAGAATCCTCTGATGGAAAAATGCAAAATGAGAAAATAATAACAAACTTTTTGGGAAGATTGACTATGTGCCAGCCACTGACCAGCTACATTGGCTTTCTTATTTTTTCTTCAGAGCAAGCCTATGAGATGGGTACTATCATTATCTTCATGTTTTTGATGTAGAAACTGAGACACAGATGTCAGCTAAGTCCCCAAGGTCCACGTCCTGTAAATGGTAGAGCTGAGACTGGGACCCAGGTCTGTTCAGTTTAAAATCCTCCACTATTCACCACTCTACCTTATACATGCACATGCTGCTGTAAAAGTGACTATGGTTTAGTTAGGGCTTTTCAGATTTGAAAAGTGTATCTGAGGGAATTTGACAAAATTATTTTCTGGGAGATTAATGAATAATTAGATGATATTAGAGATATGAATTTGCATGAAGTATACAACTGAAATTCAAGTTTGAAACAAAGACATAATGCACACTCTTAAACTAATGTTTAGAATGTTTTGAAATTGCAAATGTCATTGCCATTGGAGGTCAAGGTGACAGCTGGAGAAGGAATGGTATGACTTAGTGGACAGTCTGTATCATACAAGTATTTAAAATAAAGCTAGTCTTATTCTAGTTTAGTAACCATTAGGTGAGGAGATACAAATATTGATACTAATTAGTAAAATAAAATAATGAAATCATCATTATTCCTATAAACTTATGCTGCATGAAACCTACAAAATCCTATGGAAAGAATTCTTGATTTCTTAAGCAATCCATTTTCAAAGCACTACTGCCTTTCAGTGGGATTCCAATTAAATACAAAGGATATCCTAAAGATTTGCCAAGTACTATCTTTAAACGTTACATTGGTCTTCAATTATTATGCATTCTGAGCCAATGGCATCTGCGTTAGGAGATATTGCCATGTTCCCACAAATTGTCTCAGATGAAAATCTAATACAATTAAACAGAAAAAGTCCAGAAATCCCACGATGTCAAATTTCCCGAGCTGTCAGGGATTGCTTCTATTTTCTTTGACTTCTTTTGTTTGATCCTTGTCCCAGTTCGATCTCTGGGCTTATTCAAACCTCTCTTTTCTCCCCACTTCTCCATCAACACTGACTTTCAGTTTATTGCCATTTTGGGGTCTGGGGTTCCCAGATGTGCTCTACCAAAATACCAGACCTCCAGCTAGCATCGCGGGTGAGTGTTCTAAAGAACGCTTCCCCTCTCTGTGGCACATTGTTAAACAAAATACAGCATAGTCATGGGAAAAATTTGCATTTAGATTACTTTATTGAAGCCCAGTGTCAATACCAAGGATAATGAAAATGTAATTGATCAAGAGGACTCACTGAAGTAACTAAAGAGGCTACCCTACACAGAATTCCTATTTCTACCTTCAGTGTCACAGAGGGTGCGTTTTTTTCCTGGCAGTTTTTGAATACTTCTTTTGTCCTTACCTCCACTCATCAAGGTTTTACAAATATTCAGGTTTAACCTCATAGCACCTGGCCATGAAATGGGGACATAAGAAAAATCTTTTTAAATAATTACATGACCTATTTTCATATTTTCACTGGACTGAAAGTTAAAACAGTCTGCCCAATTCAACCCAAGGAATGTGGCCACCCTAGCGACAAACAGCCTGCAGTCCTCAATCAAAAACCTCCTTTCTGGCCTCGATCTAGGGAAAGAGTTATCATCCCATGGTGGAGCTTTGCTAGGGTGATTATGCCCCAGCTAGTACTAGTTGGGAACTCCCTATCTTACATGAAGTTGGTTATTTCTGGAGACAGGAGGATGGGTCAGAGAACCTTGCATTCATCTTCTCCTGCCAGTGTGGTGTGTGATTCTCTGCTTCTCTTCAAGGTCTTACTGGTTCTTGCTTTTTCTCCAGCACTCTCTGATTCCCCTGGTGAAAGATTAAGGCATTTTGCCTTCTAAATTTTCTGAAAGCACGTCATGGCTCAAAGCAGTGGTAACTATTTTATTTCATTTTCTAAATCATTTATGAGGACAGTGGATGGTTTTAATTTGACTCATCCAAACCTTATTATTTCCCAGTAGATGATTTTTTTTTTCCATTGCCTTGTTTGGCAAAATCCCTGATTCGCCCTTGGCTAATTCAAAGAACAAGCAAAAGAGATGTTTTCAGGTGTCCTTAATCTCAGACTTGATAATACATTATGTAGTTATTAAATAAACTTGTCTTGTGGCCAAGGGCAAAATAAATAAAGATGTTTGCTTCGGTGAAGATAGCTCTTTATTTCTAGCCTTTTCTATATCTTGCCTGGATCTGTGGAGCATTAGCACATTAAAGAGAATCTTCAGCAGTGACTAAAGGCCTTCATTCCCAAGACCATTTCTCATCCTACTGCTTAATCACTTCTCCTCAAAGTCCAGGCTCAGAGGAGACACATATTTAGGGAAGAATTTGTGGATGGAAAACAGCTGAATACAACCTGGTAGAGTGAGTCAAATCATCCTAAGGTAAAACAACAAACTATTTGGGGGAAAACAAATAAGTACAGGGACTTACTTTTTATTGATTGTATTCTTCATTAGTTGCATATTTTTGCTTTCTATTTGGCTTCATTTAGGATCTACATATTTCTACAAATTTCAGGGGTCCATGTCCTTTTGTGTAGACTCCTTGTATTGACTGACCCTACCATTCACCAAGTCTCCCTGTTGAGATTTAGCCAACATCCTTCTGCTTACCTCCAGGATCTCTAAATGAAACTCTATGATAGGTGCTGGAAGACTGAGCCTATAGAAAATTACAAACCAGGGGAAACTTTCTTCAGAGCTTTGCAGTCCCCTGTCTAAATGTCCAGTGCTAGTAATGACACAGTCTTGCTGACAATGTCATATAGTCTTCTGGGATTTGTATAATTTCCCTGGAAAGCATTTTAACAATATGCATCAATAAGCTTACTACATTGATACGTTTTTGTTTGTTTGTTTTTCTTGTTTTTTTTTTTTCTGGAGAGTAATTTTTTTTTTACTATAATTTAAGTTTTAGGGTACATGTGCACAACGTGCAGGTTTGTTACATATGTATACATGTACCATGTTGGTGTGCTGCACCCATTAACTTGTCATTTACATTAGGTATATCTCCTAATGCTATCCCTCCCCCCTCCCCCTACCCTACAACAGGCCCCAGTGTGTGATGTTCCCCTTCCTGTGTCCATGTGTTCTCATTGTTGAATTCCCACCTATGAGTGAGAATATGTGGTGTTTGGTTTTTTGTCCTTACGATAGTTTGCTGAGAATGATGGTTTCCAGCTTCATCCATGTCCCTACAAAGACATGAACTCATCATTTTTTATGGCTGCATAGTATTCCATGGTGTGTATGTGCCACATTTTCTTAATCCAGTCTATCATTGATGGACATTTGGGTTGGTTCCAAGTCTTTGCTATTGTGAATAGTGCTGCAGTAAACATACGTGTGCATGTGTCTTTATAGCAGCATGATTTATAATCCTTTGGGTATATACCCAGTAATAGGATGGCTGGGTCAAATGGCATTTCTAGTTCTAGATCCCTGAGGAATTGCCACACTGACTTCCACAATGGTTGAACTAGTTTACAGTCCCACCAACAGTGTAAAAGTGTTCCTATTTCTCCACATCCTCTCCAGCACCTGTTGTTTCCTGACTTTTTAATGATCACCATTCTAACTGGTGTGAGATGGTATCTCATTGTGGTTTTGATTTGCATTTCTCTGATGGCCAGTGATGATGAGCAGTTTTTCATGTGTCTGTTGGCTGCATAAATATCTTCTTTTGAGAAGTGTCTGTTCATATCCTTCACCCACTTTTTGATGGGGTTGTTTGTTTTTTTCTTGTAAATTTGTTTGAGTTGTTTGTAGATTCTGGATATTAGCCCTTTGTCAGATGAGTAGACTGCAAAAATTTTCTCCCATTGTGTAGGTTGCCTGTTCACTCTAATGGTAGTTTCTTTTGCTATATAGAAACTCTTTAGTTTAATTAGATCCCATTTGTCAATTTTGGCTTTTGTTGCCATTGCTTTTGGTGTTTTAGACATGAAGTCCTTGCCTATGCCTATGTCCTGAATGGTATTGCCTAGGTTGTCTTCTAGGGTTTTTATGGTTTTAGGTCTAACATTTAAATCTTTAATCCATCTTGAATTGATTTTTGTATAAGGTGTAAGGAAGGGATCCAGTTTCAACTTTCTACATATGGCTAGCCAGTTTTCCCAGCACCATTTATTAAATAGGGAATCCTTTCCCCATTTCTTGTTTTTGTCAGGTTTGTCAAAGATCAGATAGTTGTAGATATGTGGCATTATTTCTGAGGGCTCTGTTCTGTTCCATTGGTCTATATCTCTGTTTTGGTACCAGTACCATGCTGTTTTGGTTACTATAGCCTTGTAGTATAGTTTGAAGTCAGGTAGCGTGATGCCTCCAGCTTTGTTCTTTTGGCTTAGGATTGTCTTGGCAATGCAGGCTCTTTTTTGGTTCCATATGAAATTTAAAGTAGTTTTTTCCAATTCTGTGAAGAAAGTCATTGGTAGCTTGATGGGGATGGCATTGAATCTATAAATTACCTTGGGCAGTACGGCCATTTTCATGATATTGATTTTTCCTACCCATTAGCATGGAATGTTCTTCCATTTGTTTGTATCCTCTTTTATTTCGTCAAGCAGTGGTTTGTAGTTCTCCTTGAAGAGGTCTTCACATCCCTTGTAAGCTGTATTCCTAGGTATTTTATTCTCTTTGAAGCAATTGTGAATGGGAGTTCACTCATGATTTGGCTCTTTGTTTGTCTGTTATTGGTGTATAAGAATGCTTGTGATTTTTGCACATTGATTTTGTTTCCTGAGACTTTGCTGAAGTTGCCTATCAGCTTAAGGCGATTTTGGGCTGAGACAGTGGGGTTTTCTAGATATACAATCATGTCATCTGCAAACAGGGACAATTTGACTTCCTCTTTTCCTAATTGAATACCCTTTATTTCCTTCTGCCTGATTGCCCTAGCCAGAACTTCCAACACTATGTTGCATAGGAGTGGTGAGAGAGGGCATCCCTGTCTTGTGCCAGTTTTCAAAGGGAATGCTTCCAGTTTTTGCCCATTCAGTATGATATTGGCTGTGGGTTTGTCATAGATAGCTCTTATTATTTTGAGATATGTCCCATCAATACCTAATTTATTGAGAATTTTTAGCATGAAAGGTTGTTGAATTTTGTCAAAGGCCTTTTCTGCATCTATTGAGATAATCATGTGGTTTTTGTCATTGTTTCTGTTTATATGCTGGATTATGTTTATTGATTTGCATATGTTGAACCAGCCTTGCATCCCAGGGATGAAGCCCACCTGATCATGGTGGATAAGTTTTTGATGTGCTGCTGGATTCGGTTTGCCGGTATTTTATTGACGATTTTGCATCGATGTTCATCAGGGATATTGGTCTAAAATTCTCTTTTTTT
Organism: Homo sapiens; assembly: GCF_000001405.40. Classification (NCBI taxonomy): domain Eukaryota; kingdom Metazoa; phylum Chordata; class Mammalia; order Primates; family Hominidae; genus Homo; species Homo sapiens. The sequence goes on from NC_000001.11 coordinate 221,385,526, forward strand.
GTTGTGTCTCTGCCAGGCTTTGGTATCAGGAAAATGCTGGCCTCATAAAATGAATTAGGGAGGATTCCCTCTTTTTCTATTGATTGGAATAGTTTCAGAAGGAATGGTACCAGCTCCTCCTTGTATCTCTGGTAGAATTCGGCTGTGAATCTGTCTGGTCCTGGACTTTTTTTGGTTGCTAAGCTATTAATTATTGCCTCAATTTCAGAGCCTGTTATTGGTCTATTCAGAGATTCAACTTCTTCCTGGTTTAGTCTTGGGACGGTGTATGTGCCGAGGAATTTATCCATTTCTTCTAGATTTTCTAGTTTATTTGCTTAAAGGTGTTTATAGTATTCTCTGATGGTAGTTTGTATTTCTGTGGGATTGGTGGTGATATCTCCTTTATCATTTTTTATTTTATCATTTATCTATTTGATTCTTCTCTCTTTTCTTCTTTATTAGTCTTGCTAGCGGTCTATCAATTTTGTTGATCTTTTCAAAAAACCAGCTCCTGGATTCATTGATTTTTTGAAGGGGTTTTTGTGTCTCTATCTCCTTCAGTTCTGCTCTGATCTTAGTTATTTCTTGCCTTCTGCTAGCTTTTGAATGTGTTTGCTCTTGCTTCTCTAATTCTTTTAATTGTGACGTTAGGGTGTCAATTTTAGATCTTTCCTGCTTTCTCTTGTGGGCATTTAGTGCAATAAATTTTCCTCTACACACTGCTTTAAATGTGTCCCAGAGATTCTGGTATGTTGTGTCTTTGTTCTCATTGGTTTCAAAGAACATCTTTATTTCTGCCTTCATTTTGTTATGTACCCAGTAGTCATTCAGGAGCAGGTTGTTCAGTTTCCATGTAGTTGAGCGGTTTTGAGTGAGTTTCTTAATTCTGAGTTCTAGTTTGATTGCACTGTGGTTTGAGAGACAGTTTGTTATAATTTCTGTTCTTTTACATTTGCTGAGGAGTGCTTTACTTCCAACTATGTGGTCAATTTTGGAATAAGTGCGGTGTGGTGCTGAGAAGAATGTATATTCTGTTGATTTGGGGTGGAGAGTTCTATAGATGTCTATTAGGTCCACTTGGTGCAGAGCTGAGTTCAATTCCTGGATATTCTTGTTAACTTTCTGTCTCGTTGATCTGTCTAATGTTTACAATGGGGTGTTAAAGTCTCCCATTATTATTGCTTGGGAGTCTAAGTCTCTTTGTGGGTCTCTAAGGGCTTGCTTTATGAATCTGGGTGCTCCTGTATTGGGTGCATGTATATTTAGGATAGTTAGCTCTTCTTGTTGAATTGATCCCTTTACCATTATGTAATGGCCTTCTTTGTCTCTTTTGATCTTTGTTGGTTTAAAGTCTGTTTTATCGGAGACTAGGATTGCAACCCCTGCCTTTTTTTGTTTTCCATTTGCTTGGTAGATCTTCCTCCATTCCTTTATTTTGAGCCTGTGTGTGTTTCTGCACGTAAGATGGGTTTCCTGAATACAGCACACTGATAGGTCTTGACTCTTTGTCCAATTTGCCAGTCTGTGTCTTTTAATTGGAGCATTTAGCCCATTTACATTTAAGGTTAATATTGTTATGTTTGAATTTGATGCTGTCATTATGATGTTAGCTGGTTATTTTGCTTGTTAGTTGTTGCAGTTCCTTCCTAGCCTTGATGGTCTTTGCAATTTGGCATGTTTTTGCAGTGGCTGGTACTGGTTGTTCCTTTCCATGTTTAGTGCTTCCTTCAGGAGCTCTTTTAGGGCAGGTCTGGTGGTGGCAAAATCTCTCAGCATTTGCTTGTGTGTAAAGGATTTTATTTCTCCTTCACTTATGAAGCTTAGTTTGGCTGGATATGACATTCTGGTTTGAAAATTCTTTTCTTTAAGAATGTTGAATATTGGTCGCCACTCTCTTCTGGCTTATAGATTTTCTGCCGAGAGATCAGCTTTTAGTCTGATTGGCTTCCCTTTGTGGGTAACCTGACCTTTCTCTCTGGCTGCCCTTAACATTTTTTCCTTCATTTCAGCTTTGGTGAATCTGACAATTATGTGTCTTGGAGTTTCTCTTCTCGAGGTGTATCTTTGTGGCGTTCTCTGTATTTCCTGAATTTGAATGTTGGCCTGCCTTGCTAGATTGGGGAAGTTCTCCTGGATAATATCCTGCAGAGTGTTTTCCAACTTGGTTCCATTCTCCCTGCCACTTTCAGGTACACCAATCAAATGTAGATTTGGTCTTTTCACATATTCCCATATTTCTTGGAGGCTTTGTTCATTTCTTTTTATTTTTTCTCTAAACTTCTCTTCTCACTTCATTTCATTCATTTGATCTTCCATCACTGATACCCTTTCTTCCAGTTGATTGCATCAGCTACTGAAGCTTGTGCATTCGTCGCGTAGTTCTCGTGCCATGGTTTTCAGCTCCATCAGGTCCTTTAAGGACTTCTCTGCATTGGTTATTCTAGTTAGCCATTCATCTGATCTTTTTTCAAGGTTTTTAACTTCTTTGCCATGGGTTCAAACTGCTCCTTTAGCTCGGAGAAGTTTGATCGTCTGAAGCCTTCTTCTCTCAACTCGTCAAAGTCATTCTCCATCCAGCTTTGTTCCATTGCTGGTGAGGAGCTGTGTTCCTTTGGAGGAGGAGAGGTGCTCTGATTTTTAGAATTTTCAGTTTTCTGCTCTGTTTTTTCCCCATCTTTGTGGTTTTATCTACCTTTGGTCTTTGATGATGTTGACGTACAGATGGGTTTTTGGTGTGGATGTCCTTTCTGTTTGTTAGTTTTCCTTCTAACAGTCAGAACCCTCAGCTGCAGGTCTGTTGGAGTTTGCCGGAGGTCCACTCCAGACCCTGTTTGCCTGGGTATCAGCAGCGGAGGCTGCAGAACAGCAAATACTGGTGAACAGCAAATGTTGCTGCCTGATCATTCCTCTGGAAGTTTTGTCTCAGAGGAGTGCCCGGCCATGTGAGGTGTCAGTCTGCTCCTACTGGGGGGTGCCTCCCAGTTAGGCTACTCGGGGATCAGGGACCCACTTGAGGAGGTAGTCTGTCCATTCTCAGATCTCAAGCTGTGTGCTGGGGGAACCACTACTCTCTTCAAGGCTGTCAGACAGCGACATTTAAGTCTGCAGAGGATTCTGCTGCCTTTTGTTTGGCTGTGCCCTGCCCCCAGAGGTGGAGTCTACAGAGGCAGGCAGGCCTCCTTGAGCTGCGGTGGGCTCCACCCAGTTTGAGCTTCCCAGCCGCTTTGTTTACCTACTCAAGCCTCAGCAATGATGGGCGCCCCTCCTCCAGCCTCACTGCTGCCTTGCAGTTTGATCTCAGACTGCTGTGCTAGCAATGAGTGAGGCTCCGTGGGCGTAGGACCCTCTGAGCCATGCAAGGGATATAATCTCCTGGTGTGCTGTTTGCTAAGACCATTGGAAAAGTGCAGTATTAGGGTGGGAGTGACCCAATTTTCTAGGTGCCGTCTGTTACCCCTTTCCTTGGCTAGGAAAGAGAATTCCCTGACCCCTTGCACTTCCCAGGTGAGGCAATGCCTCGCCCTGCTTTGGCTCACATTTGGTGCGCTGCACCCACTGTCCTGCACCCACTGTCTGACAGTCCCCAGTGAGATGAACCTGGTATCTCAGTTGAAAATGCAGAAATCGTTTGTCTTCTGCGTTGCTCATGCTGGAAGATGTAGACTGGAGCTATTCCTATTTGGCCATCTTGGAACTGCCCCTGCACTGATACATTCTGACCTGATAATTCTAAATTTGGGAATTTATCCCAAGGAATGAATCTTAAATACAGCAAAAGCTTTATGCATCAAGATATCAGTTTCATCATTGTTTCTATTTGTGTGACATTGAAAACAATCTAAATGTCCAACGGTGGGGGAATTATCCATAAATCGTGATATACCCACATGATGGAAAATTATTCAGCTTTCAGAAGTGCTATAAGATGGGGAAAATGTGTATTAGAAGGTGATGTAATGTTAAGTAAAATGTGCAGTATGAGCTCAATACATAATAAAACCTGTATAGAAAAAATAAAGGATGGAAATAGGGGAATAAAGATTTTGGGGGTAATTGTCATTGAGTGAAATTTTTCTCTTTGTGTTGTTCTTCATTTTCCAAAGTTGATGTAATGAGCATATATAACTTTGTAAATAAGGAAAAATAAAATTCAGAGGAAACACTGGGTTTTCACTGCTTTCCAGAGAAAGAGCAGGTAGAGAAGCCATGTGGTAGCTGCCTCTGTGCCCTGCTGGGAAGGCAAGGGATAAAGGAAACTTTCCTTGATGCGGCTCTTGGGGCTTCCCTTTAAGCCTAGTGTCTTGACTTGTGCTCTGATGAAAAGGGATCTACTGAGATTTGGAGAGTTTCTAAGTTTAGCATTAATCCCACCTGAATAAGAGGTTTGAGTAAACTTGCAGGAGGGAAGGGGTTTCCGTGTTTATAAATTTTGGAGTTCCCTTGGGGATACAATTGCCACGGAAGTCACCACCACTTGACAATAGAAGAACCAAGAGCTATATCTCATTGTTATACCTGTTATACCTCATTGAGTTTCAGTTGAAATGTACCCCTTCCCAGACCATCCTTCTTTACCTGGTGGGTTCTAAGTACAGGCTCTAGAGTCAGACTGCCTGTTGTTAGATCCTGGTCTCCACATTTAGCAGTTGTGGACCATGGGAAAGTTTCTTTACATCCCTGAGCTTTAGTTTCCTCACCTATAAAGTGGGGATAATAATTGCCCCTATTTTATGGGATTCTAAAGATTAAATGAGATAATTCACACAAAGTGCTGAAGAAATGCACATAGAAAACATTCATTAGATTAAGTTGTTATTAGATGTGATATATTAGCAGTTTTAAAAATTAATTATAAATTTTTAAAATGATTTATTTTGAGTTTACTTGTTTATTATGTTTCCCTTATTCATATATGATCTCCATAAAGGCGGGGGCTTTGTTTCTCTTATTAATAAGTAAAACAGAGCCCAGTGCATGGTGAGTGCTCCAGAAAAAATTATTTAATAACAGAATGATCACATGTGCATCTGATAAGGATCAATACTCTTCCCTGACTATAAGGATTTGATTGAGTCTACACTATCTGATGTGGATCCATTAGGAAGATACTAGTGGTAGGGGGTCTCTTAGCAGAGGGGAGTGCAACGGTGAGAGTATGATGAGGGTAGATACAAGGAAGGGTAGTTGTTCACCACAGTAGTGGACATGTAGCTGAATCCAGAGCTGATGTGAGAGGCCAGGGCTTCAAAGGGCCAAGGAGATAAAAGAAGGGAATGTGGCTCCAGTGCAGAAGACAGGGAGGGGTCTGAGAGTGTTGTGAGGACAGGCTGTGTGCATGAGAAACCATCTGTATAGGACCCCCAGCAAGGTCACAAAGAGGACAGTTCTATCTCAAGGACTGAGTTCTTTCCTGGAAGCATAGCTAGGACTTTTGTTATAGAAGCAAGTCAAGGAAGAGAAAAATTTTAAAGAGTAGATAAAGGAAATGGCCCTAGAAAAGTGACTCCCAGGCCCACATCAAATACTACTTCCATTAAAAACCTTCCTTGATTAATCCAGCGCAGCCACTTACATGGCATTTAGCTTTCACTGTCTTCTATTTTGAATAATTTGTGTTCAGTACTTATTTGGACTACTGAATTATACACTGAAGTTTTCTCCAACAGGATGGTTTTGCCCAATTTTGTGACATCAATGGGGAAAAAAAAGCTAGACTGATTAAATCATGCCTCAAATGCCTTTTTGAATGATTAGAAGTTGATATACCTTTGACTCCTTCTGGGCCTCAAACTGTAATTTCCTTAAACAGTTCACAATTCCAACTCTCTCTCTTTCTATCTTTTTCTTCCTGTCTCACATCACTGCCAAAATTTGTCCTAAATGTTTAAGCTATGCTTGTTGTATTAGTTTTGGATTTGTAGGGGCCAAGGAAGAACGTTCGCCTTCGTCCTCTGAAGGTTCGCTGAAAAGTCAACTTGCAAAAGGCAGAGGAATCAGAGTAAAGGCATACAGATTAAGGTGTATATATGGGAGCCTTTAGATGAAGACCCAAAGATACAGAGGAAATTGTCCATTTTTATGCTTAGGTTCAACAAAATTCCGCAGACAGCTATGTAGAAATATGAATGGAAAAAAAGGGTATGATGTAATGCTAATAGATGGACTGAGGAAACCCAGCAAGGCCTGTCTAGATTCTGCTTGGCCTCTCTGAGCATGCATTCCTTCCTTCTGGATATAGGGCAGAAGCCTCTCTGGAATGAGGATCTTATGACCTACAGTCAAAAATGTTAGCCCAGGTAATTTCTTTATGGTCAATTTTTACGCAGAAAGATAGAGGGAAAGTTAGAGCAATATTTTTAGGTTTTATGGCTGGCTTTGTGGAAAAGAGGTTCTGGTTTCTATGACCTGCCTTAGAGAAGAGGGCTTCTAGTTTCTAAAGAATTCTCTAGTTTCTACAGATTCTCACCTTGGGAGAGAATGGGACTGAGAGTTAGGGGGGCAGGAGAAGGTCAGAGAAAAACTTTTGCTTCTGAGGCTTTCATTTTGGGGTATTATTTTTGGAGCCCCAGCAACTTCCTTCATATATTTATGCAGATTGCTGTTGTCTAAAATGGTAAACTTTTAGAAGATGGGCACTGTCTTTATTGGTGTATTAGCATCTCTGCACTTTGAGTTAGAACAGTGATACTAAGCCCTAATTTTTCATTCTCCAGGTGATATTTTTTAGTGACATCCACTTTTTCTTCTTTGATAGTTCTAACTCCTTGACTAATTCTCAAAATAAATTCTTTTCAATTAACCATAATTTACAAATACTATGTGCAGAGAGTATTTCTAAGGTTATTTGGAAGCAGCAATATAAACATTTGTCATAACTCCTCCCAAATTGGAAATGGATCTATGAGAGGATAACAGCTAATAGTGTTACTATTCATATGTATAAAAGTGACTTAATTGATGAGGGTGAGGAGCAGGGCAGGTTAAATCTTTCCTTTTATGAATACTGTTGTTTCCTGATATGCCTAGTTTCAAGAAGTTGGGCAAGCTAGAAGTTGGATTATGACTTCATCACCTATGACTCACATGGAATGCACAATTTTGATCCAAAACTTTTGTTCTAATAAGATTTCAACTTCCAAACATTGGTAGCAATGAGAGCCAAGAGCAGGAATGTGACAGTGTGCCAGGTTGATCACAGTGTTTAGGGTTTTGTTTTTTTTTTTTTTGTGAAATGAAGTCTCACTCCATTGCCCAGGCTGGAGTGGAGTTGTGCAATCTCGTCTCACTGCAACCTCCACCTCCTGGGTTCAAGAGATTCTCCTGCCTCAGCCTCTTGAGTAGCTGGGACTACAGGCACGTGCCACCACACCCAGCTAATTTTTTGTATTTTTAGTAGAGAAGGAGTTTCACTGTGTTAGCCAGGATGGTCTCAATCTCCTGACCTCGTGATCCATCCGCCTCGGCCTTCCAAAATGTTGGGATTACAGGCATGAGCCACTGCACCTGGCCTATGCTTTCTTTTTAACAAAAGTTGTTTTCAACAAAATTTGACTTTGCTCAAGAATGGCACTAGTTTTTAGAAAAATTTTGGAGTGGTGAAGTCAAGGAATTTTCAACTGAAGTAGATCATGTGCTCATTGACAGCAGCAAAATGGCATCCGTGGGGGATCCTAACATAGAGGCACCATTTCTCCACTCAGGGAAAGGATTAGGCATAGAAATGCAAACATCAAGCTTTGCTTGGTACACTATTATTTCCTTGCTGAACTCCAGATGATAAGGTAACCAACTGGCCCTGAAATCGTAAGTGGGTGAATTCAACTATCAGATGCTTTACTGTGATAAAAGTGTCAATAATATCTCAGACTTAGGCAGTGCTTTGTAGTCTACAGAGAACTTTCATCTACTTTCTCTCACTGGATCTTATCACTTGATTCCTTATGATAGGCAAAGTTAATATGCATATTATCAAGTCCAGGTCTAGCTCAGTCCTTGCTGCATACATTATTCGTGCTTAACTACTTATAGAATTGAAGTTGTTGAATCTACGGTTTCAGATAAGAAAAGAATGTTTAATGATTTCTGCAAACTCAGCCATACCAGGTGAAACTGCTAAGACTTAAAGCCATCTTTTATGCCTTGTGTCCTCTGATGTTGCCATTGGCGCTTGTAAGAACACTTCTTTTCCCCAAGTCACTGTTGATACCAAAGAAAGCTATTATCCCCACATCTATCCCTGGTGCCACTGAGCGGTAAGGATTTGAACAAGCTTGAGAATAGTGTTTAAAGTAATTAGTTCCATATTAAAAAGAAAAAGAAGAGAGAGTAGGAAGGAGCAGTAAGCAGAAAGATGATTAAGGCTTTGGGTGTGGATCAGAATGGTATTTAAAATAAATACAACAAAAGTTATCCAATAATCAGTAAACAGTAATATAATTAGAATTTTTTTTTCCTATTTACTTCCTTTAACATGCAATGGGGGGAAATGGTAACAAAAAAAAAAGTCAAGGACTCAATCAAACAGATGGTTCTCAAGTTATTATTTTCTCCTTACTGTTGTTTACAAGAAAAAACTCCTTTAACAAACCGTGACTCACAGATTCCAGTGGGACCAGAAATTCTCTATGTGAAGGAGAGGAAAATAGTGGGAAGAGAACCCGCATCATAAACTTTTATTATGCACATTATTATGCCTCATTAATTAACCCAACCACTGTCCTAGTGACGTCTTGGGCTCACTTCACAGGAAAAAATTAGTCTGGATTGCCAAGTTAAATAGACAATTACAGGAAGATCAAATTATGCCTACATTGCATTCTGTCAGGGCATCAAGCCAAATTCATGTCAAACTCATAAGACTGGAATATCCTTAAAAAAACAGCCCTGAAGAACCAATGTCACAAGCCATTTGACGTCCACACGGAGGATGTATTGATCTTGCCTGAGCTTCCTTTCTCAGAATCGCATAACAGACCAAGAAAGAGGGCTTTCTGAGCATCTTACTCTCTTCCACACAGCAGCTGGCTAGATCCTTTGTTATGTACAATAAAGCACAATGAAACAGGGAAAAACATCCCACCTCATGAGCTCCATCCCTCATCCTGGCTGGCAGCTGTCACAGATCTGAAGAAACAGCTTAGACATTTAAAGAGAACAATGAAAATCCCCAGTGTAGGTTTTCCACAGTGGAACCCTTGGTTCTGTCCATGATCTTGAGGAACACTTTTCCAAAAAATCTGAGCTGAGGCCAAAATGAATAAAGCTCACCCCAGATTTTCAGAACCCACAGTGGAATGCCTGATGTCCCCAGCACCAGAGACAACACGATACTGGAGAGAATAAGAACAATTGCCACAATGCTTTCAGGTAAGGTGATGTTTGCTGGTGGTTCAGGACTCAAAAAGAGAATTGAATGTGTCTTGTATCTACTGAGGAATGAAAGTTTAAGAATTTAAGTGTGGAAGACTGGATGCAACTTGGAAAGAAAGCTTCTTCCTGATTCCCATTCTGGGACATTCCTCCTTTATAATCAGAAGTGTCTACCTGAAGCCTTTTTCCATGTTACTTCCATTTTATGAAGAACCCCCGCTCCCTCAAGTGGTAGAATCTATTTGCTCCCCTCTTGTGGTTTTCTATGAAACAAGAATTATGTTTTAAGAATCCTGAGCTCAAACCTAAAGAAGACTAGCAGGTTACATGTTATATCTCTGAAAAATCAGCTGACATATAAGTTCCGCTCCCTTGGAATCACCATATTGTGAGGAAGCACAAGCTAGCTGAAGGAAGCACCACATGGAGGAGAACCAAAGAAGTCAGAGAATAATGAGAACTTACCCATATGGCTTCTGTTAAATTGTCCCAGCCAGCTGTTACTGGTCAGCCATCCTAGCTCATGCCTGGAAATTGCGGAGTAGAGATGAGCTATCCCCACTGTGCTCTGTCTGAATTGTAAGCAAATAAATGGCTGTTGTTTTCTGGTGGCAAGTGTGGAGAGATATTTTTCCATGCAGATGACTAGAATACCCTCCAAATCTGGCATGGATGCTTCTCCTGTGATCTTTGTGCCATTGCGGACCTCCAGCATGTTACTATCCTGCTGCAATATCCAAAACAAAGATGTCTTTCTCTGGCCTTCTCCCTTGCCCCAATTTTGTCCTCTTTAAGGATGTGGAAACTTATTATCTTAATAGTCGTCACAATTTCTCTTAGGGAGGGAATTCTCTTCATTTGTAAATATAAGTTTCTGAGCCCCTGGGGATTGAATGCTCTGTGGGCAATAGTCAAGGCTTCCAAGAAAAATGGCTAAACTTGTCTGCCTAGGAAAGGAAGTGTTTTGGAATGTAATGAGAGAGAGAGGGACAGAGAGACAGAGAGACAGAGAGAGACAGAGAGAAAGGGAAGAGAGAGAGCTCTGAAGAGGCCCCGGGAGGCAGAAGATCTCCCCTGTGTAGGGAGGCAACCAATGGACAGTTCCCTATGACCCATGAGAGAAACTAAGGCACATATTGAAATGAAAATGACTACTGTAAAATTTGAATTTGCCTGGTGTTTTGACATGCTATATCCCTTCCTCCTTGTCCATCTCTTCCCCATAAAACCACCATATCTTACCACACTCATACCAAAAGCATGGGCAACAAAAGAAAACATACATAGGAGAGGTGGAGTAAGATGGTAGAATACAAAGCTCCACTGATTGCTTTCCCTCCCCACATCCCCACCAAAGACACCAAGTTAACAACTATCTACACAGAAAAAAACACCTTCATACAAACCAAAAATCAGGTGAACACTCACAGTACCTGGTTATGACTTCGTATCACTGAAAGAGGTGCTGAATAAATAGAAAATACACTCCTGAATGGCTGATGCCACCCCTACCCCACCCTGGCAGCAGAGGTGTGATGCAGAGAGCTTCTCTAGGTGCTGGGAGAGGGAGAACACAGCAGTTGTGAGGCACTAAACTCATACTGTCCTGTTAGAGGAGAAAGAAAAACAGCTGATCAAATTCACCAAACTCAGCGGATGCCCACCCACGAAGGGAGCATTTAAAGGAGCCCTAGGATGAAGGGAATCACTGATCCCAGCAGTTCAAACTTGAGTACCTTCAAACCTCACCATCAAGGGCTACAGCACTCTGTGTCTTCAAGTAAACTTGAAAGGCAGTCTAGGCCACAAGGGCCACCAATCTTAGATGACTCATAGTGCTGAACCAGGCCTACAGACAGTGGACTGGAGTGGGGGCACACAACATACTGAGAGGCCAGCTGGGGCAGCCAAGGGAGTGCTGGTATCATCCATCCCATAACCCCAGGTGGCACAGCTGGAGGCTCCAAAAAAGACCCACTCCTTCTGCTTGAGGAGAGGAGAGGGAAGAGTGGGGAGGACTTTGTTTTGCATCTAGAATACCAATTCAGCCACAGTAGCATAGAGCACTGGTCAGAGTTGTGAGGCTTCTTTTCCAGGCCCTAGATCCCAGGTGACATTTCTAGAGACACCCTGGGCCAGAAGGAAACCCGCTGCCTTGAAGGAAAAGACCCAGTCCTGGCAGCATTTATCATCTGCTGACTGAAGAGCCCTTGGGCCCTGAATAAGAAGAAGTGATACTCAGGTACTACGTCGAGAGCCTTGAGTGAGCCTCTGAGACTTGCTGGCTTTAGGTGAGACTCAGCACATTCCAAGCTGTGGTGGCTATGGGGAAAAATTCCTTTGGCTTGAGAAAAGCAGGCGGGAAAGTAAAGGGGACTTTGTCTTGCACCTTAGGTACCAGCATAGCCACAGAGCAGTAGAGCACCAAATGGGCTCTTGGAGTCCCTGATTCCAGGACTTAACTCTTAGATGGCATTTCTGGTCCTGCCCTGGGCCAGAGGGAAGTCCACTGACCTGAAGGGTGAGTCACAGGCCAGGTAGCATTCATGACAAGCTGATTTAAGAAACCTTGGGTCTTAAGGGAACATCAACAGTAGTCTGGCAGAACTCCTCGTGGCCTGGGCTGGCAGTGGCTGTGGGGTGAGGCTCTTCTGCCTTTGAAGGGAAGGGAAGAGTGGGAAGGACTGTGTCTTGTGGTTTGGTGCCAGCTCAGTTGCAATAAAATAAAACACCAGGTAAACTTCTAAGGTTTTTGACTCTAGTTTCTGACGCCCAGACAGTACTTCTGGACCCACTCGGAGGCGAGTGGGGGGACCTTGCTGCCCTGAAGGGAAGGACACAGGCCTGGCTGACTTTGACACCTGCCAATTGTAGAGCCCCAGGGCCTTGAGTGAATTGTAGAGCCCCAGGGCCTTGAGTGAACAGCAGGCAGGAAGTGGTTACAGCAGACCTTGGCTGAGACCTAATGCTGTGCTGGCTTCAGGTCTGACCTGGTGCAGTCATAGTGGTGGGGGCCACAGGGATGCTTGTGTTATTCTACTTGCAGCTTTAGGTGGCTCAGAACAGAGACAGATAGATTCTGTATGTTTGAGAGAAAGTAAGGGAAGAGGAATCTGCCTGGCAATCCAGAGAATTCTTCCAGATCCGGTCCAAGACCATCAAGACAGTACGTCTATGAGTCTGTGAGAACCATAGTGTTACTAAGTTTGGGGTGCCTCCTAAAGCAGATACAGCTTAGATCACAATATTCAAGCCCTTTCAAATATCTGGAAAGCCTTCCCAAGAAGGATGACTACAAATAAACCCAGACAGTGAAGACTATAATAAATACCTAATTCCTCAATGCCCAGACACTGACAAACTTCCACAAGCATCAACATCATCCAACTGAAAACATGATCTCACCAAATGAACTAAATAAGGCACCAGGGACCAATCCTGGAGACACAGAGATACATGACCTTTCAGACAGAGAATTCAAAATAGCTACTTCGAGGAAACTCAAAGTAATTCAAGATAACACAGAGAAGGAGTTCAGAATTATATCAGGTAAATTTAACAAGGAGATTGAAATAATTAAGAACCAAGCAGAAATTTTGGAACTGAAAAATGCAGTTGGCATACTGAAGGATGAATCACAGTCCTTTAGCAGAATCAATCAAGTAGAAGGAAGAATTAGTGAGGTTGAAGACAGGCTGTTTGAAAATACACAATCAGAAAAGACAAAAGAAAAAAAAGAGAAACAATAAAACATGCCTACAGGATCTAGAATATAGCCTCAAAAGAGGAAATCTAAGAGTTATTGGTCTCAAAGAGAAGGTAGAGAAAGAGATAGGGTAGAAAGTGTATTCAAAGGGATAATAACAGAGAACTTCACAAACCTAGAGAAAGATATCAATATCCAAGTAGGTTATAACCAAGAAGGTTATAGAACACCAAGCAGATTTAATTCAAAGAAGCCTATCTCAAAGCATTTAATAATCAAACTCCCAAAGGTCAAAGATAAAGAAAGGATCCTAAAAGCAGCAAGAGAAGAGAAACAAATAACATATGATGGAACTCCAATACATTTGGCAGCAGATTTTCAGTGGAAACCTTACAGGCAAGGGGAGAGTCACACGCCATATTTAAAATGCTGAAGGAAAATAACTCTTACTGTAGAATAGTATGTCTGGTGAAAATGTCCTTCAAACATGAAGGAGAAATAAAGGCTTTCCCAGATAAATAAAATATGAGAGATTTTGTCAACACCAGGCCTATCCTATAAGAAATGCCAACTTGAATACTTCAATCAGAAAGAAAAAAATATAAGCAATAGATAATCAACAGAAGGTATAAAACTCACTGCTAATATTAAGTACACAGAGAAACACAGAATATTATAACCCTGTACCTGTGGTGTGGAAACTACTCTTATCCTAAGTAGAAAGACTAAACAATAAACCAATCAAAAATAAGAACTACAACAACTATTTCAGACATAGTTGGTACAAAAATATATAAATAGAAACAAGAAAAAGTTATGAAGGGGGGAGACAAAGTTAAGGCATAGGGTTTTTATTAGTTTTCTTTTTGCTTGTTCCTGCAAATAGTGTGAAGTTGTTATCAGGTTGAAATAATGGGTTATAAGATAGTATTTGCAAGCCTCATGGTAACCTCAAAAAAAAAAACATACAATGGATACACAAAAAATTGAAAGCAAGAGACTAAATCCTATCAGCAGAGAAAATCACCTTCACTAGAAGAAGACAGGAAGGAAAGAAAGAAGGAAGAAAAGACCATAAAGCAGCCAGAAAACAAATAACAAAATGGCAGGAGTGAGTCCTTATTTGTCAATAATAACATTGAATGTAAATAGACTAAACCCTCCAATCAAAAGGCATAGGCTGGCTAAATGGATAAATAAAAAAACAAGACCCATTGATCTGTTGCCTGCAAGAAACACACTTCACCTATAAAGACACATAGGCTGAAAATAAAGCAATAGAAAAGATATTCTATGCCAATGGAAACCCCCCAAAAAAATATCAGGGGTTGGTATAATTCTATTGGATAAAATATATTTCAAGACAAAACCATTGAGAAGAGACAAAGAAGGTCACTATATAATGATAAAGGGGTCAATTCAGCCAGAGGAAATAACACTTGTAAATAAATATGCACACAACACTGGAACACCCAGATATATAAAGGAAATATTATTAGAGCTAAAGAGAGAGATAGGCCCCAATACAATAATAGCTGGAGACTTCAACACCCTTCTTTCAGCATTGGACAGATCTTCTAGACAGAAAATCGCAAAGAAACATCAAACTTAATCTGCACTTCAGACCAAATGCATTTAATAGATATTTACAGAATATTTCATACAAGAGCTGCACAATACACATTATTTTCCTCATCACATGGATCATTCTCAAAGATAAACCATATGTTAGATTACAAAACAAGTCTTAAAACTCAAAAAACTTGAAATAATATCAAGTATCTTCTCTGACTACAGTGGAATAAAACTAGAAATTTATAGGAGGGATTTTGGAAATGATACAAATACATGAAAATTAAGCAACATGCTAGTGAATGACTAGTGGGTCAATGAATAAATGAAGAAAAAAGCTGAAAAATTTCTTGAAACAAATGATAATAGAATCACACCATACCAACATCTATGTAATACAAAAAAGCAGTAAGAGGGAAGTTTATAGCTATGCATGCCTATGTCAAAGAAGATGAAAAACTTTAAATGAACAATTTAAAAATGCATCTTAAAGAACTAGAAAAGCAAGAGCAAACCAAACCCCAAATTAGCAGAAGAAAAAAATAATAAGAATGAGAGCAGAAAAAGATATAATTGAAATTTAAAAAAATACAAAATATCAATGAGACAAGACATTGGTTTTTTGAAAAGTTAAACAAAATTGTCAAGCCTTTAGCAAGACTACTAAAGAAAAAGAGAGAAGATCCAAATAAATAAAATCAGACATAAAAAAGGAAACATTAAAACTGATATTGCACAAATTCAAAAGATTATTAGTGGTTACTATGAGCAGCTATACGCCAATAAATTGGAAAAGCTAGAATAAATGGGCAAATTCCTAGATACATACAACCCACCAATATTGAACTGGGAAGAAATCCAAAACCTAAACAGACCAATAACAAGTGACAAGATGAAAGCTGTCACAAAAATTCTCCCACTAAAGAAAAGCCTGGGACCTGATGTCTTTACTCCTGAATTCTACCAAACATTTAAAGAAGAATTAATATCAATTCTACTCAAACAATTCTGAAAAATAGAGGAGGAAGGAATACTTCCAAACTAATTCTACAAGGCTCTTATTATCCTGATACCAAAGGCAGATAAAGACACATGAAAGAAAAAAAGAAAGAAGAAGAAGAAAAAGAAAGAAAGAGAAAGAAAGAAAGAAAAAGAAAGAAAAAACTACAGGCCAGTATCCCTGATAAACACTAATGCAAGAATTCTCAAAAAAATACTGGCAAACCAAATTCAACAATACATTAGAAAGATCATTCATCATAAACAAGTGCAGTTTATCCCTGGGATGCAAGGATGGTTCAACATACACAAATCAGTCAATGTGATACAGCATATCAACATAATGAAAGATAAACACCATATGACCATCTCAATTGATGCTGAAAAAGCATTTGATAAAATTCAGTATCCTTCATGATAAAAACCATAAAAAATGGGGATAGAAGTGTACCTCAGCATAATAAAGGCCATATATGTTAGACCCACAGCTGGTATCATATTGAATGGGGAAAACCCAAAAGCCTTTCCTCTAAGATCTGGAACATGACAAGGATGCCCACTGTCACCACTGTTATTCAACCTAGTAATGGAAGTCCTAACTAGAGCAGACTAGAGAGAGATATAAAGGGCATCCAAATTGGAAAGGAAAAAGTCAAATTATCCTTATTTACAGGTAATATGATTTTACGTTTGGAAAAACCCAATGACTCCACAGGAAAACTATAGAACTGATAAAATATTCAGTATAGTTTAGTGATAAAAAATTCAGGATACAAAATCAACATACAAAAATCAGTAGCATTTCTATATGCCAATAGTGAATAATGTGAAAAAGAAATTAAAAAGTAATCCCATTTACAATAGGCACACATAAAATTAAATACCTAGGAATGAACGTAACGAAAGTAATGAAAACTGTAAAACACTGATGAAAAAAATTGAAGAGGACACCAAAAATAAAAAAAAATTGCATGTTCATGGATTGAAAGAATCAATATTGCTAAAATGCCCATACTACCCAAAGCAATCTGCAGATTCAATGCAATCTCTATCAAAATACCAATGACATTCTACACAGAAATAGAAAAAGCAATCCTAAAATATATATGGAACCACTAAGCAAAATGAACAAAAGTGGAGGAATCACATTACCTGACTTCAAATTATACTACAGACCTATAGTAACCAAAGCAACATGGTACTGGCATAGAAACAGACACATAGATCAGTGGAACAGAATAGAGAACCCAGAAACAAATCCACACACCTACAGTGAACTCATTTTCAACAATGGTGCCAAGAACATACCCTGGAGAAAAGACAGTCTTTTCAATAAATAGTAATGGAAAAACTGGATATCCATATGCAAAAGAATGAAACTAGACCTCTATCTCTCACCATATAAAAAATCACACCAAAATGAATTAAAGACAAATCTAAGACATCAAATCATAAAACTACTACAAGAAACAGTCAGAGGAAAATCTCTAGGACATTGGCCTGGGCAAAGATTTCTTCACCAATACCCCACAAGCACAAGCAACCAAAGCAAAAATGGACAAATAAGATGACATTAAGTTTAAAAAGCTTCTGCACAGCAAATAATATGATCAAGAAAGTGAAGAGACAACCCATAGAATGGGAGAAAATATTTGCAAACTACCCATCTGACAAGAGATTAATAATCAGACTATATAAGGAGCTCAAATAACTCCACAAGAAAAAGTATAATAAGCCGATCAAAAAATAAACAGATGATTTGAATAGAGATTTCTCAAAAGAAGACACACAAGTGGCAAACAGACATACGAAAATGTGCTCAATGTCATTGATCATCAGAGAAATGCAAACAAAACCTACAATGAGATATCATCTCACCCCAGTTAAAATGGCTTATATCCAAAAGACAGGCAATAACAAATGCTGGTGAGAATGTTCAGAAAGGGAATCCTTGTATGCTGGTGGTGGAAATGTAAATTAGTACAACCAGCATGGAGAATAGTTTGGGGGTTCCTTAAAAAACTACAACTTGAGCTACCATATTCAGAAATCCCACTGCTGGCTATATACCCTAAAGAAAGGAAATCAGTAAATCAAAAAGATACCTGCCCTCCTATGTTTGTTGCAGCACTGTTTACAATAGCTAAGATTTGGAAGCAACCTCAGTGTCCTTCAACAAATAAATGAATAAAGAAAATGTGATGCATATCCTCAAGGGAGTACTATTCAGCCACAAAAAAGAATAAGATCCAGAAATTTGCAACATCATGGATGGAACTGGAGATCATTATGTTAGGTGAAATAAGCCAGGCACAGAAAGACAAACGTCACATGTTCCTCACTTATTTGTGGGATCTAAAAATTAAAACAATTGAACACATGGACATAAAGAGTAGAAAGATGGTTACCAGAAACTTGGAAGGGTAGTGGGGGGCAGAAGGGAAAGTGAGGATGATTAACGGGTAGAAAAAAATAGTTAAAAAGCATGAATAAAACCTACTATTTGATAGCACAATAGCCAATAATAACTTCATTGTACATTTTTAAATAAAGAGTATAATTGGATTGTTTGTAACTCAAAGGATAAGTGCTTGAGGGGATGGATATGGATACCCCATTCTCCATGATGTGCTTATTTCACATTGCATACCTATATCAAAACATCTCACGTACCCCATAAATATATACAACTACTATGTACCTGCAAAAAAATTTTAAAATTAAAAAAAGTAGATACATTGGACTTGATTAAAATAAAAAACCTTTGTGCATCAAAGGATACTATCAATACAGTAAAAAGACAACCCACAGAATGAGAGGGAATACTTTCAAATTATATATCTGATAAGGGATTAATATTCAGAATATATGAAGAACTTCTACAACTCAACAATAAAAACCCAATTAAAAATGGGCAAAGGACTTGAGTCTACATTTCTCCCAAGAAAATATATAAATAGCCAATAAGCACATGAAACGATGCTCAACATTACTGATCAACAGGGAGATGCAAATCCAAATGACAATGTGATACTATTTCACACCACATAGGATGGCTATTATGAAAAATTAAACCAAACCAACCCAAACAGAGGAAAACAAAGGCAGAAAATAACAAGTGTTGCCAAGGATAAGGAGAAATTGGAACCCTTGTGCATTTCTAGTGGGAATGTAAACTGGTGTAGCCACTTTGCAAAATGATATGGCAGTTCCTCTAAAATTCAAACGTACATTTTTATAAAACATTTAATGAAAAATGGGACATTGCCAATTACAATAAACATCTGTTGAATAAGCGATTGGATAAACAAAAGAAAGAATTAATGAAAAAATGAGTTTTAGGATAAAGCATAGCTCATTTAAAACCTGTGTAGGGTGGCAGAACAGCATGAAATCTGGCCAGATAACCTGTGTTTGAGTTCCTCTTATTTTATGTGCCATTGGTCAAGTTGCTTTTCTAAGACTCAGTCCTCTTATTGGTAAAGTGAGATTAATACTAATGCCTCTCTCACAAGGTTTTAGCTAAGACCAAATTAAAGCCACTTCTTTTTCCCCATTGCCCAAGACAGAAACATCTTGGTGTACAGGACATGAGGGAGTTTGCTCAGAGCCCTAGGTAGGGAAGGGAAGGGAAGGGGACTACCACTGCAGGGGCAGGACATATGCTAGAACACAGGGTTGCTTTCCATTTATTACCAAACATGTGTTTGGTAACTTTATGCAAATAATTTCCTTTTATAAGTTATCCTTTTACCATTTTTCATCTGAGGTTCTAAATCTGGAAGTGGAGGTATATGGGAAGAAGAAAGGATGGTTGATTTTGATAAGTCATCTAAAAGATGAAGAGTAAAGAGAATTAACATTAGCCATATAGGATTACTAAAAATAAGCGCTGTGTCCATGGTTCTCATTTTATCATTGCAATGGGACCAAGAAAAGTAAAAGAACTGGAAAGGATTTTAGCTGTTGGGTTACATAGATTTTGACCCTCAAATAACAGTTCCAGAGAATACATTCTCTTCCCAAACTGAACTTCTCCCTTGACCATCTCCTATCAAAGAAGAAGAAGAATGTCTCTGTTGGGGTGGATAACCAGCAAGTATGCTTGGTTCCCTCTTCTCTGCTCTTTGTACTTTCCCCTCCTTAGGCAAGTGGCCTGTATTTCCTTTTTAATCCTCCTTGTTAAATGCTGGTGAGAATCATTTTACACATGGCCGAATTTCCAAGCAACATCCCCACAGGACTGAGCTGCTTTTAATGTCTGATCTTTTGTGACATGGAAAGTGAATTTTATTGATCTCTGCTCTAGCCTTGATTATTTCCTTTTTCTGTTGGCTTTGGGTTTAATTTGTTTTTCTTTCTGTAATTTTTAAGGTGAAACTCAAGGTTATTGATTTGAGACACTTCTTATGTAATAAATGCTATATAGATTCCCCTCTAAACGCTGTTTTATTGGCATCTCACACAGTTTAGTTTGTTGTACTTTCATTTTCATTTAGTTAAAACTAATTTCTATTTCTTTTGACTTCTTTGAGTGTTTGATTCTTGGATTATTTTGAGGGTTATGTAATTTCCAAATATTTAGAGATTTTCCATATCCATTTCTGTAGTTAATTTCTAATTTGCTTCTTTTTTTTGAGACAGAGTCTCCCTCTGTAGCCCAGCTAGAGTGCAGTGGCCCCATCACGGCTCACTACAACCTCCGCCTTCTGGGTTCAAGCAATTCTCCTGCCTCAGCCTTCTGAGTAGCTGGGATTAGAGGCATGCCCCACCACACCTGGCTAATTTTTGTATTTTTAGTAGAGACGGGGTTTCGCCATGTTGGCCAGGCTGGTCTTGAACTCCTGACCTCAGGTGATCCACCCACCTCAGCCTCCCAATGTGCTGGGATTACAGGCGTGAGCCACTGCACCTGGCTCTAATTCACTTCTGTTGCGGTCAGAGAACATTCTTTACATGATTATATCCTTTTACTTTATTGATACTTGTTCAGCAGATAAGCTTCTTGGAAGTAGTTTATCCCTTTAGGATTTTCACTTTAAGCTTTGTTAGTTGGGATAAGAGGAGTTTTTAGTCTAGGGCTAATTTTGCCCCTTTACTGAGGCAAAATCATTCTAAGTATTCTATCCCATAGCTCAGAGGATATAAGGTTTTCCACTCTGCTTGGAGGGAACATGAACTATTTCTACCTCTGTGTGATTGCTGGGATTATTTTCTCTAATACTTTTGGGTGCCCCTCCTTTCACCCCCAGGTAGTTTTCTATCTCATTTACACTCGGCAGTACTCAGCTGAAGATTCATGGGAGAACCTCCTCTCTCTCTCTACAGCTCTCTTCTCTCTGGTACTCTGCCTATGAACTCTAGGTGCCTTCCCTGGACTTACAGGTTATCTCTCTAACTTATCATTGCCACTGGACTCTCTCTGGATTTTCCCATCCTTGTGCTACAACCTGAAAACTCTGTCTAGGCAGTAAGATGGGGTAATCGTAGGGCTCACCTTTTTCTGTTTACCATCTGTTAGGGATCACTCATTGCCTTTTGTTGCCTAATGTCCAATGCCTGAAAGCTGCTATTTAATATATTTTGCCATATATGTAGGCATGACTATGTATTCATTTATTTGGCTTATGTGAGGTGAAAAATAGATCCAGTCGCTAAGATTCCATCTTAGTTAGAAGCAGAAATCCACTGAAAAATGCATTTGAATAACCATTGGTAGATGTTGCTCACCCAGGATACAGATTCAAGTTGAACATGCCTTAAAACATATGATTTGTTTTGTTTTCTTCTCTTATCCTTTCAGTTTCACAGTCTGGTTTACTCAGTGCCTTCCTCTGGCTTGTCCCAGAAATCCTGTAACATCAATCTTGATTCTTTGAGCTGGGAAAAGATGTCTTTGGTCCATCCAAACTCTCCATAGTCTGAAGAATTGGTAGTGCTCATCAGAGTTTATCAATTTGATGAATTAAACTAATGATACATAGTTATACAAATTTTATATATGTATATACATGCATATTACATACATATCCACAAATATTTTACGTTCTCTATACTATAATGACTAGTAGGCTGATAGGCTGATCGGCAGAGATATCTAAAAGCCTAAAAGCTAAAATGATCCAGCCTTAATAGGAACAGGGTCCAGTCTTCTTTTAAAAATTTTTGGTATGGTGTAGAATTTCTTGTTCAATAGAGTTGTGTCCTGCTGGGTGGCTGGATTAAAGAAAGGAATTTATAAGACTGTTGTAAAGGTACTGGGTGAAAGAGATGCTACAATTTCACAGCATCCCTCTGTGGAGCACATTTGCAAAAGTCATTATGATGCCTGTCATATGCTTGAGGGAACAAGCAGTGTCATAGAGTTGATGAAGTTGCTGTCTGGAGTGAGGGCTCTCCAATAAGCAAAGAACATCTGTCACCAATATTTCTACTTCTCATGGTATCTGCAGCTCTGCTGCTCTTTGTGTATACTTCCTGCAGACTTCATTTCACTTTTTTCCTCACCTTAAAAATATAGTCATTCTGCAATAGGATTAGGGCATATCTAAGTGTGCTGCTGTATGATTTAAATCCCTGGCCTTACTATCTGAGTCCATAATCAAGCCATATAGCCTCTCATATCTCTTCCAAGCCCCACACTCATCTCTTCCTTCCCTAAAACTCTCTTCCCTCACTGCTTCAACATTATCACTCAAACTCCTGGACTACTCCTTCCCAAATTCTGTATTTGGAGATTTGAAGTGTTTGAAATCAATAGAAAACTAACAGATATGGGATAATATTATAACTGATTTTTAGTAGCCAAAGAAAACCTTTTAATGGGATAATCTGCCTCATTCAAGGAACTCTGGATCAATAGTCATCTTACACTTCAAGATAGAAAGAGTCACAGGATAGAGAAGGAGAAAAAGCAATTAAAAAGCCCAGAGACTTTTCTTCTTTGAAAGCACAGTATGTTTCATTCGGATGCAGTCATTTTTAAAAATTAAGGTAGACTTAAATTTCAATAAACCTACTTTGCACTTCCAAGATTTGAGTTACTTAAAAACTGTCGTGAAGTGGATTTCCTTAGGGTAGCATGCTGAAGACAGGGCATAGATCAGAATCTTTGGCCTTAATCCTTTTACTTCACACCTGAGGCTTGCACCTCTGTGGTATTTGCATCTAAATACCTGGATAGTGATAGGAGATTAAGAGAGGGAATCCCCTCTGAGGCCAGAACAGGAACTCTAGGATATGCTGGTGCTGCAGTCACCCATATCATTCCTGTGTTTATAATCCATGAGCCCTGCAATGGCCAGGACGATGGAGCAGCTACATGCCAGCCTCTATTTGCTCCTAGACTTAAATTGCTGGCTGAGTCCATGCTGGTGAATAGAGTCCATTTCTCCTGCAAAGAACTTAGGAGTCAGTCGATCAGAAAGAATAGGGGGTGGAGCAGGTTATTAAGAACAGGCTCTAGGATTAGATTAAATCTTGTCCTCACCGCTTTGTAACTGTGTGACAGAGGATGCCAGTAGGGGATACTTTTTCCCCCTCCTGTTGTTTCCTTCTATGTGATGGGAATTTGTGCAAAAACGTAGGAGTCAGTCAAACAGAAAGTATAGCGGGTGGAGCAGGTTATTAAGAGCAGGCTCTAGAATCAGATTAAATCCTATCTTCATTGCTTTGTAGCTGTATGACAGTGGATGCCAACAGGGAACACTTTTCTCCCCCTCCTGATGTTTCCTTCTTTGTGACAGGAATTTGTGATAAGTTATAAAAATGGACACAGATTCTTCCCCTCCCTGTAGTTACACCCCTCATAAGTACCATCAATTGTTCTTCCACTCTGCCTTGGTCTTTTTCTTTGGACGATGAGATGTAACTAAATATAACTCCAACAAAGCCTTAGAAATGCTTTCACATTGGGCCAGTTCTCTCTTGCACCTCTTGGGAGCCACTTACCTGCCATGGGAAGGAAAGGTATTTCAAATAAGACCTGGTGACTGGGTCTGCTATCATTACAAATACCTCAAGTTCTCAAGGGGACAATAATGTCTTAAATGACATTTGGAGAGAAAGGAAAAAAATGGATGTTAAGATCTCCTCCCCAGATTTGATACATTCATTGTGCCAAAATTAATCTTTACTAGGTAATTTCTTCTCATTGGCTTTGAGCTCCCCAATTATGAATTCTGACAGACTGCATTACACCTTGCTGTAGCAGAAGAAAATTAAATCTCCATCTATCTTAACTCTATCAGCTTTGTAGTGCTCTTTGGCAATACAAGTCCATGATTTCTTCTCTAAAATTCGTGGAGTCATGTGTGTTTCTGAATTCAGAGTTAGTCAGATTATGTATACCAGTTATTTACATATCACCTCTAATAGGATCTTCAGAAGTACCCTATAATCTAACACTCATATTTTGAAGCAAAGTATATGAATATTCATACTTGGCATGATACATAAAAACTATAAATCACATCAGTCAGTTGAGGTGAATATTTGCTGTCAAATACATTTTGAATTTTGGAAATGCAGAAGAGGGACTGTAGATAAGAACACAGGTTGGGGCTGGGCACAGTGGCTCACGCTTGTAATCCCAGCACTTTGGGAGGCCAAGGCAGGCGGATCACCTGAGGTCAGGAGTTTAAGACCAGCCTGACCAACATGAAGAAACCCCATCTCTACTAAAAATACAAAATTAGCTGGGCATGGTGGTGCATGTCTGTAATCCCAGCTACTCGGGAGGCTGAGGCAGGCGAATCGCTTGAACCTGAGAGGTGGAGGTTGCCATGACCCGAGATCGCGCCATTGCACTCCAACCTGGGCAATGAGAGTGAAACTCAGTCCCAAAAAAAAAAAAAAATGTAGTTGGGGAGTCTAGGAATAAAAGTTTTCCTTTCCTAGAATATTGCTCTGGAGCTGAAAACAGTTTGTTTTCTACATTTGCAAAGTATGGGGCCAGTGCTACATAATGTTGCGTGTTCTAGTCACTCTTAAGACTTAAAAATGTAAGGAAGATCAGAGATTCAGACTTGAGTTAATGTATAGTCTTAATCCTGGCTGAGCTGCGGTCCCTCCTGTGAGATACAACCCAGGCTATGTTGGCCATAGGAACTTTATTCTGGGAAGGCAGTAATAACCCTTCTAACTGAGACTAAAAAGGGGAAGAAGTGGGAAAATTGAACTTCTTTTGATTTTTTTATTCATATTTGAGTCACTTGGATTCAATGATAGTTTAAGGAAAAGAGAAGAAAGGAGTGAGGGCGAGAAGGAAGGAAAGAAGGAAAGATCTAGCTGACTGGCCTGGATAGAGGGGACTGAGCTATGGACAAAGAAAAAGGCCAAATAGTGAGGCAAAATGGGCATACATGGTGGAAAGAAGACGGGCTTGGGGGGCTGTGGCTTAATGCTCATAAAGAATCAAGGCCTCTATTACCCCTAGCACAATAGATTTGGGGCTTAGGACAGCAGATCAATCTTCATTTCTCACTCTCTAGCGACAAGGAATTTCTCAATATATCAAAAGCCCTGGTTTTCAGAAGCTCAAGGCTTGGGTGGGTCCAGGCCTCCTCATGGGGGGATGTTAGTATTTACATCCTCCTCAGGGAGGATCCCCCTCATGGGAGGATCCAGCGCACACTAGGATAGAGAGTTACATGACAGCTATCGGTCTTACAAAATGTTTATTTGGGTCATAGGAGGAATGAATAAATAAATCATTGTTAACTTCTCCAGAGAAAACCATTACGTAACTCTAAGTATCCATTTTTAAATAGAAGTTGAGACTTCACCGTATATTGTCAGTTACTATCTAGTAGAATTTTATCCTTGGCACACGGACAATGCACATATTTTCTTTAAAAGCACTGTAACTAGAGGTCCCATATACCTCCTAGAATATACATGATGTGACTTCCTTTGAAAGGTGACCTGCTATTTTGACTAACGACCTTGCTAATATAAATATCATGGAGAGATTACTAAGCTTTTTTTTTTTTTTCGTTTCTTACAAGAAAAGAGATTTCTCTCTCTCTTCAGTTTAATGTGTTACCTGAAGTCACAGGGTATCTTGATGGAGCAGCCAACACCAGAACCTATATAATTGTACCTATGGGTGACTCTGCCTGACCTTCCCATCTCCATGGGCAGTTACATAGTCCTGGCATGCATCCAAAAATGGCATGGCAACAATCACCTTTGTTTTATTTTACTTTGTCATCAATGGTTAATATTTCCTGGCACATCAGAAAAGGATTACATCTGGATGCACAGGCTTCCTTCTCCTATTGATAGCCTTTGTGATTTGTCATAAGCTGTTGATCATTAAATAAGCATGTCTTTTAATCATGACCGGTCTGGGAACAGCTTAGACTAACAATCCTAAGAAAAATCCGCCACTCTTTCCTAAGTCAGGTTCCTTTCAATAGAACCATATTATGTTGGGCTTTGTTGTATTTCCTGCTTTGGCCCAATAACGGGGCTTTAGTGACCCTTGCTTGTTTTGAAGAAAGATGACAGATTTCCTGCAGCTCTTTCTACAAGCAGGCAGCTGCGGAAACATCACAGTAATAAACCAAACATATTCTGGGCACCCAGGAAAGCTCCTAAACACTCACTATCCTTTTATTCCTTGCTCTGGGGACTTTCTTCTGATATGATACGGGAGACATTTTCCACCCAAAGTTCTTGACCTTGCCATCAACCATGGTCATTCTCCTTTCTCAACCCTGTAGTTACGTAACTGTTGGGTTTTGTTCATTCAGATGTTGATTATTTGTCCCAGCCAGCCATTCAGAATGTACAGATTTGATCACAATTAGAGGTAACCTTGAAGATACAGACTGTACATTGATTACATAAATTTTAGACATGGTACTATGTCACTTAACTCAGGTAGAGATGAGATAAAACTATAGATCACATTTGTAAATTCATTTCCTATATTAATTATCAGTTGAAACAATTCTTATGGATATTTAGGAAATATGAAGCAAACTTTGAATATTTCACTTTTGCAAGAAGGACAGCCTCTCTCTCTAGCTACCTATTTTATTTTTTAGAATAAACTGGGGCCTGTCCAAGTAAATTACATTGCTTTTTTTCTGTTTTTGCATTGTAAATTAAAATATGTACAGAAAGACACAAAGCAAGCTGAAAGGCTCCCAGCTTCATCCATGGCCCTGCAAAGGACATGATCTTGTTCCTTTTTATGGCTGCATAGTATTCCATAGTGTCTATGTACCACATTTTCTTTATCCAGTCTATCATTGATGGGCATTTGGACTGATTCCATGTCGTTGCTATTGTGAATAGTGCTGCAATGAACATGTGTGTGCATGTATCTTTATAATAGAATGATTTATATTCTTTTGGGTATATACCCAGTAATGGGATTGGTGAGTCAAATAGTATTTCCAGTTCTAAATCCTTTAGGAATTGCCACACAAAACAAATGCAGGGTTTTATGAGTTACTACAAGGCAGAAATTCTTGTTACCATCACTCAGGTCAAGAGAGAAAATTTGTTAACACCTTAGAAGCCATTCCAACCATAATCCTCTCTGTCCAATTTTAATCACAAACTTGTATTTTCTTCTTCACTTTTGTGAATTTCTTTATACTTTTATTACTTCGGTGAACATCCCTGGGAGCTTCAGTTAGTCTGATCCACTTAAAGAAAACTGATACATCTTTTAAGTCTTCTCCTTTTATCCCTTTCTTTTCCTTATAATTTATCTGTTAAAGAAAAAAGGGCATTTGACCTGCATATTTCTCCACAGTCTTGATTTTGCTGATTGCCAACACAAAGTTCAGTTCAGCCTGCTCCTCTCTTCTCAGTATTGGCTGCAAACTGGATCAGATCAGACAGATCCTGCTTTGACTCAGTTTCTATCCATGTGTCAGGACTGTAGGCAGTGGTATGTTTTTACAATGGGAGACATTCGATATCTGGGTATCTCTCTTTTTGTGACGTTAACAGCCAATTTTGTTTGATGACTAGATCCCTTACTAATTTGGGGAATTGCAAATGGGGTCATCCTAATTCTATCATTAATTTTCATTTATGAGGTGGGAAGCTTTTATAGCACAACCTTCCCCTCATCTACGATTTGGTTGTCTACTGGTAACTTATCTTGATTCCACTTCCAGGCGTGTGTGTGTGTGTGTGTGTGTGTGTGTGTGTGTGTGTATCCATGTGGAAGGAAGTTCTGGGGGTTAGCTTTATGGATTTATTGGGGATTGACTGCTCCAGCCCCTTTAGGATACGCCACAGGCCTCTTCCTCTAATCCACACTTGTGCTGGACAATACCCCTCCTGGTGCTAACCCAGAACTGGCCCATGACACTTACCACTGCTCTGGCTACTCTGGGCTTCTTCTGGTTGTGGTTATTTCAGGTAACTCAAACACCAATGCAGGGCTTATGGGTGCTGGTATTTTGTCCTCAACCCCTTATAGTTTGAGAATTGTGGAGAAAAGCTGCTATCTAGTTTTATTTTTAGATATGAATATCATCCTTGCATTTTTCTTTTGCTATCTAGTTCTTCTTTCTTTTTCATGGTGGGGTTTGGAATGATTGGAAAGCAATGCAGCCAACACTGCTGACTCCTTCTAGAACCATATTTTAATTGGTTTCCTAGACATGAAGTGTAAGTCACATGCAAAAGTGTGTGTTGGGAGGGTTGGGAGGGGTGAAATTGTAAGAAGAGGTCCATTTCATCAAAAGTACCAGAACTCCAGTTTTTATTTTTTTTAAAATTGTCTAGCCAGGCATGGTAGCGCATGCTTGTAATCCCAGCTACTCAGGAGGCTGAGGCAGGAGAAACACTTGAACCTGGGAGGCGGAGGTTGTGGTGAGCCGAGATTATGCCATTGCACTTCAGCCTGGGGAACAAAAGCAAAACTCCGTCTTAAAAAAAAAAAAAATTGTCTCGTTTTCTAGATCTTACAAAGCTTGTAAGAACTGTTTCAGCCATAAATAAACCCCTGGCTTTGCTGTTGGACTCACCTGGGTTCAACCCTGGCTGTGCCATGGATTGACTCTGTGACCTTGGGAAAGTTAATTAAGTTATCTGAACCTCATCTGAAATTCAGAAAAAAATACTGTGCATCTCATGAATCCAGTTTTTCCAAGCCCATTCTCATATTTTCTTTCTTCCTCCTCCCACTTTCGCCCCCTAGCAATACCTACCACAGATTCCAATTATTACCCCATAAAAATCTCTGGACTCTGTTCATTTTTCTCCATCTTCACTACCACTGCCATATTCACTCTAATGCAAAGTAGTATCTTCTCTTGCCTGGGCTAGTCAAATACTCATCTAAACTATCTGCCGGCAGCCCCTCTGGGCTCTCTCGTACCCATTCTTTAAACTCAGGCAGAAGAATTTCAAAACATAGTTGTGTCAAACTTCTGCTTAAATAACACTGATTATGTCAACTCTTTCCTAAAGCTCTTTGTAGTCTTCTCATTGTTTATAGGATGAGGCAGAATTTATTTTGAACCAGAAGGTCTGGCCTCTGCCATCTCTCAAGCATATCTCACATCTCTCTCTTCATTTCCCATCTCTGTTCCAGTGGCGCTGGCCTACCCTCATCACAAGAAATTTGCACATGCAAAGTCCTCTTCTTGAAATGATCTTCCTTCCTTTTGTTGCTCAGTTAACTCTTAATGATCCTTTAAATCTCAGAGTAAGCATTTGTTCGTCGGGGGAAGTCTTCCCTGACCTTGTAAGTAGCACGGATCCTGTACAGCACCAGTGCTCCTGCCTCAGCACGTGGAACACTGATTTATGACAGTAAGTCATTAATGTCTCTTTACTGCACTAGAGTTTAAACTCCACAAGGGCAGGGAGAATGTTGTCACCACGGTATCCCCAGCCTAATGCCTGGCACATGGTACTTAGACAATTTTTATTAAATGAATGAATGAATGGTGTTTTTAGATGGATATAAACATAAAAAACTTTTGCTGGTGTTGTGAACTGGTCTAAGCTATTTGGTTTTATGGAATAATTAAGTTCTTTAAAAAAATCTCAGTAGCCACCAACTTGCTGGAGGTCATGGGGTTGGTCACTTCCATTCAACCTCGTTAACAGGTTATGACAAAACCAAGTCTCAGATTACATTTGCGCACACAAAAATCACACAATCAGTGTTGTCAACATGATGGTTTTGTAGACCTTTGTGCTTCTTGATTATCTGAGAAAACTGCTTGAAAGTCATGACCTAGACAAATCCAGGAGTATCCTTGAGTGGGATTAATCCATGTATGACGTTTGGAGAATTTTCCTCAGGTTGTAACAACTGAGCTGTTCAGAATTCCAGAGCTCTCTGGACTTTCCAAACTCAGACACTACCTTAAAGCAAAACCATCAAAGCCTATGGTTTTTTAGGCTCCTGATTTATTCCTTTATCCTGGAGTATCACTTTCGTTAAAGCCCAGAATTCTAAGAAAATATAGTGCAATAAAGAATAAAGCAGTTCTTGTGTACACGTGATTATTGTAGAAATAAAGCAAAAAAAATAGAAAGGAACTTCCCTCATTAAAAAACAAAGTTGAAGTCATTGTTCCCTAGCCATATAATAGTCACTCAAAACAATTCAGATCATTGTGATTTATTGTGAACATTCCCCGAGCACCTGAAGGCTGAGCTTCCCTGTGCCTTTAATGAATGAGTCATTATAACTTGTTTGTGTAATACAGAGAGGAAAACAACAAGCTCATATCTCTCTCACACAAATGATAAGGTGACACACACTTAATCAAAATAAAGGACAAATAATTCAGAGGTCAGTTTTCAAAGGAATTTTGAGCAGTGTTCTTTTCAGTTAACAGAGAAAATAAATTTCAGGAAAAGGATATAATAATCATTCAAATTAGATTAATGGTCCAAAACTGGGGGTGATTTTGCACCCTTAAGGGACATTTTTTGGTTGTCACCACTGAGTGACGTCTGGCATCTATTAGGCAGAGACCAAGGATGTGGCAGCTTAGCATCCTACAATGTACAGGACTGCACCTCCCACCCCACCCACCCACTCAGCAAGGAACCCTGGCCCAAGATGTCAATAGTGACACCCCTGAGAAATCCTGGGTTAGATCATAGATGAGGAACGGGTGAAGCTGGGAAGGACCTGCAGATCATTAGATCTGCAGATCATTAGATCTGCAGATCATTAGAACTATTCTGGGTGTCAAGAGACAGTGACTAATACAAGTCACCAGATACCTGTAAGCTGAGCTAAGCCTAAGTTTTTTCTATTTCACCATACTCTTATTATCGACTACATAATCTCGTTTTGTGTCCTTGACGACATGTTGAAAATAAATGAAGGGTGAATTTTATAGTAAGCTGAGGCATTCAAGGAAACAAAGATTTAAAATGTAGCTGATTTTTGAAGTGGGTATTGTAATTTTTATACTTGTCTTTAATACAATCTTTCCTAATTATTTTATTATTCTCTTCTCCTCCATCTTCTTCTTTCCCCACCTCCCCAGTAGTGCTTTCCATCCCTATCAGCATATGACCTTCCATATTTTTTAAGTTTATACAGATATAAAGACATAAACAGGCTGGTCATGGTGGCTCACACCTGTAATCCCAGTGCTTTAGGGGATAAAGGTGGAGGGATTACTTGAGGCTAGGAGTTTGAGACAAGTCTAGACAACACTACAAGATCCTGTCTCTACAAACAAAAAATAATTTAAATTAGCTGGATGTGGTGGCACATGCCTATGGTCACAGCTACTTGGGAGGCTAAGGTGAGAGGCTTACTTAAGCCCAGGAGTTCAAGCCTGCAGTGATTTATGATTGCACCACTGCATCCCAGCCTGGGTGACACAGCAAAACCTTGTCTCTAAAAAGAGAGAGAGAGAGAAAGGATATAAACACATATGTATTACACATATTCCCACATACATTTCTGGCATTTTTGTTTTATAAGTATGGATTCATGTAACACATAATTTCCTACAACTTGCTTTTGTCATTCAAAAATATTTCCTGAGAAGTCTTTTCAAGACAACCATTATAACTTTCTTTCTTCATTTAACAGTGCTTGTCTACCATAATTTATTTCATCATTTCCCTATTGATGGACATTTATTTTTATATTTTATTTTATACTTACTGAAACATGGTAAAATAATATCCTTTTGAAAATATCATTATGTCCTGGTGTTTTTATTCTTATAAGACAGATTCTTAGAAGTGAGATTGCATATTTGGGAGATCCCAGGTGAACCTAGAGGTAAGAGAAGTATCTTGATTAAAACTAGAAACTCTAAGGCTGGTGGTGGTGGCTCACGCCTGTAATCCCAACACTTTGGGAGGCCAAGACAGGTGGATCACTTGAGATCAGGAGTTCAAGACCAGCCTGGCCAACATGGCGAAACCCTGTCTCTACTGAAAATAGGAAAATTAGCTAGGCATAGTGATGCATGCCTGTAATCCCAGCTACTTAGGAGGCTGAGGCAGGAGAATCACTTGAACCCAGGAGGCAGAGATTGCAGTGAGCTGACATCACACCATTACACTCCAGCCTGGGTGACAGAGCGAGACTCCATCTCAAAAAGAAAAAAAAAAAAAAAAAAGAAAAGAAACTCTATAAACGGGAAGATGGATGTTTTAAATTAAATGACACTTGATTTTTAAATTAAAACTTTAAATAAAATTAAATTTACTAAATTAAGTTAAAAATATGTGTGGAAAAATATGAGCAATTTCAACAATGTGTACTTTGGGGAAATGTTTATAATGCAAATAGTAGGCAAGATAAATAATTATTATAATATCCAAATAGCTTTTATTAATTGCTAGAAAATTGAGTAAAGAAAAGTTACATGCAACTCATTGAAAATTATATGCGAATGGCCGCCAAACACATGAAAATATGCTCAAATTCTGTAGAAGCCACAAACCAGCAAATTAAAGTAATGATGTGCTATGACTTTGTACTTACCACACTACCAAAAAATTAAAAAGAATCATAATACTTACTGCTGGCAGAGATGTGATAAAAAAGGATGTTCTCATATATTTCTGATAATAATGCAAATTGCAAGCCAATTTGGAAAACAGACTGGATTAATTTTTATGAATTTTTATCTGGTCACAGAAGCAACTGCTGTTAAAGTGGTTTGGGAAAAGAACAGCTGAAAGAGGTTTCTTTGGCAGCTTAAAATACTAGTGGAACAGCAAAATAAGAGTGAAAAATAAGCTTCAATCAGTATGCACACTTTAACTGCCCAGTGGACAATTCTACCATATCATTCAAGTCAGATATGCAGTAGTTATATCTCTTTCCTGAATTTCTGGATGGTAGTAGAGTGAAGTCTTGGGGAAATCATGGTGGGGAGAGCGTGTCTGATATGTGGATTCCTAAGCTGTGATTCAAGCTGGATTCCAGATACACCAGAATTAAATGCTGGCATGAAAGGGACAAAGCTATCAAGTGCTTGAGGATTCTAACTGTGGCTAAATCTGAAATCAGCTGGTGATAGAAGACACAAAGGCACAGGTAGCAGGGAGAGGATGAGTCTGGAGCAATTCTCATGTCCAGGATACCATCCTTAAAGCCTGGCAACCTGGCCAAGCCTGGGCGGGCCATGTCCAATGAGGGAGGGTGTCCTGGGTGAGAAAAAAGCAAATTCATAGTCTGCACAGGGGATCCGTCTCTTTTTGTTCCTCACTTCTCTTGGTCCCTAGACTCACCACCCTAAATCATGTCTTTGAAAGTCAAAAGAGAAGGAAGAGAGCTCAGGTCCCAGAGGACTAGAATGTGTATCAATTGAAACTCTGCATTGTAACTAATTTCAACTCAAATGAGTACAAATACCGGTAGAAATTATCTATTAAGCCTGTAGCAGAGTGAAGATATTATGGAAACAGTCTCCAAATTTAGGTTTGTCCTAAATTTAGGTTCTCTTATAAATATAAATATAAATGTTCTCTTAAGAACAATAGAATGGGCTATTTTCCACTGGGATCATTTCAGAACATCTGAGGAATATAATCACTATGAATATGTGGGGAAATGTAATGGCAAATTAAGTTTCAGGTCAACTGGGATGAGGGGATAGGATAATCTGTAAGTCCTTTCTCACTCTCTACTTCCAGGCCCAGATGCCAACCTCACCCCTCCCAATCTGGTTTGTAGCACAGGGGACAGGGCAGGCCACAGAACTGTAGAAGGAAGTGAGAGCCTAGTCTCTGTTTCCCTCATTCTTTTTCCCAATAACTGCTGAACAGCCAACACACCTGCCAAAATAATTTGAAAGAAGCCCGGCATTAGAGCAAGGTCTGAGCAAAGTGCAAACTAACAATGGGGCCCTAATATGCAAGACTGTCTAAGCAATCACTGAGATTTATGATATTAATACCCATGATTTTTCATAAAGGCAGCAGAAAAAGGCAGCAGAAGGTGTGCTTCCTACATGCGAGAGTGGAACTTGGCCCAGATCCCCAGTGTTGGCTCCTATAATCAAAGCCAGTAGGCAGCCTCCCCCAGGCAGAGACGAGTACAACTGCAGCCACCCATCCTGGGGTAACAAGGCACTCCTTCTCTGTCCATACTGTAACTATCCAGGCTCTATCACTTAGGTGAGAGTTGTGTTTAGAATGAAGATGTTAATAGTGAGACTTTATGAGTCAGAGCCCTAGGAAAAAATTGGCTTGGAGTCTGGGTTTTGCCGACATTAACTCAAGAATGGGTGTGTTGATTGATTGTATTCAGCCAAGAATAAACCTTTCTTGTGCAGCTGAGTCACAAGACCATTTGGTGCAATTGTTAATAGCTGAAAACTCAGTAATAAGTTCCATATTTCACAAGTGGTGTCTCATACCAGAGATGTTTCTTCATCAACCTGGACATGTTCCTTGCTTAAATATAGTCTTGGTAGTTGTGGCAGGTACATTTTAAGTTCTCCATGCTTTTTCAGGTACCAGATGTGCCTGCTACAGATAATGCTCAGATATTCCATGTCTTTCTACAAGGTGGGGGTATGCTTTGATGTTTTTCCTCCACAAAACAAATTTTAAGTGAAATTGGTGTATAACAAGGAAGATTGTTCCAGTGCATTGTTATAATCCAAAGGTTGTTAAAAATCCACTTTTTTGAGTAAAGAAGATAGTAAAAAGAAATATTATTTTTATGATGAACAAGAGAAAAACAATTATGTTCTTAAACCAGACAAAGATAATCAGGCGTCAGGAAACTTCACTGCAAAGCCAACATTTTAAACTTTCTTCGTGGTGGCCTACTCCTGTCAAGAGACTCTCATTAAAGGAGGAGAGAATTAATACATACATGTCATAATCATGTGACAGATAGGTACTGTGAAAGCCAACCCGGTAGATATTTTAAGGAGTTCTCTGGAAAATCGGAAATGTAGGGTGGAACTTCTATTTCTAGCAAGATGAGGAGTAAGATACTGTTAAAAAATACAAACTAAAAAAAAATGGAGAATAAATTGAATTTTTAAAAACTTTAAAATATATATTTGAGCCTACTCATGTGATTGAAACACAGGAAATGTATTAATCAATAGTAATATATAAAATAAGAAAAAGATAATCTAAATTTTTTGAGTTTCTTATACTGTTAAAGGGAGAAGATATCAATGAATTATAGATGTTGGTAAGTTGTACACACATACTAAATTTCTAAGGTAATCACTAAAAATACCAGAATGTACACTTTCCAAGAAAACCAAGCACTACAAAATAAGTAAGAAAAGCACAAAGAAGAAACTTAGAAAAGCAGAATAAATACAAAGGTAAAGTAGAAATACATGTGCTTATATTGTTACATAATAAATATGAATTGTTTTCCTATCCAAAGACAAAGATTGTGAAACTAATATATCTTTTTAATCCAACATGTGCTATTTACAATGGATACTTCTAAAACATAAGGACACAGGAAATATTAAACTATTGAAAAAAAATACCAGGCAAACACTAATCAAAGGAAACGTTATGTAATTTTAGACTGTCAGAAAGGTAAGACTTTAATAAAAGCATTATTAAAGATAAAAAAAGGCCTCATGCCTGTAATCCCAACACTTTGGGAGGCTGAGGCAGGTGGATCGTGAGGTCAGGAGTTCAAGACCAGACTGGCCAAGATGGTGAAACCCCATCTCTACTAAAAATATAAAAATTAGCCAAGCATGGTGGTGCGTGCCTGTAGTCCCAGCTACTCAGGAGGCTGAGGCAGGAGAATCACTTGAACCCGGGAGGCAAGGTTGCAGTGAGCTGAGATTGTACCACTGCACTCCAGCCTGGGTGACAGAGCGAGACTCTGTCTCAAAAAAGAAAAGCTACTACATAAGATTTCAGCTTTAATTTATCAAGGAAAATAAACACATCTAATCTTGAATATTTCTAATAATGCAGTTGCAAAATATATAAATAAAATGGCAGATGTATAAAGAGAAATGTGAGACTTTTTACCATCGCAGTGGTGGGAGAGTTCTATATCTATTTCTGATTTCATATATGTATATATATTTTCATTATATTAAACAGAAAAAAATCCAGATGGATACCCCAATTAACCTGATTTGATCATTACACATTGTTTGCCTGTACCAAAACATCACGTGTACCCCATAAAAATATACAACTATTTACCCATAATAATTAATTTTTTAAAAAGAGGAAAAAAATCTAGTAAAGTTACTATCTAACAGCATACGTAGGAAATTTCTTTCAATGATTTGAAAATGAAAGTTATTTTAGGTATTTGGATTATTTACAAAACTTACCATCTGATAGGATATTAAAAACACTAATACATCATAAATAATGTGTACTATACAGATTATTTTACCTAGTCACAATGCAATGAAATAGAAGTAGATAGTCAAAAGATGGCTTTTAAACTTTAAAATATTTAACCTTATGGCCGGGGGTAGTGGCTCACACCTGTAATCCCAGCACTTTGGGAGGCCGAGGCGGGCAGATCACAAGGTCAGGAGATCAAGACCATCCTGGCTAACGCGGTGAAACCCCGTCTCTACTAAAAATACAAAAAATTAGCCGGGCGCGGTGGTGGGCACCTGTAGTCCCAACTACTCGGGAGGCTGAAGCAGGAGAATGGCATGAACCCAGGAGGCGGAGCTTGCAGTGAACCAAGATCATGCCACTGCATTCCAGCCTGGGCAACAGAGCAAGACTCCGTCTCAAAAAAAAAAAAAAAATTTAACTTTAAAAATCCATAAAAAGTCATAGCTGAAATAATTTGAAAGCAAAGCAATAAATAGCCTACAATTAAATTATAACACAAAGTATAAAATAAATATCCATCAGTTTATACTGACATAAATAAATTATTGAATAAACAAATAACAGAGAAGAGACAAATCTACCATGCAGAGAAATTTCAAATAATTTGCATAAATATCCTCATGCCCTCTCCCCAAAGGAGCATAAGTCTCCATCCTGTAATGTGAACTGTGTATAGTGACTTCCTTCTAAAGGGCACGTAGAAAGTGAAAAAAAGAATAACTTAACAGTAGAGAAACTTGACAAACACTACTTGAGGGAAAGTGATCAAAGTTAACATCATTAATGATAAGTCATGTCAATACTACATCCCTTTGAAATGATGTGATGAAAATAGCATTTTACTTCTCCCCAAAAAACCATAACCCGCTAACCATGAGAAAACGATTAGACAAATCCAAAGGAAGAACATTCTACAAAATGACTGACAAATACTCTGTAAAATTATCAAAGTCATCAAAAGCAAGAAAAGTCTAACAAATTGTTACTATATAAAGGAGTTCAAAGGACAAGATAGATAAATGAAATGTATTCTGGAACAGAAAAAAAATAGATAAGCACAAAAGAAATATGAACAAAGTATGAACTTTAATTGTTAATAACATATTAATATTGCTTCCTCAGTTTTAACAAATTTACCGTAATATTTTTAGATGTTAATAATAAGTAAACTGAGTGTAGGGTATATGGAAACTCTCTGTATCCTACACATTATCCTTGCAACTTTTCTATGACTCTAAAAGTATTCTAAAATAAAAAGTGTAATTTAAAAAGTCCGTAAGTTTAGAAATAAAATAAAAATTGTCTTTAAAAACACACAAAATTATTAGTGAAAATTAGTA
The DNA here is from genome assembly GCF_000001405.40 of Homo sapiens. NCBI lineage: Eukaryota > Metazoa > Chordata > Mammalia > Primates > Hominidae > Homo > Homo sapiens. Next base: position 221,423,278 of record NC_000001.11, read on the forward strand.
CTTGGAACAGAATGATTATAAAAATACTACTTTCAAAATTTGTGGGATTTAACTAAATGGTAGTTTTAAAAAAGTATACAGCCTTAAATGTTTATCCTAGAAAGAAGGAAAGTTAAAACTTAATTACCTAGGTATTCAATTTATGGAATTAGAAGGATCATCATAATGAACATAAGTAAAATAAAAGAATAAAATAATAAAGAACAATAATTATAAAAATACAAAATAATTATATGAGAAAGGATAAACGTAGACAAAAGCTGGTTGTTTGAAAAGACATAAAAATTGATAAGATTAACCTGGAAAAAAAGGAACGGTCCCCCTCCCCAAAAAATATTAGAAATTTTTAAAAGACGTTATTATAGATGCAGCAGATTTTCTTACAGGTATATGTTATTAAAAGTGTATGCCAACATATTTTAAAACCTAGATGAAATAGACAGAAAATATTAAAACTGATTTAAGAACACCATGTGACAAAAAATGAGCTTAGAGATGAGTTATTCAAATGTTTAAGGAACAGAGAATTCTGTCCTTATACCAAATCTTCCAAAGAATTGCAAAAATAAGGCCACTCCCAACTAGTTTTATGAGGCTCATATAACCTGCATATTAAACAAAGAAAAGAACATTTTGAGAACAAAATCAGACAAGTTCTGATTTATAAACATAGATGAAAAAAGCTAAGGAAAAGTGTTAGCAAACTGAATTCCATATTGTAGAAAACAAAAATACATGCTGGCTAAGCTAATTATATTCCAGGAATACAAGGCTGGGTCAATCATAAAAAATCTATTAATGTGATTAATGACATGGACAAATCAAACCAAAAAAATCATATGATTGCTTCAATGTATGCAGAAGAAGCATGCAATATACTCAACATTCGTTCTTTATATTTAAAAATTCCTTAATAAACTCAGGTAAGAGGAGGATACTTCAACCTGAAAGAAAAGGCACTACAACAACATTTTAAAATCACTATTCTAAATAGTAAAACTCAAAATGTTTCTGTTAAAATTAGAAGCATTACACATCTTCCTGCTATCAAAATTTCATTTAACATTATATTAGAGGTTCTGTTGAATCTATTTTTTGGTTCATTAATCAAAAATCTATTTTTAGAAGAAAAAAATCTTATTATTTTCAGATGATATAATCCACATAGAAATTCAAGAGGAATTTGCAGACACTTACTTTTAGACTTAGAGAAATTTATGCAGATTGTCTATAAGTATAAGCTACAACTAGAAGATATAATGATGAGACATCACTTACCGTATCAATTAAAATATAAAACATCCACAAAGATAAAAAGGTAAAACCTTTATGAAACTTTGATTGACTTTGCATACCCAATTGAACCAAGATATAAACCATGTACATGGTTAATAAGACTTAAGTTACAACTATGTCAATTCTCCACAAATTTAATAGATTGATTTTATGTTATTCCTATCAATACCCCAACAGGGCTTTCCATAGAACTTGACAAACTGATCTTAAAACTTTTATATGAAAAAGCAAAAGGACAAGAATAGTCAAAAGGCCCCTGGGATTTTGTTTGTTGGGAGGTTTTTAATTACTGAGTCAATCTCTTCATTTCTTATTTGTCTTTTCACCTTTTCTATTTCTCCATGAATAAGTTTTTGTAGTGTACTAGTCCATTTTCACACTGCTGACGAAGACATGCATGAGACTAATTTTTAGAGAAAAAGAGGTTTAATGGACTCACAATTCCACCTGGCTGGGGAGGCCTCACAATCATGGTGGAAGGTGGAAGGTACGTCTTACATAGTGACAGACAAGAGATAATGAGAGCTTGTGCAGGGAAGCTTCTCTTTATAAAACCATCAGATCTCATGAGACTTATTCACTATCATGAGAATAGCACAGGAAAGACCCGCCCACATTATTCAATTACCTCCCACTGGGTCCCTCCCACAACATGTGGGAATTATGGGAGCTACAATCCAAGATGAGATTTGGGTGGGGACACAGCCAAATCATATCATTCCACCCCTGGCCCCTCTCAAACCTCACGTCCTCACATTTCAAAATGAATCTTGCCTTCCCAACACTCCCCCAAAGTCTTAACTCATTTCAGCATTAACTTAAAAGTCATCAGTCCAAAGTCTCATCTAAAACACGGCACGTCCCTTCCACCTATGAGCCAGTAAAATCAAAAGCAAGTCAGTTACTTTCTAGATAAAATGGGGTTACAGGCATTGGGTAAATGCAGCCATTCCAAATGGGAGAAACTGGCCAAAATTAAGGCTAAAGGCCCCATGCAAGTCCAAAATTCAGCAGGGGAGTCAAATCTTAAAGCTCCAAAATGATCTCCTTTGATTCCATGTCTCACATCCAGGTCACGTTGATGCAAGAGGTGAGTTCCCATGGTCTTGAGCAGCTCTTTCCCTGTTGCAGGGTACAGTCTCTTTCCAGGCTGCTTTCATAGACTGGCATTGAGTGTCTGCAGCTTTTCCAGGTGCATGGTCCAAGCAGTCAGTGCATCTACCATTCTGGGGTCTGGAGGATGGTCGCCCTCTCCTCCTAGCTCCACTAGGCAGCACCCCAGTGGGGGAGTCTGTTTGGGGGCTCCCACCTCACATTTCCCTTCCACACTGCCCTAGAAGAGGTTATCCATGAGTGCCCTGCCCCTGCAGCAAACTCCTGCCTGGACATCCAGGCATTTCCATACATCCTCTGAAATCTAAGCGGAGGTTTCCAAACCTTAATTCTTGACTTCTGTGCACCTGCAAGATCAATACCACGTGGAAGCTGCTAAGGCTTGGGGCTTGCACCCTCTGAATCCATGGCCTGAGCTATACCTTGGCCCCTTTTAGTCATGGCTAAAGCAGCTGGGATGTAGGGCACCAAGTCCCTAGACTGCACACAGCAGAGGGACCCTGGGCCCAGCCCACAAAACCATTTTTCTTCCTCCTGGGCCTCCAGGCCTGTGATGGGAGGAGCTGCTGCAAAGGTCTTGGACATGCCCTGTAGACATTTTCTCCATTGTTTGTGGATTAACATTTGGCTCCTCGCTATTTATGCAAATTTCTGCAGCCAGCTTGAATTTCTCCTCAGAAAATGGGGTTTTCTTTTCTGTCACATTATCAGGCTTCAAATTTTCTGAACTTTTGTGCTCTGCTTCCCTTATAAAACCAAATGCCTTTAACAGCACCCAAGTCACCTCTTTAATGCTTTGCTGCTTAGAAATTTCTTCCACCAGATACCCTAAATCATCTCTCTGAAGTTCAAAGTTGGACAGGGGCAAAATGCTGCCAGTCTCTTTGGTAAAACATAACAAGAGTCACCTTTGCTCCAGTTCCCAATAAGTTTCTCATCTCCATCTGAGACTACCTCAGCATGAATTTCCTTGTCCATTATCATTATCAGCATTTTGGTCAAAGCCATTCAACAAGTCTCTAGGGACTTCCAAACTTTCCTACATTTTTCTGTCTTCTTCTGAGCCCTCCAAACTCTTCCAGCCTCTGCCTGTTACCCAGTCCCAAAGTCGCTTCCACATTTTGTGGTATCTTTTCAGCAATGCCGCACTCTATAGGTACCAGTTTACTCTATTAGTCCGTTTTCATGCTGCTGATAAAGACATACCCAAGATCAGGCAATTTACAAAAGAAAGAGGTTTAATGGACTTACAGTTCCATGTGGCTAGGGAGGCCTCACAATCATGGTGGAAGGTGAAAGGCACATCTCACATGGTGGCAGACAAGAGAAGAGATGGCTTGTGCAGGGAAACTTCCCTTTATAAAACCATCAGATCTCATCAGACTTATTCACTATTACAAGAATAGCATGGGAAAGACCTGCCCCCATGATTCAATTACCTCCCACCAGGTCCCTTTCATGACATGTGGGAATTGTGGGAGCTACAAGCCAGGATGAGATTTGGGTGGGGACACAGCCAAACCATACCAGAAAGGTTGGATATTTCTGGGAATTGATCCATTTCTTTTAGGTTATCCAATTTGTTGGCATGTAATTGTTCAGCCTCTTATAAATCTTTTTATCTCTGTGGTATTTGTTGTAATGTCTCCTCTTTCATTTCTGATTTTGTTTGAATCTTCTCTCTTATATTCTTATTTAGTCTATGTAAAAGTTTGTCAAATTAGTTTTTTTTTCAAAAAATTTTAGTTTCATTGATTTTTCTATTCTCAATTTTGTTTATCTCTGCTCTAATCTTTATTCTTTCCTCCCCTCTGCTAACTTTGGGCTTAGTTTGTTCTTTGTTTTCTAGTTTCTTGAGGTCTAGGGTAAAGCTGTTTATTTGATATATTTTCTCTTTTTTTTTTTGAGATGGAGTCTCGCTCTGTTGCTCAGCCTGGAGTGCAGTGGCGCAATCTCAGCTCACTCCAAGCTCTGCCTCCTGGGTTCACGCCATTCTCCTGCCTCAGCCTCCCGAGTAGCTGGGACTACAGGTGCCCGCCACCATGCCCAGCTAATTTTTTTTGTATTTTTAGTGGGTTTTCACCGTGTTAGCCAGGATGGTCTCGATCTCCTGACCTCGAGATCCACCTGCCTTGGCCTCCCAAAGTGCTGGGACTATAGGCATGAGCCACCATGCCCGGCCTGTTTTCTCTTTTTTAATGTAGGCATTTATTGCTATAAAATTTCCTGTTAGAACTACTTTTGCCACATCCTATATGGTTTGATATGTTGTGTTTTATTTTCATTTGTCTCTAGACATTTTCTAATTTCCCTTTTGATTTTTTTCTTTGATCCACTGCATATTTATGCATGTTATTTTTTACATATTTTTGAATTTTTCAGATCTCTTTCTGCTATTGATTTCTAGTTTCATTCTATCACAGTCAAAAAAATACTTATTTTAATCTTTTTAAATTTGTTAAGGCTTTTGCGACTTTATATGTGATTTATCCTGGAGGCTATTTCATTTGCAATTCAGAAGAATGTTTCTTCTGTTGCTGTTGAGTGAAATGTTCAGTATATGTCTATTAGGTCCAGTTGGGTTATAGTGCTGTTCAAGTTCTCTGTTTCCCTATTAATCTTCTGTCTGGATGTTCTCTCCATTATTGAAAGTAGAATATTAAATTTCTCTACTATTATTGTGTTGCTGTCTATTTCTCTCTCAGTTCTGTCAATGTGCGCTTTATTCATTTAGGTGTTCTGATGTTTGGTACATATATACTTATAATTGTTATGTTTCCTGGTGAACTGACTCTTTTGTCATTGTATTATATCCATGTTTTCTCTTGTGACACTTTTTGACTCAAAATCCATTTTGCCTAAAAAATTATGGCCACCATTGCTCGATTTTGCTTACCATTTTTATGAGATATATTTTCTTTTTATTTTTTCACTATTTTTAATCTAAACTGAGTCTCTTGCAGAGAGTATGTGACTATGTTTTTAAAAATTTTATCTATTTAGCCATTCTATGTTTTTTGTTTAGAGAGTTCAATTCATTTACATTTAATGTCATTATTGACAGGAACAGATTTACTATTGCCATTTAAAAATTATTTTCTATCTGTCCTATAGTTCTTTTGTTCCTACTTTTTTTCATTATCTTTATTTGTGTTTCATTGATTTTTGTAGTGATACACTTTGGTTCGTTTCTCATTTTCCTTTGTATACCTTCCATAGGTTTGTTTTTGTGGTTATCATGGGACTTACATAAAATAGCTTATAATTATAACAATGTGCCTTAAGCTGATGACAACATGAGTTCAGTTGCACACACAATTGCGTATTACTCCTCCTCTCCATACTTTGTTATTGATATACCAAATTGCATTTTTATTGTATCAATTAGCATATTTTTATAATTATAGTTATTTTTTATACTTTTGTCTTTTGACTTCTATACCAAAACTAAAAGTGATTTACACACAACTGTTATAGTATTATAGCATTTTGTATTTGTCTATATATTTACTTTTATCAGCAAGCTTCATACTTTCATATGCTTTGTCTTAATGTTTAGCATATTTTTTGTTCCAACTTGAAGGACTTCCTTTAGCATTTCTTATAAGTGAGGCCAAGTGGTGACAAATTTTCTTGCCTTTTATTTCTTTGAAAAAGTCATTATCTCTCTTTCATTTTTGACAAGTAATTTTGCTGAATATGACATTCTTAATTGGCGTTTAGTTGTCATTTTAGTACTTTGAATATATCATCCCACTTTGTTCTGGCCTGCAAAGTTCCTGCTAAGAAATCTGCTGATAGTCATATATTGCTCAATTGTATGTGATGAGTCACTCTTCTCTTGCTGCTTTCAAAATTATTTGTTTATTTTTGGCTTTTGACAATTTGGTTATAATATGTCTCAGTGCTGACTTCTTTGGATTCATCCTATTTGGGTTCCATTGGACTTCTTGAACCTGTTTGTCTATCTCCTGCACATATTTGGGACATGTTTGGCCATTATTTACTTAAGTAAGCTTTCTGTCCCTTTCTTCTTTTTTATGAAACTCTGATTACGAATATATATATTATACATTCGTAATATATAAATATATATGAGATATATATATATATATCTCTCTCAGGGAAACCATTCATAAGAATAATTTTCAAAGGAGACAGAGAAAAGGTTCCTCTCCATTTCATTCTAGCCAAAGTTAACCTAAGCATTTAGAAGTTTTGCTTCCAGGTTTGTACTGCTTTTATTTATTTCCCTATGTTTAATATATATATAGAGAGAGTATATACATTTATAGTGTGTGTGTATGTGTGTTTTGATAGTGTTCCCATAAGGCCCTTAGACTTTCTTCAGTCTTTTCCATTATTCTCTTTTCTTTTTGCTCTTCTTACTGGGTAATTTCAAATGTCTTCTAGTTCACTGATTTTTTATTCTGCTTAATCAAGCTTGCTGTTAAACACTGTTAACTGAAAAATCACAAAATTTATAAATTTAGAAAGGAGAGGAGACTTCATTTCTTGTGAAAGTTACAGCCTTCAAGGTCACTATCCACAGCTGGGAAGCATAGCACCTGGCAAATAACGGAGAAAGGCACTTTGAAGGAGCGGGGATTAGGGTAGGAGCCTTATGCTGAGTGCGTTGACTAACATACATATTCAACAGGTTACAGGAGGAGCTACAAATATTCAAGCAGGTGATTCTGACTCAACATCTCATTGCATTACAATTAGGGCTTATATTTCAAAAAGCGAAGAGGGACATGAAGGCACTTAAGTGCATAACCTCTAAACTGGCTAGAACAGGTCCACAGTTGGTAATCTTATCAGACAAATTAGTTTCTTGTCTAATTAAAGCTGTAGTTATGTATGACTTGTAGAACAGAGTGGTCAGTTAGTCAGTGGCTGGTGGTAGAAGAGCTGAAAGTTTTTTTTGAGATACTGCTTATCTCAAGACCAGTGTTTGTTTAGCTGCTAAAGAAAAAGAAAAATCTTGTGGCAGTTAGAACATAGTTTATTTTTTAAGTGTAGGGGATGCATGACTTAACTCTTGCCTGGCATGGCCTTGGGTCCTGTTTATAATTTGACATTTCATTGCCACAAAGAGTTTGTTTTGTCAGTCTTAGATCTCTATTTTAACATTAATGCTGGTCAGTCATTGTGTCTAAACTGCAAAAGAGAGGGTGTATAATAAGGCATGTCTGACCTCCTGTCCCATCATGGCTGGGAACTCAGTTTTTAAGATTTCTCTATAGTTTTTTTGGCCAAAATGGGGTCCATTCAGTTAGTGTGGGGTGGGGGCTTAGGATTCTAATTTTAGTTTACAATATTAGTTATTTTTTTCAGTTCATTTACAACATTCTTCAGCTCCAACACTTATTCTATTGTTTTTGTTTGTATCTTTTTGTTGAAATTCTTATTTTGCTCAGTCATTGTTTGTATGAGCTCATTGAGTATCTTTTAAAGTTTATTTTGAATTCTTTGTTGGGTAATTCATACACTTATTTATTTAGGGTTGATTTCTGGAGATTTGTTTATTTTTTTTTTTATTGGAGCATTTCTCCCTGTTTCTTCCTGCTTTTTTAAACTTTGCGCTGGTACTTACACATTTGAAAAAACAACCACCTCTCCCAATTTGTACACACTGGATTTGTACAGGGAATGATATCATCATTAAGATTGGCTGGGGATTCTGGAGCCCTCTCAAATCTTTTCTGTGATGTGTCTTCTTTGGACTTTTGCATGTAGATTCTTAATTATAGAGATTTGCTTGTTTCTTTTTTTAGGAGCTCATAATCTCTGGCTCCCTCTGATGTCTGTCTGCTGTACCATGGGTCCTCTAAAACAGCAGCATGCTCCCAGCTCGTTCTTGTTCTCAGCTTCCCCCAAAGAGCTAGAGTATGCTTGTTCCATCAGCACCCCAAGTTGAGTTAGACAAAAACCAGTTGCTGATGAAAAGTCAGAAAGCTTGATATATATTCCACTCTTCTCTTTCTCCCCTGAGAGGCCACTTCAGCCCTATATGCTCTACTGTAAGCCCTCTGAAGCAGCAATAAGCTTCCCATCTCTATTTTGTTCTCAGTGGCTCCCAGAAATCTAGAGTATGCTGGCTCCAATCAGTGCTCTGAGACAGGTGAAACAGAAGCCAGTCCCTCAGGTACCTCCCAAAAAGTCAGAACATTGGACATACAGCTGAAACTTCTTTTTTCCTCCTTAGGGAGAGGCTGGGAGCTAGGAGTTTCTTCCCAAATGTGTGGTGCTGTGACAAGGGGAGAGATTATGGTATTAAGGTGCCATAAATTTTTCTAATGGCTTTGATATGGCTGATTTCTGCATTCACTTGGGGTGCAGAAGCCTCTTAACTGGTTTCTACTTTATCATAAAGGGAATTGGTCTATATATTGTTGAATCAGTGTTTCCACTGGAGGAAAGAAGTGTCTGGGGCTTCATACTCTACCATCTGGATAATGTCAGTCTCAAAGTGTGCTTTTAAGGTCATGGCAACAAAGTGAGGTAAGGCATTAATACCAAGATCCCTAGTATGGAGCAAACCCAGGACAGAGAGATTGGTCCTGGTGATGTCATTTGGTCATTGAATTAAGCTATGCCTGAAGTCTACACATGCATTTATGCAAACCAATTAGTTCTCTTTTTGTTTAAGCTATTTGGCCTAGGTGCTCAGTTACTTAGAATTTGAAGAGTCCTCAGTGATAAAGTTGTGATGTAGGATTTTTTTCTTTTTAACTGTATTCTGTAAATGTAGTTATTACATAATGAGTTCTTTGCTCCTTGTAATGCTATCAAGAATTATCGTAACCTAGTTTTAATTTACTATTTCTGTCCTCATCTCTTGCTACTTTTGTTCCATGCACATATGCTCCAGCTACATTATTCTACGCTTTGTCTGCAAGCATATAATTACATGCTGTATGATTTTTCATGGTATTCTTTATTTTTTCCTAAAATGCCTTCTACCACCTCATGGCTATCAAAAAACTAGTTAAACACTATGGACAAGCTTAAATATCCACTTATGGGTGATTGTCAGGATCAACCCTCTGAACTGCTGAAATTGTGTTCACATTATTATAATTCAATAATTCGATATTTTTAATGAGTTGAGGGACCCATTTGCTATCACATTAGATAAGGAGCCCCTTGATGGTAAGACCCATATCTGTTAATTTACATGCCCATTATTGAATGCTGGCTGACATTCAATAAATATTTAGTGAATTAATAAACAAATGACCACCTTAAGTGGAAAATAGCAAGATGAATGTAAAGGTTTATAGTCAGCAAACTAGTCAGAGCTCAGCAAATAAATGAAAGAATACAAAGAACTTCCTTGACCTTGAAGTTATCTTTCAGACTTTAAAGGGGCCCTTTCCACTTAAGCAGGCTTGTTATTTTCACAGTTTTATGAAGCAATATGAACCTGTTGGATTTCTTTTCAAAGCATAGTAACTAGACCAGTATTGACATCCTTAAAAAAAAAAACAAATTTTTCTCCACCATTTTATCTTGCCTAATGAAAAACCCATTCATTTAGCCTTTTGGCAATTGTTATAACATGCACTCTGGGATTTTTAAGAATAGTTTTCAAAGGAAACAGAGAGGTGGTTCCTCTCCATTTCATTCTAGCCACAGTTAACCTAAGCATTTAGAAGTTTTCCTTCCAGATTTCTACTGCTTTTATTTCTTTTCCTATGTTCATTCATCACCATAGATGCTATGGTAGGAGAGAAAGCGGTTTCAGTTGCAGAACTTGCTTCCTGTTAATACTTCCATTACAGAACATTTTGGAAACAGATGCAATGACTTAAATATAATAATAAAAGTAAAATAATTATATCCAGACAACTAAAGCCAAGTGAAAATAATTTTGCAAAGTGAATTTTTATTTTCCTCTTCATATAATAGATACATTGATATCAGTCCTTACCTCTCTGCTCACATCCATTAGTTTAATAAATAATATTGGAGATATAATTTGCATGGTAATTTTATGTAAACATGTAGATCACTATGTTTCACCTCCATTGCAAAAACATGACTTATTATTTCATGTATTGTAGTGACGATGCTCTCTAAACATAACAATTTTATATTGAAAGCACATTACATGACATAAAACAGAAATTTGTTTTATTTCACAAATGCCTGCAGCGTAACATATTTCCACGTTATTCAATAGGATCCAGAAGTGTATTTAGGAGATGGCTCACAAAATTCTTTTCACTGGCTTAATAGCTTTTTGAGAGAGGAGACTGGTTCCTAATCATTTTTATTCTATTCACAGCATGAAGTTCACAGTGAGTAATAAAAAGTTTGATCAAATTAATGAACAAATGAACGTATTGTAAAAAATAGTGTTAAAAACACAAAATTGCCAGGCGTGGTGGCTCACGCCTGTAATCCCAGCACTTTGGGAGGCCAAGGCGGGCAAATCACGAGGTCAGAGATCGAGACCATCCTATCCTGGCTAACATGGTGAAACCCCGTCTCTACTAAAAATACAAAAATTAGCTGGGCATGGTGGCGGACGCCTGTAGTCCCAGCTACTCGGGAGGCTGAGGCAGGAGGATGGCGTGAACCCGGGAGGTGGAGCTTGCAGTGAGCCAAGATCGCGCCACTGCACTCCAGCCTGGGCGACAGAGCAAGACTCTGTCTCAAAAAAAAAAAAAAAAAAAAAAGAAAAAAGAAAAGAAAAAACAAAAAACACAAAATTTGGGAACAAACTGAGCTTTAGTAAGCATTGTCTATAAATATTTGAGGGAACAGAAATGAGAAGCCAACATTGGTGAGAGCACCACCCAATAAAGAGCTTGATAGATATAGTCACCGGAGAAACTTATTTTAATGTTTCAAAGGTATCAAAACAATAAATGAAACCAAATAAAACTTAAAAATAACAACCAAAAGGAAAGTCTTCAGTCTCCACGCAGTGCTTTGATGTAATATATTTATGTTTTCTTCCTCCTCAGGCCTCACTAAAATAGTTGCATAGGATGGTACAGTTCTTTCTCTTAAAGTACTTCTGTACTAGGTAATTTTTTTAAGTCTCTTCTATATATAATTTATTTAAAGATATAAAGGGCCTCTAGGGCTCTCAGGGACCTCCATGTTTTGGCAAGGAAGAGAATGAAAACAGAAGGTTCCTAAAATTATGGAAACTATTTTTTGGGTAACTTAAAGCAAAACAAAACAAATGAACAACAAACAAAAGTAGAGAGATATAAAAGATATCCCTGAAACTGTTTAATCTGGTGACCTTTCTTTACAGACCAAAAGAGCACTTCTTTTCTAAGATTGACATAAATGCATAAATTGTGCATCCTAAACCTTACTGGAGTTATCTAATTCTACTATAATGTCACTTCCAATTATGGGACAAAAAAAGTCAAATCTTATTCTTGCACTTCCTGGTAGAGATATTTTTCACCTGTATCAGGGCCTAGAATTGAAACTGGAAAATAAGCTACAATAGAAACTGAACTATGAAATTGAACTACAGAGTACAGAAGCCAGCTCAGAATACAATTCGTCTGTTTTTACCAAAAACCATGTTCCTGGGAACATACACCTGTTTGCATGCTAAGAATCTTGAAATTTAAAAAAAAAGCATGATAAAATTTAGGAAGAGGACAATTTTTTTTTCACCATTCCCCAAATCTATTGGCCATTTACTCCCCCAATTAGTTTTTCCAAACAACTTTAGAAGATCAACACAAGGTTCAATTGATTATCCTACTTAGATAAGGAATTGTAAATTATTAAGTTTGGCTTTGAGACTTCACTTTACATTTGCACATTTATACTTACATATATACCCATATCTAAAAAATTGCTTTCATTTTTAAAATAATCCCACAGTCAAGTAGTACACCATCATCCAAGCAAGACTGCTTGTGTGAAGATAGACACCTGGTGGTCAATATGTAGAACTGCAGCTCAGGAAAGACCTAGATTTCTTTGAGGTTGTCTCTTGTTTTTTCCCCATTTCCCACTGCTTTCTGGGTACAGATTGCTGTTGATGGTGGACATACTGCAGCTGTGTGTGAGTGAGTCTCAAGTTCAAGTCAAGAGATTTCCAGAACAGTTACATCAACTCCATGAAAGCTTCAGGTCACAAGTTTTCTGAATTATTTGGAGAGCCAACCAATGTAGCATGCTAAGAATTTTTAAAAGTTACTAAAATCTCTTAAGCAAGAAGTTGAACAGGAGCCTCAGTGTTTGGGAGTAAGGGTTAATCTCCACCTACAAATTTCTGCATTTCCTCTGTCAGGATAATAAGCTTCTGTTTCCTTTGGGGAAGAAAAAAGAAGTGTCGATTCCTTTGTCACCACAAAAGCAAGCATTTTGAGCTTTTAAATATGGCCCTGCCCCTGAACCGACCCTGCCTCGTGTCTAAGTGCTTTTCTCCAAATTGAACCTCACAAGACAAAAATACATAACTTAAAGAAATGGCAAGCTAAAATCTCTCTATTTTTTTGTTACTCCTGGCTATTAATTTTATTCTCTTCAATTTTTAAGTCTTGAGATAAGCTTCTGGAAGCAGATACAGAATAGTTTCTAACTTTCTCAGAGTACACTTGGTTTTAGACAGGGAGTGGAATCATAGCATGGGTTCTCACTCTACTTGCATCGGTAAAGGAGGAGGAAAGACATGCATCAGAAGGACAAATGTGTGAGTTGGCTCTATGTCTGATGAAGTGACACACTACAGTGCCGGAGATGCCCTGATTTCCCATTAAGCTACTACAGAGAAAGGCATAGCTTAGTCGCATGGGCTGAATTCCTTATGGTACAATTATAGGCACAGTCACACCTGAAATGACCAGACATCGTGGTCAGAATGCCCTTTGCTTAACTTCTATTGGGCCTTTGCTCTGTGCCAGCCACTGTGCACAGGCTGCCCCAAATCATGCCACAAGCCCTGTCTTTCTTCTTGTTTCCAGTTGGCCCAGATGGACACACAGCATCCCAGTCCTGGCAAGCAGAGGGCTGGGGTGTCCTTGCTTGGGTCTAACCCTGGCCTCCCATCCTGTTTCTAACCGATGTGTGTACTCATATACATACATCATCATGTGAAAGTCAAGGCCTTCTCCAATATTTAGAGGCTGACTGGTCAGTAGTTTTATCACCAGAAAGAAGAATGGGAAAAGATATCAAGAAACCTCCTTTGTCATGAGAGAAACATATTAATTTGGATTGAATAATGTAGTAAATATAGTGACCCCTCTTTCCATCCTCAGTCAAATTAATGTGAACTTCTGGCCAGGTTTGGGGACACTGGAAGAAGACTTCCTCGTTGCGACTATGAGAACTATCATATCACAAGAACCATTTAAATGTCAGATGCACAATCCTCTTTCTGAAACCCTTGTGAACAAATCCACTATTCAGAATTCAGAATTTTCAGACGGTAGATATGTAACACAGTCTATACATTGAATATTGTGGAATACTCTGATCAGGGACTGGAGTAGGACCCCTAATTCAACACATGAAGAGTTCTATTACTGAATGTGTGGTGGTCACATCAGTAGGGATAAAATAAACAAAAGTAGTCTCGCATTGGTTCAGATCAGGCATTATCATCATATGATTCTAGCACACATGAAAAAACACTTGCTTATCAGACTATTTTTGAATATTTGATGGTGGATAGCAGACTGCGGTTCTGCCTGTGTGTGATGCAAGAGACATTCCCAGGCATGCAGCCCTGTCCAGAAGGCTCCTACAACTCTCCAAAATCAATAGGGCAAACTACACCACCAAGAAGGAAATCTATTATCAAGTAGCCCATTTTCTTTGTTCATCAAAAGGCAATGTATTCATCATAAAACTGTAAAACTTTTAGAAGAAAACATAGAAAAATATCTTCATTATCTGGGATTAGGAAAGGAATTTTAAATGATGCAAAAGCATGATACAAAAAAGAAAAAATGAAATTTTATCAAAATCAAAAACTTTTGCTCTGCTAAATCACTTCCAAGAGAATAAAAAGACAAGCCACAGACTAAAAGAAAATATTTTCAAATCTCCTATCTAACAGAGAACTTTATATCCAGATTACATAACAAACTCTCAAAACTCAACAATAAGAAATCAAATAACCCAATTAAAAATGAACAAAGAGATTGAACAGATGCTTCACCAAAGAAGACACAGGAGACTCCCCCACCATCGCCTCCTTAACCACAGGGGATACATTTCAAGACCCCCAGTGGATGCTTGAAACTGTGGATCGTACTGAACCCTAAATAACTACTCATAATAAAACAATTATAATAATTTACTATAATAAAAGTTATGTGAATGTGGTCTCTCCCTCATCTCATACTGCACTCACTCTTCTTCTTGTGATGATGTGAGATGATAAAATGACTATGCGATGGATGTGGTGACAGTAATCTGATAAGTGAGATGCCTACTCAGTGACTAACAGGCAAGTAGCCTATACAGCATGAATACACTGGACAGAGGGGATTCATGTCCCACGGAGCAGGGCTGCGCAAGATTTCATCACACTGCTCAGAACAGTGTGCAGTTTAAAACTTACGAATTGTTTGTTTCTGGAATTTTCTATTTAATATTTTCAGGACACAGTTGACTGCTGGTAACTGAAACTGCAAAAAGAAAAACCTTGGATAAGAGGGGACTGCTGTATAAAGTACGAGAAAAGATGTTTAATACCACAAGCCATTAAGGTAATGTGAATTTAAACAACAGTGAGCTACAACCACACACCTATCAGAATGTCCAAAATAAGGGCAGGCGTGGTGGCTCACACCTGTAATCCCAGCACTTTGGGAGGCCGAGGCAGGTGGATCAGCTGATGTCAGGAGTTCAAAACCAGCCTGGCCAAGAAGGTGAAACCCTATCTCTACTAAAAATAGAAAAAGAAAAAAAAATAGCTGGGCGTGGTGGCGCACGCCTGTAATCCCAGCTACTCTGGAGGCTAAGGCAGGAGAATTGCTTGAACGCGGGAGGCAGAGGTTGCAGTGAGCCAAGATCGCACCACTGCACTCCAGCCTGGGCAACAGAGAGACTCCGTCAAAAAAAAAGAATGTCCAAAATAAATACTGACAACACAGAGTGTTGACAAGGATGCTGAGTAAGTAGAATTCACATACATGATGGCTGGAATTGGAAAATGCTACAGCAACTCTGGATAATAGCTTGGCAGTTTCCTTATAAAGTGAAACATACATCTACGCTATAACTCCACAAGGCCGATCCTGAGTATTTACCCCAGGAAAATGAAAATGTATGTTCACATGAAACTGATAAACAAAACTTCAGAGTAGCTTTTTTTTTTTTTTTTTTTTTTTTTTTACACAGTAGCTTCAAACTGAAAATAACTTGAATGTCCCTCAATGAGTGAAAGGGTAAATAAACTGTGATACCACATATGATGGAACACTATTCAGTCATAAAAAAGAACAACTTAGATAACTCTGTGCTGAGTAAGAGATGCCAGTTTCAAAAGACAAAAGCACAATGGTGGAGAAGAGATTAGTGATTGCCAGGGATTATGGTGGAGGGAGGGGTGAATATAAAGGGACAGCATGGGGAAGCTTTGGGGGGTTATGGCACTGTTTCGTATCCTCTTTGTGGTGGTTACACAAATCTATACATATGTGGAAATCCATAGAGCTGTACATCAAAGAAAAAAGTCAACTTTACTATAGGATAATTTGGAAAATAATTTTTTTAAAGGCCAATGCATTCCTATTTGACTTTTCTATTCACAGTTTGTTGTCAATCTCTTCTTTACTGAACTGATGACATCCTGTTTTCACTAACACTGCTTGCCTGGCGGGGAGATATGAGGCATGTGTGAGGCATTGCAGATACAAAGATGAGTCAGGCAGAGGCTCATGCACAGGGCTCACCACCTGGGCAAGGAAATGAGACAGGGAAGTGAAGAGACGTCAACAATTTATGCTACAGAAATTCAAGGGGTGAGAAATCCCTGATCACTATGGGAAGTGTAAGCACAAAGCGTGTTTTCTTAACTCAACCAAGAAGGAATAATTGGTTCTGTTTACTGTTTCCTTACCAAATATATTTTTTGGTAATTTTGAAGACTCCCTTGCTTTGACCAAAAAATATTAAATTTAAAAATCTCATTAGTTGATAGGAACAGTGCCTGCTGGGTTGTAAATTTATTGAAACATGGCCTGTCCTAACCAGCACTCTGACACATAGAAGTCCCGTCACTCATTATATAAATCCATTTATTAAATAAATGGATGAAAGATAACATCATGAGCACAATATTTGAATCATTGCTAGTCATTGCGGTATTATTTTGTATTTAGTTGTCATATTCATCAGTATAGCTTCTGTCATAGTCATTTGGAGATGAAACATATTTTAATTAATATGTGCCCACTTCATTCTGAGGCTCTGTAGGTGGCACTCCCCAGGGGAAAGTCCCTAAAAGTGAGTCACCGTGATTATTCATGTCCTGTGGCATCAGTCTTTGAAACCAATATCTACAGGAAATAAATACCAGGAATGTGAATGCAGATGCCTTGAGAAGACCACTAATCCTGCTATGATAAGTAACTGGGCAGTTATTCAAGTGGGGTGTTTTTAGTGCCATGGAAACAGACAGAGTCGGTGTTTTCCAAGGGAAAGTGTTTTAAATCCAGAGTCCTGCCTAATCTGGATATAAATATGCTGACTGTTATGAATCTAGCTTCCTAAACCAAGCCCTACCTTAATTTCCTCATATGTGAGGTAAAGGTCACCCACCACAGTCTGGTGTGAATTCATGGCAATTAAGGTTCTTACTTAGAAGAAGTCATTATTTTTATTCCCATCTGGGCAGAAGTCAAGTTCAAAGTCAGAGTTGTATCAGGGTTCAGCTTCTGTGATCAGTCAGACCATTTATGTTTAGAAGTGAGTTTTCTAAAGTAAGTGCTAAGTATTTTAGGCAAAGAAACCCAGCTGTGAAAATACTGCTAACATTTGTACAGTTGTTTTATATGTGGATTTATTTTTACTTGCACTTACTTTAGTGCGATTCTTTGCAGAGAAGTTCCTCTTCCCCTCCTCTCCTTCCCCGTCACTGCCTCTGGCTGCCTCTCGTGGGTCATTTGAGAAATGACAGTCTCTCTCTAATCCTTATGGGTCACAAGTGTTCTGCATCATGGCACACCCTTGACTAATTAGCATTAATAAGTGATGCTGGGAGAAAGAACCCTGGAGAAAAAGCAGAAGGCTTGTTTTTGCCAAATTGGAATTGACCCAGCTAGCAAAATTTTCCAGCGTACTTTCTTACTCTCTTGCCTCTTGTGTGTTCTTGCTGCCTAAACATACGTTTCTGACATGAGGTCTTGGACAGCCCATGAAATACACTGCCCTGCATACCTTTTGTTCCAGGGGGCATGGGGACTTTATTTATTTAATAAACTTTTCCTAAACTGTTTACTGTGTGCAGGCCATAAGGGATAATAAGACATCATTTCTGCCTCCTACCTTTTTATGTTGTTTTAGCACAGATATGGCAAAGATATATCTAACTATATATTAGTTATTGAGCACCTACTGTGTGAAAGGCATTGGGCTAGGTACAAATAGAAGAGCCTTGCAGAATAAACAGGACTTCAATAGGCAGGGAACCAAAATAGGACAGGCCAGGTAGGCTGCGCAGTAAAAGGAAAAGCTCAAAGGCAGGAAAGTAAAAGTCCAATTAGAGGGCTCTGCGTAGGGAATCCAAAGCAAAAGGGCTTAGTGGGAACTTCTGGGTCTATAACCAAAAGCAGGGTTTCAAAGAGATATTTACTTCATCCATGTTCATAGCAGCCATATTCATAATAGCCAAAACAAGGAAGCAACCCAAATGTCCATCAGTGGACGAAAGGATAAACAAAATAGCCTTAAAAAGGAAGAAAATCCTGCCATACACTACAACATGGATAAGCCTTGAGGACAGGATGCTAATGAAATGAGCTACTCATCAAAAGAAAATACTGCATGATTCCACTTACATGATATAGTTGAGAAATCACAGTCATAGAAACAGAATATAGAATGGTGTTTTTCAGGGGCTGTAGGGGAGGAGAGAAAGAGGAGTCATTGTTTAATGGGTATAGAATTTTAGTTTTACAGGACAAAAATTTATGGACATGGATGGGGTGATGGATGTGCATTATGAATGTATTTAGTAACACTAAACTGTACACTTAAAATGGTAAAAACTGTAAATTTTATGTGTATTTTACCACAATAAAAAATGGAAAAAAATGGGCATAGTGGAAAAACTCAGGGTTCAAATCCTACCTCTTTCCCTTATGCACTGGTTCTTCATATACAGACTAAAAATAACAATTGCACTTTTCAGGGTTGTTGTAGGTATTTAAGAAAATCCACTTAATACATGCAGGCGGAGGTTAAAGATAGTTTTTCGTATTAGTCAGTTTGACTATAGCAAACAATTTATGAAGGAGAACATGGAAAATGAGGTGGCAAAAGCAGTTTAGAGCCTCAAGTGAAATGCCTTGAATGCCTATCTATAAAATGGAGCTTTATTCTGTGAACAGTGAGGAACCATTGATGGTCAGTGAACAAAAGAGTGACATGGTCATGGAACTGTTTTCAGAACAATGAGGAGCAGATTAGGAGCAGAGAGAGAAGGGACTCACCAAATAGCTGGCAATTGCTGCAGTGGTTCTGCTGAGAAAGTGGAAAGGAAAAGGTTTATTTGAAGTGACGGTACTTTGCTATGGGAACATTTTTATTCTACTTTAAATAAAATTCAAAGTTATATCAAGAAAACTTCAGGTAAAATGTAAGTTAATGTTTTCCATGCTTGATCAATTCCCAATTTTTTAATCAAACACTACATGTTTGGTGACAAAACATAAATGTGATGTGGCATCCTTCCATCAGCACACACTTTGTGTGTTAACAAACAGCAAGACGCTGATTTCATAAATCCCAGACCAGACAGCACCTCAGGTTCTGGGAACCTTCTGCCTCTAAGAGACCACCCAGCTTTCAAGGGTCCACACAGATCTAAGTGAAAAGCTATAGGAATAACCATTTTGGAACCAGGTTACCTCAAAGACTTTCAGATGTTTATTTGGACATTTAGGCACATTTGGAAGAGAGCAACATAATGTCCCCAAAGAGGAAATCATTGAATAAAGGCGTGTGTTAAAAAGAATTGTGCAGCCATTAAAATAGTGTGTTTATGAAACAATGCTCATGGTATATTAAATAAACTAACCTAGGAAAAAATGTTCATTAGGTTATCATTTCTGTTACAAAGTTAAACATATATGAACATACTATTATGTGTATAGGTAAAGAACTGAAAGAACACACATTACATTTTTTTTTTTTTTTGAGATGCAGTCTCGCTCTGTCACCAAACTGAAGTGCAGTGGCACGATCTCGGCTCACTGTAACCTCCGCCTCCCGGGTTCAAGCGATTCTCCTGCCTCAGCCTCCCGAGTAGCTGGGACTACGGGCACGTGCCACTGCGGCCAGCTAATTTTTTTATTTTTGGTAGAGACGAGGTTTCACCATGTTGGCCAGGGTCTGGATCTCTTGACCTCGTGATCCACCTGCCTTTGCCTCCCAGAGTGCTGGGATCACAGGAGTGAACTACCGCTCTCAGCCCACATTATATTTTTAACAGCGGTAGTCTATGACTGAAGAAATTATGATGGTTTTAAATGAGAGATTACAAACTGACAGCTTAAGGTTGCGTTTGACTTCTGGACATTTTTGTTCACTTAACCTTTTCTGTTCTGTTACCCCTCTTTACACTATTCTCCAAGGACCTACTCACTTTGTGTATATTTTGATTACCTGCCTGAGCACTGTAGGTGTTCCTGGGTGAAGTTTTCACCTTTGCGCTTTTCTACAACAAGCAGGCTTTAATTTTATATAAGAAAAAGCAAAAGTTTTAATAATTAGCTTCAATTTGCAGTGTGCACATTAGAATTAAAAAAATTTCCTTTAAAAAAATTAGATAAATCATTGCAGTCTGGCCTGGGTGAAAGAGCGAGACTCCGTCCCCCCCCAAAAAAAATTAGATCAGTCATTTCCCTTCTACTGCCCTTAGTCCTAGGGTACAAGAAATAACAGCACACTTCCCATCATCCCCATGGGAGACTCCTCAGCTGATAGGTCTCTGTATGACCAGCTCCACCTCAGCCCTTGTTTTTGAAGGCTCTAAACATTCTGATCTTAACACTTGGGGTGGAAAACCAGAGTAAAATATTTATCTATGCATGATGGTCAGTATTTAAAGTGGGAGAATAATAAAATTATTATTCAATACATGCAATTTTGGAAGGTGTAGAATCTTTAAAAATATGAATCGCTTGAGTGAGGAAAATCAAAGCAATTTTCGGTGGTGGTACATTTAATATTCATTTAATCCAAGAACTTCATTTTACAAATTGGGAAATTAATAACCAAAGACATAAATCAGGTAAGACTTGATTAATGAAATACTGAATAGAATACTAGGTAGATCTTATGCAGTGGTTACTGGGGACCAGGCCCTTATCCATGTGAGCTGCAGACTCATTCAATCCTCTCAGCAGCCGGCATGGTAGGTGTGACTTCTGCCATAGTGTTTGTTCTGTTTCCAAATATATTAACAGAGATGTACAGAAGCAGCAGTACAGACTTTAGAGCTGATGAAGAACTCATTGATCACCTTTCTCAATGTCCACTTTTATGAGTAAGGAAACAGAGGACGATGCATATTTGATGACTTGCCCAAAGTCACTAGCTTCTAAGACTAAAATTCCAGCATCCTGGCTGTTTTCCAGGTGTTCTTTCATCACATTATGTTCCCCTCATCTGTGAACTGAAAAATAAAATAGTTAAGACCGGGCACGGTGCCTCACGCCTGTCATCCTAGCACTTTGGGAGGCTGAAGCTGGCAGAGCACCAAAGGTCAGGAGATCGAGACCAACCTGGCCAACATGGTGAAACCCCATTTCTACTAAAAATACAAAAGTTATCCAGGTGTGATGGCGCATGCCTGTAGCCCCAGCTACTGTGGAGGCTGAGGCAGGAGAATTGCTTGAACCCAGGAGGCTGAGGTTTCAGTGAGCCCAAATAGCGCGACTGCACTCCAGACTAAGCGACAGAGCGAGACTCCATCTCAAATAAATAAATAAATAATAAAATAAAATATAATACAATAAATAAGTTAAATTACTAACATTTTTACTTAATAAAGTAGGATGATATGAAGGAACTTTTTATTAAGGAAGTCAAGAAAAGCTATTATTGAAAAAATGAAGAATATATTTTATAATTTTATAACAAGGACTCTGGCTAATAAAAATAAACAACCAGGTGTATTTTCATTCTATTCCTTGGAAAATATGAAGTACTCATTCTTACTCAAAAAAATAGATAACGTTAATAACCATACATCTATTACATAATTGAATGTAAAATTAAAAATCTTCCTCTAAGAAAACCCCAGACCCAGAATGCTTTCATTGGTGAATACAAGCGGTTGGCAAACTGACCTGTGGACCAAATGTGGCCCAACACGTTTTTCTACAACCAACAAACAAAGGAGAGTTTTTACAGTTTTAAATGGTTGGGAAGTAATTGAAAAAAAATAGTATTTCTTGACATCTGAAAGTTATGTCATTCAAATTTCAGTACCCATAAATGAAGTTTTGTAGAAACACAGCCATGCTTATTCATTTTTGTATTGTCATAGACAATACAATGGCAGCATTGAATAGTTGTGGCAGAGATGGTTTGGCCTGTAAAGCTTAAAATATATGCTATCTGATTTTTTTAAAAGAAGTTTTCTGATCCCTGAATTCTACCAATGAAGGAATAAGGAATACCAACTCCACACAATTCTTCTAGAAAACAGAAGAGAACACTTTTCAACTTCATTTTATGTAGCTACCAAAATATACACATGACATATACAGTCTTGTCCCTTGATATCCATGAGGGATTGGTTCCAGGACCCCCGTGGATAACAAAATCCAAGGACAGTCAAGTCTCTGACATAAAATGGCATAGCACTTGTATGTAACCTATGCACATCCTCCTGTATACTTTAAATCATGTCTATATTACTTATAATACCTAATACAATGTAACTGCTACTTAACTGTTATACTGTATTTCTATGTGTACTATTTTTTACTGTTTTATTGCTATTTTTCCAGATATATTTGATCCATGGTTTGTTGATTCTGCAGATGCGGAATCCTGAGATACAAAAAGCCAATCATACACTGGAAACTATAGATCATGGCAAAGAGAAATTAGAAGACCCAAACAAATGAGTCCTCATGAATTGAAGGACTCAATATTATCAAAATGTCTATTCTGCTCAAACTGATCTATAGATTCAATGCAATCACAATCAGAATCCCAGAAAGAGGTGTTTTTGCTTATTTGTTTGTTTTCTGTTTTGGTAGAATTGCTAAGCTGATTTAAGAATTTATAAGGAAGTACAAAGGACCCAAAATGACCAAAATAGTTTTTGTTTGTTTGTTTGTTTTAATGAGATAGGGTCTCACTATCTTGGCCAGGTTGGTCTTGAAGTCTTGGCCACAAGCAATCCTCCCACCTCAGTCTCCCCAAAGTGCTAGGATTACAGGCATGAGCTAGTGTGTCCAGTCACAAAATGACCAAAATAGTTTTAAAAAAGAAACAAAGTTGGAGTTCTTATGTCATAGGATTTCAAGTTTTATTATAAAGCTATAATAATCATGACAATATGGTTAAGACATAAGGATAGAGCTGTAGATCAGTAAAACAGAATAGAGAGTCATAAAATAGTAACTCACATATTTGAACAATTGTTTTTCAACAAAGAAACCAAAGTAACTTAATGGAGAATAAAGAAAGGATAATGTTTTGAAAACTGGCGCTGGAACAACTAGATATCCATATTTTAAATAGGAGGAAGGAAGGAAGGAAGGAAGGGAGAGAGGGAAGGAAATAGCAAATAATTTGTATTCTTTCCCTCCCTTTCTCTCCCTCCCTCTATGGGTACAAGAGAAAACATCTCTTCAGAATGCTATTTTGGGTGATGAATAGGTTATATGTTAGGAGAGAAGGGTTCTAACCACAGAGTAGGTGGGCATTGACTGAAGGACTAAAGAGTTTTATTCTTAGTATAAAGGCAATAGGACACGTTGTAAAATATTGAGTGGAAATGTGATATAACTGGAAGGGCATTTTAGAGAGCATTTTAAAATTGAAATGTGTAGGAAGGATTTAAATACTAAGAGATTAAAGTCATGGAGAGCAGTAAGGAAGCTTTTACTAATTTGAAGCATGAACACAGACGAGCTAGGACAGGGTGCTATTTTTGGGCATGTTCCCTTCCTTCCCTGTAAGGGGCAGACAAATCTTGGGAAGAACCAAATAACACATATGAAATGAAGAGGGCCATTTCCTGACAAAATAGATCAGGTATGAAAGGAGCTCCAGGGAGAAGAATATCAACAAAGAATAAAATAATTGAGGAAGACTTCGTGGAGGCAGTCAGATTTAATTTGTGCCTTGAAGCAGGGTGGAATTGAGATGCATGAACTTGTATAATTGCACGAAGAAGGGAGAGCACTAGACAAACAAAGAAAGTAAATGTAGTATTGTAACTTTGGTTTGATTATATTTTAAGGGAAGTAATTTAGGCAAAATAATGGTTTCCCCAAAGATTTCTCCATACTAATGTTAGGACCTGTGAATATCTCACCTTACATGCAAAAGGAACTTTGCAGTTGTGATTAAGGTTGAGGACTTTGAGATGGGGATATTACCCTTGATTATTTTAGTGAATCCAACCTAATCACATGAGTCCTTACAGTTCTAGAAGGTTAGAAGTCCAACACATGTTTCACTCCTTAATAATACACTTGTGGCTGTTAGCATCCAAAGACATCCCCTGACAATTCCTCTTTTTTAAATTTATTTATTTTTTGCATGTATTTGCCTTTGAATTCTGGGCCAAACTTGTAACTTCCTTTGGTCAACAGAATGCGGCAGAAATAATATTCTGAAACTTCTGAATTGAAATCTTAAAAGGATGATCAATGTCTACTTCCTGCCTTGTAGAATCTGGGTGGCATGCTGTGAGGAGACACAGGTAGCCCTTGGAGAGGCCCACATGTAGAAGAACTGAGGCCCTAGGCCAATAGCCAAAGTTAAGCTTCCCATTCAACACCCAGCGTCAATTGTCAGCTATGTGAGTGACTTTCCAGCCACCGTCGCATAACGGCACATTATGCAGTTATAGGCAGTCAAACCAGAATTACTCTTAAAATGTTCCTTTCTCATTCTTTTAAAAACATTTCATATTTTCTTCCAGAAGCATATGTTTTCTAAATTGTAAGCATTTTAATGGCAAGGACTCTATCTTGTTTAAGTTAATATTTCAAGATTTAGCCCATGACTGGCACATAAAAGCTACTCAAAACTATTAAAAGAATGAAGAGTGAATGAATGAGTGTTTAACCTATAATCGGAAGGAAAAAAATACAGTGTATTAAAAATAAAAATATAATAATTAAAATAAAGTGCTCAGTTAAGCTTGGAATCAGAATTTTTCACTTGGGGATTTTATCCAAACCCAACCCACAATATTGCCATTAAAACTAAGAAATACACACCACTTCATCCTAATCCTAGCATGCACTAGTAACGTGTCTTATTTCCCATTCCCAAGGCAACTCAGTTCTTGGGTCATTCTGTATATTCATGTGTGTCCTGTTCAGCAGTTCTAAGTATACTCAACAAAGCATGATACAAAGAGTAGCTCAAATGATTATGCTTGTTGGTTGGTTTTTTTATCCGAACAAAAGTGGCTTGTCTTCAGACATTTTTTGGAAATAAAATGCTCTGCTCCAATTGTTGGAAATAATATTTGTCCATAGGTTTCAAACAGGAATCTCAGAAGTTTTTAATTATTGTGTATTATTTCTTCTTTATAATGCCCTGAGCTCACAAGAAAAAAAAAAAAAGGGGGTCTGCCACTGTGGTTGGCATGCCAATGAAGCCTGTTGTGAACTCTCGAGTATAATATAAACCTCTGCCGAACACATAAAATTCTTGGCTTCCGAGAGGAGTCTTGTAGAAAGAGTGCTGTGTTTGCTTCCAGCATAGTTATTCTATTCAGAGCTCTAATCCCAAGTCACTTTTAAAAGACCAAGTCCAAAGAAAGTTGACACAGTTCACATTTTTTAAATTAAAGAACAATTTCTACTCTTTTTATAGTTGACAAGAGTATTGTAGTGTTGTCTTATTAGTAGTGAATAATTCTAGAATACATAAATAGTTCACTTTATAAAAATCTTTTAGGTGACGCGGCCAGATCGGGATGAAAATCCAAAGACTGGAAACAACTGAACTTGAAATTAGCTGCCAAATGACCCAGATGGGGAGAATCGAATATCAAATTTTTTTTTGAAGTTTGAGAAAAGTATCAGGATGGTCACTCAGGCTTAAAGAAATAAAAGCAGCAGGGTCTAGGCTGGCGAATCTTAGTCATTCTGACAATGAAAGGCTAATGGCATGATCTCTGGGGTCAGAACCCTTGACAAGTATTCCAGCTGCATCCCTTGCAAACTGTATGGAGGATAAACATGACATCGAATGGGTGATCAATAAATATTAGGTTGATACAAAAGTTATTGCAGTTTTTGCCACTGAAAGCAATGGCAAAAACCGCAATAACTTTTGCACCAATCTAATGTTAGCTATCAGGAGTCTGCACATGAAACAATACAAAACAAAAAAGTCCAGAGAAACAAAAGAAGTCAAGGTTGGTTATGCTTTTCTCTGTTATTATCTCAATCACAAAGACCCTTAGATTGATCTTTAAAAATCTTAAGCAGAGTATAGTCCAAAGGGAAAATAGAAGAACAAAGAAAGTAAAAGAATCCGATGGATAAATTACCTAAGATTAGAACATGGTACCACATGCATCTTGCATGACAAGAAGAATATGAGATTTTATGGAGAAGCCGTATTGTACACATCTCTTTATCCTCCTGTACCTCACAGGTATGGGAGAGCCCCCAGGATTTAGAATTTATGAAATTACTGATGATAAAACAAGAGTTGCAAGCAGAAAGAAGTCTCATGCTCTAGATCCCCAAGGATATTGCAAAAAAAGACACTTCAAATATGGAGACAAATATGAAAGGGAATACACGTGGCATGAGTATGCTTATTCTCCCATGTTGTATGGTGGTGATGGGAAAGGCAATGATGAGTAGATGTGGTGGGCCTTGGAACCGTATTGATTTAAGAAGGCTGTGGCTGATGAAAATGATGTGAGTCAGTTGAGTCAGATAAACGATGTGTATGCTCCTGGTTATGTCATTTTACCTATCTCACTTTCTGTTTCCCTTCTGTGAAATAAAAGAATGAAACTCAATTGCTGTTAAACTATGTCTTGAAAAAGCAAGGGTTCTAAGGAAGGGCTTCTTTTCATTTGGTTTCTCCAAAAGTAGATCCCAAGATAAGGATTTTCATATAAGTTATTTATTTGGAAGTTAATCCCAGAAATTGTGGTCTTGGAATGGAGAAGTGAGACAGGGAAGTGAAGTAAGTCCATAAATGTGAGTTATCAAGAAAGTTACCCCTGTGAGCAGCTTGAAAGGAATGTTCCTGTGGAACACAGAAACAATGAGAAACAGCAGTTTTTAAACTTTTCCTTTACCATCTTAAAATTTATTCAGGACCTGAAAAAGCTGTTGTTTGTGTTGGTTATATCTAAAAATATTGATGACATTAGAAATTAAAACTAAGAAAATTCTAAATTATGTACTTATTAATTTTAAAACAATTCTAAACACATTACATGTTAAGTAATGCCATTGTATTAAAAAGTTACATCTTCTAATACCAAAAATGTGAGAATGGCATGTTTCATAATTTTTGCAAATCTCTTTAATACCTGGTCTAATAAAAAACAAATAAATTCTCCTATGCTCTTTTGCATTCAATCTGTTGCTATATATTTTGGCTAACATAAAGCTTGCTTCAGACAGATACGTGGTTGAAAAAGAGGAGTCTTTTAATATCCCCTCAGATGGTTGTGTATAATCTTCTTTGATACTACACCAAAACTTGACAAGTAACAATGTCTCAAAGGTTAGTTTCAGTGTGGCAATGTGCATGAAATTTTTGTACTCTATTTCATTAAAATCCATTTTTTAAAATCTTGCACTTTAAACAAATCTTGTACCCATGTTGGATTGTGTAACATCATGCATTGGTCATATGGAAATTATTAGTTACCTTAGGCAAATATTGTAAATGTTATCATATTTCATTATACAACTTTAAAAAATTCTATTCATGAATATCTTCACTCATCTCATCAGAAAAAGCCTTTAAGCATTGGGAAGTCATCAAGCACACATTGGTAGATGTAAGTTTTCCAAAATTCTAATTTTCTCTTGAAAGCTCAGATTTTATTATTGGCAACAAATACTGTCAATGATTTCTTTGAAGTGATGGCCTCATTTCATCAATTTTCTAAAAACTTGTCTACCAAGTACTCAACTCTGAATAACTGCAGTTTGTCCGTTCTTTCAACTCCATCACACAGTTGCCTTTCTTTGAAATAACCATCATACTTCATTATGCTGCAGAAGTGCTTTATACATAGCTCTTAGTTTATTATCTATTTTAACAATTTGTATTTGAGGGTCAATATTTAATAAAATGTAATAATTTTTTACAACTTCATCAAGGATATTCCTTGTGAAACCTTCTCCACAGTACATTTTGGAAAATTTTCATCACACCAAAAAGAAATCCTGTAGCCTTTAATATTTACTGCCATTTTCTTGCAACCCCAAGCCCTAGACAACCAGTAATCTACTTTCTACCTCTATATGTTTGCCTATTCTGGACGTGTTATATAAATGGAATCATGTAGACTTTTGTGACTGGCTTTTTTCACTTAGCATAATGTTTTCAACTTTCATCTATGTTGTAGCCTGTATCAGTATTTCATTGCTTCTAATTGTTTAATAATATTCTATTATACGGATATGCCACATTTTATTTTTCCCTTCACCAGTTGATGGACATTTGGGTTGTTTCCACTTTTGGGATCTTATGAATAATGCTGCTATGAACCTTTGTGTAAAAGTTTTTGTGTGAACATATGTTTCCATTTCTCTCAGGTATATACCTAGGAGTAGAATTCCTGGGTCATATGGTAACTCTATGTTTAGCCTTGGGTGAACTGCCAAACTGATTGCCAAAGAGGCTATACCAATTTACACTGTGACCAGTAATATATGAGTGTTTGAATTTTTTACATTCTTAGCACCACTTGTCATTATGTCTTTTTGATGATAGACATCCTTGAGGGTGTGAAGTCACATCTAATTGGGATTTTGATTTGTATTTCTTTGATGGCTAATGATGTTGAGCATCTTTACACGTGTTTATTGACCATTTTCTTTGGAGAAATATCTATTCAGATTTTTAGCCCATTTGTTGCTGTTGTTGCTAAACTCTTATTTTTACTGGTAAATAATAGTTTTATATTTTATGTATAATAATCAAATTGGGGTAATTGGAATATCCATCAACTCAAACATTTATCATTTCTTTGTGTTGGAAACATTTCAAACCTCTTCTATTATAAAATATATAATACATTATTATTAACTATGACCACACTACTGTAGTATTAAACAGTGGAACTTATCTATCTAACTGTATGTTTGTACCTATTAGCCAGCCTCTCTTCATCTCCCATTGCCCCCAGTCCTTCTCAATCTGTAGTAACCATCATTATACTGTCTACTTCCATGAGATCAATTATTTTTGCTCCCAAATATGAGTGAGAACATGTAATATTTGTCTTTCCATGACTAGTTTAGTTCACTTAACATGATGACCACAGTTCCATCCATGTTGCTGCAAATGACAGGATTTCATTCTTTCTTATGGCTGAATAGTATTCCATTGTGTACAAATACTACGTTTTGTTTATCCATTCATTCACTGATGAACACATAGGTTAATTCCATATCTTGGCTATTGTGAATGATGCTGCAATAAACATGGGAGTGTGGATATCCCTTTGATATACTGACTTCCTTTCCTTTGAATAGATACCCAGTAGTGAGATTGCTGGATCATATGATAGTTTTTAGTTTTTTGACAAACCTGAATACCATTTTTCACAATGGCTGTACTAATTTACATTCTCATTAGCAGGGTTTAAGAGTTCCCTCATCTCCACATCTTTGCCAATATTTGTTACTTTTTGTCTTTGGTAATGGCCATTCTGAGGTGAGATGACATGCGTTTCTCTGATGTCAGTGATATTGAGCATTTTTTAATATGCTTGTTGGTCATTTTTTATGTGTTCTTTTGAAAAATGCCTATTCAGATTATTTGCCCACTTTTTAATGAGATTATTGTGATTATTATTTTCTGGTGAGTTGGGTTCCTTGTATACTCTGGATATTAGTTTCTGATTGAATGAGTAGTTTACAAATATTATCTCCCATTCTACAGGTTATCTCTTCACTCTTGATTATTTCCTTTGATGTGCAGAAGCTTCTTAGTTTAATATAGTCCTATTTGTGTATTTTTGTTTTCGTCGCCTATGTTATGTAAGACTTAGCTATAAAATCATTGCCTAGACCAAATTCCTGAAATGTTTCTCCTATGTTTTCTTCTAGTAGCTTTTTTCTGGGGGTTGGGGTGTGAGGAGAGGGTTTCAGTTTGTTGCCCAGGCTGGAGTGCAATGACACGATCTCGGCTCATTGCAACCTCTGCCTCACAGGTTCAAGTGATTCTCGTGCCTCAGCCTCCCCAGTAGCTGCGCTACAGGCATTTGCCACGATGCCTGGCTAATCTTCGTATTTTTTGGTAGAGATGGGTTTCACCATGTTGGCCAGGCTGGTCTCGAACTCCAGACCTCAGGTGATCCCTGCACCTCGACCTCCCAAAGTGTTGAGCCTTCTAGCAGCTTTTGTTTGTTTGTTTGTTTTGACGGAGTATCGCTCTGTCACCCAGGGTGAAATGCAGTGGCGCGATCTCGGCTCGCTGCAACCTCCGCCTCCCGGGTTCAAGCAATTCTCCTCCTGCCTCAGCCTCCTGAGTAGCTGGGACTACAGGTGCATGCCACCACGCACGGCTAATTTTTGTATTTTTAGTAGAGACAAGGTTTTACCGTGTTGGCCAGGCTGGTCTCTAACACCTGACCTCAAATGATCCACCCACCTCGGCCTCCCAAAGTGCTGGATTACGAGCATGAGCCACCGTGCCCGGCCTCTAGTAGCTTTATAACTTCAGGTGTTATGTTTAAGTCATTGATTCATTTTGATTTGATTTTTGTATATGGTAAGAAATAGGGGTCTAGTTTTATTCTTCTGCATATGAATATCCAGTTTCCCCAGCACTACATATTGATGAACATGTCTTTTCTCAGTTGTATGTTCCTGACACCTTTGTCAAAATCAATTGGCTGAAATTCGACGAATTTATTTCTGGGTTCCCTCTTCTGTTCCATTGGTCTGTGTGTCTGCTTTTATACCAATGACTCAACCTTTGGTTTATTCTTTTTTTATTCTTCTTCATTGTGGGAACTTCATGTTAGGAATGCAATGCTGGCCATGTTGGGGATTTATAAAACTTATTTTCTTTGAAATTTTTGTATTAAAACAAACAAATAAAATGAATAAAAGTGTTGCAGTTTGCCACAGGCACTCATGGCTAGCATTGCTGCTCAGTGTGTTACAGCAACTTCTAGTCCTCTCCTGTAAGATTACACCAGAAGCTTGCTTGCTTGCTTTCTTTCTTTCTTTCTTTCTTTCTTTCTTTCTTTCTTTCTTTCTTTCTTTCTTTCTTTTCTTTCTTTCTTTTTTCTTTCTTTTTTTATAACTATATTTGGACCTGACTCTTGGAAGGGAACCATTAGCTGTCTAACTCAATCATTTGGTTGTGCTGGCCTCAGTGTCACTGAGTCTGGTATAAGATTGCCTCTTAATGAGGGAAGCAGGCCAGGAAACCCTGTGTCATCTGGAGCAACAGTTGAAGGGGGCTCTGGGAAGGTAGGGAAATGTTTGAGAACCTGTCACCTGCCTAGAAAGAGCCATCAGAGCTCCCTGCATCTGCTTTTAGAGTTCCCTGGGGTTGTGGCAAAAGTAGCGGGGGATGGGAGTCTCTGGCTAGAAACCATTATGGAAAAAGTCATGAAGGGCACACACCCCAGGCACAATCTTGAGTCTTTCTAGAAGAGTCAGCCTTGGGCTCAGAGTATTTTTCAACATTTTACCCGTACAACCAAAGTGCTGGTCTAGAATGATTTAGAGTGATACAAACGGCATCAATCCTTCATATGTTTCCTTAATTAAAATCACACATATATACATATGGGCAACAGGCAAATAAAAACTGGTCTTATTTCTTTTTTTCATACAAAAATAACGTATCATCCTTACAAAAATTTAGAAAATATGCTGAAGCACATAATAATAACAATAATACCAAAAAATTAAGTCGATGTAGTCTCATCACTCAAAGATAAGCACTTGCAATATTTTGATATGTTATCTGTCTAGCCTTCCTTTTTAAATATATTTTGTATATATTGTGGAGTCATAGAATTGTTTTATAATCAGCTTTATTTTTTCATATAATACTATCGAGTAAACATTTGTCCAAGTCATTGAATACTACTCTACTATCATCATATTGTCCATACATTATCTCATTATTCAATAAAATGAGTTTTATTTCCTTCTCAAATGTTTTAAACTTTCTAAGAGTCAGCTTTCTTATCTGGCATACCTATTACAGGTATTTTGAAGATTCATTAAAACCAGAAGCAGAACACCTGATATAATAACCATTCAGAGAGCATAACTTGTTGGTGTTACTTCTATTTGTACCACTTCCCTATTGCCATGTTTTGAAATTATTCCTTTTTGTAAATACAAATCAATAATTGTTTTTTAGACTAAATAACAAAATAGATTTATAGAATCAAGGATTTCTTTTTTTTTTCTTTTTTTTTTTTTTTGAGACGGAGTCTCGCTCTGTCGCCCAGGCTGGAGTACAGTGGCGCAATCTTGGCTCACTGAAAGCTCTGCCTCCTGGGTTCATGCCATTCTCCTGCCTCATTCTCCTGAGTAGCTGGGACCACAGGCGCCCGTCACCTCTCCCGGCTAAGTTTTTAGTAGAGACGGGGTTTAGTATTTTTAGTAGAGACGGGGTTTCACCATGTTGGCCAGGATGGTCTCAATCTCCTGACCTCGTGATCCACCCGCCTCGGCCTCCCAAAGTGCTGGGATTACAAGCGTGAGCCACCGCGCCTGGCCAGAATCAAGGATTTTCAATGGAAAACTCTAGAGTGTTTTTCATTGCTCAGCGAGCACAGTCTGAATATCTTCATGAGTATGTCTGTTCTAGAGACCACAGTTATATGATGTGCACACAGAGGATATGGCTGGTACATGCCCATGCCAAAGGGAGTTAAAAGGGGACATAAATGGACATGAAAACAAATTGGCTTTTATAGTTACCTCTTGATCTAAAAAAATACAAGGCAATAACCAAAATATACTTTCTATAACATCTTAAGGAAGACTTGGCTGTTTATGTTGAACTGCTAATATAAGTTGATAGAATGGGAAGAAAATATATACTTGACTTGTGCACATTAGCGTGAGCATCTGAGCATAAAGTGCCACTTTATCAACACAAAGTTTATTTCATTTCAAGTTCCACTGCACTCCATTTCTGCACAGACATAAGATCATAAGATGAAGTTAGAGGAGAGAGGCAAGAATAGATTCCTTGAATTGTACAGGGCTCCATAATGTAGTTATGAGATCTTTGAGAGTCATTATGAGAAAATAGATACAAATTCTGTCCTTAACTTTCAGCATGTAGCAAACTGATAAGAAAATGACAAGAATAGCTAAAGAATGCTAACTGAAGTGCCATAAATATTGAAAACAGAGATGATAATAAGTTTCACAGAGAGCTGAGTCCCAGAGGATGAAAAGAATTGAAATGTGAGTAGTTGATGGCACTGTATTCCAATTGAGGAGAATTGAATAAGAACAGGTAAAGAAGAATGAATTATGGGTGGCATGTACAGAAAGCCATAAAGAGTTTAGTTTGGTCAAAAGAAAGAGTGTGGAAAACACTTAATATTTTACTGAGCACTGACTATGTATGTGATGACTTCTGAGTAGAGGGCTTGATGTGGTATCTTGCTTGAACTCTACAACTCTGTAATAGATTATATCATGCTTGTTTTATAGATTGTGAAAATAGAAACCCCTGAAGATTTCAGGCAAGAAAACCAATCATTTGGAACTGTGCTCCTGGAAGATTAATTTGATGTCAGCGTGCATAACGCAGTGTAATGGGGAATAATAGAGATGGAAGGCCTTTCCATTGTAAAGGCCATGGCAATAGTCCAAATGACAACTGAAGAAGATATGACTTATAAGAGAAGATGAATGTGAGTGTGTTGCAGAGGTTGAATCCAAGGGATTAGTAAGACAATTGCGTGTGAGAAGTAAGAAAAATAAGGATGTGAAGGTTTCACACGTAAATGATTGCAAGGATGGTAGTGGCATTAAAAGAGGGAGAAGAGGAGGTCCCTGGGAGGGTCGATGATGGAGTTAGTTTGGAATCTACTAGGTTTGTAGAAAAGCCAGAGGTAGATCTCCATCAGATGATGGGTATGAGAAAGTAGAATCCAAGAGACAAAAATTTGTGAGTAGAAATGTAATAAGAGTTAATATTAGGCTAGTAGCTGGACACATTTCACAGAATTGGCCACTGCATGCAGTTATGTCACAGAGATACGACAGGACAATCAAACTCCCAAAATTTGAATTTCCAGGATTATTTAAAATTTATCATATAACCCTTCATCTCAAAATTGTTTAGTGAATTTTAATCAAATGAGGATAGCTGTTCAAAATATCATTCATTTTACTTTTGGGAAAAACTTTCATGTCAAAGCAATGAGGGGTATGTGCATGTGTGTGTGTGTGTGTGTGTGTGTGTGTGTGCATATGTGTGTGTAAGCATCTCACTTAACTCCCTTTGGGCCCATCCCTTCTCCCTGTGTATTCCGAGTATTGATAAGAGCAGAATATGTAAGTTGCTGCTGAGGAGGCCTTGAAGAGGCAGTATGCAAAGTCACTTAGAAGCAGAACCTAAGCCATGGTTGAGTCAGACTACTCACATTGGCTAAATTGTGAAGATTTTCTTCTTATGTGGTGAGTCTTCCTAATGAGAAGCTTAAGAAATAAAGTTTATTTTGTTTATAAATGTTTCCACTTGATGTGTTTTTCTCCTAAAAACAAAATACGATAAAAGCAATTTTCATGATATGTCTTTCAAAATTGAATTGCTGGTAGCATTTTTTCCCCATTCCTAAAGTAAACAACTTCCTTTCAGATCTAAAATGTAAATCATAATTGTGCTTTCTTTCTGGGGCTTCTGCCTTTTGTCAAATTAACAGCTCTCGAAAGAAGCGCATATGTTCAGCTGACCTGCAGTTGGACCTAACATTTCTTTCCCAAACTGTCAGATATTTTAGTCATGGAGG
Organism: Homo sapiens; assembly: GCF_000001405.40. Lineage (NCBI taxonomy): Eukaryota > Metazoa > Chordata > Mammalia > Primates > Hominidae > Homo > Homo sapiens. The sequence goes on from NC_000001.11 coordinate 221,458,274, forward strand.
AGAGAGGACACACTTCCAGAATCTGCTGTGTGTGGCCCGGATCCTGTTCTCTGGCCCCAAGCAGTCTAATCGCTCTGCCTCACAGGGGCCGCTTTTGGCTAATGAATCCTTAGCTCCAAGTTTTTCCTCTTCCTAATGAGTGCTAATAAAATGCATTTAACTCCACTAATGCAACAAAAACTCAGCATTATTTCATTGTATCTACTTAATAAGAACCTTGTTTAATATCAAATTACAGCCTGTTCAGCCAAAGCATTATACAGGGGGAAGTGGGACTGTGAGAAGGGAGTATCAAGTGCTCTAATTTAGACATTCCTCCTTAGTATGCCCTGCAGTATTACGTGATTGCTTAATTCATTTAGCCGAGCTAGTCTGATCCATCTGCCAACTGTTGTGTAAAATTTACTGCAATGCTAGGCAACCAGTCCCACCACACAAGCTAGAAATATAGTATCGCTTTTCCTGGGACCAAGTTATTAACAGTTGTTTGGGGAGAGGCAAGAGGCAATGGTGCAGATACTGTTACAAAAAGGAAGACCTTCTGGATGTGCCTCATTTTATAAAATGGTTACAGCAAATCCCATTTTTTATTCATCAAAATGTGTTTCTAATTGTTCATGGTCTAATTTCAGAGGCATTTCATCTTTACTTCAAATTTATCTTCGATGAGCAATGATGTCTAATTTCCTATTTATCTTAGCTTTGAACTTCTCTGTCTTCTTTTGACCAGCCTCTCTCTCAAGAAATGATCAGTAACGAACATCTACTGGAAACTTTCCATGTGAAGGAAAGAATCATTTTGTAATTTGAGTAATCATTGCTTGAATTAGATAAAGTTCCATGTATATTGGATTTTCTTAAAGTGAAGTACATCTGTAGTCTTATTTCTGTAAACTAAAGGCAAAAGCCTTATTTTGAGTTTCCCACCAAATTTAGTGACCTGGAAATTTCTGTTCTTCTTGTTACCTGAGAGAGATTGCATTTGGAGACTTTTTCATCTACATTGTTCCTTAAGTTACAAGATTCTATTATCCTTGATACCTGCATATTAAACTGGTAGATACACTTCTCTTGGATGTTTGAAGGCGTTAAAAAAATTTGTAACTTACTCATGGATTTATGAAGAGAAGAGAAGTTGGGGAAACTTAGAAGAGCTTCCTTCTATCATTTTATACTTATTCAGAAAAGCCAAATGTTACATATAGATAGGAAAATAGTTTTCAAACTGTTTAGGAAAATTCCAGTGTAAAGGAATAATAGTTATCTTTCAAGACCTTATAACTGGTCACCTGATAAGAAAATGGGTGAAGATGGTAGGACTTCATTCAAGACTTATCTTGTAGAGTTCATGTAGGAATTATTAAGACCAGAAATTTGTTGTTGCTCAATTTCTAGTAAGTGGCTTGAATCAAAATTTGGTTCTGCTCACTAACAACAGTTAAGTACCCTTGTAACTCCTTAGTGGGTGAAGTGGAGATTCTAGATCCCTCCAGCCAAGGACAAGGCAGGTAATTATTGCCAGGTATAACCATGTTCCATAGCATTCCAACATCTCAGAAGAATAAATGGATATTTCTACCTAAACAGAAGGTGTGCCTTTGTTCAAAAATGAATCTGGATAGGACAGAAGTTTTTATACCTTCTAGTAATACATTTCGTTTTTTTTCCTTCTTCCAACCTTGATTTTTGGTCAGAATATAAAATAAATTTCAAAACAAAATGATGTACGATTTCAAATAATTGCATGAAATATACTAGTAATAAAAGAGCCAATATGTAGTGTTTTTATGTGATAGGGAATATTAATATGAAACTATGTCCTATATAATGTTTTTCTCCTGATGTTTAAAAACTCTATAGTTATAGATCATCTATTTATTTGTAAACTGTACTAAATAATTTTGTATCAAATCTTCCAAGCTAAGTTTATTTTCAATGTATTGGTAGAGAAATGCATCTAGGTAGCTTTGTAGTCAGACTACACTCATCCATAGGCTAATGAAAAATTAACTTGGGGAAGCTTTGGGGAAAGCAGTCAGGTACTGAGTTTTTCTTGAACAAAAAACCAAAAATTTAGAAGAATATCCTTTTTGAAATCTAGTCTTCATAGGGAAAGCTAGCTTTCTTCCAAACTAAATCATCAGAAATGGTAGGATTAACTGATGTATAAGTAGAAATTTCTCTCTCTGAGATATTGTACTGTTTAACTCATGTAACAGTGAGAAGAAGCTTTGATTACTTCAGGGAAGAGGCTAAAAAAAGAAGAGGTTTATTATGTCCCCAGTGGGCCAAGGTTTCTAAAGGTATCTTAGCCTCTGTGCTCCTAAAATAAAACATAACCCTTACTAGCAGAGCCTTTCCTGAGAATTAACATGCTCTTAGTTTTCTTTGTATCAGACATTCTGGAAGTGTTTCTTTTAAAGAATCAAGACTCTGGTGAGAGCTAAGAAAATGAAGCCATGAAATTTCTTCCAATCCTAAACTTTTAAGGGACTAGAAAAAGAGAGTTGCTTTGCTTATAAAATGAAGAGGATCATATAGACTTAGTTTTACTGTTGTTTCTTTGAGCACTTACTTGGTATCATTCTTGTATTTGTTAAGCATCACCACAAAGTCACCTTAAATTCTTCTCACTTGTCCTTCACAGAAAACCAGCCACTGAGTCTGGAATCTTCTATATTCTTCTTTTCCTGCTTCTTTCAAATACATCTTATTCACTTCTCCCCTGACATCATTTTAAAATCGCTTTATTGAAATATTGAAATTGCCATTAAAAGTAATGGCAAAAATTGCAATAACTTTTGCACCAACCTACGAATTTAAAAACCAGAAATCTACCCATTGTAAGTGTAAAGTTTGATTAGTTTGAGTAAAATTATACATTTGTGCAACAGTCCCCACAATCCCGATTTAGAACACTTTCCCTTCCCCAAAAGTTCCCTGGGGCACAGTTGCAATTAATCCCCACTTGCTGAGTCTCTGACAACCATGGAACTACCTTCTGTCTCTATGGGTTGCCTTTTCTGGACATTTCATATAAATAGAATCAGGTGGTCTTTTGCATCTGGCTTCTTTCACTTAGCGTGATGTTGTTGAGATTCAGCTATGTTGCAACGTGTGTCATTACCTTGTTTTTTTATTGCTGAATAGTATTCCATTTTATGGCTATACCACAATTTGTCTGTCTATGTATCCATTGATGGGCATTTTGGTTGTTTCTAGTTTGGGGCTGCTATAAATAATGCTGTTATAAATATCTGTGTACCTATCTTTTTGTGGGCGTATGTTTTCATTTCTCTTGCTAGATATATAGGAGTAGAATTGCTGGGTCATGTGATGAATATATGTTTAATTTTTTAAGAAACTGACAAACTCTTTTCTAAAATGGCTGTACCATTTCTTCCTGCCAGCAATGCATGAGCCTCCAGTTTCTCTACGTCCTAGCTAATGCTTGTTATTTGCAGCTTTTTTATTTTAACCATTCTAGTGAGTGTGTGGCATGGATCTCATTGTACTTTACCGATTGGCTTTAACCTAGTGACTAAGATGTTGAGCACCTCTTCCCCTGTTTATATTATCCCTTATTTCAAACCTTCATCCTTTCTCACCAGGAATACATGTAAAGGACTATATGCTATTTACAGGTTTTCTTTATCCAGCATACCTTCTCTTTAACATTCTTCTGGTAATAAACTCCTTTTGTCCTGTGGAGACCCCATTACACACTATTCAAGTGTGAAAGATCCTGCCCTCCTATTGAGTGCCATGGGAATGAGGCCTGACTAATTCGATAATAATATTTTCTAAAGAAAGTGATTGCTTTAAGATTGAGGTCATCACATTTCCCTTGAAAGAAGTTTTTCTGCAGAGACGTGGGAAATACAACTAAACACACATTCTAATCTTGTTAGTTGCAAGTACCCAGGACTAGCTAACCTACCAACCTCTAAAATTGTGGGAAATCATGCACAACACATTCTAAGGCTTCCTTGACTCTGTCATCACCCACCCCTGTAAAAGCCTCCCCTTATGGACAGGAGAGAAATTAGGCACCCTACTTACACAGCCTCAATAAATGAATTTATTTTATTCTACTTTACTCAATTTTTTAAATTTTATGTTATTGCTTATTCTCCTCAGATCTCCTTCTCTTGCCCTAATATTAACTAGGGGTTTGATTTGGAGAAAGGAGAATGACTGGTTATGACCAAATGCTCAGGCTTGTTCTAACTTGCTTGGAATAGTAAGTCTGCCAGAAACTTTGAGGCCCTGTACGGCCAGTGGTCAGACTCTTAGGGGCTGGTTGCCTTTTACAAGCCTTGTAATTTTAGACAGGTTATGCAACATCTCTCTGCCTTAGTTCTGGGATCAGTAACATGGGATAGTAACAGTTCCTACTTCATACATTTGTGGCAGTGATTAAATATGTCATACATCTTAAAAAGTGCTCATAACAATGTCTGGAACATACTAAATGCTCAGTAAGTGCTTATTGCATGTGCAGACCTAGGAGGTACTACTAATGAACACCACAGGTAACTGACAGAAAGAACTGGCTCTGAAAGCTCAGAGAATTCCCGTGTTCTACTTCGCCAATTGACTGTTAGTTTATGATTCTGAAAGAAGAGCACTATTGCTGAAAAGTGTTATTGTTTTAGATCATCTAACCAGTTTCTGATGTCAATCATTACTTTAAAGAATTTCCTCTCTACCACATTTCCTTCCCCACCACCTTCCTCCCCCCAGTTCAGTAATTGCTGAAAATAATCAGCTTGAAATATAACTTGATAAAAAGCTCTTAGCTATCCTCACTGTGCTTTAATAATGAATCCTCCCTTAAATGAAATGCAAAAAAGATGATAAGACATTCTAGGCACTTTCTCTTTAGCCAAAGCCAGAGATTTTATACAGATAAAATTCACATTTTATTTGTACAAGCCCCTTTAGCAGATTTTGTTTATATTATTGGCAAAATTATGATCACCATTACCTTTATAGAAGTGTATTTCTTCCTTTCTTCATTCATTTATTTTATATATATGTATATATATCTGTGAATATTTACTAGATAAGGGGTTTTAGAGTATATTAATTAATGTTATATTCTTATATTTCAAGGGCTTTGAATCTAGTAGGAGAAAACTTTTAATAATTATACACACAACTAAAGCAAAGTATCACATTACAAATGCTGAATGAGTGCTATACAAAAAAAGCTCTAGAAGTCTTGAGAAGAGTTCACATTGGTGTGATGATCATGGAAGGCTCCGCAGATGGTAAATTTAACTAGGACATTGAAATAGGGTGGGAGGAGTTGCAACTGGAAGAAATTGCAGGAGTTAGGAAAATGCAATGTGATCAGAAATATCAAGATCTTGCTGTGGGAATGGAAGTGTGATCTGGGCAAGCTGGAAAATATTTGAAAAGAGTTTCCATAGTCATACTAGATTTGCTCATAATAATAACAATTGTTAATATATGTGAAGATAAATATACTGTCAAACTATTAGCAAAATAAGTGCTTTGCAATCATTTTTCCAGTTGCATGTAGAATTTGGCACTGATCTACACACACTGTCTCCATCTGGTCTATTTTGTGACCCAGAACACACAACTATGTAGTAGCTGGTGTCTGAATATGGTGCTTTGAAAAATAGAATTAATTGGTCCGTCATTATATCTTCTCCTGCCACTCACAAGAAATAACCACTAAGCTCCTTAATTAATGTCACAAACAAAGATAAATCATCAACCATTTTGTGATACTGATAGTTATTCAAAGAGAGCCCACCTCTCCATTTTTAGTAAAGGAGATGTATCATTGTTGAAGCTAGTGGAATGATCCCAAAAGGAATTCAAGAGGGGAAAAAGACAACTTTTATTCCTATCTAGAGGCAATTCCTTTGGCCCACTCAAGGGTTTTCCTCCAGCAATTCTGCTGTCTCTTGTATCCCTCTTTCCTGGATTATTTCCATCTTAAAATAGCACCTTCTTAATTCACTCAGCTTCCCAGTGCAACAAAACCCCTCTAAGAGCTGTTTTCTACACTGGCTGTTCCATTTCCTTCCACTCCGTAGTTGAGTTTTTACCTCTACCTTTTCACAGAAAATGCCTTATTAAGGTAACCATTGGACTCCTTATTGCCAAATTCAATGGTCAATTATCATTGATCTCATCTAACTTGGCCAACTGACAGGATTTGAGATGATTGATTGATTATTTCCACCTTTTGAAATATCTTCTCTACTTCTGAAATAATATATCCTTGGCTTTCTTCCTACCTTCTGAATACTTCTTCCAAATCTCCTTTGCTAGTTTCTCTTTGTTTTCTTTACCCCTTTATGTTGAAGTACTTTGGAGTCAATTCTTGTAACTCATCTCTTTGTTTTAGCTTCATTCACTCCTTTGTTGATCTCATCCAATCTGATGGTTTAAAATGTATATCACAAGTCCAGACTTTACTCCTTCATTCCAGATTGGAATATCCAATGATCGAGGCAACAGTTTCACTGGGGTTGTCTAACTGACATTTTAAGTTCAGGATGTCCAAAACTGAATTCCAGATCTTCCTTCTACATTTGCTCCTCCTACACCCTTCCCCTGCATCCAGTGTCTCAAAATAAAAATCTTAGTATTATCCTTCACTCATCTCTTTCTCTCATGTCCTATTTCTCATTGTCAAAAATTCCTGATGGTTGTACATTCAAAATATAACAAAACTGCATTATATCTTACTACCTCCACCACTTACAACATGATTCTAACTCATCAGCATCTCTCTCCAGACTTCTACGGTCACCACCTTGCTGATCACCTTGTCCCTCTGTTATCCAGTCTCTCTACATGAAGAATCTTTAAGTCAGATCATGTCATTCCTATGTTCAAAATTTTCCAGTGACTTTCCATTTCACTTAGAGTAAAAGTTAAGTCTTCATATTGGTCTAAAATGCCCTGTGGGATCTGGCCATCATTAGCTCCTTGACATTATATGTACTCTGTCTCCCTCTAACCCACTCATGCTGGCCACACTAGCTTCTCACCTTTCTGACCCATCGGGCTTATGCACTGCTAGTCTCCTCAGCCTGCAAAGTTCTGCCTCCGGATATCCACACTACTAACTCCCTCATGTCCTTCAAGTGTTAGATCAAATACTATCCTACGAATGAGGCTGACCCTAAGTAATGCTCTTTAAAATGGCAATGTGTCCCCAAACTCTTCTCCTGCTTACTTTATTTTATTTTTTCTCGACAAATTGCTTTTTACCTTCTAATATATCATGTATCCCATTTATATGTTCTATTTATTATTTACTTTCCATTTTTTTCTGCCAGGTTGTGGACTCCATTAAACCAGTATTTTTTGTGTAAGGAAGGTGTGTGTTTGTGTGTGTGCGCATAGGTATCTGTGTTGTTTCTTGATATACTTTAAGAACATGTTACAGAGTGTGCTCTCAATATATATTGTTGCATGAGTGCCTTTTATATTTCCAGAAATTTATCCATCTCCTCTAGGTTTTCTAGTTTGTGTGCATAAAGGTGTTCATTGTAGCCTTGAATGATCTTTTGTATTTCTGTGTTATTGGTTGTAATATTTCTCATTTCATTTCTAATTGAGCTTATTGGATCTTCTCTCTTCTTGGTTAATCTCACTAATGGTCTATCAATTTTATTGATCTTTTCAAAGAAACCAGCTTTTTCTTTCATTAATCTTGTGTATTGTTATTTTGTTTAAGTTTCATTTAGTTCTGCTCTAATCTTCATTATTTTTTTTTCTTCTGCTGGGTTTCGGTTTGGTTTGTTCTTATTCCTCTAGTTCCTTGAGGTGTGATCTTAGAATGCCTCTTTATGCTCTTTCAGACTTCTTGATGTAGGCATTTAAGGCTATGAACTTTCCTCTTAGCCCTGCCTTTGCTGTATCCCAGGGGTTTTGATAGGTTGTGTCACTATTACCATTCAGTTCAAAATTATTTTTAAATTTCTGTCTTGATTTCATTGTTGTTGACACAATGATCATTCAAGAGCAGGTTATTTAATTTCCATGTATTTGCATGGTTCTGAGGGTTCCTTTTGGAGTTGATTTCCAATTTTATTCTACTGTGGTCTGAGAGAGTACTTGATATAATTTTGATTTTCTTAAATTTATTGAGACTTATTTTGTGGCCTATTATATGGTCTATCTTGGAGGAGGTTCTATGTGCTGATGAATAGAATGTATATTCTGCAGTTGTTGGGTAGAATATTCTGTGAATATCTATTAAACCCATTTGTTCTAAGGTATAGCTTAGTTTCTTTGTTGATTTTCTTTTTTTTTTTTCTTTTTTTTCTTTTTCTTTTTTTGAGACAGAGTCTCGCTCTATCACCCAGGCTGGAGTGCAGTGGCACGATCTCGGTTCACTGCAACCTCCACCTCCTAGGTTCAAGCGATTCTCCTGCCCCAGCCTCCCGAGTGGCTGGGATTACAGGCACGCAACACCATGCCCGGCTAATTTTTGTATTTTTAGTAGAGATGGGGTTTCACCATGTTGGTCAGGCTGGTCTCAAACTCTTGAACTCATGATTTGCCCACCTCGGCCTCCCAAAGTACTGGGATTACAGGCATGAACCACCGCGCCAGTCCTCTTTGTTGATTTTCTGTCTTGATGACCTGATTAGTGCTGTCAGTGGAGTATGTAAGTCCCCTACTATTATTGTGTTGCTGTCTATCTCATTTCTTAAGTCTAGTAGTAATTGTTTTATAAATTTGGGAGTTCCAGAGTTAGGTGCATATATAACTAGGACTGTGATGTTTTCCTGTTGGACTAGTCCTTTTATCATTATATAAGGTCCCCTTTTGTCTTTTTTAACTGTTGTTGTTTTAAAGTCTGTTTGTCTGATATAAGAATAGCTACTCCTGCCTGCTTTTGGTGTCCTTTTGCACGGAATATTTTTTTCCAACCCTTTACCTTAAGTTTATGTGAATCCTTTGTGTTAAGTGAGTCTCCTGAAGATAGCAGATACTTGGTTGGTGAATTCCTATTCATTCTGCCATTCTGTGTCTTTTAAGTGGAGCATTTAGGCCATTTATAGTCAACGTTAGTATTGAGATGTGAGGTACTATTCTATCCATCATGCTATTTGTTGCCTGAATGCCTTGCTTTTTTTCATTGTGTTATTGTTTTATAGGTCCTGTGAGATTTATGTTTTAAGGAGGTTCTATTTTGGTGCATTTTGAGGATTTGTTTCACTATTTAGAGCTCCTTTTGGCAGTTATTGCAGTGCTGGCTTGATAGTGGCAAATTCCCTCAACATTTGTTTGTCTGAAAGAGACTGCATGTTTCCTTCATTTATAAAGCTTAGTTTCACTGGATTCAAAATTCTTGGCCGATAATTGTTTTATTTTAAGGAGGCTAAAGATAGGACCCCAATCCCTTCTGGCATGTGGGGTTTCTGCTGAGAAATCTGCTGTTACTCTGACAGGTTTTACTTTATAAGGTTACCTGATGCTTTTGCTTCACAGCTCTTAAGATTCTTTCCTTTGTCTTGACTTTAGATAACCTGATGACTTTGTGCCTAGGCGATGATCTTTTGTGATGAATCTCCCAGGTGTTCTTTGAGCTTCTTGTATTTGGCTGTCTAGATCTGTAGTAAGGCTGGGGAAATTTTCCTTGATTATTCCTTCAAATAAGTTTTCTTTTAGATTTCTCTTCTCCCTCAGGATCATCAATTATTCTTAGGTTTGGTTGTTTAACACAATCCCAAATTTTTTGGAGGCTGTATATATATAGATAGATAGATAGATAGATATATTCTTCTTTGTGTTTGTTGGATTGGGTTATTTTGATAGCTTTGTCTTCTAGCTCTGAAGTTCTTTTCTCTACTTGATCAGTTCTACTGTTGGGACTTTCCAGTGTATTTTACATTTCTCTAAGTGTGTCCTTCATTTCCAGAAGTCATGATTTTTTTTAATTTATGCTATCTACTTATTTGGGGGATTTTCTGTCCATATCCTGTAACATGTTTTTAATTTCTGCAAGTTGGTAGGCACCTTTCTCTGGTACCTCCTTAAGTAGTTTAATAATCAACCTTCTGAATTTTCTTTCTGGCAATTCAGAGATGTTGTCTTGGTTTGGGCCCATTGCTGGTGAGCTGGTGTGATCTTTTGGGGGGGTTAAAGAACCTTTTTTGTCGTATTACCAGAATTGTTTTTCTGTCCTTCTCACTTGGGTAGACTATGTCAGAGGGATGATCTGGGGCTCGAGGGCAGCTGTTCAGATTCTTTTGTCCCACACGGTGTTCCCTTGATGTGGTGCTCTCCCCCTTCCCCTAGGGGTGGTGCTTCCTGAGAACCAAACTGCAGTGATTATTATTTCTCTTCTGGGTCTAGCCCGCCAGTGGAGCTACCAGGCTTTGCTGAATGCCTTTTAGATCAGAGCCCTGGATCAGCACATTTTCTTATACTTTGTCATTATGTCATAAATTGGCCACTATAAGAATGGCTGTGACATGGATTCCTTTGTATGTGTCAGCTGGAGTGTGCAACTTGTGGAGGAATTTAAGCACTTTTCCACAAATCGATTACAGCCTGTTGCTCTTGTGTTTTCCTCCGTTATAGAACAGCCAAGTCAAATGGCAACGAGAAGTGACTGGGAGTCGCCCAGTCTGTCACCAACAGCGCAGATGGAATTTCTTTATTAATTAATAAAACAAGTGGAGAAGATTCCTAAGACTATACAGAAGTGGTAGAGAAAAAAACATACCTTCTTCCCAACTTTTTCTTCAAATCCAATATATATGGTTGAAACTTCATCTATGCTGCTTAATCAAAGAATATGTTAATTTTTTTCAGTAAAATGAAATTGAAATCACTCTCCCACTCTTCACATACTTTAGGCAGGATGTGGATTGGCATAAATACCCACCTGGTTCCCAAGGGCTCTTTTCAGCTAGGATTAGAATAATCTCAGGACACACATGGGATCATATATTACTACACCATGATGAAAATTAGAGAACTGGCTTTTCTCTGTTGCTTGTCCTGAATGAGAGTTGAGGGCAGGGGTCCAGATTTTGCCCTGATAGATCCAGCCAGTGACATTCTAAGTGAAGATCACACACACACACACACACACACACACACACACACACACACAATTTTATTTTGAAAAAGAAAACTAATATTTTAAGATAATGACGAGAAGGACTCAGTAGGAAATAGACTGGAGTCTATTCCAGTTCCAATTTCACACTGAAGAGCAAATGTTATTTGTCTTTATATCTAGTATAAGAAACCAACATCATTTTTGTAATAAAACAAACATGGGATTCACTGAGGCTTGCAGAAGAGAGAGGAGGACTGTAGAGGTACAGATTTCTGCTGCACTATGCACAGCTGGTTTTAAGGGATGCCTACCAGATGGTAACGTTTGTCAAAGATGAAACATTGTATCCACAAGCGTGGAGGCTGTGCCCTGTGGCAGAGCAATTCTTTTCGGAAAGAATGTTGGGGAAATAATTCTTCTGATGGGCTAAATGTATACATTTTTAGTGGTTGTGGATTTATTTCCACCTTGGGCCAAGATAATTTTAAGTTTGTTATACTGTCTCATGAACCATAGGTTCTAAATAGTGAGAAAGAGATGAGGTGGAATAGGGGAGGAAGGGAGAATGTGCATTTTGGGGAGCTGAGTTTCCCTGATGCTGAAAGATTGCTTCCAATATAATCATTGGCTTGTGGTTTCATTTTCCTCTTTAAGGGCAGGGTACTTTATTCAATTCTGTATATCTCTGAGGTAGGAAATTTCTTATGCTACTTTGGCTTAACTCATGAGTGAGACGGAGGCTCGGAAGATCATTTAGCACCTAACAGAAGCAACCTTTCATTTTTTGGCAGGTGGGTAGGGAGCAAGGAGGGAAGAGAACATAATTCATTCCTGCGGATCACAGTCTCCAGTTACTCCTGATCTGAGTCATTCTTTTTCCCAGTGAGAATCAGGTACATAGAAGGTACCACCAGAAAGGTTATTTTAATTTACCCTTTTGCTGATATTCCTCTCACTCTGGGTTAAAAGAGCTGAGCATGGCAATGCTTGATTTATCAAGTCTTTTTCTAAAGTGTTTTTCTCTGTGCTCTGTCTTCCACCTCTGACTCAGCCATATACAAATGTACATTCCGGACGCTTCTAACCCTTCTAACCAATAGACATGATTAACTGTTATCAGCATAATCTAAGGCTGAAGATTTTAAACTGATCCACTCCAATACCAACCAGTTGATAATCACCAAAGCAACGTATATGTTTGTTTTTCCCTGTTAATTGGCTTTCAGTGAAATGTCATGATGTGTCAACATTTGCAAATTCCTGCCCTGCTCATACAAGGTAAAAATTACTTGATCCATCCTAACTAAGCCACAGGCCTTCTCAGACATGTTTTTGTTGTTCTAAGGAGGAAGAATTTGTTACACTTATGTAAGTAAATTATTTCCAGCAAACAAAAATGCAGTGTCTACAGTGTGGCATCAGAATCTCAATTCGTCTGGAAACTCTGTGAAGAGCACTTTTCAAATTATTTATCAGCCTTTCCCAGGTCACATCTCTATTTTATTTTTGCTCCTTTCAAAGGTATTCACATCTTTCCTATGCTCCATTCCCATTTTCAAAAGGAGGTCGAAATAACAAGCTTTCTGTTATTCAATTAATAAGTCTTTCAATCATGGTGTCAGGCAAAAGTTCAGAGCCAACTCGGTAAAGGCTGACTATTCAAGACCATAGGCCAGTAAGTTCTCATGTGAAAGAGAACATGCCTTCATGTCAGGCGTTAAACACATGATCGAGAATGTGAACACCTGCTAAAGAACATGGAAGGGTCTTTCCTAAAGTGGATTTTGCAGTAAGCTCTCATTCCTCTACATAATAGCTCTAAACCATGCACCTGACTTTCATTGCCCTAGGGAAAATCAGTACTGGTATAGACCTAATGGGAGAAGTGTAATATATTTCACTGCAGGAACCACCTTCCACCATCACCCTCCCCATCCTCCAAACACACTCCTGGAACAATCCCTGTGGAACTCCATTGCTGCATCAGTCTTTGACCAGTCTTCTAAACTACGCAGCTCAGAGTAGCTCAAATTCACTGCCTCTGAACTTGAAAAATTAGCACCATATCTTATATGCTTTGTTCAAAATGATCAACACCACACAGATTAGCATTTTATTATGCCAGCATTAAATAAGAGCTAAAAAGAATGAGCTTTATTGACATTTGGGCTTAAGTTTCCGTCCAAACTAATTCATTTTCCATCTCTGCGACCTCTCAAATGACATCGCCTCCCTCAATTTTTTTCATCATCTATAAAAGAGGGATTGTAATAATTCCTACAGTGATGTGAAAATTAAATGAGATCCTGTGTATAAAGTACTTTCACAAAGCTAGAATTCCATAAATGTTAGTTATAACAATTATTATTATACTATCCTGTTAAGCAAATGCTTCTTCAATTATTCAATACATATTTAACTTTCATGTGGGTTTTAACTTGAGTAGGTTATAAATGCACAGAATACTGGTTTATAACGTGGATCTCTAACCTCAGCACCTAATATAATGGTTGTTATCAATATGTAATTTAATTTTCTTTACTAAATACATTTCATAGTGTTCAGAATAGCACTAAGGTCTTGGGAGCACGTAAATATTTCTTACTCCTTAAGTAATTATTATAGTAGCTTGCATTTTGTGCCTACTATGTGCCTGGCCCTATGCTAGGTAGTTTACACATATTATCTGTAATTCTTAAGCAACTTCACGGGACTGAATTGTAGCATGTGTGATAGAAAAATCTCTGATGATTTTCGATAAGTAGATTTGAATAGCACTATGGAGAGTGATTAATTTGTAGATGGAGTGAGGATATTTGTTTATTCATTCATTCAACAAGTATTCCCTAATTTCCTTCTACATTCTAGCTGCTTCTGGGTCCTAGGCTTATAACAATAAATAAGACTTGTCCTTATAGAAGGGGAGGCAGGTAATTAACTAATAAACAAAACCATAAGATACTTTCAGAGAGTGGTAAATGCTATAAAGAAAATAAAACAGGCTGAATGTAGAGAGAATTTAGCGTGCCATGTGAGAACTATTAGATTGGCTGGTCACAGGCAATCTGTGGAACGGACTCTCGTGCTGAGACCTGACTTTGCACAATGTAAATGCTTGTTACTAAAGAATACTTATTATTATTATTATTATTTTTTGAGGTGGAGTCTCGCTCTTGTTGCCCAGGCTGGAGTGCAATGTCGTGATCTCAACCTACCACAACCTCCGCCTCCTGGGTTCAAGCAGTTCTCCTACCTCAGCCCCGAGTAGCTGGGATAACAGGCATGTGCCACCACACCCGGCTAATTTTGTATTTTTAGTAGAGATGGGGTTTCTCCATGTTGGCCAGGTTGGTCTCAAACTCCCGAACTCAGGTGATCTGCCCACCTCAGACTCCCAAAGTACTGAGATTACAGGCATGAGCCACCACACCTGGCCTAAAGAGTACTTATTACAAAAAACTAGGAGCCTGGAAGGATGTGCATCATACTCTGGGGATTTTGCCATGAGTTAAGAGAAATGAGATGGAAGCAGTAGAAGGAATGATTCAAGAGAGGGTCTAAATGAATAAATGAAAGAATGATGTTAAACAATACAAGCTTATACTTCAGCACACTAGGGCATCAGACGCCTCTGGTCCCTCGTGCCAGACACATCTGGCATGGAGTGTCACTGGGGACCTCAAAGTTATATCGGGGGTTTCCCCTGAGTACCCTGCTCCTTCTTTGAAGAGGGCTCCCTTTGGTCCATTTTTCTCACCTCTTATCCCTGAGAGCAGCATTTTGCATACAGTCAATGTTCACCAAATGTTTGCTATGTAGCTACTGCTCAAGCACTTTAACTGCTAAAAAACAATGCTTTTAAAGAGCAAAGAATTATTGGTCCTTTCAAGTGATCGAGTTTAATTAATAATCTGTCTAGCAGCTATGTGACCTTAAGTTAATCACTTAACCTCTGGAGACCTCGGTTTTCTCATCTGTGAAATGCAGATGATAACAACCGCCTCCCTGTGTTGCCCTTGGGACTGGAAGAGAGGAGGTGTGAGAAAGCCCTTAGTCATGTCTAACCTGGGATGCCCTTGCAGGGGCTTCCATATTCTATCTCATGGGATGAGAGGGCAGAGAGAACTCACTGCACTATCACCGTCTTCCCCATTGCCTCCATCACAACGCAGGTGTGGGAGGTGGGGAAAGGGATGGGAGCAAGAACCAAACACATTAGCAATGTCATGGTTGTTTATTGTTTTCACCCATGTGGTAATAAATCAATGTGAGGTTTGTCATTTTAATTAGTCTTCTTTCAGTCTGGGAAGTCAAGGCTGTTCAATGCTGATAGGGAGCTGAAAAATTATCTGAGAACGAGTGTCCGGAATGAGTCTCAGCGTCCCGGCTTCAGAGTGCTGCAGGTCACTGGAGATGGGGAGTGAAGAGCCCTCCACTTCAGAAGGAAAATTAGCGTTCGGTGTAAGGCTGACAGCAGTGGGTGGAGAAGGAGCTGAATTCATCTTTTCCTTGCTTACTGCTAGTCCAGCCCCATGGTGAGCTGCAGGGAAGAGAGTGTGGAGGGAAGGGAGAGTAAGGGGATAAATTTCTGTAGATGTTTCTATACAGCCTAACGTGAGAATGCATTATTTATATATATATATATATATATATATATATATATATATATATATATATATAAAATATTTCCACTCAACTCCATCATTACAGCAGGAAACATCAGAGCTGCCCGACGTGGTTCAGATTTCCTTCGATGGCAGTAAATCTGGCTGAAGTTTTATGGAAAGGGTGAACTATCACTTCATAGAGAAGTAGTCAAGCAGACTGAAATTGGAGGACAACTTGGACTAGTTGAACTTTAAGATCTTTTCCAAATTTAGAAATTCCATTAAATGGAAGGAAATAGTTTTTATTATTAATAACAAAATATAATAATAATAACAGCAATTCCTTAATATTATATTATGCTTTGTAGTTTATATTTTGCCATCATATGCTTGAAACAATTGTGTGAGGCAGGTAGAATAGGTATCTTATTTCCATTGCATTCAAGGAATCAAGGCACAGAGAGTTAAGTGATTTCCCCATGGACACAAAGTAAGTGGAAGAATTAAGATGAGCACCCAAGCGGTGCCTGTATATCATCCTGTTGCTGCCAAATATGATCATGAGGAGAAAGTTGATGACCATTCTAGACACTGCTGAAGGAAGGAATAGCCGATTTCAGGAAGATCAGCAAAGACTGTGAAAAGGACCAGAGTCATTTTTCCTTTTATTATCTAGTAGGAATATAACCATGATCCCCAACAAGCCAGTGAACATCCTTGTACAACCACACACTTTACAAGGGTTTTGCTTTGAATCTTCCCTGAGACATCACAGGAAATGGGCTTCCTTGTGATACAACTCAGTTCAAGGCAAGTAAATCCATTTGGCAACGTGTTGTTTGACAAATTTTAAAATAGAGGTTTGATTTGCTTTTTATAGTTACCCCTGTTTTCACCATTGAGGACAGTAACTCCTCAAACTTTTGGGCATATAATATGTGTGTTTATATATATATATGTATAATTTGGATATATATATGTATAATTTGGATATATATGTATATATGTATATATATACACACGTATGTATACATACACATGTATACATACACATATATACACACGTATGTATACATACACATATACATACACATATATACATACACATATATACATATATACATACACATATATACATATATACATACACATATATACATATATACATACACATACATATATACACATATATATCCAAATTATACATATATATATCCAAATTATACATATATATATATAAACACACATATTATATGCCCAAAAGTTTGAGGAGTTACTGTCCTCAATGGTGAAAACAGGGGTAACTATAAAAAGCAAATCAAACCTCTATTTTAAAATTTGTCAAACAACACGTTGCCAAATGGATTTACTTGCCTTGAACTGAGTTGTATCACAAGGAATCCCATTTCCTGTGATGTCTCAGGGAAGATTCAAAGCAAAGCCCTTGTAAAGTGTGTGGTTGTACAAGGATGTTCCCTGGCTTGTTGGGGATCATGGTTATATTCCTACTAGATAATAAAAGGAAAAATGACCCTGAGCCCTTTTAACACAGTCTTTGCTGATCTTCCTGTAATCAGCTATTCCTTCCTTCAGCAGTGTCTAGAATGGTCATCAACTTTCTCCTCATGATCAAATTTGGCAGCAACAGGATGATATACAGGCACTGCCAGGATGATATACAGGCATCGCTTGAGTGCTCATCTTAATTCTTCCACATTCTGTGTGTCCATAGGGAAATCACTTAACTCTCTGTGCCTTGATTCCTTGAATGCAATGGAAATAAGATACCTATTCTACCTGCCTCACAATTGTTTCAAGCATATGATGGCATAATATAAACTACAAAGCATAATATAATATTAAGGAATTGCTCTTATTGTTATTATACTTTGTTATTAATAATAAAAACTATTTCCTTCCATTTAATGGAATTTCTAAATTTGGAAAAGATCTTAAAGTTCAACTAGTCCAAGTTGTTCTCCAATTTCAGTGTGCTTGACTACTTCTCTATGAAGTGATAGTTCACCCTTTCCATAAAACTTCAGCCAGATTTACTGTCATCGAAGGAAATCTGAGCCACGTCGGGCAGCTCTGATGTTTCCTGCTGTAATGATGGAGTTGAGTGGAAATATTTAATTTCTATCCTGAAGTATTAGTTTAGCCTTTTAGAACCCCAGTCTATTTTCCAAGGTGGTAACTTTTAACATGTTTTAGCAGAGCTCTTGCTCCTAAATCTTCACTTTCCCCAGCTGAAGACCCTGAGCATGTTCAAATATTCTTCAAGTTGTATTGTTTTGGGTTTTCTCATCATTCTAATTGGTCAGCTCTAAATATTTCTGTTTTCTATTTCTTTCTTAAAATGTGCCTCTTTCAGCTGAATATCCTGGCATGTTATGACCAGTGTGTCTAAAAACACAACTTGATATTCACCAACCAGATCTGCTCATCTTTCCCCAAGTCTTCATCTTGTTTTTTAGCACAAGTCAAATGCCTTAATTACTTCTCGTGTGTGTGTGTGTGTGTATTTTGTCACTTGTCACCTGTCTTCATTCTAAAATTTGCTCCTTCAGTAAAGTTTTCCCTGAATATTTTAATCCAGGGCCAATGATCACCCTCATCCTTACAATCTTCAGACACTCAGGACAGTAAGTGTTCTGGGGAAACAGAGCTGGAAAGAAGGGCAGGAAGGCGGGTATGCTTGATTTTTGTCAAGAAAACAGGGGAATTGATTCCAAAACCATGAAAGACAGACTTCTAGAAAAGAGGCTAAATTTCTTCTATGTTGATCTAAAGAGCAAAATTGAGACCAGTCAGGGCAACTTGGTGGGGGAAGCTCCTGAGATACGGTGGAGAGGAGCATAGGATTGGGGACAGGATAGCTCTGGGTTCAAGTTTGAGTCTACAACTTCCTGATTCAATGGTCTTAAGTGATTTTCTGTGTCTGTTCCCAGCCTAAGCCTCTGCCTCTACAAAATGAGGTGAATTTTACCAACCTCATATGGTCCTTTTTAGGACTAATAGGCATTGATTCAATTGGCCGGGCCCAGGACTCTGTGTCCTGGGGTCTTTTCACAGCACATGCTAACTTGTCCTGCCTCTACTCGGTTTACAAGAAAAGTCTGAGTGAAAGATCAAGTTCATGTTCAGAAATATTCACTCCCTTCCCATAACTGCATTGGAAGAACAGAATTTCCTGTTCCATTCATGGTGAGCTTGGCTATGTGAATTGTTTCAGTCAGTGGGATATTAGCGTCCATGATGCAGCAGCCTTGAAAAGTATCTTCATGCTTCAACTTACACTCTTGAACTTCTGGCATTGCTATGGATAAAAATATGCCCAGAACGGACAGTTCATCCCAGGAGGAGGATAAAAGTCATGGGGAGTGGAGCTGTACCACCAGAGCTGAGGCCACCCCAAATCAGCAGCCCCCCAGTTGACCCCAGCCTGCTGCAGATGCATGAATGAGCCCAGCTGAGACCAACAGTACTGCAGAGCCAACCAGCACACTTGCAAGCTGCGTAAATGCATTTTTGTATGCTCCCGAGATTTTGTGGCTGTTTTATATGCAATGTTATTGTGGCCATAGTTACTTGAAATAACCAGTAAAATAAGATATGAATGGCTGACAAGGCTCAATATTTCCCTCCCCTGAAAGACATGGGAAGCCAATATTTTTATTTGTTTAATAAATATTTAGGTGAACTCCATGTGCCAGGTCCCCAATTGTAGTTAGTTTTCCGTTGTACAAGGGATTCTGCTTTAAAGAACTGTACTTAAAGCAGTATAGAATTATACTAGAGCCCCAATTCCCTTGACTTAAAGTTATTACACACAAAGCAAAACACAAACTGCTACATGTGCTGAGCTTATACAATGTCCCTCTTTTTAAATCTCTGTGCATCTCTCTGCCCGGTGGACTCTGGACATCACGTTGTTTCCCTAGTTTCTAGAGCTGGTCTACCTGAGCATCCTGGAAAATCCCTGTAATGTTAGGTAATGAAGTAGAATTTTACTGGGTGGAAAGCTATTTCCTTTCCCTTTCAGTAAAGTGTCTCGAACTCTACTCCCTAGTCTTTTCCACCTTCCTAGATAATTCCAAAGGAATTTGGTGTTACGTGATCCTCTGAAGGGTGGAGGCAAAGAAGGAAACTAATAAGGACTTCTTTTTATTGCATAGCTGTGCTTCCCTTAGAATGGGGATCACAGTGGGACTGCACAAGGCCATCGCTCCTGCTCTCTGAAGGCTGGGGCTGCAACTGCACAGAAGAGGGTGCTCTTGTGCAAAGCTGCAGCCAGCTTCCTGGGAGGAGGTGAAGTTTACTCGTTCCTTGCTGAGCGGATGATTCATTGCTCATGATATTTGGTAGATGTAGTCTGCATTAGTGCACACATATTCTGCAACAACAGATAAAAACCCCAAACGGCAAAAATGTCAGGAAACTCATTCGTATGGAGGGTGCACATCCATCATCCTCTGCTGTTCTGATACGACAGAGCCAACTTTTATCAGCATCCTTCCCTTTTACCCTACTGCCAGGGCCCTTTAAATGAAAATTATCAAGGAATAGGGACAAAAATAGTGCCATCCTTTTTAGAGTTTTCAAATTGCTTTCACCATTTGGAAAATAACTATATATCCATTAACTCGTTTGTCACACAAATATTTATTGAAGGACAGTTATTCTGCTTTTTCAATGCTTTTGGAGAAAGAATTGAAGCTCCTTCCTTACCAATCAGACCCAGATGACCTGATTTCTGCTTCCCTCTCCAATCTAATCTCATGCTAACTGCCTTCTCTCTGGCTCTTTTCAGCCTCAGGCTTTTGCTCTCATATTTCATTTTACTAGAATTTTTTTTCTGGTTCATATTAGGGCTTATTTGCTTTGTTTTTCTCATTCTCCAGAGCTCAGCATGAATGCCATATTCTCAGAGTGACTTTCCTTAAGTCTGTATGTTAGTCAGGGTTCTCCAGAGAAACAATCAATAGAAGATATTGATAAAGATATAGCTATAGGTATGTTATCTTGTGATTATGGAGACCAAGAAGTTCCAAGAGCTGCAACTGGCAAGCTGGAAACCCAGGAGAGCTGATGGTGTAATTCAACTCAGAGCCCCAGTCAGAAGACATTAAAGACTGACTTCCCAGCTGAAGACAGGCAGTCGAGAGAGAGAATTCTCCCTTACTCAGCCTTTTAGTTCTATTTATGCCTTCTATGTATCGGATGAGGCTTTACACAGTCTACTGATTCAAATGTTAATTTCATCCATATACACCCTTATAGACACACTCAGAGTCATGTTTAACCAAATATCCAGGCACCTTGTGATCCAGTCAAGTTGACACATAAAATTTACCCTCACAGCCTGCATCTATCAATATAGATGCCCTTCCCTAATTACTAATACCTAATCTTGTTTATCTTCTCCTGAGTGTTTATCACAATTTTTACATGCCTTGTTTACTTGTTTGTCACATATTTACTGTCTGTCTCTCCGAGAATGTGAGCTCTCTGAGGGCATGGACAGTTTGTTGTGTTTTTCACTCTGTCCCTTTAGCTCAGAAGAGTGCCAGGCTCTCGGTAAACACTCAATACGTATTTTTGAATGAAATAGTGCAAAAATTAAAATAATTGTATAATGAAATAAATATTGAAAGGCAAAATTAACAGAAAGTTATGAGGACATAGAAGAGCAAAAGCCTTATTCTTTCTGGAAGAGTCAGGAAAGGCTTTAAAATGAGGAGACATTTGAGCTAATGGGAAATCCACTAACCTGCAAGGAAGTCAAGTAGAAGAAAGATTTTCAGAAAAGATCAAACAGTGTGTGCTAAGGTGGGTGGCCTAAAGCGATGAGCATACTCCAGAAATGGCAAGAAAGTTAGTGTGTCGGGGGGTCAGAAGAGACTGAGACGGCTCTTGTATGCAGTGGCGGGATCAGCAGATAACTCACCAGAAAGTGAGAAGTCAGTGGATGCTGGAGGTTTTAAAACAGGACATTCACTTTGGAAGCAGAGTAGATAACGCTTGGAATGGGGAGAAACTGAGGCCCTGGAAACTAGTGAGGAAACAGTTACAGTAATTTGGAAAGATAAAAGATGAAACAGCAACAGAGGCACGCAGGCGTGGGCCCACAGCTTTGGCAGAAGCTGAATTCCTAATAGGAAACCTTGGATTTAGAAGTGGGTAAAACTGGCTTGTGGCTTTGGGGACAGGCCAAGAAGAACCAGTGTCTTCATCCAGCCTGTCATAACCTCAAGGTGTTAGTGTGTTTGCACTGCCATAAAGAAATATCTGAAACTGGGAAATTTATAAATAAAAGAGGTCTAATTTGCTCATGGCTCTGCAGGGTATGCAAGAAGCAAAGCACCAACATTTGCATAGGGTGAGGGCCTCAGGGAGCTTCCAATTATGGCAGAAGGTGAAGGGGAATAGGAGTGTCACATGGTGAGAGTGGGAGCAAGAGAGAGACAGGAAAGGTGCTACACAATTTTAAACAACCAGACCTCATGTGAACTCAGAGCAAGAGCCCACTCATCACCAACGGGTCGACCCTCAGCATTCATAAGGGATCTGCCCCCAAGATTCAAAGACCTCCCACCAGGGCCTGCCTCCAACACTGGAAATTACATTTGAATATGAAATTTAGAGGGGACAAACATCCAAACTGTATCACTGGGGAAGCAAAAAATAATTTGCTGTTGCAAGGACATGGGATGCGGAGGCGGGCACAGAACAGGGCCCAGCATGTGGGCATAGAACATGGCAGAGATTCTGCCATGGGGGCAAGATGACATGGAGGGGACATGCCAGATGACAGGGCAGGGTCTGTACAATCAACTGAGAGGGACAGATCTTTGTAAAGAGCTGGTGTGGCTGAAAGGGAGCTGTTAGAGACCCTGAGCATATTCAAGCAAAATAAAAGAGGAGAGAGTAAATTTCGGGAAACTTCTGAGGTAGAATTATATAGCCTAGTGACAAATTGAATATGAAATGATAAGGGTGAAAGCCAAGAAAGTCAAGAATGACTTCATTGCAACTTTGAAGCAGGGACTAGAGGAATAATAGATTTGGAGGAAGTATTTGAAGAGTGATGTTTTCTCTAAATTGAATTACTGAACTCACCACCTCACCCGCGCTCCTGGTGGTCAGCCTCTCAATATTCACATTGTGGGACTTTTCAGCAAAGAGCTCCACAGGAAGAACATATACTGCTCAGTTTCAAACCTTTGTCACATTCCAGAACAGCTCTCTTTACAAGAGGCACCAGAGAATTCACCCATTCTCTTCTCCATCATCATCATCATCTTCCTTTTCAGTACTAGCTCTTATTTACTGAGCACTTACTGTAATAAATAACCACCATTTACTGAGCACTTCCTATGTCCCAGGACTCTTCTAGGTCTACTACACATGCTAAGTCAGTTAAACTCCTTACACACCTAAGTGAAGTAAGCACACCATTATCCACTTGTTAGAAGGGAGATAACTGAGGGACAGTGAGGTGAGTGACCTGCCAAGAGAAGTCAGACACAGTGGAAGTACTTTATGCGTATTAGTGCCTTTGGTCTTCCCAAAACATTTGGAATAGCATTATTCCCTTTTTACAGGAACAAGGAGCACAAGGAGTGAGGAGGAGGTTACATCAATTTCCCCAAACCATCCAGCCCACAAGTTCCAGAGCTGATATTTGAAAGTACAGTTTCTAAGCTGGAGCCCAGAGAGGAACTAATTCTTTGAACACCTTTCTGTGTTCAAAGGCAAAGAACACAAAGAAACAGAAAACATTTTAAAAATTGCAAATAATAGTGAGGACTACAGTTGATACTTAAAAAACACAAGTTTAAAGTGTGCGGGTCCACGTACATGTGGATTTTCTTCTGCTTCTGTCATTCCTGAGATAATAAGATCAACCCTTCCTCTTCCTCTTCCTCCTCAGCCTACTCAATGTGAAGGCAAAGAGGATGAAGCCCTTTATGATGATCCACTTCCACTTAATGAATAGTAAATATATTTTTTCTTGCTTGGATTTTCTTAATAACATTTTCTTTTCTCTAGCTTACTTTATTATAAGAACACAGTATATAACACATATAACATATAAAATATGTATTAATTGACTATGTTATGGGTAAGGCTTGTGGTCAACAGTAGGCTATTAATATTAAAGTCTGAGGGGAGTAAAAATTTAGAGGTGTATTTTCTATTGTGTAGGAATCGGCACCCCTAGTCCTGTGTTGTTCAATGATCAACTGTATTTATCAAGTACAAACAATGTGAAGTGCTTTACATTGCTGTCTCCTGTAAAGGGTGTTATCATTCCTATGTTACAGATTGAGGATTTGAGGACATAGCAATTTGCTCAAGGTCACGTAGCAAGTGACAGAGCCAGGATTCAAACCTACATCTGACTCCTGGGAATTATTCAATTATGGAAAAGTAATGCAGTCTAGAATCATGGACCCAGTTTTGTTTTTCAGGCTCCCTCAGAGTTGGCTATTAAAACGCCACTTTTACTTTCTCAGCTTTTATTTCTGAGGGCAGGTTTTACAAACACTTTTCCATCCTACCATCCTCCACATGCCCTCAACTCCAATTATGCCTAAAATTGGACCTTTTCTTACAAAATATCATTGGTAAAATCCACAGATATTTACATGTTCTCACTTAAAAGTGAGAGCTAAATGGTGAGAATACATGAACATATAGAGAACAACAGACACTGGTGCCTTCCAGAGGAAGGAGGGAGAGGATCAAGAAAAATAACTAATGGGTGGTAGGCTTAATACCTGGGTGATGAAATAATCTTTACAACAAACCCTGTGACATGGGTATACCTATGTAACAAACTTGCACACATACCTCTGAAATTAAAATCAAAGTTAAAAAAAACCTGCAGATATTATCAGGCCTCAAATCACCACCTGGGAAAGGGCAGAAGACAATTGTCTCGTTTTATATAAGTCTGAGAATCTTCATGTGGAGTGAGGTCAGGTTACTGAGCTTTCCCCCAGCATTCGTAGCAATCATTGTCTCTAGGTATTCATTATTATTTTCCAGGGATATAAACTGCAAAGAGAATAGCTTCTTAAGACTATAATGTAGAACACAAACCCAAGACTAAACATGTTAACTGTGAATTTAGTCTTGTCTGCATGCTCACCTTTCCTATATGTAAAAATACCGTGAGAATCTTGAGTGAATGCTAAACCATCCTCTCATTCATGGGCCTCTGCTCCCACTGCTGCCCCAGGAACATTCCCTTCATTCTATTAGTGCTATTGCCTGACAAGTTGACCAGGGTGGGGTGATCAATTGTGCAGGAAATAACTTTTTGAGCTCAGGCCCCAAGCATCAATTTAAGAACAAAATTTCTGTCTTCTTACTGTCTTAACCTCAGCCCTTTTTTTGTGTGTGTGAAATTGACAGATTTGGATTGAAAGGACTAGAATATTGGGCAGCAGACTAAAGCTATATAAAATGCGACATAGATGTCATTAGCTTGTTAGTGACTTTTGCTGTAAGTACATGCCTTCCAGGTCGCTGGGGAGGAAGCAAAGCAGGGTGCAGCTGGTACTCTTCTGGAACCTGGGGTTTTATTCTTCGTTTTA
Source organism: Homo sapiens (assembly GCF_000001405.40). Taxonomy (NCBI): domain Eukaryota; kingdom Metazoa; phylum Chordata; class Mammalia; order Primates; family Hominidae; genus Homo; species Homo sapiens. The sequence goes on from NC_000001.11 coordinate 221,483,566, forward strand.
GACTTAAGTGAATGAGCTACTTGACTCATTCATAGGACTTAATTTGCGTGTGCCTGGGTCTTAATTTATAAAGGTGACTGAGTGACAGCATGGAGAGTTAAATGCCACAGAAATAATTTATTGCTTTTACAGTTCCTGAGAGAAGGCATGGTGTGCTGTGCAGGGCCTCACGGGAAGCACCAGGTTTGACAGGAGAAGTGGGAGTAAGGCTATAGCCTTTAGTGAGGTTTCCATGGGAAAAGCAAGGCAGGGCAGGGGAAACAGCTTAAGATACGTTAGTTTGAATAATTTCAGCAGGCTTTGGGGCATAGGGACTGTCCCTGGTTGTTTAGTACTAGGCCCTACGTGGTTGATTTAGGGCAGGGGAAATATTGTCTTGGTATGTAAAAGTTAAAGAAGGTGGTTATGGGTATAGATCCAGGATTGTTTGGATGGTTTAGAATATGATTTTCATGCACCTATGAAAACTGAATCACCAGGAAGATATAAATATGTTTGGCCATTAGTTTGGTCCTATAATTAATGAATGTCAAATGGACAAATATAGAATCTATGAAAACACAGAATACCATGGCAAAAAACTCTAGAGTATACTTCTTGCATGTCTCTCTATCCCATTTCTCTATTCCCCTCACTACCCCAGGTCAGCAGGAAGGGTAAATGAGTAGGTTGGTGGCTTCTCTTAGTGCTCATCTCAGGCTATGATTCTGTAAATAGAGGGCTTTGATGGATATAGCTTCAAGGGCAATGTATGGTTTTGCCCCTGTCCTACCCCAGAGCTGGCATCGCCAATGACCTGACTTTAGCAGTCATCAGAAGATAGACCATCTACATGAGCTGAGCACTCAGTACTTATAGTATGGGGAGTGTGAAGGCCAAAGGACAGTCCTGTTGTCATTTCTCAGAGAAGTTGTGATTTAACCTAGAAGAGGAAATGGATAAGCAGATTTTTAGCATACTAGCAATGATTATGAAAGTGTGCAGGGCAAGAGATAGGCTGCTTATTTGGAAAACAGGCAGAATTTAGCGATGAATCCAGAGTGGCCAGTACCCAGATTCTCAGTTCTTTCATTAGTAGGATTTCAAAGACATCTATTATGCTTGCATAAAAGAGTCAGAGCCAATTTGTCTAGGCTGCATGTCTGCAGCAAATTTGAATGTCTATAGTAAGATAAAATTCTACAGGAATGACTCTGGTGGTGAAATAATTTTTTAAAAAATGTAAATGAGTAAATAAAGGATTTGCAGAGAAGAAATACATTTGTAGAGAAGAAACCATTACTGGTTTTGTACCTCCATTCTTTGCAGGGAAGAATGTGGCTGGAAATATAGAGAGTAACCACATAAAAATGCGCTTACCCCCTTTTTAATTTATTTTTTCCTTTCGCATTTTCTACCAGTAGAAGAACAAAGGTGCCTGGAGAGATAGCCTTTCTGAATATTCTTTATATTTAATATGATTGCATTGATCATTTTTAAACTCTTCTTATTTGCCACTGTGGAGAATTTTTTAACTTTTATATAAAAATATATGTTTCTCAAGAGCAAATGGTAATATATACAGTCTACAGTGGATGAATCAAGAAATAAGGATATGCTTGCATTGTGCAGGATGATGATAGAAAATACCCAAATATTAGAAAGGATTTTTTAAAAGCAGACTGGGTTGGGAGGATATATTTTGAAGAGGAATCTCTAGGGAACCAAGTTCAAGTCCCTTCTCATATGAAAGCCCAAAGAGTATGGTAATAAGGTCCTCTCCCCACCCAACGTTACCTAAAGAAATGGGTTCAGTACAAATTTACAGTGCTGCTTGAAAAGCCAGGAAATCTGTTTCTCCACTCTTGCGCTCCACCATTAGGGGAAATTTTGACTGCTAACATTGCTTCTTGCGCTACCAATGAACTCTTTTCCACTCTTTTTGCTACCCAAGGCTTCTAACTCTCAGCTTGTTTGCCTTGTGACTTCTGCTTCTTTGTGCCTTCTCTGTGTGTCTTATTCTGCCTTGCTATAGAAATCTCTGTTTCTCTGTATGTCATATTAGACTCTAAAAAATAAGGTTCTTGATTGAGAATATATCACTTTCCCAGATAGAATCTCCATCTAAGGGAAAGCTTCAGCTCTAGCCTTCTTACAAGGATCAGGCCAACCTGTAGGGGGTGAGTGGCTTAAAAACCTTCTCAGCGGAGGCCAAGGCAGACAGATCACCTGAGGTCAGGAGTTCAAGACCAGCCTGGCCAGCTGGCCAAGATGGTGAAACCCCGTCTCTACTAAAAATATAAAAAATTAGCTGGGCGTGGTGGCAGGCACTTGTAATCCCACCTACTCAGGAGGCTGAGGCAGGAGAATTGCTTGAACCTGGGAGGCGGAGGTTGCAGTGAGCTGAGATCACTCTACTGCACTCCAGCATGGGCAAAAAGAGCGAAACTCCGTCAAAAAAAAAAACCCAAAAAACCAAAAAAAAAACAAAACAAAACAACAACAACAAAAAAACCCTTCTCAGTGAGAAACCACAGGAGTGGCAGGCACCCTGGGGCTCCCCAAAGGGAATACTACATCAGACACCTTGGAGAGGCTTGCATTTTCATTACATTCTGCATTGTGATATTGCAATATTCAAGCTTGATGTAGACACTTTCCACGATGGAGAATTTGGCCTCAAGACTGCAACATTAGAGACCCTTTCTAAGTTTCCAGCCTGCCAGCTTGTTCTCCAAATCTTGGACTCATCAGCTTCCACAACGTGTGAACCAATGCTTTGAACTCTCTTGATGATAGATAGATAGATAGATAGATAGATAGATAGATAGATAGATAGATTTCTTTCTTGAGGAAGTCCATGCATCATTAGGAGCTTCAAATAATTGGCAAATTCTGCAAATTGAGACTCAATCTGTCTTCCTCTAGCTGCCACCTGTTATGTACTATGTCTATGTCCTCATCATATAGAGCATGATCAATTCTACTTCTACCTGACAGTCATTAATTTCATTCAATAACATTTTCACACAATTGACAAATCCAGAGGACAGATATCAGTATTTTCAGTTATCTAGACAGTGATCTGACCTGCTAGGTTCTCAGTCAGTGACCCCACCTTAAAACCACTACAGAACAAAATAATGAGGAATCTAGTGTCAGGTCAGCTTGAATCAGGGTTTCTAATTTCCACTTATTCTCTGTGTGACTTTGAGCAAGTTACCTAACATCTCTGACCTTCTGTTTCCCAATCTGTAAAATGAGAAAAAAATACCAACCTGCTAGGGTTGCTGTAAGCATTAAGGAGGACCATGTGTGTACAGCACTTAGCACAGTGTCTACCATGTGGTAAACAAGGGACATGTGGCAGCTTTTGTTACTCAGGTAGAGATGGCGGGCACCATTTCATCAGCTTGTGCTCTCGAAACTGCTACTGTCTGTCTTGTCTCTGGAAACTTGAGTCAGTAGACAGGTCTCCTTTGAGTAAGTGTAGGAAGGAGAAGTAATACTTCTCACTGCCTTCCTCCTTACTCCCTCTCAGCCCCAGCTCCTATCCCCAGCTCTTTATTTGGCTACTTTTCATAAGCCTCCTTCTGGGCACCAGCTTCTGTGGGATGTTCTTTAGGGACCCTCTCAGCTGGGCTGGTGCCTCTTCTTGATGATTCTATAATGCCTCGAGCCTATCTTCATCATTACATCACTGGACTATGTAACTTATTTTTTTTTTGAGATGGAGCCTCACTCTGTTGCCCAGGCTGGAGTGCAGTGGCGAGATCTTGGCTCACCACAACCTCCGCCTCCCAGATTCAAGTGATTCTCCTGCCTCAGCCTCTCGAGTAGCTGGGACTACAGGTGCGCACCACCATGCCTGGCTAATTTTTGTATTTTTAGTAGAGACGGGGTTTCACTATGTTGGCCAGGCTGGTCTCGGACTCCTGACCTTGTGATCCACCCGTCTCGGCCTTCCAGATTTGGACTTACTCATTTTTATATCCTTATTATGGGTAGAGAGCTTGGAACATTCTAAGCACTCAAAAATATTTAGTTCAATGAACAAAGAAATGAATGCTCCAACCATATCTATTCAACAAATTATCTCAAACAAAATGATTTCTATCCTTGTGCCTTATGCACTAGCATAGAACCTTAAAGTTCTATGCTAGTTGCTTTTACCTGTTAATTAATAGATCCTAGTTCTTTAATTTGAGAACTAATCTGCTGTATCTGCATTGAAAATTAATCTCCAGAGATATATTTTAGGCTTTGGACATTGGCTATGTAACCATTCTCCCTGTTCCTTTCACCCTGAATGATTTTCAGCATCTCTATGCAATTTCCGAATGCAATGTCCCGGTAAACCCGTTCACACACTTGACATAGAAAAAAACGTTGTGTTTGTTTATACAACTGGCTCAGTGAACAAGGATGAGAAATTGAGTTATTTATTCGATGACTCAGGCCTTGGTTACTAAACTGGAATTTGCCTCTGTACCTTGAGGGAGTGGAGAAAAGAAATCAAATAGATTAAATGAGACTGTTTGTCTTTCTGTACTTCTGCCGGAAACGCTATGCATGGGATAATTAGGTCCCAGGAATAGGAAATCTGGCCATGAAATAAAAAATACAGACTTATCATCCATAAGAAGTGGCCAGGTTCTGGTCTCACCAAAATGTTTGATGTTAACAAATGTATTTATTTTCTAATCTAGAAAGTTCTTGGCACAAATGTTCAACCCCTCTTGGAATTACTCAGCCCTGTGATGATTTTGTGGTGCACATCTATCACTAGACAGCATCGTAATGTGTGTTTTTCCCATGTGAACACTATGTGGAAAGGGATCCATGAAATGCTATAACATGGAATGTAAAAAAGTTGGTTTCCATCTTCTGGGAAGATGCTGTCAGAAACAATATGTGATCTGGGAAATTGACTGATGGACAACAAATATTCATGTCACCATTCCAAACCCTGTCACTTCTATTCAAGAAGCACCTGAAGTATGTGTAAAGGGAGCAATGAATTCTCTCTCCTGCCCATGTTGCTTAAGTGCCTCATTGCCTCCCTACTTAAGAAATGCCTAGCAACTCAAAAGGCATTAGCATGTGTGCAATGAAACTTGATAAGTATTTATTATCAATAATCAAATGGCTAAGATTTTGTTTGTGTAATTATTTACACAGGACTGTGGAAACCTCAAAGCAATGTGGCTCATTACACCCACGATATCTCATACTCATATCTCAGGAAAGTTCTAAGAAGATTGCTTAATTCTTTAATGCATTTAGTAGCAGCTCACATTAGCAGTCATTTCCTAACTCTCTAGTTCCTATCCACTTTTGAAAAAAAAAGTAATTGATTTACAATGTCAATTAAGCATGTATCAGTGCATGCCATATTTTATCCTGGTCTTGTGTCACCCATCCCATTTCACAAAACCTATATGCACACATAGACATTATTTCCTGTCAGATGGGTGATATCGAGTAGATGCATTTATTCATGGCTTTTTTTTTCTAAGAAAGTACAACAGTTTATTGAATACCTACTATGAGTCAAGCAAGGTACATAGATCCTGATTTTCTAAATTATATACAAATATGCCAAGGCCACTGTCTTCCTGGGTCACAAGATGCTTCTTTCTTTTTCTGCTGCCCCCATCCCTGCCACTGCCTTGTGTTAATCAGAGAAGGCCCCAAACACAAGTAAAGTCCTCTTGACTTTAGGCACACAGGAAGGCACAAGATGATGGGAGAGGTGAGAGGCAGCACTGTCATTACTTGCCTCTATCTACAGACCCAGCTGGTGCTCTGCAGTATCACCCCAACAAATGGCCCTGCATCAGCTTCACATCCTGTCAATCAGCCTTCCTTGCAAGGCCTGGTCTCAGCTTCATCACATTTGTGCTTTCAGAGCCAATGACGTATTTCTCATTTTCTTTCAGGAAGGCTTGGAAAGATCTCATTTTCTTCTCCTTTAACTTCTACTCTAAAAATAAAATAAACCAAAAATACAAACTGAAAATCTGTCAGTCAGAAACAACCCATTCTTTGCTGTCGTACCAAGTGAGAAGCACTATGCTTTCCAATCCAATTCAATTGGTTTAAAAGTGCTTTTAGACTATTGCTTGAATTTTTCTTTTCAAACTACAAAAGTCATTTATGCTATGTTGGCTATTGAAGCAAATTAAATAATATAACAAAAACAGAGATATTGTGTTAAATATTTTGTTTATCTTTTCACACTTACCTTTTATTTCTTTTTATTTTTTGAGACAGTCTTGCTCTGTCACACAGGCTGGAGTGCAGTGGTACAATCACAAGTCTCTACAGCCTCAACCTCCTGGGCTCACACAATCTTCCTGCTTCAGTCTCCTGAGTAACAGGGACTACAAGCATGCACCACCACGTCCAGCTAATTATTTTTAATTATTATTTTTTTTTTTTGTAGAGACAGGGTCTCACTATGTTGCCCATACTGGTCTTGAATTATTGAGGTCAAGTGATGCTCCTGCCTCAGCTTCCAAAAGTGCTGGGATTACAGGAGTGAGCCATGGTGCTTGGCTGCATACTTACCTTTCTAGATCTCATGCCAATTACATGCACGCACCCACAATCTTACACACATACACATTTTCTTTAAAAAGATTTGAGCCACAAACTTTACTAGAAGAAATAATGTTGTAATAATTATTTCTGGATTTTTATTTAATTTAAATGAGAGTAAAGGAGGTATAGAAACAAAAATATATGAAACACCTAGTATGTGCAAAAATTTTTTTTTACTTACATTATTTATTTAATTCTTAAAATTGCCCTGTGGAGTAGATTCGATTGACTTCAATTTATAGATGAAGACACAGAAGCTAAGGGAGAGATAAAAAACTTACCAAAAGTCACATAGTTAATAAATGATAGAGTTAGGAGTTGGCACCCATTCTTTCCAACTTTAAGTTCCTTTTGCTACTCCATGTTCATTCTCTCAAAGACACTGTGCTAACTGCTGTGGAAAAGAAAAGGATGAATAAATAATGTCCTGGACGTTCTCTTTTGAAAGTCATTGTTAACTGAGGGAAGTTCTTTGTCACATTGCATAGGTGGCATTTAGTGGATGAAACCCAGGAGCTAAGTGTCTTGTCATGTGCAGCACAACCCCACACAAAAAAGAATTGCCCAGACAATGCTAACAGAACCCCTTTGAGAAGCTTTACACTGCAGGCTTACAATTGTGAGAAAAACATGGAAATGTAAACAATGGAACTGGGGAACAAAATTAAGTAAATGCTAAATTAAAATACCGTTTATTTTTAAAATACTGATGAACCTCTTGCTTTTCTAGGCTGATGGAGGTTTTGCCAGCTTGAACATGTAGTTTCCAAAATGACTCTGGTTATCAATATCCATCCAGTAGAAGGAGAAAGAGGAAGAAGATTGTGTGGTAGAAGACTGAATGAGCCAGTCCTGGAGTCCCTACTACTCATACTCCATTGGCCGGAACTCAGTCACATGGCCACATCTGACCATGAGGCAGTCTGGGAAATGGATTCCAGCTGTGTTCCAATGAGGAAGCAGGTTCGATGAAGATCTAACCAATCTCTCTCTCACAGAGGTATCAAAAAGCATTAAAGAAAGGCAGTGCTATTTTCCTTTCAAATTCTACTCCAACTCATTCTCTTACTCTGTAAATAGCTTCAGCATCTGCTCAACTTTCCACATTATTTCAGTCACTAAGTCTGTACTAGTCCATTTTCATACTGCTATAAAGAACTGCCTGAGACTGGGTAATTTATAAAAGAAAAAGGTTTATTGACTCACAGTTCAGCATGGCTTGGGAGGCCTCAGGAAACTTACAATCATGACAAAAGGTGAAGAGGAAGTAAGGCACCTCCTTCACTAGGTGAAAGGAAGGAGAAGTGTTGAGCGAAGGGGGAAGATCCCATTATAAAACCATCAGATCTCGTGAGAACTCTCACCATCACAAGAACAGCAGGGGGGAACAGCCCCCATGATTCAATTACCTCCACCTGGTCCCACCCTCCACACATGGAGATTATGGGAATTAAAATTTGAGATGAGATTTATGTGGGGAAAAGAGCCAAACCATATCAAAGTCCGTTTGTTTTCTCATTCATTTAACAAACATTTTCTGGCTATTAATCATTTTGCCAGGAACTGTGCTAGACACTGGGAACATAATAGTGAAAAAGACACAATATTTTATTATTAGTCAATGATAATGGACTGAAAGAAGAATATAGTTGACCCTTGAACAACGAGGGGATTAGGGACACTGACACCCTGTGCAGCTGAAAATCCATGTATAACTTTTGAATCTTCCAAAACAACTCATGCCTGTAATCCCATTACTTTGGGGAGGCCAAGGCAGGCAGGTCACTTGAGCCCAGGAATTTGAGACCAGTCTGGGAAAAATGGCAAATCCCTATCTCTACAAAAAAAATTCAAAATTATCCAGGCATGGTACTGCATGCCTGTAGTCCCAGCTACTTAGGAGGCTGAGGTGGGAGGATCGCTTGAGTCCAGACCCGAAAACTTAACTACTTATAGCCTACTATTGACCAGAAGCCTTACTGAGGACATTAACAGTCAATTAACACATATTTGTATGATATGTGTATTGTATACTGTATTCTTGTAATAAAGAAAGCTAGAGAAAAGAAAATGTTATTCAGAGAATCATGAAGAAGAGAAAACATACTTACTATTCATTAAGTGGAAGTGGATCATTATAAAGGTCTTCATCCTCATCATCTTCACATTGAGTAGTCTGAGGAACAGGAGAAAGGAGAGGGTTGGTCTTGCTGTCTCAGGGGTGATAAAGGTGGAAGAGGTAGAGGAGGTGGGAGAGGAAGCATATATTATATTATAAAAGTAGTATAGTATGTGCTACAGTTATTTTATGCAGTTATGATTTAATATGTGTTTACTTTTTTAACATTTCTCCGTACTGTAAATGGCACCATCTGTGATCTGTGTTTGTGTGTGCAAGTTTTGATTTTTTAACTTTTTATAATAGATTTGCATATATTTTGATATGATAAATGATAACAGACTAGTATCTGCATATATTTCATGCATTTCTAACATACCTTTTTCTTATTTTTTTGATATTTATAGGCCATGCAGTTCATCTGCAAGTTTTCTCTAATTGTCAAAAATCTCCAAAAATTTTTCCAATAGGTTTATTGAAAAAAATCCACATATAAGTGAACCTGCACAGTTCAAACCTATGCTATACAAAGATCAACTGTACAGTAAAGGTGATGTTTTCAAAATGTAAATCAGGTCATATTACTCTCCTGATTAAAAGTCTCCAAAAGTTTTTCCATTGCTCTGTAGGAAAAAAAATGTAAATGATTTGAAATGGCAAAAGAGATTACTGGGTGTTGTATTAGTCAGTTCTCACACTGCTAGTAAAGACAGACTTGAGACTGGGTAATTTATAAAGAAAAAGAGATTTAATGGACTGCCAGTTCCACGTGGCCAGGGAGACCTCACAATCATGGCAGAAGGCAAAAGAGGAGAAAGTCACATCTTACATGGCAGCAGGCAAGAGAGCTTGTGCAGGGTAACTCTCATTTATAAAACCATCAGATCTCCTGAAACTTATTCACTACGACAAGAACCACATGGGGGAAACTGCCTCCATTATTCAATTATCTCCACCTGGCCCCACCCTTGACACATGGGGATTATTACAATTCAAAGTGAGATTTGGGTGGAGACACAGGCAAACCATATTAGTGTGTTTTTAATGAGAATATTAGATGTTCTCTGGATGACCCTCTAGGATTATCTCATTCTATAGGATTTAGGCTTATTTTACAAGTCATAAATTGTAAAAAAAAATGTAATAATATAAATGATTCTTGCTTATAGAAATGCAAATGATTTTTCCTGGCAGAATACAATTGATTTCTACCCTGTGGAAAAGGTTATTCTAAGTCTTGAGTTGTATTGTCTTATAGCTATTAAGAGTTTTGCTTCTATTGGCAAATTTATTTCACAATTCCTGATTGTGTGTGTGTGTGTTTGTGTATTCTTCAGATATATTGATGTATATATATATATATCATATTCTGATTGAACCAGTTTAACATTTTACTGGTTTCCTTATTAATGAATGAACTAAATTACACTAGTGATGTGCATTCATTTCATATTTGTGGTAGAGTCATAATTTTAACTTTTGAAAATTATAGTTTAACAGCATTTAGAATAAAACCTGGACTTCCCATACTTTATTCACGTTCCACAATTTAAAGCCCTATAAAATCTAGGATTTGTTCCCTTCCCGACCTCATCTACTATTCCACCTCACCTTGCTCACTCTGCTCTTGCTCCCCTTCCCCTCTCTCCTTCCTCAAATACTCTCATGCATTATTCCTAGTTTCCACTTAGATCTCATCTCAAGTTTCCTGTCCTCAAAGAAGCTTTTCCTGTCAGGCTCAATCACATTGCCCTGTTTTAATATCTTCAAAAATGTTAGAATTATCTAAAAGTAACTTGCTCTTGTATTCACTTAGGTATTTGTTTTTATGTCCTTGCCTGTTTTGTTCACTGTTATATTTCCAGTGCCTAGCAGATGATCTAGCCAATAAATATTTTCCATAATTCTTTTTGGATAAAATAATTGACATAAAATAAAAGTAAAATGACTGTGTCCAGGAGACTATAAAAGAGGTTTCTCTGACTCATCTTGGGGCAACTTCAGCAGGCCTCTGCATCTGAGCTCTCCTCTCTTTCCTGAGGAAACTGCCATCTCTTCCCACTCTTACCCTAATCATTCGCTAACTGGTTTCTACTGACTGATGTTCCTCTCGTAGGCCATCCTTTACCTAGGGATTCCCAAGTCAGCTTTTTGTCACACAGCTTGTATTAGTCATGGTTCTCCAGAGAAATAGAACTAAGAGTATATATATATATAGATATTTGAGAGGGGATTTGTTAAGGGAATTAACTCACATGAGTATGGCAGCTGAGAAGTCCCGCAACAAGCCATCTGCAAGCTGAGATGCCAGTGTTGCAGGACTTTTTCCTTAGTTCAGCTAAAGACGGGGGTCCTTATCACACGGCCATGAAAATTTAGGCTCACAGACAATTTGAAGGGTGAATAGAATGGGATTTATTGGGCAGAAAGGAAAGAAAGGAAGAACAGGGACTCTCCACAAGGCCAGAGTCCCTGCTCCTGTGCTTCCTGCCTTGCAGTTTGAATCCTAGCTTCCACCCAGGAAGAGGAGGGGCCAGGTTCCTCCCCGCTGCAAACAGCACGAACTTCTGTGGCTCTGCCCAGTGCACATTCCTCCCAGTGAGCAGGCTGGTTGGAGTTTTTCCAGGGAGCCCTTCCCACCAGGCTGTCTTATTAGCATGGTTCAGTCCAAGTCAATGATGAAACTTAGTATGAGGCTGAACACCTGAGAACCTGAATGACTGCTGGTGCCAGTCCCTGAGTTGAAACCCAGAGAACTTGGAGTTCTGATAGGAGAAGAAAGGTGTCCCAGTTTCAGGAGAGAGAGAGTAAATCCCCCTTTCCTCTTTTTTGTTCTATCTGGACCTTCTGCCAATTGGATGTTGCCCACCCGCATTGGTGAGGGTGGATCTTTTTACTCAGTCCATTGAATCAAATGCCAATTTTTTCTAGAAACTTCCCCACAGACATAGCCAGAAATAATACTTAACCAGCTATCTAGGTATCCATTATTCCCACTGACACATAAAACTAATCCTCATACATGTCTTAGGGAGCTCTTAAAAATAAGAATTCCTGGCGTGGTGGCTCACACCTGGAATACCAGCACTTTGGGAGCCCTAAGCAGACTTACTTGAGGCCAGGAGTTTGAGATCACTTGAGGCCAGGAGTTTGAGACCAGCCTGGCCAATATGGCAAAACCTCATCTCTACTAAAAATACAAAAATTAGCTGGGTGTAGTGGCACACACCTGTAATCACAGCTACTTGGGAAGCTGAGGCATGAGAATCGCTTGAACCCAGGAGGCAGAGGTTGCAGTGAGCCAAGATTGTGCCACTGCACTCCACCCTGGCTGACAGAATGAGACTCCATCTCCAAAACAAACAAACAAACAAACAAACAAACAAACAAACAGAATTCCTGTGGCCTGTGCTGATCCCCAGGAGAAGCTGATGTGGCAAATCTGGTATCTTTATTTCTGATAAGCTGAAAAGGAGATCTGTGGTAGTCTGTGACAACATTTGGCAAACTAAAATGAATCTTAGTGAAAAATAAAAATGGATCACATCTCTTCCTTGTTCCTAAATCTTTGTGCCACCTCATTGCTAGCCCCATAATATTCCAATTATTTAGCTTAATAGACAAAGTCAGCCCCATTCTGGCCTCCATGTCTCTTTCCCATTGTGTCTTTCTGTCACTCCTTGCCTCCTACCATGTGGGCCTTTCAGACAGACACTGATGTCTCCCTTCATGGCCCCACATCTAACATATTCTGCTCTGCGCAGGACGACATCTTAATAGATATAAATCTATTCATCTTTCCATAGAGCTCCAGTGTGACATCATTGAACCTTCCTTGTGGCTTCATTCCTATGTATTTTCAGAGGTTTGTTGTTGTTGTTGTTGTTGTTAATAGTGCTGTAATAGCTTTTATCTGCTGTGTTAAAATATGTCAGTTTACTAGTTCCTCTCTTCCAGTGGACTGTGAGAATCCTTGAGGATAAGAATTGTGTCTTATTTATCCTTATCCTTATTTATCCTTATCTTATTTATCCTTATTTATCCTTATCCTTATTTTGCCCAGGTTAAGTGTTTGGTAAGTGTTTTGATAAATAGAAAAATGATGGGAAAGATGCTATTTTCATTGAACTTTGAAAAACAATGAGAAGGTAAACAAAATAGAACAGGGAAAATGACATTCTTCAAATAGTGAGCAGAAAGACATGGAAGAACCAAAGGCTAAGGGAAGATGCTTATGGGAATGACAAGTGTTTAGTGAGAAGGAGCCTGGACTACTGGGGCATCAAAGTGGGACACAATAGCGCGACAAGGACTGGCTGTCCTTGCAAGTTGAGAATGAGGCATGAAAGTTCAGGTTTTGTTTATAAGCAAAGTTATAGAGCTAAGGAGTTTGATTTTTCTCTCTTGAATGTTAGTCCCATTCTTCCACTGAGGAATAAGTAACAAGAATCACATTGTCATTTTAGCCTTGTCAGCAGCGAGTGCTCCACTGCACTATAAGTCTGATAAGAACAGTGGAAGAGACATTAGCTATAAATGTTGGCAAGAATTATCATTGTTCAGACTTCTGCAACTGCTCTCATCAAGATGTTGGGGGAATTGCCCCACTTCACAGACAGTACACCTGGAGCAGGGTGGGAAATGGCAGGGGCAAGGGGATTAGAGCTCCTAATGAAAAGAAGGACTCATGAGAATAAAGAGGGCAAACTCATGTGGGGGACAAGGAAAATCGATGAATTTAAATCAGATTATACCCCTATTATCTACCAATATGCACTTGAATTGGTCTGAAAGGAAAACCATAAGAAATAACCTTTTACATGGTGCTGGCATGTTAAAATAGAACCATGGTTTCCTTCCTCCTCTTAATTGCATCTCAGGGCATCCCACATTGACGCTTCTCAGATGTTCATTCTCAGGGCTGTTCAAGGCCACGCCTAACTAGGACTCTGGTATAGCACACACTGGATTCCAGGCAAACTTCCAAGTGTTTTGGACACATTCACTTACTTCCCTCCGCAACAGTCCTGTAAAGTGAAGAAAGTGAGGCTCAACTTGGTTAAGTGATATAGCAAGATCACAGATTTCCTTCAGAGATTTGAAAGATGAAGGAGACAATCTGACACTTTGGAATCCCAGGTGCCTTGAACACCATATATTTCATCTAATTTAAGACCACAAATTTTTATGATTGATCATTATTTTATATACCATGACAAAGATTGGGGGAAAAGGGGTCTGCCAATTAACCTACAATGCACTATTGTATAATAGAAACATTTCTATTCAAATATGTCAAAATGTTATGAAAAAAATGTGTATTTTAAAGTTAACGAAATAAGGTGTATTGGGCAGAATTATCTTAGCCTCTTTGTCTACAACTACCTGTCATGAGAACATAACTAGCACTAGCATGGAGCAGAATGTTATGTTTAAAAGAATATCCCAGAAAGGTGAGCTTATTGTATGATTTTTTTATGTGGGTCCAGGGTGTTTTTTAAAATATATATTTTAAATTAAACTAGAGTTTGGCATGAAGTTTTTTGATTATGGATATTTCCATTTTTGGGGGCTGAAAAAATGTTTTCTTCCCCTATCAAATTTAGAATACTTGGAATCTTCAGTAAAAAATAAAGCTAAAGATTTGGTTCTGATTGCTCAAAGACAGCGTATCAGCAAAACATGCTTTATACAATAATTTGCATGAGGCAGAATGTGTCTCTGCATCTTAAAGAGGTTTCTGTAAATAGTGGATTGGTACAATTTCAACAAACTCCAAAGAGCTTATATACCAACCACCTTGTTGTGTGAGTATAGTGCAAAAAAGAAAAAAAAAAAGGACATAAAAGCCAAATATAAATGGACATATTATTATTATTAGAGACAAGGTCTGGCTCTATCACCCAGGCTGGTGTGCAGTGGTGCCATCTCAGCTCACTGCAATCTCCACCTCCCAAGCTCAAGCCATCTACCCACCTCTACCTCCTGAATAGCTGGGACTAAAGGTGTGAGCCACCACACCCAGCTAATTTTTGTATTTTTATAGTAGAGACGGGGCTTTCACCATGTTGCCCAGACTTGTCTCAAGCTCCTGGGCTCAAGTGATCTGCTCACCTCAGCCTCCCAAAGTGCTGGGATTACAGGCGTGAGCCACTGTGCTTGGCTAACACCTAATTATTTTAACATAAAAAAATCATGAAACAAACAAGAAATCAAATTATAAATTAAAAAATTTTAGTGGTAAAAAATAAGACTAAAATATGTCAACACATGTAATAGAGTTAAATGGTACTTGGGGAAGATTTTAGAACCTTGTATATAAAATTCAGAGTAAAAAACCTGAAAACATAATAAATAAAATTTCCAAGTCAAGAAGTTAGAAAAAGAACAGAAAGTAAAAAGGAAGCAAAATGAAGGAAATAAAAATACCAAGATCAGATATTAAGAAAATAGAATGCAAACAAAAATAAATAAATCTATGATGTGTTTGGTTGCAAAGATTTATAAAATAAATAAAACTTTGACAATACTAATCAGCGCAAAAAGAGAGAAGGCACCAAAAAATAATATGAGAAAATAGAAAAGGACACTTAACTAGAGGTAACATTGTTTTTTTAAAAAATACTATGAACAATTTTATAACATGAAATTTGAAATTTTAGGAGAAAGGGTAACTTTCTGTTTTTAAAACATATTAAAAATCTTTAAAAATTCTAAAAATTATAGCCATCAGGTAAAATAATCAGTATTATAAAATCAATTCTTTAAAAAATAAAGCAAACAAACAAAACAACAATGACAAAACAAACTGGTTTTATAGGCAACTTTACGAAAACATCAGAGAAAATGTCTGTATCATCTAAAAATTGTTTTAGAATATAGAAAAATTAAGAAAGTATTCCAATATATTTTATGAGGAAAGTATACCTGATGGTAAAAATAAGTCAATATCAGTCCAAAAAAGTACCATTTTAGTCATTCTAATTTATAAGTAGATTCAAAAAATTAAATGTTTAACAGCCTAAATTCACTAATTGAAAAATAAGGAACAATAATGTATTATTAATGATTAGATTTATTTTGGAAAGATATTTTATTTAACAATTGAAGAATTAATCAATGAAGTTTACCGCATTAACACATTAACAAAAGAATCATCTGAATAGATTTCAAAAAGCATTTGTACACTCAAATGCCTATACATTATAATCTTATCAACTTGATTTGTGTTAATTAAAGGTAACTATAAACTTATAATGCATGTATATTATATATATATAATGCACATATATTCTCATTAAAGCCAGAAAAAACAAATTTTTTTTTTTTTTTTTTGAGATGACGTCTCACTCTGTCTCCCAGGCTGGAGTGCAGTGGCTCAATATCAGCTCACTGCAACCTCTGCCTTCTGGGTTTGAGCAATTCTCCTGCCTGGCCTCCTAAGTAGCTGGAATTACAGGCATGTGCCACCATGCCCAGCTAATTTTGTATTTTTAGTAGAGACAGGGTTTCACCATGTTGGCCAGGCAGGTCTTGAACTAATGACCTCAGGTGATCCACCTGCCTCCCAAAATGCTGGGATTACAGGTGTGAGCCACCACACTAGGCCAAATGAATTTTTAAAATTATTTTTCTATTTAGCACTTAATTTGAGATCTTAGCCGGTGCAATGACATAAGAAAAATAAAATGCAATATAAGAAATGGAAAGGAAAGAACACAAATCTTATTTTTACATGCTAAGATTATTTGTATAGGCAATTCAACATCTACATGAAAATTATAAGAACTAATAATCAAAATTGTTGGATACAAGATTATTACATTAAAAAATCAAAGCAGCCCTATACATTAGCAACTAAAAATAATGTTTAGGAAAAATAATTTGCTTATAATACATATTACATTACATCAAAGCAATGAGAAACATAGAAATAAATTTAACAAAAGGCATCATTGTAGGAAGTAAACTAAACTAATTTATTGAATTAGATAAAAGAAAACATAGAGTAAATAGGATAATAAACTACAGTCATCCATTGGTATCCATAGGGAATTAGTTCCTAGACCCTCCATTGATATCAAAATCTGCAGATGCTCAAGTACTTTATATAAAATGGTGCAGAATTTGCACATAACCTGCACATATTCTCCCATTTACTTTAAGTCATATCTAGGTTACTTATAATATCTAATACAATACAAATGCTATGTAAATAGTTGTTATACTACATTTTTAATTTATTATTATTATTATTTTTTCCAAATATGTTGAATCGTGGTTGGTTGAATTCACAGAACCCGCAGATACAGAGGGCCAATTGTATGTTAATGTGTGAATGGGAATGCTCAATATTATAAAGATGGACATTATTTTCAGATTAATCTTTAAACTCAATATAATCATAATGAAAATCACTACAGAGTTATGGACAGAATTCGACAGAATGAGCCTAAAATTTATATTAAAGAATTAAGAGTCAAAAAAGACAAAAAAAATTTGAAAGGAAAGAATAATAAGGGGAATTTACATGATCAATATTAATATTGTTTATAAAATTGTTATATTTAAAACAGAATATTATTGGCACAGATCTGGATCAAAAGAACAAAGTACCCTAGAAAGAGGCTCATGAATGTGCGACAACTTGCTATGTAACAAAAGTGGCATTAAAAATAGTAGGGAAAGGATAGATTGGTTTAAAAATGGTCCTAGACTTCAGATTGGTTTAAAAATGGTCTTAGACTTCAGAGACATCTGATGCTGGATTGAGCAAACATCAGGCTATACCTGCAGAGTCTAGAGGTGTTATTTGGTCCTGCTTACATTTCTTGCTAGAGGGTTGGACTGCACTGATGCTGTGCCATAACTGACTGACTCCCTTGTTCATCAACAGTAGCGCCGCTCTCCCCTTATTCCAAGAATTCATCAACGGGGCTGTTCCAAGGATAAAATAGTAGGTAATTTTATGTCTTGACTCATTTTCCTTTAAAGCCTCACGTGTACATAGGTCCAAAGTTGTATATCTTTCATAGAAGCACAATGAAGTGAATATTGCAGCAAGTAGTGGGATATGTTTTTCATGGCCTTTCCTGTTTCCCAAAAAAGCAGCCCCAGCCGGGTGCGGTGGCTCACGCCTGTAATCCCAGCACTTTGGGAGGCCAACGCAGGTGGATCACCTGAGGTCGGGAGTTTGAGATCGGCCTGACCAACATGGAGAAACCCCATCTCTACTAAAAATACAACATTGGCCGGGCATGGTGGCACATGCCTGTAATCCCAGCTACTCGGGAGGCTGAGGCAGGAGAATCGCTTGAACCCGGGAGGTGGAGGTTGTGGTGAGCCAAGATCACGCATTGCACTGCAGCCTGGGCAACAAGTGCGAAACTCCATCTCAAAAAAAAAAAAAAAAAAAAAAAATCAGCCCCAACCCTGGAAAGCTATTGAGAAAAGTTCCTTAGGAGTGAGGTCTTCCTATGCTAGTCTGAATCTGTTCTTTCCCATGCCTGGGGAGCAAGGGCACAAAGAGACCAAAAGGAAAACTCAGGTTGGAAGCAGTCATGTAGATTTTTGTTAGGGGATATATATATACATATTTTCCTCCCAAATTTGGTCCTGAAATCGTGATTATTTGATTATTTTCTTAATGAAAATTTAAAAAATTAAGTCCCTATATCATACACACATATATACACATATACAGATACACAGTCAGGGTTCTCCAGAGAAACAGAGCCTATAGAATAAGTGTGTGTGTGTGTGTGTGTGTGTGTGTGTGTGTGTGTACACAGACAGAGAGAGAGACAGATTATGGGAATTGGCTCACATGATTTTGGAAACTGAGTCCCATGATCTGCCATCTGAAAGCTAGAAAACAAGGAAAGCCAGTGGTGCAATTCAGTGAGTTTGAAGGCCTGAGAACCAAAGGTCTAATAACTCAATGGGGTACCTCCCAGATGAATTGGAAAGCCTGAGAACTAGAGAGATGATGGTGGGGGTGGGGTCACTGGTACTAGTCCTGGAGTCCAAAAGCCTGAGAACCAGGAGCTCCAATGTCCAAGAGCAAGAGAAGATGGATGTTATAGCCAAGCAAAAAATGTGACTTTTTTACCCTTCATGTCCTCAAAAGATTAGATGAGGCCCACCCACATTGGTGAGAGAGATCTTCTTTACCCAGTCTACTGATTCAAATGCTAATGTCCTCCAGAAACACCTTCACAGATACATCCAGAAGTAATGTTTTACCAGCTACTTGGGCATCCCTGAGGCCAGTCAAGTTGACACATAAATTAACCATCATACATACATTACTGGAATCCTTATCTTAGTATAGGAAAGAATTTGTCAAACAATATACAAAACCCACACACCTTCAAGGAAAATATTGGCATATAGATATATTAAAACTTTAAACTTGTACATGGACAGAGAAAAAAGACAAGGAGAAGATGTTTACAATGCATATAACTAACTTTACATGACTCCTACAAATCAATAAGCCATATTGCCCATTAGAAAAGTATGCAATGGACATAAACAGGCAATTCACAAATGAATAAATATAAATTGTCAATAAATATATAAAAACCTGCTTAAGTTTATGAGTAAGCAGAAAATCCATATTAAAACAATAAAAAGTTACTATTTTGTTACCCCAAAATTGGCAAAAAATGTTTAAAATCCGATAATAGCAAATATTGGCAAAAGTGAAGGGAAGTAAAAACGTTCATTCAGAACTGATGGGAAAATTAATGGATACAATTTATATTCCATTTTGAAGAGGAATTTGGCATATCTAGTAAAGTTGAGGACATATTTGTAGACCTTTTTTTATGGATAACTCCTGAATAAGCACACGGAAGACAGGGTAAAATGTTCAAAGCGGTAGAAAAAATATAAATGGTGGTATGTTCACAGCATTTAAAATGGATCAAGATTTCAAAATATAATGGTGAGTCAAAAAAGCAACTTGCTTTTTCTTTCCAAGTTGTGGATTAGAGGCTTTTAGCATGCCTTGGCTACTTGGAAATAGTAAGATAGTACATAGAGATCAACTCTTTTAGTTTTAATTCAAGAAGGAAAATGAGAATCCACCAAAATCATGAAGGACACCCCAGATCCCAGAGAGGAGAACGTGAGCAAACAGGCCCTGTCACAGCATCCAGCTGATAAAAGTGAGTAAAGCCCCAGTACTTGAGAGAGGCCGGGAGCCTCCCTCTGTGACTCACCTTTCCACGGGATCCGAGCAACCCAGGCTGAGGAAGAGTGCTTTGTTTCCCCCAAGCCCCTGAGCTATCTTGGGGATAGACTTGGAGGTGCTGAGAGAGAAAGACACTGGGAAAAGCTGCAGGCATTTTCCCTGACCTGGGACAGAGAACAGGAAGCCACCTTTAACCCAGGCACACACAAAATCAGCCATTCTTTGGTGACCCAGCAATATAGCCATGCAGGCATTTTTGTTTTAGGCCAGAGATTGGAAAATTGTTCTAAAATAGGGTAGGGACACACACAGCCAGAATTGCAGTAAATGCCTCAGCTGTAGGCACTGGAATGGTGCTTTCCCCCGTTGTAGGCCTGGGGCAGCTGCAATTTATCCTGGGCCACAAGACCTGCAGCCAGGGCCAGCATGGTGACCTAGAACTAGTCTCATGTATCATTGCTGGGTGCCCCAGCCTGCTCCTCTGAAATCACAGTACAGTAGAGACCCGTCGGGTCCACCTCCAGGAGGATCTCCAGGCATTCTGTACTCACCTGGTTCAGTTGCCTAAGCAACTCCACCTTTCTTGGGCATAGATCATGGTTAAGTGGGCCCTTCTGCTTCACGCCAAGGCAGATATCCAGGCGTTAAGAGCACCTGCTTGTATGGACTAGCAACTTGAGGTGCCACACTCTTCCTGTGGGGAGATCTTGGTGCAGTAGAGCCCTCTCTGTTCAATGTCCAGGCAGATCTCCAGGTATTCAGAGCACATGCTCACCTGGATCACCAGTCTGACCCACCCCACCCTTCCTGGACATAGAATGTGGTACAGCAGTGCCCTCCCCATTCCACTCCCAGGTAGCTCTCCAGACATTCAAAGCACTGGCTCATCCACATTGGTAGCCCAAGCTGCCCCACCATTCTGTGCAGAGATTCTGGAGCAAGGATGCCCTCTCTGCTTCATGCTCAGGCAGATCTATGAGTATTTGGAGCTCCTTCTTGCCTGGTTCAGCAGCCAGAGTCACCCTACTCTTCCTATACAAAGATCTTGGTGCAGGGAAGCCCTCTCCCCTCCATGCCCAGGTAGATTTCCAGACATTCAGAGCATCTGCTCACACAGATTGGCAGCCTGAGTGGCCCTACCCTTCCTGCACAGAGATCATGGTGCAGCAGGACCATTTCTACTCCATACTCAGACAGATCTCCAGGTATCTGGAGCATTCGCTCACCTGGACCAGCAGCCCGAGCCAACTCACTCTTCCTATATAGAGATTATGGTGCAGCAGGGCCTTCACTGCTCAGCGCCCAGGCACTCAGAGCACCTAGTCCCTAGATCAGCATCCTGAGCCAGCCCACTCATCCTGCACAGCAACTGTGGTGAAGCAGGGCCCCCTCTGCCCCATACCCACCCAGACAAATCTTTGGGCAGTTGGAGGACCCATTCATCTGGATTACCAGTCTGAGCTGGCCCACCCTTCCTGTGCAGAGATTGTGGTGGAGTGGGGCCTTCTGCATTCTGTGCCCTGGCAGATCTCTTGGCAAATGGAGCACTCACTCTCCTGGATTAGGAGTTTAGGGACCCCACTCCCCGCTGCCATCCATGCAGAGAACTGGGAGCTGAGGTTTTCTAGCCCCATGCCTGAGCATACCTCAAGGCACTTGTTGGTCACCCATTGGATTCTCCCTTACTACTAGTGCTTGTACCTGCTATCAGGCAGTCTATATGTGTGCCTGCTGACCTGGGCCTGCCCATCTTGTCTGCTGCCCCTGGGGCAGAGCAGGGAGCTCAGACCACTGTGTACTCCACAGATCAGACCATTCATTGCCTGAGGCAACAGAAAGCACCTCTTGAAAAAAAGATCAAATATATACCTAGCCATGTTGGCCGCAGTCAGCTACTGGTTTGTAGGTCAAAACACACAACCCAATATAAAATCTGCCAAAAGAAGTACATAGGGGTATAGAAGCAAAGCCAAAAGACCCTACCCAACGTTCTCTACAGTCACACCTTCTAGGGCATGGAGGAAAGAGAAAAAGAAAGAAAAAAGCAACAATAATATTACAGTGAAAGAAAGAAAAAGAAAAAATACTACCCACATGAAAATAATTGTAAAAGTTAGAAGTATCGGCATCTCCAAGTGAGCAGAAAGTAGCACAAGAATTCTGGCACCACAAAAATTCTGAATGTAGTGACACCACCAAAGGATCACACTAGCTCTCCAGCAATGGTCCCTAATCTAAATGAAAACTCATAAATGATGGATAAAGAATTCAAAGCATGAATTGCAAGGAAGCTCAAAGAGATCCATGACAAGGATGAAAATCAGCACAAAGAAACTTCTAAATCAATCCAGAAAATGAAGGAAGAGATAAACATCTTAAAAAGAAACCAATCAGAGCTTCTGGAATTGAAAAACTTTCTTGAGGAATTTCAAAATACAAATGAAAGCTTTATCAATAGACTGGACCAAGCAAAAGACAGAATTTCAGAGCTTGCAGACCAGTCTTTAGATCTAACCCAGTGAGATAAAAATAAAGAAAAAATATATTTTTAAAATGAACAGTCTTAAAGAAATATGGGATTATGTAAAGAGACCAAATCTATGAATTATTGGCATTCCTGAGAAAGAAGGATAAAAAAATAAACAACCTGGAAAACATTTTTGAGGAAATTATTCAAGAAAATTTCTCTAATCTTTCTAGAGAGGTAGACATACAGATACAAGAAATCCAGAGAACACCTACATACGAAATGAATATCATCAAGGCATATGGTCACCAGACTGTCCAAGGTCAACACTAAAGAAAAAATCTTAAATGCAGCTAGAGAAAAATGTTAGATTACCAACAAAGGGAACCCCAGGCTAACAGTCTACCTCTCAGAAGGAACTTTACAAGACAGGAGAGATTGGGGGCCTATTTTCAGCATTCTTAAAGAAAAGAAGTTCCAACCAAGAATTTTATATCCTGACAAGCTAAGCTTCATAAACTAAACTAAACTACAATCTTTTCCACATAAGCAAATGCTAAGGGAATTCATTAGCATGAGACCAGCCTTATGAGAGACCCTTAAGGGACTTTTAAATGTGGAAACAAAAGAAAGATACCTGCTGCTATAAAAACACACTTAAGCACATAACCCACAGACCCCACATAAACTACAAAGCAACCAGCTAATAACTTCGCAATGTGATAAAAACCTTACTTATCACATTAAGTTTGAATGTAAATGGTCTAAACACTGACTCCACTTAAAAGGCAGAGAGTTGCAAGTTGGATAAAAAAATAAGACCCATCTAGTTGCTGATTCCAAGAGACCCATCTTACATGTGCTAACACATTTAGGCTCAAAGTAAAGGTTGGAGAAAGATCTATTATGCAAATAGAAAACAAAAAAGAGCAAAGGTTTCTACTCTTATATCAGATAAACAAATTCTAAGTCAACAACAGGAAAAAAGGACAAAAAGGGACATTGCATAATAATAAAACTTTCAATTTAACAAGAAGACTTAACTATCCTAAATATATATGCATCCAATATTGGAGCACTCAGATTCATAAAACAAGTACTTTCAGACCAACAAAAAGACTTGGACAGCCACACAATAATAATGGTGGACTTCAACACTCTACTGACAGCATTAGACAGATCACTGAGGCAGAAAACTAACAAAGAAATTCCGGACTTAAATTTGACTCTTGACCAATTGGACTTAATAGATATCTGCAGCATACTCCACCTATCAACCACAGAATATACATTCTTCACATCTGCACACAAAACATACTCCTACACTGACAACGGGCTTGGCCATAAAGCAAGTCTCAAAAAATATTTTAAAATATAGAAATCATACCAACCATACTCTCAGACCATAGTGGACTAAAAACAGAAATCAATACCAAGAAGGTCTCTCAAAAACCACACAATTACATGAGAATTAAGCAATTTACTCCTGACTTATTTTTGGGTAAACAATGAAATTAAGGCAGAAATTTAAAAAAATATTTGAAATAAGTGAAAACAGACACAAAATACCAACATTTCTGGGATGCAGCAAAATCAGTATTGAAAAGAAAGTTTATATCACTGAACACTTACCTCAAAAAGTTAGAAAGATCTCAAATTAATGCTGTAACATCACACCTGGAGGAATCAAACAAGAACAAACTAACTCCAAAGCTGGCAGAAGAAAAAAAACAACTACAATCATAGTGAAACAGAATGAAATTGAGACCCAAAAATCCATAGAAAGAATTAATGAAACCAAAAGTTGGTTTTTTGAAAGAATAAACAAGATCAATATACTGTTAGCTAGATTAACAAAAGAAAAAGAGAGAAGACCCAAATAAGGACAATCAGAAATGACAAAAGTGGTATTACAAAAGATCCTGCAGAAATACAAAATATCCTCAGAGATCATCATGGACATTAGGAGAAGGGACACCTCCCTAACTCATTCTATGAAGGCATCATCACCCTGATACCACAACCTGGCAAAAACACAATGAAAAAAGAAAACTATAGTCCAACATCTGATGAACGTGGAGGCAAAAGTCCTCAACAAAATACTAGCAAACAGAATCTAGCAGCATGTCAAAAAGTTAATTCACCATGATCAAGTAGGCTGCATTCCTGTGATGCAAGGTTGTTTCAACATATGTAAATCAATTAATATGATTCACCACATAAACAGAATTAAAAATAAAAATTATAGGATAATCACCATAGATGTGGAAAAAGCCTTTTATAAAATCGTGTATCCCTTTATGATAAAAACCTGCAACAAACTAGTATTGAAGGAACATACCTCAAAATAATAAGAGCTGTCTGTCACGAACCCACAGCTAACATCATATTGAATGAGCAAAAGCTAGAAGCATTCCCCTTGAGAACTGGAACAAGACAAAGATGCTAACTGTCACCACTTCTATTTATTCAACATAGTACTGGAAGTCCTTGCCAGAACAATTAGGCAAGAGAAAGAAATAAAATGCATCCAGATTTGAAAAGAAGAAGTCAAACTATTTTTCTTTGCTGATGATAGGATTCTATAGTTAGAAAACCCTAAAGACTCCATCAAAAGGCTTCTGGAACTAATACATAACTTCAGTAAAGTTTCAGGATACAAAGCAATATACAAAAATCAGTAGTATTTCTATATACTAATAATGTTCAAGGTGACAGCCAATAAAACATGCAATCCTATTTACACTAACCAGCAAAAAAATTAAAATATCTAGAAAATCATCTCTCCAAGGAGGTGAAAGATCTCTACAAGGAGAACTACAAAACAGTGCTGAAAGAAATCATAGATGACGCAAACAAATAACAAAATATTCCATACTCACGAATTTGAAGAATCAATATTGTTAAAATGGCCATACTGCCCAAAGCAATCTACAGATTTAGCACTATGTCTATCAAACTACCAATGTCATTTTCACAAAATTAGAAAAAAAACTATTCTAAAATTCAAATGGAACCAAAATAGAGCCTGAATAGCTAAAGCAACCCTATGAAAAGAGAACAAAGCTGGAGGCATCACATTACCTGACTTCAAGCCATACTATAAGGCTGTAGTAACCAAAACAGCATGGTAATGGTACCAAAGGAGACAGGTAGACCAATGGAACAGAATAGAGAACCCAGAGGTAAAGCCTCACATCTACAGCAATCTGATCTTTGACAAAGTTGACAAAGGTAAGCACTGGGGAAAGGACTCCCCATTCAATAAATTGTCCCGGGTTAGCTGGCTAGCCATATGAAGAAGAATGAAACTGGACCCCTACCTTTTACCATATGCAAAAATTAACCAAGTTAAAGTAAAGATTTAAACATAAAATGTCAAACTATAGGAATACTAGAAGAAAACCTAGGAAATACCTAGGAAACACTCTGGACATAGGGCTTTGGAAAGAATTTATGACTAGGTTCTCAAAAACAGTTGCAACAATAACAAAAATTGAACAGTGAGACCTAATTAAAGAGCTTCTGCACAACAAAAGAAACTATCAACAGAGTAAACAGACAACCTACAGAGTGGGAGAAAACCTCTACAAACTGTGCATCTGACAAAGGTTTAATACCCAGAATCTGTAAGGAACTTTAACAATTCAACAAGCAAAACACAAATTACTCTATTAAAAAGTGGGCAAAGGACACGAACAGACACTTCTCAAAAGAAGGCATACAAGTGGACAACAAACACATGAAAAAATGTTCCACATCACTAATCATCAGAGAAATGCAAATCAAAACCACAATGAGATATCATCTCACACCAGTCAGAATGGCTATGATTAAAAAGTCAAAGAACAGCAGATGCTGGCAAGACTGTGGAGTAAA
Source organism: Homo sapiens (assembly GCF_000001405.40). Taxonomy (NCBI): domain Eukaryota; kingdom Metazoa; phylum Chordata; class Mammalia; order Primates; family Hominidae; genus Homo; species Homo sapiens. The sequence continues at coordinate 221,509,816 of NC_000001.11, forward strand.
GGGAACACTTATAAGCTGTTGGTGAGAATGTAAATTAGTTCAGCTACTGTGGAAAGCAGTTTGGATATTTCTCAAAGAACTTAAAACAGAACTACCTTTTGACCCAGCAATCCAATTACTGGGTATGTACCCAAAAGAAAATATGTTAAGCAAATCTAGAAAAAGAAGAAAAGACTTAAGTGTCCAGAGTTGTCAATACGAATTAAGGGTATGAACTTTAAAAATGGAATAATTTCTGAAGGCCAACTTAGCCTATTTCACAATTTTGCTTAAGTTACATGTTCCAACAAAACATTACACACACTCGCTCAGCTGGAGAGAGCCTGTTAAGAAATATCACAAAACTTATCAGCCTAACCAGCACCTACCAAGAAGCTCCAGGACTCCCCAGCTGGAGAAGGGTTTCCTCTAATTTGCTTTAGAGCTCTGGAATTTACAGATACTACTATGTGGACCTGGTGCAAAATTCCTAGCTCAGAGTTGTAGCTTTTTTGTAATGTGGAGAACAAAGAAACTGATTTAAAAAAAAAAAAAATCAGAGAACACTGTAGCTCTTCATCATCCTGCATTCTGTGTGCAGAAAGTACCCCAAATGGTTTACAAGAAACTATGCCCACAAAAAGATAATAATAAAAACAACAATGATAGCTCCTGTTTACTGCACATGTACTACTTTATATGCACTATCTCCTTCTTTGTTCATATCAGCCCTATGAGACAGGTGCCTTTGTTGTCTCTACTTGATAAAAGAGGAAACTAAGAATCATATAAAGTTTAAATAACTTGTCCTTAGTCAAACAGCCACTGAGGAGCAGATTTAAACCCACCTGATTCCAGTTTAGACTCCTTACCACAAGTCTATACCGTATAATGTGTATGGGAATCTTTCTCGACTTCTGAAAGACTTCTGAAAGAAGGAATTTTAACGGCTTTTAAACTTGAGTCTTATCTTTTTGTTTCTTTTTCTAGTATGATTGCAGGACTACAAACAGAGAACATTTGCAGAGCCATAATTTTCTACCATACTGATAGGCCCACTGATGAACCTTTACAGTCCTCCTCTTTGAGCCATGCTTCCTGCTTCCGTGGGCCAAGTTTATGCTTCTGAGCTCCTGACGAGTGCTTCTGCAACTGATCCACATGCACATAGCCAGGTGCCCTATGTGCATGTAGAAAATAAGCCAGACAGGGCATGGACTTTGCACTCTGAGCACAGAGCAGACAGGACAAAGTTCTACAGCAAAATGCTGGGACACCCCAAAAAAACCCTCCACTCTTAGACTATGCAGCCAGAAACCTGGTTTCCTTAGAGAGTGGTTCTGAATTTCACTTCCCAGGAGGAGGATGACTTCAGAGCTGCAATATTTGGAGTGTGGCAGAGCAGAGATCAAATGGGTAGGGTGCTACAGGGATTGATGGCTATCTTGCAGGAGTTAGAGGAGGGAGATGCACTTGGCTCAGATGCTGAGTGTCTGAAGTCAGATCCCAGACCCCATGTGAGTGAGCAAGTGCAGAGATAAGCAGTGAAGGTTGAGCCCTTAAGGGATGCCCACAATCAACTGTTAATGAAAAGGGAAGAAAGGGAAGCTCAGAGCCTCAGCCAGCCCTGGTAGCCTGGCTCTGAGAAAGACTGGGGTCCTCCCCGAGCTGTGCTGTCTGTGGGGACTCTATGGACCACTGTCTTTTCCAAGGACACATTCAGTTCTGTACCACACAGCTGCCTTCATACTTATATTGGTTCCCTCCTTTTTCAGGACCAGGAAGATGGGGTAAGTCAACCCACACATATTTATTACGCACTGTCTATTTTCGTGAGCTCCAGGGCTGTATTCGCCACTGTTCATGAGATATCTCTGTCTAGAAATCTTGCTGACCCCTGAAAGTATTCAAAATGGAATTATATTTCATCCCAAATATCTTTCCCTATTTCAGTGAATGGCATCATAGCCACAGGCTGAATAACTTCATAGGATTTTATTCCTACCTCATCATTGTCCCCACACCTGTTCAGTTGCAAATGTGACAGGTTTAATGGTGAAATCTTTCTCACTTCCATCCCCCTTACCTCTGTTTCCATTGTCTGCAGGCTAACTCAGGCCCTCATTATCTCTTATCTAGACCATGCTGACTGCCTCCTAATTGATCTTCCTGCAGCACATTCTTCTGCCTCCAGCATATCTCATCCACTGTTGCCAGATAAATCTTACTAAAGCAGGGCCCAGATGGTGTCACTTCCCTGCTCTGATGCCTTTGAAGACTCCCCACGGCCTAGAGAATCAAGAACAGACTCTTCAGCGTGCTCTGTGAGGCCCTTGAGATCTGGGCTCATTACTCCAAGACCTCTTCCCTTCATGCACCTTCGCCCCTCTGTTTGTTAGTGTGGCAGGTCTTCGCTTAAGCTTTCTTTTACCTACAGTGTTTTTCCACCAACTGTAAGCTTTTAAACCTTACCTAATCTTTCAGGGCTATCAGATGTGATGTTTGCATAAACACTTCCCTGAATCCCTCCGGTTACAAGTGAACATTACTACTTTGGATTTTGTGGCATTTATTGCTTTTTTTTTTCTGTCGCATTCATTTATTCAACAGGTAGCAAATGCCTTGACGATTTTTTTTAAAAGGGGCTCAATGAATAGCTGTTTAATTCTTTTTTTTTTTTTTTGGCCATTTTACCACTTTCTGTTACTAATGAGGAAGATGTCATAAGTTGCTTGACTTATGTGGTATAATGTGGCTGTTTTCCTGAAACATTATTGAATTAAACTCTGAAGTCAAGGGCTCAAACAAACTTTAAAATAAAAAAAAATATTTAAGAGAAGTTTATAGTCCACCATTGTCATTGTTCCTTATGCTAACCATGGAGCAAAACATATTTTGAGTGCTACTGACAACTCTGTCTTCCATGACAATCTTCTCATTTTACTCTTCTTTCTTATGGGTCCTATCTGTAGATGGAGTGTGAAGGAGAAGTAGTACTTACCATTCTAAGAATTCATGCTAATGTAATTTGGACAGGCATGACTTCAAAGCCTACAGATGCTTCATCATCACCAAACACTTCTGAAAACATAACACAGGTCAGAGTTTTCCCTAAGCCATTTTTTAAGGTTGGCTTTGATCCTTCCAGCAGTCACTGGGTAACACTTCTAATCTTAATGTACCGGGAAAGATGCAATAGTATGCACATTCTTCAAAGCAGGAAAGTTACATATTCTGGTCATTACAGATTTTCTTTCTTCACAATATTCTGCGATACTTCCTGAAAAGACAGTTGGCCTTAAATTCAAATGCAACTCTGGATTAACTAGCATCTAATAGGGAAGCATTTTACAAATGTTACCACGATTCACATCAGCATTGTAAAAATATTTAGTAAATAGACTAAATTTATAAATAAGTTCCATGAAAAAGTTACTTTCTTTCCTTACAATGCCGTGACTTTTAAAATAAATTTTTATCAGCCTAAAGCTTTGTTTTGCCTTTCATCATTAGAAATGATGAAACTTGCCTTCTGAATAGTCACACAAATTATTCAGCTATAAATACTCACCTTTTTATTTTTTTTAAGTGAAGGAGGGCATGCTGTAAGCTTTTTATAGAGGACAAGGCATAAATCAATTCCATGCAATATAAGGCAATAAAATATTAGAACATTTTTATTTTACTTCAAATTTGACTAGCTCTTTGTCAGTTGAGTCTATATAACACAGATGATCTTGCACTTTTTCAGCAACATGTTACTATGCTATTTTCCTACATGTACAGAACTGTTTTGTTTTTTATTTTATTATTATTTTTTTTTGGGGATGGAGTCTCACTTTATCGCCCAGGCTAGGGTGCAGTGGCGCGATCTCAGCTCACTGCAACCCCTGCCTCCTGGGTTCAAGCGATTCTCCTGCCTCAGCCTCCTGAGTAGCTGGGATTACAGGCAAGCGCCACCATGCCCGGCTAATTTTTGTATTTTTAGTAGAGATGGTGTTTCACTATGTTGGTCAGGCTGGTCTCAAACTCCTGACCTTGTGATCCGCCTGCCTCGGCCTCCTAAAGTGCTGGGATTACAGGCATGAGCCACTGTGCCCGGCCCCAGAACTGTTTTTATAATAATGTGGACATAAACTTCTTATATTTGTTCTTTCTCTTTGGCAAACAAAACTTTTTAAACACACAAAATAAATCTAAATAAAAAATATATATAATAATTTAAACATAAGTTTATTTTGCTGCATTCAACAACCACAGTAACTTTCATTTCTGTCTGGTTAATTTCACTCAAGGGCAGCATAGCACAAATTACATAAGTGCCTCATAGACAATTCGTGTGTGGTATTTGTGTGCCTTCTAGGTAGTACCATCTAAACATAATGGTGCTATTAGGAGTACGGACATACGTAGAGTTTATATTTTCCTTCACAGAATGCTTACAAACTAATCTACTTTTTAAATGTGGGCATTTCTAGAGAGGCAGGGTAATTCCTTTAAAGCAATAGAAATATGAAGGGCTCCAACTGACACATGTTCCTCATTAATCAATTTTTATTGAGATTCTAACATACCTATAGCATAAGCAGTAAAACAATCTATGAAATGCGATTTATGTCAATAAAGAAATTATAATTAAGTTGAGAACCATTAGGTTGATCCTATGGTTATGGATCACAAAAAGGCTACATAGTCACTGTGGCATGATGTAGTTTGTAACTTATGAAAAAGAGAACTGGGGATAAATTTGAGGAGAGAAGGAATTCTGGGAAATATGAAATATATTCCCAATAATGGGCACCACTTGAGCAAGGGGTAATGAATGAGCAGAAAACAATGCCAATTCAAAGAACATTGCTTTAATGACCCCATGGTGCTCTTGTTTGATTTTATACTAGAAATGTCAATGATATTCACCACCACATATTTCCTTCCCACCTTCCTAAAGGAATTTCTCCACTCATAGCCTAGAAGGAGCAACCTAGCTACAACTCGATAGCCTACTACCTACCCAGCCACTGCTGATTGGCCAAGGGTCTTATAACACCCATGCTGAGCCAATTAAATTTCTGTCCCAGAAATTGAAAACAGAGGTTCAAAAGTGGAGTCAGTCAGGGTTGGACACATGAGATAGAAGATCATGTGGATTTAGGCACTGGAGCTTCAGACCAAGAGGGATTAAGAGACATTTGAGAAGAAGCTGATGCAATTGACTCAAGAGGAAGAGAGCTACAGAACAAGTAGTTGTTTAATGATTTTCAGTTCCTCCAAAGTCCCAGTGTATTCCCTGAGCTTGATTTCTTTAATCTAGTCTAACTGAAGTGTTTTCTCTCCACTCTTACTAAGTCATCTCTAAGATGACCTTCTGGGTACACTGTAGTGGTCATCTTATATTTTTCATTGGCCTCTCTCTCATTAACTCTAAACTCTGCCACCTTTTCTGTTATCACTTCTCCTTTGTCTTCTATTATTCTTTTCTTTTTGTCTCTTATCTTTCCTCCCTGTTACTTCACCTGTACTTTTCAGCTTCGTCACTACAAGGTTTAGTCATTTATTATAACAAGGATGGGGCTACTTATGTTTGGCCAATGAACCGACCAATGATATCATCCTGTCAGTAATTTTCTTATCCTTGGCACTTGATTATTTTCATTATTGCTTAATATTTGATTTTTTTTACTTAATTTGGATTGAGAATTATTTTAACATGATAAAATTGCTAGTCATCCATTAATAATTCTCATAACTGGAAATGATGGCTTTCATTGCTTTTCTTAAGTAAACATGAACATTTAGTAGTTTTATATATATAGACAATGTGGGCAGGAGGAGTATGATTTATTTCTGCATTAAAATAAGTAAGTTGAATGATCTCACTGTCTAAAAAAGCTATGTTTGAATCACTAGGTCATTCACTTCCACCCCTAGTAATCATGCCATTGGTGAGAGAAGATGGGAGGCAGAGGCAAGTTAGAAGTCATGGAAACCTATTCAAAATAAAAATAAATGCATTCAAAAGGTTTCTATTTTTGCTATCATTTTCATTAAGTCAGTCTTTCCTTCACTCAATAAATATATATTAAGCCTTTCTGATGTAGTAGTCTATGAGCAAGACTTTGAGAGGACAGGAATGTACAAAACAGACAAAGTCTCTTCTCTCCTGGAGTTTATATGCTAATGAGGTAAGACAGAAAATAGATAAACAAATAAATATAAAATCCAACAGGTGGTAATGAATGTTCTAAAAAAATAGAGTGGAAGCTAGAGAGCACTGAGGTATGGTGTTTCATTCAATTGCATAGTCAGGAAACATGTGCCTGATGTACTGACATTTGAACAGAGATTTTTATTTTATTTTATTTTATTTATTTTTGAGACAGGGTGTCACTCTGTTGCCCAGGCTGGAGTGCAGTGGCGTGATCATGGCTCACTGTGGCCTCTACCTCGAGGGCTCAGATGATTCTCCCACCCCAGCCACCCAAGTAGCAGGAACTACAGGCATGTGCCACCACACCCAGCTAATTTTTTGTATTTTTCTTTCTTTTTTTTGGTAAAAACAAGGTCTCACCATGTTGCCCAAGCTGGTCTTGAACTCCTGGGCTCAAGTGAACCACCTTCCTCCCCTCCCAAAGTGCTGGGATTATAGGCATGAGCCACAGCACCCAGCCTGAACAGATATCTAAATAAGTAAGGGAGGGAGCCATGATATTCTCAGGGGAATCATCTGCATTGTCTGCAAATACTCATTGATCACATAAAGAATCATATCACTCTACATTTCATGTTGGTCTCATGAAAGAGGTTCTGTCATGGCATATACTGTGTAGTGGGATATAATAGGTTAAATTGTGGCCCCCAAGAAGGTATGTTTAAGTCCTAACCCTTGGTACTTGGAAATGTGACCGTTATGGAAATAAGGCGTTCAAATAAGGTCTTTGAAGATATAATCCAGTTGAGATAAGATCATACTGGATCAAGAGAACCCTAAATCCAATGACTGGTATATCTACAGGAGAAAGGGAAGAAATATTTGAACACAGAGACACAAAGGAGATACACAAGGAAGGTCATGTGATGATTGAGGCAGAGATTGGAGTGTTGCAGCCACAAGCCAGGGAATGCCAAGGATTGGCAGCAACCATCAAAACTAGGAAGAAGCAAGAAAGGATTCTTCCGCAGAGCCTTCAGAGGGAGCATGGCCTGTTGACACCTTGATTGCAGATTTGTAGCCTCCAGAAAAGTGAGAGAGCAGATTTCCATTACTTTAAGCTACCTTGGTGGCAATTTCTGTGGCAGACACAGGAAACCAGTACAGAGGTATGAACTAGAGGAAAGCATTGAATAGGCTGTGTCAGATGGTTTTGAAACACGTATATACATGCAACCACCACCACCACAACAGCAATAATTAGCTTTTTAAATGGATAATTAAGGGTACACGAAAATACAACAGATTAGATTAGGATCAGTGGAAAACTTAAGATCACTCTTTCCACGTGCTCATCTAGCAGCCACATGGGCCACATTGCTTCTCATTTGTACTAAGAAATTTCAGGTAGGCTATCCTGGTGATATTGAAACATTACTTCCATTCTTCCTTTATTAAATTTGCCTCTTCCGTGTGGCCAGAAAGCCAATGTTTGTCCTTTCTGAAGTTGTTCTGCCCAGAAGAACTGTATTTCAGTGAGTATAGCTTCAAATGATGCTTAATTTTGGGATCTGGGTGTTGGTGCTTCTGCCAGAATGATGGAGTTAGCACTACTCTATAGCAACAAAGGAAAAAATCTTTACATCTTTGCAACATCCAGATGAGCAGAATAAAGACAATGAACAAGGAGGAGGGAGAACCAAACGATTCAAGCAAGTGTTGATTCATCATGGTTAACTTCTCTATTCAAAATTTGATGCCTACCAGGTGCAGTGGTTATGCTTGTAATTCCAGCACTTTGGGAGGCTGAGGTGGACAGATTGCTTGAGCTCAGGAGTTTGAGACCAGCCTTGGCAACATGGTGAAACTACAAAAGTTTACAAAAAATATCTATCTATCTACAAAAAAATACAACAATTACTTGCATGGTGGTGCTTGCCTGTAGTCCCAGCTACTCAGGGGATTGAGGTACGAGGATCACTTGAGCCCTGGAGGTCAAGGCTGCAGTGAGCCATGTTCAGCACCACAGCCTGGGCAACAGAGTGAGGCCCTATCTCAAAACAAAACAAAACAAAACAAAACAAAATCTGATGCTGTGGGAATTGTTGTAGTTGTTTTCTTTTTCCTAGTGAACATATCCTTTTCTAAGACAATGGATTTCATATGTTGATGTTGCAATCAATCTATTGTGCAATTCAAGTCAACAGAATGTTCATGCTCTGTCTGGGGCAATGTAGTAGGTTGCGCCCCTGCTTGTCATTCATATTCTTTGTCATGTTACTTGTATTTCCCTTCACAAGAAGCATGTGGAGTTCCCACTCCATTGATTCTGCATTTGGCCATTGGTCCTGTTTTGACCAATAGAATGTGGATGGGCATGAGAGAGTTTCCATTTTGAGCTTAGGACTTAGGAGGCCTGCCATGTTTAAGCTCATCCCTCTTGTGTTTTTATTTATTTATTTATTTATTTTTATTCATTCCATTTTGTGTTTCTGTCATCACTAAGAGAAAAACATGCCATAGCTAGTTATGGTCCAAAGAGAATGAGACACACATGGAGAAGGCCTGAACTCAAACTGAAAATTGGTGTCAAGCTCAACAGAGACTAGGCTGGATTACTCAACCTGGAGCTGACCCAAAATTACATGAGTTAGTATAAAAGATGGTTTATTTTAAGCCATTGACTTTTGGGATATTTCTTATACAGCATTACTGTGACAATAACTGAATGATATGGGTGGGTTCTGACAAGTGAGATATTTTATAGAAAGTATAAAAATTCATTACAGCAATACCTGTTAATGATTAGATTGATCATGGTCATGGAGAGAGTGTATGGTATTCTAGAAGGAAATGAAGACCAGCATGCAGGATTACTGGTGAGGACCTTAGATACATATGAATCAGCCACCATCTCTAAGTTTTATTTCATTCACCCATTAAATACCTCCCTTATCCCAGAGTGTTTGGGAGAATGGCATGTAAAAAAACCATTCAGAAAGACTTAAGTGCCATATATACACATGTAGTTATTATTATTAATCATTATCATTTGATCATTATGATATTATTGTATATATTATTTATATATTATTTATTACAATTGATATTTGAGGGGGAAGTTCAGGATGGTGATAATCAATTTTAAGGTAGGACATTAGGTTTAGGTAACATTCACTTGTGGTACAAAAAATTAATGGCAATATCTGGGTTTATATTTGTCCCTAAATTTCTTATTTATTGTCCTGACATCTTGGTTTAATATTTTTCTTTCAAGTTCAGCTAATGCTGCATGTGGAGAGATGTAGATAACTTGGTAAAAGGATGAGTTCCCAAGAAGAGATGAGCATAGTTCAGTCTTTATCAAGAAAGCACCATCACTTTTCCTATACACAGCAATGTGATTATATTTCAAGGACCCAAGTTTATTTTTGAAACAGATATTTATATTTCAGGCAGCCTGCTTAAAACACGTATTAGATTTGAAGTGAGAATTTATTGCCTTTGTGGCTTTGAAGTCTATATTTTTTATATGATCTTCCAGAAGGAGCTCAGATTCTGTCTTCAATGGAGACCTGGCAGAGCTACTGTTGAGGCAACTGGCTGGAGGAGAGGGGTTTTAGTGCTTGGTCGTGGGGAAGAATTTTCTAAGCTTATCTTATGGTGCCACAGATGCAGTTTATTCATTTATTTGCCCAACAAAATCTTATTAAGTCTCTGCTTTGTGGAAGTTTCTGTACTAGGCTCTGAGATAACTGTTGCTCCAAATCACTTGTGATAGCTCTGTGTCTCACCCATGTGAAATTTAAAGTCGTCTCTCTGTCCAAAGAGCACTCTAGTGAGAAGATTCTAGTTTACATTTTACTCCTTGAAAACTCTGATCCTGGCACTCTCGTGTCTTCCAGTGACATGAAAGGGTTAATGTATGTTTTTCAGCACCTGTCACAATTCTGGAGCAACTCAGGCAGTCAAAAGAAGAGGGCTCAATTGATGTAGGCACAAGTGTGTGGGCATTTGGAACACTATACATAGGTTGCTCTTTTATTCTCTCTTCCCTCCTCCCAGCTTTGGCCTGGGGACATGAGTGGTGACTTAAATGAACCACAAAACATTGCTGGGAAAATCTACAGTGTGCTGAAGGAGGCAGCAAAGCATTGAGATGAACAGATTTGGGAGCTTTCTGAGCAGGGGAGAGATAGCACCTAGTATTTATGGGACAGTTAAACTCCCATGTGCTCTGGTACTATGAATCTGGAAAAGTGTCATCCAGTCATCAACCCAGGACTTCTCACTGGCATTTATCAAAGTCATGATACCTTCCAAATGCGAATGATGGGACACAGCCAGACAGTTCATCCAGAACTACATTGTTATAACTCTTGTTGCTTCCTAAATGAAAGGATATATTTCATCTGCATGGATGGACAGTTGCTTTTCTTTTCTTCTCTTTTTTCTTTTCTTTTCTCCCTTCCTTCCTTCTTTCTTTTCTTCCTTCCTTCCTTCCCTCCTTTCTTCTTTCCTCCTTCCTTCCTTTCTTCTTCCTTCTTTCCTTCCTTCCTTCATCCCTTCCTTCCTTCTTTCTTCCCTAAAGCTCCTGCATTTACTTATTACCTGAGCAACTCCTGTAGGTCTTAAGATCCCAGAGGCAAAAGTATCCTAACATAGACTTACAGAGAAACAGCCACAGAAGTAGGTTTTTATCACCAGAGTGCTGCCGAATTCAACAGGAGCATCTGTGGAAAAGTAGAACAAGGTTTATTATTTTCAGAAGACTGGAGTTTGAACCCAAGCTTGCCACTTAGCAACATTTTGGCCTTGGGCTAGTTATAATCTTTCTGAACCATGCTGTTCATACCGTACACTCACTCCCTGACCGTGATCAATCTAATCATTAATAGATACTGCTGTAATGAATTTTTATACTTTCTACAAAATATCTCACTTGTCAGAACCCACCCATATCAGTCAGTTATTGTCACAGTAATGCTGTATAAGAAATATCTCAAAAGTCAATGGCTTAAAATAAACCATCTTTTATACTAACTCATGTAATTTTGGGTCAGCTCCAGGTTGAGTAATCCAGCCTAGTCTCTGTTGAGCTTGACTCCAATTTTCAGTTTGAGTTCAGGCCTTCTCCATGTGTGTCTCATTCTCTTTGGACCATAACTAGCTATGGCATGCTGTTCTCATTGTCTTCATCTGTAACTTGGGTGCATAAATGCCTGCTCTGGTTGTTCATTCCACAAAGTCTGGGTTCTTTCTATGTGCCCAGTACTGTGCTACACACTAGAGACACAACTCTGTTCCTGGTCCCAGGGAGTGGAAAGAGAAACACTGAACATATAAGCATGGTTAGGGTCATGAAGAAAAAGTGTAGCACATGGCAGAATCAGGAAATAGGAAGTCCTTACTTATTCTGGAGAGTCTCCTCAAGGAAATACTGTTTATACTGTTTGAGCTGAGATAGGAAAAACAAGCGTTCAATTATTAGATATTGGGATATCAGGAAGATTCCAGGCCTAGGGAAGAGGGTGTGTGAAAGGCATGGCGGGGAAGACAACAGTGCATGTTATTTACAATATAGTATTGTGAGACAATTTTTAAAAACTGCATTTGGCAGAGCTGTATCAACTGCTATGGACATTTGCCAAGGACCATCAGGCCCTCTATGGAGCCATGAAAGAGACCCTAAAGAGACTTCATTCACCTAAATGCATGTGTATCCTCTAAGCTAACACTGCTTAGTGTTTGCAAGGCTTATTTCTGGATTAAAGAGGTAATCAAAGTCTGGATATAGTGGGAATAAAACTCTGATCCTTGCCTAGATTTGATATCCTGGTCAGTGGAAGGCCACATGGAGGGTATGAGTCAATGTATCAGCTGTTTTATGTGTTAGTGATGGTTTCATTTTGTAGCAAGATGGGGCTATTTTCCCCTTAAGTTCACAGTTTCTCTTGCGAGGTGTGGCAGCGCTTCCTGTTGTACAAGACAGATGTTGCCCTGGTGTTACATGAATCATCGTATCTCCCTCATTTAATTTAAAGAAAGCCAATTTTTAGTGATTGAGGTAGAAAGGAAGACCCATTTATTAGTGATGGCACCCACTGACCAATGTTCTAAGCCAGATACAACCTTCCAGCTCATGTCAATCAGGAGGAGTGCCCTGTCTGCTCAGGCACACACACAAAGTTGGGGGTAGTCTTTGTCCTCCATCTTTGTGGTTGTTAGACCCTGAGCCCAGTCTCCCAGCCCCCTTCACTGCATCTCCGTGGGTCTTTGTATTAGTGCATTCTTACATTGCTATAAAGAAATACCTGAGACTGGACAATGTATAAAGAGAAGAGATTTAATTGGCTCACAGTTCTTCAGGCTGCACAGAAAGCATGATGCTGGCATCTGCTCGGCTTCTGGGGAGGCCTCAGGAAACTTAAATTTATGGCAGAAGGCAAAGGAGGAGCAGATACAACTTACATGGCAGGAGCAGGGGCGAGAGAGAGAGAGAGAGAGATGGAGGAGGTGCCACACACTTTTAAACAACCAGATCTCATGAGAACTCACTCAGTAACCTGAGGACAGTACCAAGGGAGATGTTGCTAAACCATTCATGAAAAACCACCCCTATGAGCCAATCACCTCCCACCAAGCCCTGCTTCCAACATTGAGGGTTACAATTCAACATGAGATTTGTTGGTGACACAGATCCAAACCGTATCAGTCTTGTGGATTATTTTTCATGGCCTCCTGAGCATCGGCTTGAGAGAGGTAGAATGAGCTCATCTTTGCTCAAAGCCATGCTAGAATTACAGGCACAATTTCTGGAAATTATGCAACCAGTATTTTTTTCTAGTTCTGTGATCTCCAAGAAAAGGCTATAGGTTTCTAGTACAGGAATTGGCAAACATTTCCTTTTTTGTAAAGGTCTGATGTTTTAGGCTTTACAAGCCACTTGTGGTCACTACCACATATTCTTTGTTTGGTTATGTTACAACTCTTTAAAAATGTAAAAATATTTTTTAGTCTAGCTGTAAAGAAACTGGCTACAGGCTGGATTTGGCTCATGGGCTGCGATTTCCCATCCCAGGATCTAGGGCAAAGCTGGACCAGAGCCAGGTAGCCCAACCTGATGAGCTGCCTCTTCCCTTACACTCTTCGGCATTAATAATTGTCAAATAGATGTTTTATGTCTAACAGGGTCCATTTACATTGCAGTTTACGTAAGATAATGGGGTCATTTCTAAGACTTGTTTTTACTCTGCTTGCAAGCTAATAAGTTAGACTGCCACAGTTTCATGAGACATGGTTGAATTCACAAAACTCCTGGCTCAGAGAAGAAGAACAGATTATTCGTTGCAACAGCAGTGGACAGATTGTACAGATTACAAGCTTGTTGTGATGGTTCCTCAAGCTCTGGTTCCCACAAGGTGAGGCCCAGAGAGCCAGATGATGTCTGCCTATGTAGTGGGTTACATTACAGAAGAAAAATATTGAGTTTATTAAAAAGAATCTTTCATAATGGGCAATAAGCACATTTACCTTTTGTAGCAGTGGGACAGACTATCTCTCCCATCCCAGGCTATAGCAAATCTGTTCTTTTTTCTTGAGGAAAATACTACCTCCATCTTCCAAGGCTGTTACAAATATCCTTGAAAAGATAGTCCAGGGGGGAAAAAGGTAGTTGGAGCCTTACTTGTACTACATGTAGAAATATAAGACATCCATGGAAAATTGTCTTTCAATAGACAACTGGTATCTGCTTATATTAATGTGACAGTCCATCCATTTTGGAGAAATAAAACATCAAGTAACCCATTTCTGGTGTAAGTGATCTTTTCCTAGTGCCCTGTACTTATGATGTCATCTAAGAACAGATCTAAGATCCAATCTTAAGATTATATAGTTCCATGATAGCTAATCACTTTGATACAGGGATTTTGGCTCCAGGACAAAGAAAAGGAACAACAGCAGCTGGGCGCAGTGGCTCACACCTGTAATCCTGGCACTTTGAGAGGCCGAAGCGGGTGGATCACCTGAGGTCAGGAATTCAAGATCAGCCTGACCAACATGGAGAAACCCCATCTCTACTAAAAATACAAAATTAGCCAGGGTGGTGGTGCATCCCTGTAATCCCAGCTACCCGGGAGGCTGAGGCAGGAGAATTAATTGAACCCGGGAGGCGGAGCTCGTGGTGAGCCGAGATTGCGCCATTGCACTCCAGCCTGGGCAAAAAGAGCGAAACTCCATCTCAAAGAAAGAAAGAAAGAAAGAAAGAAAGAAAGAAAGAAAGAAAGAAAGAGAGAGAGAGAGAGAGAGAGAGAGAGAGAGAGAGAGAGAGAGAGAGAGAGAGAGAGAGAAAGAAAGAAAGAAAGAAAGAAAGAAAGAAAGAAAGAAAGAAAGAGAAAAGGAACAACAACAACAAAACAGCATGGCTCATTTCGGGAACTTTCAGGACACTTGAAATTTAAAGTGAAATCAGAAATACTGTCTAAGGAGACATTAAATGATTACTTCCTTCAACAAGAAGCCTATTTTTCCTTCCACTGTGTCCCAAGTGATATATAATTTGGCAGAATTCAAGCCAGAAATCAGTGGGAAAGGCTTGAATGTGATCCCTGAGTCATGAGACTACTGCAGAGGACAGCCAGGCACGAATACAGGTGGTTTAATGGGAAACACTAGGAGCTAACTGATGCCTGGGTCAAGAACAGAAACGAAGAATCAGGAAAGGGTAGAGCACATATCATTTGTGAATAAAGGTGGCTGAGAAAGCATCACTAGAGAAGTTTATGTTAATGACTCTCTGGTCCAGAGTGCTTTCCCTTTGCTTTTTTCTTTTGACAATACTGCCGAGTGCTTTTTAAAGATGATCCCTAATATAGGACAGCTTTACACAATAAGTTTATTACTGAAAATTGTGTCAGTTGAAGCTTTTATAGTCAAATATGTGTTTCCCATGGTCATATTTCTATTTCAGTGATGCTTAATATTCATTTTTTGAGTCATCTCCTTCGTTATTGAGTTAGCACATCAGAGGTCCCAAGTTTCTAAACCCTTCACAAATACAATCTACAAACAAAATATAAAGCAACATTATACTTAAGCTTCAAGAGGCAAGATCCATTATCTGTAATATCAAAATTATTAAAGAATCAAAATAAAATCAATTTCATCAATATTAATGCAATTTTATATTTTTAAACTTATAATAATAAATACTGAATATAAGAGAAAACAGTAAGTAGAAGTTTCTTTATTGGAAAATGTGGCATAAATTATTCCTCTCTCCCCTCCCTCGATGGAGGAATTTGTGTGATTGGAATAACCCAATGTAGAGAGACAGTAATGTTGAGTGCAGATTCTAGAACCAGGTCAGGTAGCTTTACATCCAAGTTCCAGAACATATTAGCTTCAAGAGTAGGTTAATTTATCTATATCTGATATCCTGGTCAGTGGAAGGCAATATGGAGGGTATGAGTCAAGGTAGCAGGAAATAAAATGTTTATAGATTGAATGCTTCCCAAACTTCAATTTTTAAATACTCTAGAGAATACTATCTTCCAGGAAGAAGTCTCACTATCTCCAGACAGGCAGCTAGATTAGGGCAGATCATCTCATTGCGATCCAGTGTTGGGCTGATATGAGTCTGGGTTACAGACTTTGTAAGGCTCATCCTACTGCTGGTTTACCCTACACTTGAGAAAGAGTGTAGGGTTCCAGGTTCATAGCTGACAGCCAGTGGTATTTTCAGAGACAATCCTCCACGGCATAGCTTGAACTCCTATCCTTTTTTTCTATTAAGCACTTCTTCTTCATTGCTTTTTGCCTTGGTTTTTTAGCCTCTTACCCTGTACAGCTTAAATGTCTTGGTCTTTCCGGCTGACACTTAAGAAATAAATAACACTTAGCAGTCCTGGAGATTGCCCCATCCTCCATTGATTTTCTTGAGGGAGAGATTCAGTTTTGTCTGGGAAACAGGATTGACTCAGGACTCTGCCAGAGGGTAACCGTGCCTGTTTTCTTGGCCTATTTCCAGTTTCAATACTGTCCAATAAAACTATCTGTGATGACAAAATGTTCTAGATCCATGCTATCTAATCAGATGGACATTAGCCACCTATGGCTGTTGAGCACTGAAAATGTGGTTAGGGCAGCTGAAGAAATGAATTTCTTATTTTATTTAGCTCTAATTAATTTAAATGTGAATAGCCACACATGGTGAGTGGCTGTCCAATTGGACAGCACAGCCATCCACAGCAGTTTTAGGTACAGCATTTCATAGTTTTTCTTCAATTGGAAAAACTGTGACATGAAAGGATTAGATCACTGCAGGTTGATTCTAGCTTGTCAAGGCCGCCTCTATGTGCCAGCCCTCCTTGCCTTAGAAAGGGTGTAAGTGAAACAACAGCATCCTTAACAAAGCCAAGAAAACCCACAGCCTGTAACAATATAATAAAAGAGGCAGACATGTTGAAGACAGATTTTCCCCATTTTCAAGGTCTTCTTTTCTCTCATATACCTTCCAATTGATGTTTTTTTGAAACACCCTTAGACAGTGCCGTTCAATGTTTTCAAATCTTGTTACTATTACTCTTTTAGCAGCAGAACTTTTTATGACACTAAGACTCTCATGAAACCCCAATATATTAAAGAGGTAAAATCAGGGATAGAGGATTCATAGCCATACCTGATCTCACATACCCTTTTCCAACTACCTTCTCAGAGCTCTGAAGAGCAGTTTGAAAACCACAATTCTAACAGACCACTATGGCTTTATACATGAATTAACTAGAGCCCAGAGAAATGAAGTGGTGACTCTAAGTTGCTTGAATGCTAAAAAAAAAAAAAAAGAAAGAAAGAAAAAGAAAGAGGAAGAAAGAAAAGAAAGAAAGAAAGAAAGAAAAGAAAGAAAGAAAGAAAGAAAGAAAGAAAGAAAGAAAAGAAAGAAAGAAAGAAAGAAAGAAAGAAAGAAAGAAAGAAAGAAAGAACGAACGAACAGACAGACAAGCTTGGCCGAGTGCGGTGGTTCCTGCCAATAATCCCAGCACTTTGGGAGACTGAGGCGGGTGGATCACAAGGTCAGGAGATCGAGACCATCCTGGCCAATATGGTGAAACCCCGTCTCTACCAAAATACAAAAAAAATTAGCCAGGCATGGTGGTGTGCACCTGTAGTCCCAGCTACTTGGGAGGCTGAGGCAGGGGAATTGCTTGAACCCAGGAGGTGGAGATTGCAATGAGCTGAGATCTCACCACTGTACTCCAGCCTGGCGACAGAGCAAGACTCCATCTCAAAAACCAAAACAAAACAAAAAAAAAACACCTTTATTCAGGTTTCTTGTCTCTCAGTGCAGTGTTCTCCCATGTTGTGGCTTCTGCGTGAAGCTTTTCTAACTTCATTAGTCTTTTTAATGCCTCTAAAAATAGGGCTGGCCTTTACCCTATAACACAACAGGTCTTCTAAGCTCTGTTAGGAGTTGTTCACTATTGTATGACATGCCTTTCTCTTGTTTCCTTGCCCACACTGCAAGTTCCTTAAAAGCAGGAACCATGCCATGTATTTCTGTTAAAGCCATGGTACACTTGGCAGAATGTAAATAAGCCTACAGTCAACATCCATTTGAATGATGATTCTTGCTGCAAGTCGTTTTATTGAGAGCTTGCTGAATGCCCAGCAGGCCCTCGTGCCTTAGGAAAATACAAAGTATAGAAAACAGTTTCTCCCCTTAGGAAGCTTTGGGCTTAGGTGGAGAAACAAGACAGCACAGAGAAATAACTCCAAAGCTGTCTCTCAACATGGAGCTCAACATGAGCTCCATGGATCACCTCCAACAGGGCTACTTGAAGAACTTGCTATGAATTCAGACTCCTGGATCTCATATGCAGAGATTCAGATTAGGGAAGACCCAGAAATCATCATTTATGATAAATTCCTCAGTTGACTTTGCACATTTGCAATTTTACAAACTGGAAAACATAAGTAGGTTAGTGATCGTTTATGTGGTAATGGTCTTGAATACAACATTAAAGAACTTGGATGATCTAAGGAGAGAACTCAGGCTGCATGATGTCAAGTGGAGGAGCTGGGAGTTGGAGTGGAGCAAGGGACTCACCCCTGTTAAAGCTGCCATGGTAACTGCCACTGACCCCTGAAGAAGTGTGCCCTGAGCCCTTCTGGATGATGGTGAGTGGTACTTTCATACTCTTGATCAGCTTGTACTCCAGATAAGCGGGCCACCAGCTCAGGGAGATGGAGTGGCAGGATGAGGCTGCATTTCTGGGCAACCCATGTGGAAGAAAGCAGACAACATGATCAGCACTGGGGGGGATTTGTCAGTCACTCCATTGGGTATCTGTTGTTACATAACAAAGCATCCCAAAACTTAGCAGCTTAAAACAACAAACATTAATTATTTCACAATGTTGCTCACAGAATCTGGAAGCAGTAATACTTGGGCTTAGCCCCTCCTATGAAGTTGCAGCCAAGATATTGGCCTTGACAACCGTCATCTGAAGGCTTGGCTAGAGCTAAAGCATATGCCTCCATGTTCACACACATGGCTGTTGGCTGGAGGTGTCAGGTCCTCACCATGTAGATCTATGTAGATCTTTCCAGAGGACTGCTGGTGACATGGCTTATGGCTTCCTTAGACAAAGTGATGAGAGAGAGAGAAACCAAATGAAAGCCAGGATGTCTTTCATAATATAATCTCAGAAGTGATGTATACCCTCACATACGCCGTATTTTATTAGCTACACAGATCAACCCTGGTAGGAAGAAATTACACAAAGATGTGAATACCAGGAGGTAAGAGTCAAAGAGCAAGAAACATGTGGCAAGAGTTATATCTGAGAATAACTTGAAAGTTTTACTTTGTCCAGAAATACTGCCTTTTGCTAAGATATAAGAGAAATTTGATGATCTTAAAAACATCTTAGAGGTCAAGTTACTCTGAGTCTTTTCTCTACTTCTTTTCCCAGAACTCAGAACTGAGTTCATATGCACCTCCCTTCTATTTCCCTGGGGACAGAACTGTCAGGATTAGAATGGGTATCTGTAGGAAGATTTCTGTAAGAAGACCCGTAAGATCTTCTGACTGAAATGTGAAGACCCTGGAAGTCTTGAGCCTTCCAGTATAGATTATAATGTGTGTCACTCTTCTTAGCAGACTGTGCAAAGCCACATGATGCTAGAGTCTTGGGTAGGTTGGGAATGATGACCCTTGTCCCACATTCTCAGAAGATAACTTTATCTCATCCTTCACCATGATGGCTATTCTCTACTTGCTCCCTTCTACATGTACATTCCTTGTACTTCTCTGGGTCCCAGGCTCCTTGCCACCTGCCTTTTGTTTGGGTTTGGCCACTGGAAATCACTGGTAGATGAACAATATTCTGTGTGTCCTTCTGGTTTGCTGTTATCTCTAGTAGTATCTGCATCACTTCATGACTTCAGCTCCTGCTGGGTGGCCTCTGTTCCAAGGATTCTGATCTCATTGGCTTTCAATTGCACTTATTCTTCCCCTTGTCCCTTCAACACTAACAGTGTAACAGTTTCTGGTGCTATTAGTCTCTGAATGCTTCCTTTTTTTTGAAATTTTTATTTATTTATTTATTTATTTATTTATTTATTTGAGATGGAGTCTCGCTCTGTCACCCAGGCAGGAGTGCAGTGGCACAATCTCGGCTCACTGCAACCTTTGCCTCCCAGGTTCTAGCTATTCTCCTGCCTCAGCCTCCCAGGTACCTGGGACTACAGGTGCGGTGCCACCACGTCCAGCTAATTTTTGTATTTTTAGTAGAGACAGGGTTTCACCATGTTCGCCAGGATGGTCTTGATCTCTTGACCTCCTGATCCCTCCACCTCGGCCTCCCAAAGTGCTGGGATTACAGGTGTAAGCCACCGTGCCTGGCCTGAATGCCTCCTTTTAACCTTAGTCCCACATCTATTAAGTGGTCTCTAATTATGCACTCTGATGATTTGGTTTTTGCCAGGATCCTGACTCATGTATTTTCCTCAACTGAAGAAACATTGAGAGTGTGCAGCATCCTGACCCCACTCCAACATATGCTAGTTTCTCTCCAGTCCTATCTGACTGCTTCCCTCATGTGAAGGTGAACAAAGTGTCCATCTTCCTACCTCTGCCTGGGCTCCGGATCCCAGCCCCACCCGCTGCTTTGAGCATCTCACACTAATAGCTGTGCTTTGTCTCTCCTGGATCTCCATCTTTCAATTTCAGTGTGTGCTTTCAGAATTTAAATATGCTCAAGACTCTTACATATGAAAAACAAAATAAGAAATCACTCTTCTTCAACTCCAGGGTCCCTGTCTCTTCTTCCTTTACAGAGAAATTTCTTCAGCCATCTTTCTACTTAGAGCTATCTCTCATTCTTTTATTTATTTATTTATTTATTTATTTATTTATTTATTTATTTATTTATTTATTTATTTATTTATTTTGAGATGGAGTCTTGCTCTGTCACCCAGTCTGGAATGCAGTGACGCAATCTCAGCTCACTGCAGCCTCTGCCTTCCAGGTTCAAGCAATTCTCCCATCTCAGCCTCCCAAGTAGCTGGAATTACAGACATCTGCCACAATGCTTGGCTATTTTTTTGTGTTTTTAGTAAAGATGGGGTTTAACCATGCTTGAGGGCTGGTCTCAAACTCCTGACCTCTGGTGATCCACCTGCCTTGGCCTTCCAAAATGCTGGGATTACAGGTGTGATGTCTCTCCTTCTTAATCTCCCATTCTACATCCAGGAAGAGTGGGGCTTTTGCACCCATCACTCCCAAACTGCTTTTGCCACAATTGCCTACCACTTCAATGTCACTGTGTGCAATGGATATTTTTTTCATTATCACTTTGCTTACAGCAAGAGGTTCTGGTGATGTTTCTTTTTTTCTGAGGTCCCTTCCTCCCTTGGCTTCCACAACCTCACATTTTCCTGGTTTTCCTACTATTTCTCTGGGCATTCCCTTTTAGTTTTATAACTTGGCTTTTCCTCTTGACTCATCCCTTAAATATTGGTACTTCTTTGGGTATTTCTTTGCTGTTTTTGTTTTGTTTTGTTTTGTCTTAGGAAATAACCTCATTAACCACCAAACTGTTGGATGCAAAGTCCTCAGAGTCACTCTGGACTTCCTCCCTTCAACAGGAAACTTCATAAAAAGCCCTATACACTCCAGCCCCTCAGCCCCAATGATCAAGCCTGTGCTACTACCTTCAGCCTTCTCTGCCCCATTTTCCTTTAAGCCCTGAGATGCTCCCGCACCACTGGACTAATCTCAGCTGTCCACGCCTCTGTCACACTCTCCCTTGCCTCCAGGCCTTTGCACATCCTACCCTTCTGTCAGGAGCACTCTTACTTTTGTTCATCCCCTCAAACTAAAATATATTTATTTTATGCTTTTGTTTCTCTTCAGAATAAATCATTTGCCTTTTAAAATGTATTTATTTTTCAGCTTTTAACATAAAAGTGACTTCATCCAGGAGTCTCTTCTGGATAATTTAGACAAGCTCAGAACCCCCTCCCCCTGCTCTCTTCTCTCAAGTCCGCATCCTTCCCCCAGTATAATTTTATATTCACAATTATTTAACAGTTCATCTCCTTCTCTAGACTCTATTCACCACAGATTCCCCAATTCCAGGCACGTGGAAGTTACTCTAGTTAAATGATGAAAGGAAGTTAGGAGAACCAGAAGTTTCCCATGTGTACAATGATCATATTCCTAAGGCAAGTTTTGGGGCATACATATTTAACAATGTTTGATGTATATGATGCGGTCTGATGGATCGAAGATTTGAAGTCAAGACTACCCAAGTTGTTAAAGAAAATGAAAGTGTTCTTTTTCTGTTTGTTTTTTGTGTGTGTTTTTTTCTTAATCTGGAAGGTGTTCTTAAGGGCATGAAGTGTGTATGAAGGGGAGGGGGCTCAGAAAAGCAGGACCTGGGTCATTCCTCCTCTCTCTCCTGTCTGTTTCTACCTTCCTTTGTGCAAGCTTATTGGGCCCTTAATTATTTTCTACCAAGTTAATCGAACCTGGGGCCAGAGATGATTGAGAAGTAAATGCAAAGGGTCCAAGGCAATTCATGGGCTGAGTCCCCTAATACATCCGCACACTTCCCTCCCAGCCTCACACAACCTTCCCTCTTCAGTCAAGCCTCCCATTCCCCAAGCTCCCCTACCTCCACCCAGCTCTCAAATATAGGATGTCTTAAATTATTCACCCTCACACTTTTCCTGGTGGCTCCATTCATGCCCATGATTTCAACCTCCACTCCCATGTGGAATAATGCCGATGCCCAAATCTTTAGCTCTCACCCTCAGTACTCGCTGGGGTGCCAGACCTGTGTGACCAGCCAAATGCTGATTAATGATTTCCAGTTGGGTGTCCTCTGAGGCACCTATTGTGTCCAGAAATAAATTAATCATTTTTCTTTTATTCCACTCTCTCTTATCTTCGTTCTACAATATCCCAATAGAAACATTAGAGTCATGACAGTGATAATGAGAAACATTTTTTTAATGTTAACTATAAGCCAGGCACTGTTTTAGGAGTTATGTATATATAAACCTGCTTTATACTTAAAACCCCATTTTACAGATGGGCAAGTGAAGCATAGACAGGTAAAGTAACTTGACCGAAGTTTAAGTCAGAAAGCCAGGATTCAAACCAAGAGAGTTTAGATAGAGAGGCTGAACTCATAACCACTATGCTATGTGCCTCTAGAAGGATTAAGTGTCTTAATATTGTTCCTTTCACTAGTGAGCAGGATTACTGAGGATTGGGTTTCTAACTGAATAAACTTTTATTTCCATCACCCAGTTTCGTGGTTGGTAAATAGTGGTGTATATTGGATAAGTAAATAAAGAAATGAAGGTGTGCAGGAGATACTGGAAAAGTAGCTATGAAGTTAACCACAAGTCAAAAAAAAATGCATTCTAGAAAGGGATGCTCTACAGCCTCCTATTTCCTCTACATTGCACCTTCTCTTTGGGTATTAGGGTTTTTAGAGTCCCAGAAGACGTCTATAAAACATGGCACAATGGAAGTGGAGGTGGAGAAGTGGAGGGAAAGAGAAACAAACAAACAAAAGGCATCATCCCTTCTCTTATCACTTTCCACTTCTCCAGGCTTGTATTTGTCACATTGAAACAGAGTTTGGTATTTTCATTGTAGTTGTACAAGTATAGTTTGTTAATCTCAAGAGGAATAAAATATAGCCATATAATTTTATTTCACCAGTAGAGAACCAAATAATAATAGCGAATTCTTAAGGAACTATTTTGAGGTTCTTAAGGAACTATTTTGAGGTTCCAGGTGTTATGCTAAGCAGTTTCTAAGCCCATGGGCATTATTATCAGTTCTAATATGCAAGTGGGGAAACTGAGGCAAAGAGACTTGTTAAGGAGCTTGCTCCGGATGACAAGGCAAATGCCTGGCGGATAGGGATTTGGACACAGCCTGTGAGCCCGTGAAACTTCTGCCCTTCACCCGCAATGCTGTAGAAAGGCTTCCCGTGAAAATGGGCTTTTAAATAATCTGAACAGTGATGAACTGGGGATGGGAGGTAATGCGTCATTGGCAATATTTTCCCATTTTGTGAGGTGCGGTGAGAAAAGCCTGTTTCTCAATTCTATGGTAGAGCTTTCTCCATTCATTTTCTTGTGGTTTCATCAGCATACAACATGGGAAGGCAAAGGAAGGGAAAACAGCCATAAAAAATAAAAACAAAACCTAAAGTAAAGCCTGTTCAATCAGCTGAGGCTGCCATTAATTTCAATAAATATCCAGTTAAATTCATTGACAGGCAACTTATGAATCTTGGAGAAAAATGGATCACTTCAAAAATCTGCAACCTTTTGGAGGCTTGCTGAGTAATGTGATTTTTCAATGTAATGATGTTTAATATTGATTTTAATTTGCTGAATATGCCCTGGATAATTTGGAGCATCTACGGGGTTTAGTTTGCAGGTTGCCTTTCCTTTTAAGGTGTTGAAAACTGTAAAAGGAGAATTGATTAAACTGAGCATTCATTTTAAATATACTGGCAGAAAATTGCTTACTCCTCATGACTTCAAGCATCTGAATATCATGTCTAATGATCAGGGTTGCTTCTGGTTTGGTTTTTATTACTAGAGAATAGTCCATCTGAACAAAACCTGCAAGTAAAGTCTACTCATTTCTCTTCAATTTTGACGTTAAAGCCACTGCTCAGAATCAAATATGCTTTGAGTTGTTTTACTAAACACTTGAATTTAGGTAAGCTGTGAGGATATAGGAAAAGATAAATTCAGTTTCTCCCACTATGCTTCTGACACCAGCTGAGTGTATATGTTGTGGGGTGGGGGTTCCCCAAACACTGAGAAATTCCCTGGCAGAATCTCCCATGGACACCAGTTGGGTGTCGTCCAATTCAATTCTGACACTACCTACCTGGAGATAGGGTCAGACCTAACAGGTTGAGGGCTCAGTCCATAAGACACATGTCCCCCCTCCCCGACTTAGGATGCCAGTTGCAAGCCCAAGCTGTGGCCTGTGCTTCTGATCAATTGGCTGTAAATCAGGGCTCCCACAGCACCCTCCTTGATCTGACAAATTTGCTAGAGTGGCTTACAGAATTCAGGAGAACACTTTGCTTATGTTTACTGGTTTATTTTAATGGATATTATAAATGATAGAGATGAGCATCCAGATGGAAGAAATGCATACAGTAAGGTATGGGAGGAGTGGCAAGGAGTTTCCATGCCCTCTCTGGGTGAGCCACCCTCCAGGAACCTCCATGTGTCCAGTTATCTGGAAGCTCTCCAAACCTTGCACTGTTGGGTTGTTATGGAGGCTTCAACACATAGGCATAATTGATTAATCATTGACTATTGATGATCAGCTCAAACTTCAGCTCCTCTCCTCTTTCCAGAGGTTGGAGGATAGGGCTGAAAGCCCCAAACCTCTAGTCACCTGCTTGCTTCCCTTGGAAACTGGTCCCCATCCTGATGATATCTAGGGGCCCACCAAGAGTCACCCCAGTAGAACAAAAGATGTTTCTATCACCCATGAAATTCCAAAGGATTTAGGAGCTCTGTGTCAGAAAATGGGGAAGAAGACAAATATATGTATTTCACAAAATAGCATAAGCTGAGACCAAGAAAACAGCAGCCCTTTTTATATATTTCAATAGCCAGTTTTATACATTTCTGTATTCCATAAGAGGAGAATGTTTCTAAAGCAACTGAGGAATATTTGACTTCTTAATTATAATCTCTCATTGCCCCTATGATTCCATTTCCCCCACCAGTTTTCTAAAATTGTGTCAGAAGTCCAGGAAGACCTCAGGGTACATGTATTTACATTCTTGTACAGGTATCCAAGAGCACCCAAATATAAGAAATAGCCAAATAAATTCAGTCTACTTTGGGTCCTAGATATAATTCTGTCATTTCCCCCATATAAATTAGCGTATATTTGGGACTTAATCCACTTCAGCTCCACAGACCTTTTACCAACAGATCATTCTGTTTTCATGTTGCCAGTATGACTCTCTTACACCATTACATACACACACACACACACACACACACACACAAATGTCAGAAAACAAAATAAACCATCCTCGGTGAAGAAAATCATTTGCTCTTGTCCTCTTCCTGTTTTTTAATTCCTGGAAGCCTAAAGAGGAATAGGGATGAAATGTCTGTGTAAAAATGTTAACAACTATGAGGAAGGTGTACTTTGGTAGATATCGTTTGTTGGTACTTAATAGTAACACATTACTTTTTAACTGTCGCATGTACTATAGAGTCTTAAAGTTTAGAAACTACATTTCCCAGACATCTTTTGCGTAAATTCCGCCAATGAGAGGTGCTTACCTGAGATAGAGAAGGTGAAAGAGAAGATACTATTCGACTACGGATGTTACAGGAAGATGCGGGAGGGGTTTGCAGATGATTTTTCAGAAGACCTCCTAGGAATCACTCACTTTGTTGCAACAGGTAGCAACAGTTCTTGGCTTTTGGTGCTTTGGGCATCCTCCTAAGAATCACTCACATTGCTGGTAGCTCCCCTGCTCTTCCAGCACTTCTTAGTATTTAGAAATCAGCTTTACTGACTTTTACTCCTCCAGCCTTCCTAGAGATGTGTAAGCCTCTAACACACTGTGTTAAACTTCTTTTACCTCTAAAAATCTGAAGTCATTTCAGGTTTCTATGACCAAACCCTAATGGATAACAGGTTCCCAGATTTCTAAATATTTGAAGTAAAACTCATTATGAGATAATACTTTAGAAACAGAAAGAACTCTTCAGTTCTTATAAAATGGGTTACTGAGATATTTTGTTATCCCTAAGTAAAATGATATAAAAACTATCAGTGAATTGCTAACACAAAATTCTTCTCAGACTAAGAATTCAAAATAGACAAGTTTCACCTTAGGGAGTATAAGTGCCTCATATGAATGAAAACCTTGCTGTGTGCCAAAGTCTTTTATCTCTTTCTGAATGTCTCTGCTTTCTCTGTTTTGTGTTAGTATTGTTTGTTGTTATTGTTCCAATATCTCTATGGCTTAGCTTATTATATGGCATAGAGTTGTTGTACAATAAATGTTAGTTGAATAAATTCATGAATGAATGTATGAATGAAAGTTGCTATGTTTCAAGTGCAAACTCATTTTACAATTTCTTCTACATTTTCTAGTCTTCTTAGTTCATTTGAAATTCTCTGTCTTGGGGAGTTTAGGGACAGCTGGTGAACCTGGGGATTGACTATGACTACTCAATCTTTATTTATTCATTCTTGTATTAAACACACTGATTATGTATGGACACCATTCTAGGAAAAGGAGATACAGTGCTGATTGGGGTACAGTACCTGTCCTGGAGGATTGAGTGGAATGCAGTGCAGGATGGACACATCATCACTTAGCTAACACTTTTATGGCCAGATAGAGTTAAGAATAAAGCATAATTACAGATTTGGAAAGATAATCTGGTGCCTATATTGTATATTTTTAATACCCCCAGTGGAATCTCACACAGCCCTCCACAGCCACACACAATTTTTTGGCAGCAAAATGCATGACTATTCTTACCAAATGGAGTAAGTTTGCACTAAATTTAACATTTAAAATACCTAGATTACAGGGATTTGGGGATGTTATGCTTGTAGATAAAGTGTTTGGATTTGTACAGTTTTCTATAATGCAGTATAAAGAAGGCAAAGGGAGGCAAATTGCCTTGGCACACTGTGTGTGTGTGTGAGAGAGAGAGAGAGAGAGACAGAGTGTAATGGGGGAGTATTCCAATCTTGAGTATGGAGAACAGGCTTCCCAGAGCCCAAAAGCTAAGTGGGAGTTGGTCAGATGGAGGTAATAGGTTTTATAGGGAGGAGAAAGATGTTCCTGGCTGAAGCAGCATGATGTAGTAGGTGTGTAATGTGTAAAGTTCTTGGGAAAATGGCAGCACAATGTATCACTGAAACTTCCAAGTCTTGTGATGAATTGAAAGATGGGAAGTGTAAAAAGATGAGGCCACATCCACCCAAGTTGGAGAAATTAAGGGTAAGAAGTGCTAGGTCTTATTCCTGAATGAACTCTTCTTCTTCATTATCCTGA
The DNA here is from genome assembly GCF_000001405.40 of Homo sapiens. Lineage (NCBI taxonomy): Eukaryota > Metazoa > Chordata > Mammalia > Primates > Hominidae > Homo > Homo sapiens. Next base: position 221,537,545 of record NC_000001.11, read on the forward strand.
ATGAAGGTCTTATTGCCTGGGCTGGCAAAGTTCCACCTCCTCAGTAACAGATCATGCTAACATCTCTAAGCTGCAAACAAGCTGCCTCCCAACTACAAGATGGCATTGCCATGAGCTAGCAACGTAGCTCATGAACCCAAACTTTCTCTCAGACTCAACACTGCCCTGCAAACTCTCCTTTCTGCTTTTCTAGCAACCTGGAACCACAGTTTTCCAACTATCTGCTTTACAACCAGGCTCTGAGATAGACTTGTCATTTCAATGTCTTTATTGTCCAGAGTTCTAATTCATCCACTGCAGCTTACAACCATTGATGTATGTAATTCAGCACTTTAATCATCTTTGCAATTTTAATCATAGGGTTAAATGATTCAATTTTCCCGTCCACCCCATTCACTTATAAATATGCCAGGAACTGTGTTTGTAAGTTGAGTTTTGCACCCATCTGCAAACATATTCTTCATTTACAATTTCATTTTTATTTTCAACATTCCCCCGCCGCTTTTTGAATTAAGTAGAAATAATGGCAGCTGGTGCTACTTTTGGTGTTTGAACCTGAGTTAATCATGAATTCATCACTTGCTAACAGTAACATCAGGAAAATTATTTAACCTCTTAGATGATTTCTGCTTTTGTACAACAAAAATGTAAAAACACAAGATGTACCTCACTGGGTTGTGGTCAAGATGACCCAAGTGAAGTGCCTGACTCATGCTGGGTGCTCATTAGCGGCAGATCCCTTCCATAATATAAATACCCCCTCCCTTGTTCATTAGAGTATATTTTGTGTGGTTGTTAATGGTCATATTATCTCACTGGACTCATGGAATAAAGTTTCTTCTGAATTATCTTGTGTCAATCAATTTGGGAGAAATTAGTTCCTCCAGTAGAAAACCAGAATTTGGTTGACAAATCTTGTACAGGTGGGTGTAGAAATTTTTATTTCCCTTTGATCTGCATTCCCCAGGATTTGGTCTTTTTAAAGACGAGTTTCTAAATATGGACTCCAGCCTAGTGGATAATATGCTTCCATAGGAGGTAGATCAGGTAGATGGGAACATGCTTAAAGAAAGTCATGTCTGTTAAGTGAGATGATCTAATTCTGAGTTTACGTGCATGGCGCCCCCTGCAATTGGACAGTGCACAGTTTATGCCACCATAATGTGGCAGTGTCACCTGGGCTTGTTAACTTTGTGTTATCCCTGAGGCTTTAGTAAAGTTTCATTTCACTGTCCTAGACTTGAGTTAGCTGTGCTAGAGGGAATGAAAGTAAAAGAAGGAGCATTAAATGAGAAACAATCCTCCATAAACCACCTTTCCAAAGCAGGTAGGTGGGAGCAAAGTTAATTAGTGAAGGAAGATGAAGAAAAAAACTTGGAAGACAAGGGTTGAGGTCATGAGTTATGGCTTCTCCTTCTTTTGTAAAGCCACTACTAGTCACAGTGTTAATATTTTTAGAGGCAGTTGTGCTTTCCTATTAAACATCTTCTTCCACAACTTTTTTCTTTTTAGTTCTGTGAGCATTTTCTCATCTGGATCCTGCTTCTAACAATGATCCTAAATAGGTTCTTTGAGGGAAGCTAAGTTTTTTGTTTTTGATAGAGACAATCTCTAACTCATGATCTTAGAGCTTACAAAAAGGGTAAAGAACTAACACGATTGCTATGGTTCCAGTGTATATGTCCCTCCACAATTTGTATATTAAAACTTAATTGCCAATGTGATAGTATTAAAAGGTGGGGTATTAAAAGTATTTTAATATTTGATAGTATTACAAGTATTTAATCACCTCGTAAAGAGGTGTAGCCTTATGAATGGGATGAATGACCTTATAAAAGATATATAAGAGAGCTGATGTCTGCATTTGCACTTCCAGCCCATCTGCCATGGGAGGACACAGCTTTCAAGGTGCCATCTCAAAAGTAGAGATGGGGCCGTCTCCAGACATAAAATCTGCTGGCACCTTGATCTCGGACTTCCCAGCCTCCAGAGCCATGAGAAATAAATCCCTATTCTTTATAAATTACCAAGTTTCAGGTATTTTGTTTTAGCCACATGAATAGACCAAGACAGTGATTTATCAACATCACATCTCTGTGCTCTCCTCAGCCTCCGACCTGCTTTATTATCTATGATTACTACAGTCTAGGAACGAGCACTACTGTTGTTATAAGAAATGTCAGCTCTTTAGGAACCTGGTGAGTGACCACAATGACTGGAATATGGCTACGCTCAGTGGAGCTTGCTGTCCTTCTGGAAGTGAATTCTGTTCTCTCAATTTCTATTCTGTGGAAATATTTCCAAGGAAGAGTTGGAGTTTTCCTCCGAAGTCCCTATGTATCCTGCACACATTTTTTTGGAGTTTTTCTCAGTAGCATAGAGTTCGAATAAATAAAACCTACTGTTGAGAAAAGATCCCGCATTCATAACTTTCTTTACTGTTCATCCTATAAAATGGCGTATATCTTACTGCTCTCCCCAGTATAGCTCCATTTGTATACACAAATAAAAAAAGAAAATTAAAAACTTTATTCCACATGTTTATTGTTATGCACTATATTAAGAATTTTACATATATTGTAATTAGCCGGGCGCGGTTGTGGGCACCTGTAGTCCCAGCTACTTGGGAGGCTGAGGCAGGAGAATGGCGTGAACCCAGGAGGCGGAGCGTGCAGTGAGCCAAGATAGCGCCACTGCACTCCAGCCTGGGCGAAAGAGCGAGACTCCGTCTCAAAAAAAAAAAAAAAAAAAAAAAAGAATTTTACACATATTGTTTTATTTAATACAACCTCCCTATGATGAATAAACTCTTACTACTCTCAATACAGAGATGAGTGTCAAAGAATTTAACTGCCCTACATAAGGTTAACAAGTAGTTGAGAAAGAGTTCAACCACATATCTAATTGATCCAAAGCCCATACTTTTAACTTCTATACTTATTCTAAATACACTACTGAAACAAAAATGATCTGAATTTAAATGCCTCTGTTTATTTGCATCAACAATTGAACTTGTTTGTATAAATGTTGTGGCATTGAACAAAATTAAAAAGCTCCAAATGAAGCTCAGCCATACAGACTCCAGGTACCCATTCATTATACAATACATTTTTCTACCACTCAACATTCAAAGAAACATCCCTTTCCTGACTGGGCATGGTGGCTCACGCCTGTAATCCCAGCACTTTGGGGGCCTAGGCAGGCAGATTGCTTTAGCTCATGAGTTCAAGAGCAGCCTGGAAGACATGGCAAAACCCCGTCTCTACAAAAGATACAAAAGTTAGCTGTGCATGGGTGGGATGAGGTGGGAGGGTAGCTTGAGCCTGAAAAGTGGAGCTTACAGTGAGCTGAGAGTATGCTACTGCAATCCAACCTGGGCAATAGAGCCAGACCTTCCCTGAGGAAAAAAAAAAAAAAGAAAAAAGAAAGAAAGAAGTTTTCCTTTCTTTCAGTGGCAGCACATCTGAGCATTCTGCCTCTTCTTCTTCATTTCTTCTCTGCCCATGTCTTCTCTCCCCTCTTCCTCTGGGTATCTGGCACAAGGTCTCCTGGCTTGATGCAATGTGAAGTTCACTCCGGATTCAGTCACATCTGAGTCCTCGTAGTGAAGGCTTGAAGTGACTCTTCCAGGCTATACGTGCATGAGGAACCTAGGAAGCTATTGGCGGGGAAAAAACTAATCTAAGGAATTAGAGAGGCCTATAAAACTGTCCTGGTAACACTACCTCAGTCATTAAAGTAAGATGCCAGAGAGAACAATTCTGAACACTGGAAGGTATTCCATGACTCTTTTCTTCCTTGGACTCAACTTCACGGCCTCCAGGCTGACTAGGGGGCAATTTAGGGTAGGTACAGGCTCTGCAAGTAGCTAGGTCCAAATGAATTGTTTTTACTCATATCTGTGAGACACAGAGTCCAAAGCAATGTGGTTTTTGGTACCCGGGGTCACAGTACAGGGAAAAAGATATGTGTTCACTGGTTGGCACTGATGCATGGAGGATTTGAGAAACCACGATGCTGCTTGGATCTATTAAGGCTTTGACTATGTAGCAGTACATAGGGCCTGGCTACGACAACTGTGACGGCAGGTCCCACTTACAGAGGTCAGGGGCAAAGGCCACAGTGGTAGTAGCAATGTTCCTAATGCCCCAAGGCAGAACCCAGGGTGACCTGTCAGTGGAAGTGTGTGTCTCACTTCCTTGTGCACTTACACACGGCTTTGCTAGCAGGAGTGTGAGGGACTTACAGACGGCTTTGCTGGCAGGGAGTGTGAGCATTCAAGAGGCACCATTTGCAATTATCTAGGGATAAGTATCATGCTCGGAGAATGGTTGGATGTTCTGCAGGACCTGAGAGGTGGGAAAGAAGAGAAGTGCTGCAGAAATGTTTGAGTTAGACATGTAACACTAACTTGCATAGTTATTCTCTTTGATCCTTACAAATACCCACAGAAATTTGGGTTGTTATTTCCATTGTATTTGTGAGGGGGCTAAGGCTGGGTAAATTGTCCACGATCAAATAGCTGGTAAGTAATGGAGAGAAGAATAAAACTTAGATCCTCTGACTTACCATTCTTTCCTGTAGCCTTCCTACTTTCCCAATCTCAGGAAAATTATTATCTTCAATAAATTGTGGGTTTTTTTTTTTTTTTACCAGCAAATTAGGCTTATGTAATCATACTTTTCCTTTTTACATTGACCATTAGAAATCTGAGTTGAATTTTTAAAAATTGTACTGACAATATTAATCTAGTAAGTTGATATGTTTACCACAATTTTTTCCTAAAAATTTTCTAATTTCTGTTTTTCTTTTAACTGCTTTTTGTTATACCTATCTTTTGTTGAAAGCCACTTCAGACCTTGGAAGCAAATGGGATATTCTCTTTACGTAAGCAGAGAAAGAAATCTGGAAACCAAACTTGCTACCTCCAGAGTGTGAATCAGATTGGTCATTCCCAGAGAATAAACTGAGAAATTCCAAGTGAATTGGGAGATATCACATAAACTTTGATTTTTTTCCCATAGTCTTAATGAATTTTGCTGATGTCTTGATATTCCCAATCTCCCCTTTTAATCAACGTTATGTGTTTGAGATAAGTTCGGCAGAGGTTGGAGGATCAGACCTTAGTCATAGAACACAGGAGAGAATATCTAACAGTCTAATAAATGCATATAAATTAAATACATACTGGGCAAACCACTCTAGATTTGAAGTATTAAAATCTGGGGAAGAATCACAGTTAAGCTGGTTGACTGGGCACTTCTTGACTTAATGAAAATTTGTCAGCAAAAGGCTACCATACGAGTTAGGGAAGGTGTACCTTAAGCATGTCTTGAATGGCATGACTTTGTGGGTGAGGAAGATAGTGTTTGCTATGAAATAGTAACAGGAATAGACATGTCACACACAAGGGAAGAATAGCAGTTGTTCCTAACTAGAGCTTACAGTATGGTCCAGGAAGGTGTGGAGTTGAGTTAGAAGTTCTAGGGGGAAGAGGAGAAGAGCTTAAAGAAAAAATAGGAGTTAGAAGTGCCTGTGATGAACTCAAAGCAAAAGCCATCTGAGAATGGAAAATCTCATAAAGGAAGGATGAATAGGAGTAGGAAAAACCACTGAACCACCATTATCTACCAGACAGGTATATCATCTATGCTTCAGAAGAAATCTCATCAAACATGCATGTCAGGACTGGGCTGTGAATTGCAATTAAAATATTTACACAGAGGGAGAAAACTAATTTTTTTAAATGATAATGTGATTCTGTGAGGGTGATGACACTGGTGGTAGTACAGACTTTGGATCTTCCTGAATTCCCACCTGAAAATAGAAAAAGCAAATAGCAAGCAAGCCAGCGAAAACATGGAAAGCATTTACAACATAATGAGATGTCAAAGTAGCCCCATGAATTCCAAAATACAAGCAGTTGGGGATTAATGGTCAACAGCCAGAAGACGGTGTGATATTGACATTGTGCAGGAAAAATAAAAAAGGAAGCAGTGGAGGTTCAGATAGACCTGGGAGGAGGAGAATCCCTAAATAGCTAAAAGATATTCACCAGAAAGTAATGCAGACAATTTGAATTTAGCAGGGTTTCACGGTTCCACAAACAGGTAAGTGCAGGGATCTCTGCTAATTTCTCAAGGGGTAGACATATAACCTAGTCCCTGTGAACTTTTGATCGTAGCCAGCCAGGACAGCGCTCCATGACAGGGTGCCAGACTTACTGGGGGCAGAGCCTAAATTACTTGGGGCAGAATTAAAATGTACCAGCATAAACAACAAAGAAAAGGGAAGGTTTCCATGAAAGTCACATGGGAAACAGAGCCCTCTAGCTCCAACATTTCACAGAAGCAACAGAAGAGGGAGCTCTGTAAGCTTAAAAACAATAATAAAAGCTAACCAAACCAATTTATTTGCCTAAAAGTGCAAATAAATTAACTTCGCAGGAAAATAAACAACAGAAAAGTATAAAAGTCAAATATCACACAGAATTAAGATAATAAAAAAGAGAGTAAGAATCAGAATAACACCTCTACAGACAATGAAATCATGCCAGAGACATGTTCCAAGAATGGATTAAAGTTTTAATATACTATTTTAAAACAATTAAAAGGAATTTTTAAAAGTACATTATACAATACACGAAGGACACATAAGGGAAAAAACACATAAATAGGAGACATAAGAAAGACTTCAAAATAAAAGAAAAAAACACTTTCAGGAAATAACAAAACTATAAAGTATGCAACAGCAAATAAACATGACAAATAATGCCTTAAGAGAAATAGAAAATGAAAAGAAAAAAACTGTAAAAACATAAAAGAATTAAAGTACGGCCAGTGCTGTAATCCCAGCACTTGGCGAGGCTGAGGCAGGAGGACCACATGAAGTCTGGAGTTCAAGACCAGTCTGGCCAACATGACAAAACCCCGTCTCTACTAAAAGTGGAAAAATTAGCCGGGCATGGTGGCACATGTCTGTACTCTCAGCTACTTGGGAGGCTGAGGCACGAGAATCACTCAAACCTAGGAGGCAGAGGTTGCAGTGAGCTGAAACAGCACCACTGCACTCCAGCCTGGGCAAGAGAATGAGACACCATCTCAAAAAAAAAAAAAAAAAATTAAAGAAAGTTATAAAAAGATTTTTGATAAGTATCAAAAAAAAGAAAAAGACCTAACACAAAGAAATAGAGGTCTCCAAAGAAGAAAATTAAAGCAAAGAAATAGAACAATTAATAAATACTGTCAGATAACTTACCTAAAATTAAAACATTTTTTAGAGAGTAGAATGGTGGCTGCCAGGGGTTAAGAGAAGGGAGGAGTAGAAAATTATTGTTGGAAGGGTACAGAGTTTTAGTTTTGCAGGATTAAAATGGATGGTGGTGATGTTTGCACAACAATGTGATATACTTAATGTTTTCAAACTATACACATACAAATGGTTAAAATAGTACATTTTATGTTATCTATATCTTATCATAACTGTAAAAATTAATTAAAAAGACAAAACACGTTTTTAAAAAGTGGGTACATCTAAACCATAGTGTCTCAGTGATTAAACCCAAAGGAAATGCAAGGAAGTTATGACTATAAAGGATGCTGGCTATGTAGGAAAGATGAAGGGGGCTGTGACTGGATAATGGGATGAAGTACCCAGAAGAGTGTTTTGAGGAGGTGGGCAGAAAAGTTCTATGTATTGACCTAGATGGGAGTCACAAGAGTCTTGACCTGAAAATAATTCACCATGGTATACATTTGTATCGTTTAGTTTTCTATATTCAGGTTTTATTTTAAAATAGAAAGGGGAAAAGAATAGAAAATAAATGAGAGAACGATGAATGTGTTCAGATGCACAAAATCTAATAAAGTATTTCCATTTGCTTTGGTTGTATCCCAGCTATAGCTCTTCACTGTGAAGACATTTATCTTATTTACAGGTTTTTCATTCAACCTTTCTCTCATTTATTTATTTAACTTTCGGATTAATGTGCTTACATTCTAGAAATCAAATATAAAGCGCTGAAGCAGGAAGACAGATACTAGTTATTCTCCATCCCCCCGCCCTTGCTAAGACCCGTTCTCATCACCTTCTTTTATCTGCTCTGTGCTGCTGGAGATCATCCTTATGGACTGAGTCTTCCAGCTCCCAGGTCCTCTGGTTTCCATTTGTGTTTGGCCAGCAAGAGACACCATCAAGAGACTGAAGGGCAGGTAGGGGAAGGAAAGGTCAAGGTATGTCCTGCCTCACTTTTCCCTCTACTTCTATGCTATAATTCTGGCAAAGGTTTTATTTATCTGTAATTACTACTAGGATTCTTCTGCTCCAAGGCAACTCTCCCATTGAGCCCCCATGATATTGTTTCCAACTCTTCTTCCTTTAAGCCTGGGGTGGTAATGGCTTCACACTGTTGCTATTCCCTGGGTGCCTCAATGTTCCTATGGGCTCCTTAAACCCCCTATAATTATTTTATAATTATTATTTTAAATAATTTTTTATGTTAATGCCATAAATAATTATTTTATGTCAATGCCATAACCACTTCAACATGTGTGGAAAAGAGGTTTTTGCAGATGTGATCTAGAGATGAGATTCTCCTGGAGTATCCATGTGGGCCCTAAATCCAATCACAAATATCCTTATAAGAAACAGAAGTGGAGAAGACATAGACACAGGGGGAAGGCCATAAGCTGAGGGAGGCCGAGACTGTAGTTATGCAGCCATACGCCAAAGAACACAGAGAGCCACTAGAGGTTGGAAGAGGCAAAGGAGAATTTTCCCCCAGAGACTTCAGAGAGTGCATGGCTGTGCTGATGCCTTGATTTTTTTTTTAATTTCTGGCCTCCAGAACTGTAAAAGAATAAACTTCTCTTGTTTTAAGCACCAAGTGTGTGGCAATTTGTTACAGCACCACAGGAAACTAATACACCGTGTAAGTGTGCCTTCAGGATCCTGATTGAATTAGAGATTATAGTCTATTAAGGAAAGCAGACATTAAATAAATCAGCCCACATCTCCAACTCAATATTCTTCACACTATGCCTTTACTTCTCATCCAGGGAAAAAACAGAATGGCCCTAAAGAAATTATTGCTAGACACTGACAGGTGAGGTTCCCCAGTGAAAGATCAATCTACAGTGCATCCCTCCAAACCATATCTCCTCTATCCCCACTTATCTCCCCTACCCCCACAGAAATTCCTATTTTTCTTTAAGGTCCTATTGTTAAATATGAATACACAAAGAAGGTTTACAGACATTTGAAAAATTATTTATCATGGAAACAGAGACCAAGACACATATAATGCACATTACACAATGCACACACATACAAGTACACACACACACAGATAAATCCAAAAAACAAAAAAGAAAGAAAACTTTAGAGAATGATATGTCCTCAAAAAATAAAAGAGGATACTGCATCCATGAAACAAGAACAGATTACTACTTAAAAAGAAATCAGAGAACAAGGAAGCAATTCTGAAACCACTTTACATATTTGTTAAAACTGAACAAGTAAATATTAATACATAAATTGTAGATAATGGGAGTCAAGGTTCTCACTGTCAAAGAAAGAAGTAACAAATAAACAATGAGAGAAGGTTAGAGTGAATCCTGTGAGGCTAAATTAGAGTCAAATAATATGAGCTCATGATTATGTATATATACGACACACACATAAATTTTGAAATATTTAAAATGTATAAAATATGTTTGTGTATATATGTGCGGTATAAATACATATATCCCCTATCTCTATCCACGGAAGTGACCTAGAAGCAATAACACCCCAGTAGCAATGAACACACCCAGAACCCATATCTTGGCTTCTAATACTATTCTTCAATAATAGGAACCAGGGATACTTGGAAAAATGGCTGATTCTAGGGCTGTGGCAGGAAATAGGCAAGATGAATCTGGAGCCTGTTATTAAGGTGTCATAATGTAAGGAAGTGCTCAAAACTACAAAATAATGGGGATATGTCAAAGGAACACAGGAACCAATTTAAAGAGATTCTAAAGACTAAAGTTAGAACAATTTGAGGAGCAAAATAAACAACAAAGTATTTGATTATAACCCAGAGAATAAAATATCACGAGTCCTACTGATATCAATACATGATTGAATAAATAAATAGGGAAAAGAGACAAATATCACATACAGATGAATTCCAAATAATTTTTGTTATTTATAGAGATGGAGCTTAATTCCCCATCACTTGAGTGTAGGCTGCGCTTAGTGGCTTGCTTCCAGGGAATAGAGTATAAAAAGGGCTGGGGACTGGACATGGGTGGCTCTGTAAATTCACAGTGGAGAAACCTAGAAAACACTAGGTTGGCCAGATGATAAGGATTAACACCATCAGGGATGAGGCATGTGGATATCGAGCATCCTTTTACAGGATGTAACGAGAATACCACTTTACCTCTGTGGTCTTCTAGAAACCCATAATCTCAAACTGACCATGAGAAAAATATCAGAGAAATCCAAATTAGGGACACGCTACAAAATACCTGACCAGTACCCTTCAAAAATGTTTAGGTCCTAACAAACAAGGTTAAGACGGAGAAATTGTCACAGATTGGAGGAGACGAAAAAGATAGGATGACTAAAAGCAACATGTCATCCTAGCTTGAATACCAGAACAGAAAAAGAACGTTTATGGAAAAATCAGTGAAATCCAAATAGACTATTTTAGTTAATGACAATTTCTTTGTTTTGATAAGTGACCATGGTTGTGTAAATGTTAACATTAGGATGTGCCAAGTGAAGCTTTCTGAACAGTCTTTGCAACTCTTCCGTAAATTTAACATTATTCCAAAATAAAAAGTTTGGGAAAATTATGGTTGGTTAAACAGGTATGAGATGAGAGTTGAGGTTTTCTGAGAGCTTCCCAAGGGCTTGGGGATGATGGAGAAAGATATTGCTGCATGAGAATATGGTCATGGAATGAGATTGGAATCACTTAATTTTAGTGACAGAAATAATAATAAGAGCAATCAATATTTTTATTCAGTTCTTATTAAGAACCAGACACTGACTTGAGGAGCTTATTTATAATATTTCATGTAATCCTCACAATAGCCCAAAGAGGCTAATATTTATTTTTGTCCTTGTGGATGTGGATGCTCAGTTGTGAGAAAGGAAAAATAACTTTGCCTGGATTGTTCATGTAGGGAGTAGATCTGGGATAGGAACCCAGGTCCATCTGAATCCAAAACTCATACTCTCAATATCATATTTGATTTTAGTCTCCAGTCCAACCAAAAACCAAGGACCATGAAACAGAAAGGATTGAGTCACTCTAGCATTTAGCTTTGCTACATGGACAACAGGCTAGCGTGGCCTTAATTGCAAGGTCATCTTAGGGTTTCAATTAGCATCAAGAGGGCAAACCCCAAACTGCAGGTGTTTCTCAAGCCTCTGCTTGTATAATGTTTGCTAACATCCCAGGTGCCAAGGCAAGTCCCACGGATCATGGAGGTTCAGTGAGTGGAGAAACTGACTCCCGTTCCTGGTCAGAGGACCCGCAGCATCACATTGCAGAGGACTGGAGCTGGGTGGAACACAATTGATGACCTCATGGGCACTTGGACGAGGAAAAGAGAGGCAGCGCAAATGCAGGTCTTTGCAGTTCTGTTCGGAAGGTTGTTAATGATCTACCCTGCCTCTAGGCTGAATCCTGAGATGTGGAGATTTGGACTATGTGGATGGAGAAGGGTCAGGGAAAGCCTAGTGGAAGATGTGTGATCAGGCTGTACTGTGAGGCTGCCAAAGCTCAAAACAAACTAAAATAGGACAAGCTGTGGGAAGAACAGATGAGCAGGCCTTAAATGCTAAGCTCAGACACTGGGCTTGCTAGGCCAGGAAACCCCCAGCCAAGGATGGGTTCTAACTGATTTCTGTGTCCCGAATAGAGCCTGACACCAGGTAAGAATAAGACTGTGTGTTAGTAAGTAAATATATGAATGTAATGTAGTACAGGGGTGGCTATAATTTATACAATCATATTTGAAAAGAAGCATGAACAATTTTAGTTTTAAAGGATTAAGTTACAAAAAGTATGCTAAAAATGAAGATTTCATTTTAGAATAAAATATCTTTTCTATTACATCTTGCAAACTACCATTCAATAAATTGTACATGCAATTTTTTTACTTCTTTGAAAGTAATTGGCTTATTTAACGATTTGTATCTTCTTGAGGTGACTTTCTTTTCATCATAAAAACCCAGTTGAGTACTTTGTAGCAATTTACATTTTCTTCCTTCCTGTTTATAGAGTACAGAATGAATATAAGCTCTTATTCTTACACCAAATAACTACATAAAATGCCAAGACTCTGGTTAATTAACAGTGGATCTTTAAATAACACATGTCCTCCAAATAAAGCAAGTCAGAACTTGAAGTGCCCAAACATGTCATAGGTGACTGATGAAGTGTACCTAGTGACCCAGTGAATTGATAAGTTCACCATGACAACCATTATTTCAGATAGCTGCACCATAGGCAAAGCAGAAGCTGACCAGAGACTAGATATTTCTTGCTCTCCATGCACTGACTCAGAGAAGCAACCAATAACAGCAGAAGGTATTGGTGCTTGATAGTGCTGCAGCAGCATTGAGTTTACTTGAAACTCATTCTGCTTGGTTTCTGCCCACACTGGATAAGGGGGTATAACTAAAACACTGAGAGCAGAAAACATCCTTCCAAGGACATTACATTTCACATTGTAATAAGAATTTAGGATTACACCTAAAGTTACAGGAATCAGTGTTGTGTTATATTCTGGTGAAGAAGGCCTTCTGGTAGCAGAGGGTCTGCATGGCCATAATCACCAGTGTAATGATGACCTTGATCAGCTGATGGACGCCTGTGGAGTTGCCCTGCAGAGAGAAGTTGGTGAAGACCTTGTAATCACAGAAGCTAAAGGCCAGAAGGAGGATCTTGGGGTGGCAGACATGTTGAGGCAAATATAACCAATTTCTGACAGATGTGCAAGCGCAGCCAGGTGACCACAAGATGCCCCAGGGTCAGGTTCATGTTAGGGATCCTTTTGTTGATGAACATGATGCAGATGGACACCACCAGGTTGCGGAGGGGCCTAGTGATGATGCTTGCTTTGTGCCACTGTTACCGGGGGTCCTTGCTCCCAGAGCTCCCAAGATGGTGGCGGGCCGCTTCCAAAATGGTGGAGGGCCACTTCCAAGATGGTGGCAAGCCTCGTGTTCTCTGACCTGGGGTTCTTGGCCTGACAGATTCCAAAGAATGGAATCTTGGGCCATGCGGTGAGTGTTATAGCTCTATTAGAAGCTGCGGGTCACGGAAGAGAACGGTGGAACCCAGTGACTAGTGTTCAGTTTGATTAGGATGAACCTGGGCACTTAGCCGTGCAGGAAGGGCAAGCCTTTAGCTGAATAGGGAGTGGCATAGGCGACTCACTGGATCAGGAGCGCAGCAGACACCCTGCCTGATCTGGAGGGATGGAAGTCAGTGGCGGGTCTGTGACAGCGGCAAACAGCAGTGGTGGACAGCGAGCGAAAGCTCAGCTTGAGCAGTAACAAGCACAGACCAAAAGAGAGTGCAGTTGCAAGATTTAATAGAGTGAAAACGGAGCTCCGATACAAAGGGAGGGGACCCAAAAGGGGTAGCCTTTGCTGGCTCGAATGCCTGGGTTTATATCCCGATCATTTTCCCTCCTGCTGTGCTCTCAGGCAATAGATGATCGGCTATTTCTTTACCTCCTGTTTTTGCCTAATTAGCATTTTAGTGAGCTCTCTTTACTATCTGACTGGTCGGATGTGAGCTAAGTTGCAAGCCCCGTGTTTAAAGGTGGAAGTGGTCACCTTCCCAGTTAGGCTTAGGGATTCTTAGTCGGCCTAGGAAATCCAGCTAGTTCTGTCTCTCACCACCATAAAGAGCAGCACACTCATCATCTTCCAGGCAAGCAGCCATCCCTCAGCACACACCACTACCCCAGTCCAATCATGGGTACTCTTGAAGACACATAGTTGTAATGGGTAAGAGGTTCGGTCCTTATGGTAGGACAGGAGTAGATATTTTAGTTCACAAAGGATTTGGAATTCCTCAAATCACTTTCTTGGGGCATCTCTTTACTTTGCCTACACAGTGACCCTTTGGGAAATGGCACCAGGTGTCCCAGGCTGGTGCTTAAAGTGGGAATATTAAGGTAAGATGTGGCAGATTCTACCAGATAGAATATCACTATGCTTCCTTCCAAAGGGAGCCTTATTCAACTCCTCTCTGCAATTGTTTGTATACAGAATGTGCCAAAGGTTCCAAGGAGAATCTTAAACTCTCACACCACATGTGACCCAGTGGAATGCAGAGGGCAGGGCCTCCTTCCGGAAACACATCAGCCCTAGTCCTAGCTCCAATCCTTCTTGCTGAGGGGCCTCAGCTCTGTTACCTACCCCCTCTATGTCTCAGTTTTCTTACAAGTAAAATGATAATATTAATAGTAGCTAGCTCATATGATTAGAAGGATTAACTGAGTACATAAAGCACACAGAACATGCCTGGCACAGAGTGGGTGTAACTGTCTCATGAGCGACCATGACTTAGAATAATCAATTTCAGGAGTCCTCCTGGGTGGCAGGATTATCCTTTATATATATTCCAAAACTGTTTAATGAGAAGAAATACATTTCAGTTAAAAATAATTTATATTATAATATCCTTTAGTTGGGTTTAGTTAGGTTCCTGTTGTTAATTGAAAGTGCCCCATGTGTGTTCACTGCAGCACTATTCACAACAGCAAAGACATTGAATCAACCTAAATGCCCATCAATGATAGACTGGATAAAGAAAATATGATACATATACACCATGGAATACTCTGCAGCATAAAAAAAGAGTAAGATCATGTCCTTCACAGGGACATGGATGGAGCTGGAGGCCATTATCCTTAACAAACTAATGCAGGAGCAGAAAGCCAAATGCCTCATGTTCTCATTTATAAGTGGGAACTAAATAATGAGAACACATGGACACACAGAGGGGAACAACACACACTGTGGCCTTTTGGAGGGTGGAGGGAGAGAATCAGGAAGAATATCTAATGGGTACTAGGCTTAATACCTGGGTGATGAAATAATCTATACAATAAACCCTCATGACACAAGTTTACCAATATAACAAACCTGCACATGTACCCCTGAACTTAAATAAAGTGTGGTTCAGGGACAGTTTTTATCCCAAGGGGCATTTGTCAATGACTGAAGCCATGTTTGCTTGTCACAACTGAGGGTGTTACTGGATGTAGTGAGCAGGGGCCAGGGATGCCGCACAGCACTCTACAACGCATAGATAGCCCCTGACGAAAAAGAGTTATCTGGCCCAAAATGTCATTAGTGCCAAGATTGAGAAACTGCTCTACAGGACCTAGTAAACAGAAATAGTCAGCAAACAACTGTATTCCCATTAGGCAAAAGAACATTTTCTCTTCCAAAGGAAGTTAGAGGACGAGGAGAGTGGCTCATGCCTGTAATCCCAGTACTTTGGGAGGCCGAGGCTGGCGGATCATGAGGTCAAGAGATCAAGACCATCCTGGCCAACATGGTGAAATCTGTCTCTACTAAAAATACAAAAATTACCCAGGCGTGGTGGCGCACACCTGTAATCCCAGCTACTAGGGAGGCTGAGGCATGAAAATCACTTGAACCTGGGAGGCAGACATTGCAGTGAGCCAAGATCATGTCATTGCACTCCAGCCTGGGCGACAGAGCGAGAGTCTGTCTCAAAACAACAACAAAAAAAAGGAAGTTAGGTAAAGCCAAACATGCAGCCTGGAGTCGGGCTTGTTGTGCTGATTTTTTCTGTTGCTGATATATGATTGTAAGCTTTCTTTCCGCTGATGTTTTGTGGGGAGGGTGTCCAAAGAGCAAAGGGAAAGAGAACAGAACAATCAGAGAAGAAAATAAGTGTATTCAGCAAATGATCCCTCCAATCCTAAAAGAGTAAAATGCTTACTTCCCTGATGAAAAAAAAAAAGTCATTCATAGATAAGAAAAATCATGTACAAGAGTTTTTGACACCAAGCTGATTAGAGATCTCACAGCCATCTTGGGATATCTGTAACTAAGCCTAACACTGAGTTGAAATAAATATTCCACTTACCTATTCCTTATTAAAATATTAACCATATCCACTAGAAAATGAAGCAAACAGCTTTAAGAAGAAAGCCCTAAATGAAAAGAAACTGCTGGAGAAGTAGTTACTTTACTTAAATATCATTATATACTACTGATTTTTAATAAACACAGTACAAAATAGAAAAAGTGTCCTACTAGAATCAGAGATATACAAGCTCTTATATTTGGGCTTTTAAACATCTGAGCTAAAGATGTTTAAAATAGTTTAGGTTTGTTTAGTGAAAATTCTCTCCCTTCCTACTAAGGATAGAGTTTATTTTCCCATCCTTGGACCCATCTTGGACCATCTGTGTGACTTGCTTTGACCAATGGAATATTAGCAGAGACCTGAAATGTGCTTATGCAGTTTGTTTTGACCTGTGTTTTTAGGCGATTTGCCACGAGAAGGACATGGCCTGGTGGCTACTGCACCTTCAGCTTCCGCACACATAAATACATATGGAACACACCGGACCTAGTCTCCAGCCTGGAGCCATGCCTACAGCATGGCTGAAGCATGAAGCAGGGCTAACTGGCCACATTCAACCTCCATCAGCTGAAGCACAATACACCTGCAAACCTATGAGTCTGAGAATAAAGGCTTGTTATTGAAAGCCACTAAGATTTGGGGTGGTTTGTTATCCAACATTCTGATGGCAACAGCAGTAATAGATCACCAGGTCTTTGTGATTTTGCTTTTAAATAAATTCACTAATTCTAAATGGAATTCTCAATAGATATTTGCAAATTAATCTTTTTTTCTATAGAAATAATGACTACTGCTTCTTTGTCTTGAGTTGTTGATAAAAATATATGTTTCATAGAGCATAAAATGGGCTACATGAGGGCAGACTTCTACAAGGATTAATTTCTATAAGATGTAGAAATGTCTTTTATATCACTTTAGAACTCTCCCAGGCATTTAAATAAGAGTGGTCTTTTTTTTAGGAAGTTCTGTTGGCTGCATGTAAACTTTGAAATAAAATTAGCTCCAAGTTAGAAAACAATTGGTATAGCAATCTACCTAAGGCATTCTTGGAAAAAGTTGGGTGGCATGATTATTTTAGTCTTTAAATTTCCAGAAACATTTCTTCCATTTGGCTTGTGAG
Source organism: Homo sapiens (assembly GCF_000001405.40). Taxonomy (NCBI): domain Eukaryota; kingdom Metazoa; phylum Chordata; class Mammalia; order Primates; family Hominidae; genus Homo; species Homo sapiens. The sequence goes on from NC_000001.11 coordinate 221,554,806, forward strand.
ATTAGGAATTTAGCAAAGAAGTAACAAAACCGTACTTAGATAGGCAACTGATGAACTGCTTAAACTAAGATTTCTAATTCATTGTGATCGGGAATCTCATTTACATAAAATGAAAAATAATTAAATTGCATCTTAATTGTGATCTTTTCCAATTTAATTGAATTTCAACACTTAGGTCAGTGGCTGGAGTACAAAGTCAATTTCTTCCTGAAAGGTTTTATTATTATTTTAAAATTAATTTCCTTCCTTATTCACAAGAGGGGAGTGATATAGCCCAATGTGAATGAACGATTACATGGACCTATATGAGGTTTTGAATAAATACCTTGACTTGGGCCCAGTAAGCTTGCAAAGGTTGCTAACTGTATGTATTTAGTTGTCACTGGTGAATTCGTATGTGTAGGCAGATGCAGAAGGAAGGTTGTGATATAAGCTATAGACTGTAGTCTTTTCTTTCTCTCCTGAGGACGGGGTGGACAAAATGGGCTTGAGAAGCAGTAGCCTGAAGTTGGGAATCACTGGAATTCAAAAATGTTAGCATTTAAAGCTGCCCAAGAAGCCAGTGAAACGACTCCAACCTGCCATATGAGGACATGGAAACTCTCAGAAAGGTAAAGGCAGTGATCTACCCAAGGCTGAAAAGATAGTGAATTCCAGAGCTGCGTGGTCCATCTAGATTCCCCGATTCCTAATTCTAATTACTTCTCAAGCAGATTTAAGGAAGATTATCTGATGCAAAGTTACCAAAATTACAGAAATTGTTTATTATGGTCATATATACAGGGTCTGACTTACTAGCCTTTAAATGCAAAAGTAGTGGTTGCTTACACTTTGCTGCAGCATTAGCGCTTACTTGGGGGGACTGCTGGGTGGCAGAGCCCCCAAAGAACAGCCTCTCCCATTGGGAGTTCTCCAAGATCATTGTCTTTCTCATTTTGGAGTTTGTGTTTCCTACAGGATCTATTCTGACAAAGCTGTCCTGTGGCCTCACAATCACGTCTGTCAGGGTAGCATGGTTGTCCAGGACAAGTGTGTATATCAGTGGCTCCTGGCAGGTGATGATTACATAAGCATCCTGCCAGCCACCCGAGTGGAAACGATGGTCCCAGCACTTCTGAGAGAAGAGAACATGACGGGGGTGCAGCATGCGGCTGGGGTGCACAGGCTTTCTGGCCTGGCAGAGATCTTTTCCAGTGAAGTGATTTTTCACATTGCAGGAGGAAACACGAGAAAAGGCTTCTTCATCTGCCAGACTCAGGGTGCCTTAAAACACAAAGTGCTTCAACTGTGTTTGAGCTTTGAGGGGGTTGGGGCTTGCTTATTTTTATAGTTATTTATGCCTTACTCTCATTTCAAGTGGCAAGCACTTTATTCAGTTTTCTCAGTGGAGCAAGAACAGACTGATTGGCCCTCTGGGTGTCCAGGAATGAAAGGTCACTCATCCACTTTGCAAACACATCCACTCAGGCGGAGAAAGCCCAGACAGCCTGTGACCTGAAAAAGCTCCTCATGCAGTGCCCCTCGGCCAGGCCAGGTCCAGATGCTTTCCTCAGAGGGCTGAGACATCAGGAGGACCACTGATAAGACCATCTAGCAAGGATTGGACGTGGACGAGGGTCTTCACTGAAAAGAGAGAGAAGATGGGAGAAGAGGGTTAATACATACAGAAAGAGAGAGAAGCTTGAGACAAGAGGGATGTGGAAAAGACTGTGGAGATGGTAGAGGAGAAAGATTGCTTTTCCTTATTTCAGAGCTATTTTTATCAGGATAACATCTAGGCCAGAAGAAAGCAGCTCTTGTTTCCAATGTATCAGGTTAACACAAAACATATTTGTTCACCTCCAGAAGCATAGTTTTGTTTCCTTACCAACATTCTGTGAGCAGTACCACACAGTGGCTAAAAGGTCAGGCTCCTGAGTCAAATGGACATGGATTTGAGTCCCAGCTCAAAGATATACTACCTTCCCTAAAGCACTATTTTATCATTATACTATGAAGAAAGAACAGTAACAACTGTACAGAGTTATTTTGAGTATCCAATGAGATAATGCATGGAAGTACATCATAAAATATCTAACACATAGTTCTCAAATATTAGCTATTAATAATTAGTGAGTATTGCAATGGACATAGCACCAACAAGATTCAGAGACACAAAAAATAAAAACTGCTTTCAAGGAACTTACAGTCAGCTTGAGGATATAAGATGAGCATACATGAAGCAGTATGGAATGGCCCACAACAGCATAAAGTGTATGAAATACACTAAGTTCTGCATGAGTTTACAAAGCCCACAGTGATGAAAAGTTGTGTAATAATTCAAGATACTATGGGTAATCATCAATGAAGTGGTATATTTAAGTAGGTGCTAGAAGTGGAGATGAAAGATGAGTGTCTTTTAAACCAGTGCTTCCCCAATTGTAATGTGCATATGAATCACCCAGGAATTTCCTAATAATATAACTTTTAGTTCGGTCCTGGGGTGGGGCCTCAGATCCTGCAGATTTAAGAAGCTCCTTAGGTAATGTCCATGTTATTGGTCCACAGACCACTCATTGAGTAGCAAAGACTTAGAGAAAGATTTTGGAACATATTCCTGGCAGGTAATGTGTTTACCCAGTGACCTGTTCCTTGTTTTATACCTATTAAATATTAAACATGAAGGATGATGAAGAGAAAAGAAAAGAGTGGCAAGAGAAATAGGCCACAAGGTTCCTACTCACAAGGAGTTTTGGGGTTGTTTTCTCCTAAATTCTCATTGATCAGAAAAACATCATCATTACCACCACTCCAAAACAGTCACCACCATTAACTAGCCAAAACAACTGGTGGAAAAATATCCATTGAACAAGTATGTGACAATCCAGTACCAAAGCTTTAATAAGTCCTAAACAGAAGTGGAAGAGAGCAATCACCATGGGGCAGGGTTAGTTAGGGAAGATATCCTAGATAACTGACATTCAACCCAAAAGCTAAAAGAAATGACAGAAAGGAGTGAAGACGGTGGATGGTGACAAAACCCAGGAACCGAAGCTCCCAACTCTCCTTACTTTTGCTTCTTACTCTTATTGTGGCACACTTACTTATGTGCTGCTCTCTGATTGCTTTTGAGATAGTTCATTCAAACACATTTGTAGCCGCCCCCTAATTCCCCAAGAAACACATACAGTAGATTCTTCTATCCTCATACAGAGATAAAAATTATATTCTTCTTAAGCCTTCAGTTTATGATTAGTCTAAATCTAAGCCATGCTTGCTTTTCCAGAAATAAAATTAAGTGTAGAGAAGTCAGCTCCTTAAGTTGTAGATCATGAAAATGTTCTAAATATTAGAAGCATTACAGAAATGCAGAGATAGCTGACATGTTTACATGGCTTGTGTAATTCTAGGTAACAATGTGTGTTCATTCTGATTTATAATAACACTAGGTATACAGGAGCAGCTTCTTTGATGAGGAAATGAAATCTTCTTTGCTATCTTATTTAACTGAAAAGCTCTTAAAATATATGCTTTGAAATGTCCCCTCTTCCTTGGTATTTATCCAAAGTTCTGCAAAAAGAGTTATAATCCACTTATCTCCAAGAAGCAAGTTGAGGGAGAAGTTACATAAAATAGTTGGCTTATTTATAGATGTGCATCTATTCTGTAAACCCATATGTAAAGACCAGAAGGGCATTTTGTCCCTAAAACCAGGACAAATAAGAGATTTGTAGAGGGAGGCCAGGTCATCAGCACGATAGAAGGCTGCTTCTATTGAAGCTTCTGCTTCTATAGAAGATGATTTATTAGACTACAAAACCTGCCCCATCATGCTTACTCATTACAGAAATTTATGTAAGTATGGAACAAGAAGTTGGATTTCACAATTAAATAGATTTAAAATGATCACCTGCGTTTTAGAGTCTTTTGCACATCAATGGCCTCACAACAGCCACACCTGGCAAAAAGTTCTATAATAGTTTGGCTTTCTGAAACTCTATTTTCCCCAATATTGGCTTTTATATTTTGTCACCACTTTCCCTTTAACTATCAGTTCTTCAGTGGTCAGATGGAGAAATCAAAGAACCTGCCTTTTCAAACGCGAGTGGTTTGGATTTTTTGTTTTATTTTATATTTTCATTATTTGACCCTGCTTGCCACATCATTTGGAAACTAATCTTCCTAGAAAAGAGAATCCTATGTTCATTGACCAGCAGTGGTGTTTGACATCTGCTGTCTGGTCCCATCTTATGCAATGCTAGAAGCTGGCTTCTCGTCCAAGAAAATATTTAAAAAGCTATCTATAGAAAAACAAAAAAAAATCCTTAATGTCTGGTTCTTTCAAAACACCTGTTGAGGTTTGAACATTTTCCCCAAGTTGACCTAAGATAGGAATATAAGAAGACATACTGAAATGGGAGAATGGTAGATTTTATCACCTCGAGAAACAATTTTTACTATTTTGCTGATGAAAACTGAAGGAAAAAGAGAGTAACATCCCAGGGCAAAAGAAAGGACAGTCACTCCCTAGATTCTCCCAAAATGAGATGGCTCAGATACTGGAAATGGCACTGGCTTGGTTCACTCTATTCTCTCCAGCAAGAACCTGGAAAGCCAAAAACCAGAAAGGTAAGGAATCAATTGACAAGCTAGGTCTGGATCTCTGACCTCCTTTCTTCCATGTAATCACCCTTCATTATATCTGAGAAACAAGAAAGGGACAAATTGTCCCTGCTCAGTGGAGTTACCAAACTAGACTATAGTAAGATAACTGCATAGGGTGGCTTTGAGAAAATTTCAGCCAAGTCAATGGGCCATCCCTGAAGAGAAATTACCTATCCAGCATTGGGCTAGAATGACCTAGCTCTCGAAGCCCCACTATTTTCCTAATAACCTCACCATTTCAGGCGTTGCCTGGGAGCAGCCTGAGGGAATTTCCACAGGAGTGGACCTGAAGGAATAGCAGCCAGGACACTGTCAGTCACTATGCTCCTTGCCACAGGTTTTCTGGAAGGAAGAGCTGAGTGGCACATCATTAAAGGCCACCCATGGGTTCTTAACTATGCATAAAGTTCATCCCATGAGGACAGGGAAGAATTATTTTAATTAGATAAATCAATGTGAACTCACGCAAAGATAAAAAGATCATAAAAGCAATGGATTTCATCTTTAAAAAGGAGTACAACATGCAGGCAGACATAATGCCAGAAAAGCTAAAGCTTAAAAAGAACTCAAGGGAGAAAAAGGACTCTTTTTAAGACAGAGTTGGAGCATGAATAAGAAAGAGAATACTATAGCTTCCTTTACTGGAAAAGAGGGAACAACGTTAAAGAGCGAACTAACATTAGTCAGTCAACCAAAATGTATTGAGTAACCCACAACATACTGAGAATTCTACTGCTAAACACCAGGGATAAAGATAAGAGACATTTTCTCTTTTCCTTTAACATGTTAGAGGGTCATAGATATCTTTGAAAATGTGATAAAGCTATATATACCAAACATGGCAAAGCGTTTAGCAAGAAGCAAGTGGGGAGAAAGAGGAGATGTTGAGTGGTGAAGGGATAAAAAAACAGGAGAGAAGCAATGTATAGTTTAGTAAATATGCACAAAAATTTGCGTGAAAATTCATAAGCCCCCTAAAATGGGGAACCCTTAAGCACTTTAATTCATTATATTTTAAACTCCTAATCTTAACCCCCTAATTCACATCTGTTTTCAGTTAGGGGAATGATTTTTCAGACAAGAACAAATAAAATAAATATTCACAAAATTTTTTTTTAAAAATGTAAGAGAGTATGCTGCTCTCAGTGTGTTTATAACTATTGATTGTAACAAATGTCATCTCAGGATAGTCAGGGGGTTATATATTAATAATGCTGCCAAGTCATCGTCTGTTTTCTTCAAGAAAATGTGGAGAATAGGATACATGTTTGGTAAATGATGGCATAATATTTCCAGAGGAGAAAGATATAGATAAGCCAATAAGCACATTAGTAATCCTAAGCAGGATTCTAAAACAAGTTGTATATGCTTAGAAATGGAGAAGTGGTCACTAGTAGCAAGTATGGGTTTAGTAAAAGCAGAGCATAACAAGTTAACCATATGTTCTTTGGTGACAGGTTATCACTAGATTGGTAGGTTAGGGGAATAAAGTAATCATGTGTCTGTAATTTGTCAAGGATTTCATAGTGTATTGGATAGAGCAGTGCAACTGAATGATAACACAACTGGAAGAAAATGCAAATGCTTAATGACTAAACCCAAAGAATCTTTATTACCAGACTGATGTCTTCATTGGTGCTTCTCAGAACTCCATCTGACCAGTGTCCAGTTAAACTTTATATTATGGACTGTAATGAGTTCAGAAATAGCATGGAGTTAAAACTGGTGAATGGCATCAAGTTAAGAATGCAGCTAATACGGTAATGAAAGAATCTGGATCTAAAATTGATAGATTTTGTTATTGTTAAATTTAGGGTTGATGGAAACAGAACTCTGCAAACATAACAGTGTCATTTTATTTTACATGGGTTAGAGCACACTTTCAATAACACTATGTGTACTTCCAGGTACAACGTTTTTAATAGTATATTGAAAGACTCAACCTGTCCTGGTAAGAAAGATAAAATGATAAAGGACTTCAGAATAATTCAACATAAGGAATGACGGAAAGAACCAGAGAGTGTTCAACATGGAGAAGTTGAACTTAGGGAGTTCATGTTGTTTAAATTATTCAAAAGGATTACATAAAAAGGGAATGACACATGTTCTCTGGGGCTCTGGAGAAAAGAATAGGGACAATTAAATATACATTACAGGAAAATGTTGACTTAGCTTAAAGAATAACTTTTTAATCACTGATTGCTGAAAAAAAAGTGAAAGAAAATGTTTTCCGAGTATGACAGATTTTCTATTACTAGAGGCATCCCAGTAGATAATCAGATGGATAACTCAAAGGCCACCTGGTAATGTCTTCAAGAGACATTGTCCAGCTAGAATTTAGTTGGACAAAATGCACTCAAAGTATATGAGGGTAGAAAGAACTCTGAGTAGAGGCAGAGGTCAGAAAACCTGGTCCTCAACCTCCTTCATGGAAAAGTATCTCTTGGGCTCTTTCTAATTAAAAACTTCTAATACTATTATGGTGTATAACTTTTAAATTCATTTGTATGATCCTGCATTAGTCAAAATAGGTTATGCCTCAGCAACTAACAACTTCAAAATTCTCAGTGGCTTTTAAAAAAAACAGAGGTTTGTTTTTTGCTCTCAGGTTGATGGGGAGCCTTAAGAATCTGAAGTAACTTGCTTGGGTAGCTAGCAGAGCGAACTCAGTAAATTCTGCAGTTGCTCTTGATGGCCTCTGGCCTATCTAGAACTACTCTCAAAGCTCACTCAACCTTGAGAGTAAGCCTGGAGATGGGGATGGAAGGAACAGGCAATGTAATCTTCCATGTACTCAGAGGAGAGGAAAGCCAGTTTTTATGAGCAGTAACTGACAACTGTCTGAAATTAAAATGGGTTTAAGACCTCAAAAAACAAAAGAACCCAAAGAGAAAGCACTGCTGTCTCTTCCCGGATCAGGTCCTGCTCTTATCATGAATCTTTTCTGGGTAGGTCGCTTCACCTTTCTATGCCTCAGTTTCTATAAAACAAGGAGAGGAATATATTTTTCTAACTCTCAGGATTGTTGTTTCAGTATAATTAATCGATAAATAGAAATGTAATTCAAGATATTTTAATAATCATTGTTAAAAGAAATACTTTAATAAATTAATTAATTTGAACATTATTAAATAAATTCATATAGAGTTTATTTGAGCAAAGAATGGTTTATGAATTAGGCATCACTCAGAACCAAAAGAGGTTCAAGGGCTCTACCCAGACAGTGTGAGCAGCGAGCTTGTATAGGCTGAACACAGAGGAAAAGAACAGAAATCACTGGATTGGCTATATTAGAAATCACAAATATTTGCCTTATTTGGGCTTGGTGCAATGCACTGGCTGCCTGTGATTGGCTGAAGCTCAGCTGTTTGCATTGGCTGAAACCCAGCTATTTGTTACAAAAAAATATACTTCCAGTTAGGTTTTGATTTGTTTGACATGCTGTTAGGCTGTGATTTGTTACCTAGGATCTCAAAGTTCAGACAAAGCCTCAGATAACAGCTTCCTGCTAATTTAATTTAACACTACACAAATGAAGTGGATAATTCATAAATACTCTATGCCAAAACCTAAGATAAAGAACCATGCAGCTGAAAGTCTCCTGTATATCGAATACATTTTTAGCAATTTTGTACCCGAAGGAAGCACTTCTACTTGTGCAATTTAATATTCTTTTAACGGTCTTCCCACTTTCCAGTGAGTTAGGTACAAAAAAACAAAAAACAAACAAACAAAAAAGTTGTTCCAATCCATGTTACAGAAGCCAACTAAGGCATAGGACCCAGCAAGGGCTCCTCTGAAAACATCCAGAGCCGGTGCCAGGATCAGGAATAGGGCGCCCTGGCTCCCCACGCCTACCAGGCCAGTTTGCGTACTCTTCCTCCTCTCCTTTGGCCTTGCTCCTCCCTTACTCCCATTTCAATAGCTCCACAAACTCTTGGCCTAGAGAACAGAGAATGTGGGGTACTTGGGCAGTGGATGAGGCGACCTCTGCCAGTGGCCTTCTCAAAAATAGTTCCAGTTCCCTGCCGACCTGGCCTGCCCCCTTGGGAAGGTCACAAAAGGGAGGCTGGGCACATGACCCAGACGTTTTGGTCCAAAGGCAGCCCAGATGTTCCAGGCACCCACGTTCCCTGTACAGATGCCGAGTAATAATCGCGGCATCCAGGAATGTGGGCCCAAGTCCCTGTGCTTCCGGCCGGGGGAAACTCCCGCGTCAGGGAACTAATTGTGACTTGGACGGTGAATTGGAATGTTTGGAGGCATAGGTCATGGACTAGATAGGATGTAGGCAGATCCACAGGCAATAAATGCTCTCTGCTCAAGGAGTCACTGACCTACCATGGGGTAGGAAGCAGCCGTGGAAGAGACGGACTAGCGTCACGGTGTCACAGTGAGGGCGAGAATGCGTGCGCGTGCTCAGACATCGCGTGCCACGCACGCATGGCCGATTACTGTCTTTCTCAGCAATTGCTTGCCAAGCCCAATCTAAAAGGATTTACTAAAGACCCAAGAAGAGATCATCAAAATTTAGACAGATATAGTGTCCTCCCTTAAGAAACTCATAAACTGAGGAGGCCAGGCATAAACACATGTAACAAGTAGAAAAAACAAAATCACAAGGCAGTGCAGAATACCACCAATATGGTAGAATTCGGATGAGGTAGAGCAGAAGTGGGTCTCGATTATTGGGAAAGTTTTCATAGGTAATTTATATTGTGGCTCATGTCTAAAATCTATCTCTTCCACGCTGCTCCAGACTGTTCCAGCTTCTTCCAATCTAATATCAACTTGCTTCTCAGTTAGCTAGATCACTTTCTCCTCCAAACAAACCAGTATAAAGAAGCAGCCTTGGCCGGGCACGGTGGCTCACCTCTGTAATCCCAGCACTTTGGGAGGCTTAGACGGGCGGATCACGAAGTCAAGGGATTGAGACCATCCTGGCGAACGTGGTGAAACCCCGTGTCTACTAAAAATACAAAAATTAGCCAGGAGTGGTGATGCGCACCTGTAGTCCCAGCTACTAGGGAGGCTGAGGCAGGAGAATCGCTTGAACCCAGGAGGCAAAGGTTGCAGTGAGCCAAGATAGGCCACTGCCCTCCAGCCTGGAGACAGAGCGAGATTCCTTCAAAAAAAAAAAAAAAAAAGAAAGAAAGAAAGAAAAGAAAGAAAAGAAAAGAAAAGAAAAAGAACAACAACAACAACAAAAAAGCAGCAGCAGCCTTTGATGGAGAAGCAACTAACCAGTCTACTAAAAGATTAAGACATATATACATACGCGAGGTATTGGAAATGATTAGTGGCATTTTTCTTAAATATTGCTGTTCTACCCTTTGTAATTTTTAATTGATAATCAAATATCCAGCTGCCGTTCTGCCTAATTGTGACTCTTTTCCATGCTATTATTTAGCAGTAAAAGTAATTCTGCTTGCCATAATATCATGTCAGTTATGAATTAGATTATCAAAGCAGGGAGATCTGGGGTGTGTACAAGGGAAAATACCACCTGTATAATCCCTTTATGTAGGACTTGCCACCACTCTAAGTTAAAGATCATGGGGGACCCTTTCCATGCTGCCTAATGCAGCAGAGCCTAACAATATGGCAAGTGCTCAGCCTAAATCGTTGCTAAATGAACAACATCAGCATTTTTTGAGTTCTCTGAACTCATGTTCTCCTTGAACACACCAAGATAAGGTACTTTCCTCAGCCTAGAGGAGAACTATGACTTCTCCTTGTTTAGTTGTTCTGGCTTTAGAATTTATTCCCACAAATCAACTCCTATAGAAACATTCTTACAAAAAAAAAAAAAAAGAGAGAGAGCGAGAGAGAGAATATTTTATTCTTTAAAAAATAATTTCAGCTTTTATCTTTAGATACAGAGGGTATATGTGCAGATTCCTTATGTTAGGAATATTGAGTGATGCTGGGGTACTTTTTTCCTCTTGAAAATGGGATGAAGGAAATGAGAGTCTAGTGTTTTCTTTCATCAGAATTATCAAAACAGTCAGCAAAAATTACTTATGTTTGCAGAAGTTTCACAAATGAAGGAAAGGTCACAACTAACAAAGGCTGATAGGAGAGGAGAGGCTCCCTGGCAGAACTTGCCTTAGAAAATGGAAAGAACCAGACCTCATCCTGCCAAACACGTTCAGTCTTTTCACCTTTTTTTTTTTCTTTAGGAGATTTCTGATGACTAAAGCTGCTTAAGAGATCCTTAAATAACATTTTGGTCCAAGTAACTAGCTGATTTTTTTAAAGAGCTCAATACAACTGTCAGTATGGACACAGGCAATATGATGTTAAAATAGTGTTGATTCCACTAAGTGTTCACAGGGTGAGCATTTTATTATACGCCACTGAGAGGTCTGGGTATGAGACCCTTTCTTTCTCAGCCCTATTTTTAGAGGGCACATGTGATACGTGGCACTTGCACCTGTCATTAGGAAGCTCAACAGCCAACGGCCTGTTTGTGCTACTACTGTATGTGTGTCCAAATGGTGAGACCAGTGCTGGGGCTGAGGCTGTGTAAAGGTCATGATCACCCACGGCCTTCAGAAAAAGATATGCTTGCTGGTCCTTTTAACCTACATGCCCTTCGCTCAGAGTCAAGCATTAACATCCCAATTGTAATTACAATTGTTTTGCAGGAAGAAGACTGGCTTCCCAGTTTATTTGTTAAAACAAACAAAAACAAAACAACATACGTACATACAAATACATAACATATACACATATGTATTTACATATGAAAGATTTAAAATTATGTACCAAACTTAACCATTACAACCTATAGGTAGAGAAGAATTGGATTTAAAAATAAAGGGAGAAGAATATTTTAACTTAACTTTTACTCTATGAACCTTGGTATTATTTGAATTTTATGTTCATTACCACTACTGTGATTTTTAAATTTCTTGGCACAGAAGCTGTTATGTAATAGGAATTTAAGGGAAAAAAAGAAAGAGAATGAGAAAGAGAGGGAGGGAGAAAGGAAAGGAATAGAAATAGAAAGGAAGAGTATGTACAAATTGTCAAGAGCCACATCCATCAGCTCTGAATGAATGGAGTGATTAGAGATGAATGGAGCTAATTCAGAAAGACTTTATGAAATGGTTGAATTTGTGCTGCATTTGTAAAACAATTTAAAAAATAATGATATACTTACTATATCCTATAACATGTTTATTCCAAAAAAAAATGGATTATATAGAGAAGCACAAAGAAGAAAATGAGCATTACCAGGAACCCAGTCTCACAGAGAAAAACCACAGCTAACATTGCACTGGCTTTCCTTTCATTCTTCTCTTCTCTTTGTTTTTTTTCTTAGACTACATTTTGAAGGGCAACAGAAACAAGGTGTAGCAGAGAGAATGAGGTAGATGTGGGGAGGACATTCTAGAAGAGCAATGAAAGAAGTGTGTACCTGAAGCTCCCTTATCTCAAGGCTGAGATCTCAGAGAGATCTTGTCTGGACCTGGAGTACTGGTATTGTGTCTATCCCTGAAACTTTGCCATAGGGACAGGCTCGCTTGATCTTAGTTGACTCCTCCTCTGTAAAATGCAGATATTCTCTTTATCCTGCCCACCTTGCTGCATTAGGTACATAGAAAAAGCACACCCCAAAAGTTCCTTACAAATCAATTTTTACCTGCAATCCAAAATAATAATATTATGCAGGTTTGTGAACTAGCTCCCAAAAGTCTATTTAAACCAAAGGTAGTTGAAATTCTGTACTGGGTATTTATAGCAATATATCATTTTTTCACTATGCGTGTACCATTTTTAGTCACCATATGGGCACTTTAAGGCAAATTCTGTGTATTTATCTGGGAACCCAACCGACATTTATTTATCTGAGAAAATGCATTTTATTGGTTTATACAGGGGACTACTGTTAGCCCTACCTACAATTCTGGGGCATCTCTTGGCAGCATTATTAGCAAGCAGGGAAGACTGCAGACTGGGGACAGGTTTCATTTTTTAAGAGCACTCCTCAAACCGATAATGCATAGATCTATCTGATAACAGAAAAATAGCCACAACAACATGTGAAAGCAGTAATGATCACAGCTATCCTTTATTGAGGAATAACTATACTCCTGGAATACTTTATGTGCATTATTGTGTTTAACTTTCAAATCAACTCTATGACAGTTACAGTACTCTTCTCCATTTTATAAAGGAGGAAACAAAGCACAGAGAGGTGAAATAAGTTACTCAAGGTCATTCCATTTAGATTGATGCAGAGCCAGCATTTTCAGCTAAAGTCTGGCTCCATAGCTAAAGCTCTTATCATTTGTTAACACACAGGCAGATAGGTGAACCTAGGTTACCATTTGTGATCGCCATCACTAGGAAGTCATGCTAGGCTATTTTAAAGATCGTTCGGGTATTTTGTGAGTTCTTCTGAAGGGTAAGAAGACAGTAACGGTAGAAATCTGACCTCTCTCCCAGAGATGTTTAACAAGCAATTGCCCAACCCTACTCACACTCCTTCCAGAGGTGATGCCCTGGGCAGCCTGGCATTGGAGAAATGTGTTCACTCTGCTTGAAGTGGTGATGCTGTCACTACCTGTCACTAGGAAAGTTCATTTAAGGTTCTATGAACAAAGAGTCTGATGTTAGGATTTGGTGTGTGTGGGGGTGGGGGGATTTATAGTCATTCCATTCTCTCCTGCAGTGCCCATTTCTCTGCTGGATCCATATTTCTGAGTCATCTCTCAATTAGAATCAACCATCCATAACATGCTCAAAAATGCGTCCTTTGATGCTAGCCTCTACACATTTTTTTTGTTTTGCTATATTGCTTATAATGTTTGTGCAGCTGCTTTGAGAGCTAAATATGCAATCAATGTGATGCAATCATGTTCCTTCCTTATCAGAGAAGGGAGAAAATGTCAACTTGAATTTTAGGCAATTTTCAAGAACTCCACGATACAAAATCATAAGTGTATTTAATTGATGTGATCTTAATTGGAATCACAAGGGAAATTGGAATGTACTTGCAGTTCAGTTGTTTGTGTTTTTAATAGCACTGTTTGGCTGAGATTGGACCATTATCTGTCTCTGATTCACCAAATGTTGGAGAGTTTGTATTTCTAAAGTTTGATGAAAACTGAATGCTATGTTACAGTATTTTTTTCTGGCCTTTTTTGTTATGCTCTTTCTTATGAGATTTCGATTTTTTGGGTTATGATTTGAGAATGAGCTACCATAAGTACACATAAATACGTACTTCTGTTCATATTCTAGCAATTAGAAATACATTTATAGTCATTTCTTGTTTGTTATTATAACTGGTGATATTTATTTATTCACTTGTTTATACAAACATTTATTCAATCAATAAATGCCTGCTGAGCCCAAGCCATCTCTTTGTCTGTGTGATAAGAACAGAAGATGGATAACTGAACAAGACTAAATCCCTGCTCTCAGGGTCTCACGGTAGTTGGAGAGATGAGCAAGTAAAGCACATGGAAGTCCTGGGGTAGAAGTATGCAGAGGGTGCTGAGGGAGAAGAGAGAAAGCTATAGCTAGACTGAGGAAGGTCAATAAATTTAAAACATAGGGCTAAATTTTACCAGAGCATGAAAAAATGATGACCCCAGAGGTCAAAGTGATTGGAGAGATTTTGCTTTGTTTTTAAGTTATCTTGCCTATGTTAATCAAACTGAATAAACTTTTAAAATTGCATTCATTTTTCATCACTGATGTTCTTCCATTAAATTCAAACTGGAAGAGCTCATAAAAAAAGAGATCAGGCTATTTAGTTTGTTAAATTGGTATGTATTATCCTAGGTTTTCAGATACCAATGTTGCATATTTCTATTGAAAGCGCTTTTTATAAAGCATCATATTACATGGACTAGAACTAGGACGTGGCTTTGTCCAGAGAAGTGCATTCATTCAATACATCAAAAATGTGTTAGGTATTGATTTTACCACATTTCTGTCCTCAAGTTAAAATCTAGAAAGGGAAGATATAATCAGTTACCCAAATTGATTTAACATTCAAGGAGTTTTTTAACTGCATTTTCAGTCCTATTCATTCATAAGTAACATCACAGAAAAGCCTAAAGACGCCTAATGTCAAAGACCATATTGCACTTTTTCAAGTGGGAGTAAAGAAGCAACAGTGATCCCGGCATGGCATTCTAGTGTTTGTTAGCTTCCTTGGGGTGATCATAGGCCCTAGTCACACCCTGAAAAGACAGAAAGTTTCAAACACTGACATGGCTAAAAGATTTAGGAGAGAAAATGGCACTGTGATGGGACAAATACTGGAAAAAAAAAAAAAAAGGAAACAAAAAAAGAGATTGGTTCTGTTCTGTTCCTAGCTCATCACTCTCTATGCATATGACTTTGAAGAATTTCTTAATGTTTCTAATCCTTAATTGCTTCATCTAAGATACAGGAGAATGGAATATATGATTCATAGACTCTAAAATATGAATTCTAAGAGAAATACAACATTTGAGATGACTCTTGGTTACGTAGCTTGAATCAGTCAATAAAGAGAATTTAGTTAAAAGGCTTTTGATAAAGAATCAGAGGTTAAAAGGGCTTTTGATAGAGAATCAGAAAACCAGATTTCAAGTTCTAAGTCTCCTGCTAACTTATCTGTGTAACATTGGACCAGCCACTTCCTCAGTCCTTAGTTGCCTCTTCTATGAAACAGTATGGGATATGTGGTAGGTGGGGAATGGTTTGGAGACATGAGCTATATTATTGCTATGCCATATTCCGGTTCTAGCCTTCAATGGTTACACAGATGTGTCAAGATTCCCTGAGAAATTGTACAAGTCCTTCTCTAGTTTCCCTAAAATAGTATACACTTACCTTCTCTGGAAGGGAGAAGCAAGGTGGCCATTTTCATTTTATAATGCCAAGTGATCTTTCTAATACAGCTTAGATTGTGAAGTTCTAATGAAATTGAAATTAACTAGGACAATTTATCTTATTTAAGACCTCATGATAAATGCTTTCATTCATAGGCTAAGACAGGAGGTTCTTTCTTCTTCTATTTTCTTTGATTATTTCCAAAACTAGAAGGCTTCTTATCCCTTTGAAGATTGTTTACCTCTAGAAAATGAGTTCATGCATCCTACAGCTTGTTCTTCTCTGGGTGTCCTCATGCTAGTAAATTGTGTTGATACAGAGACAAGACAGATGTTCTTGTAAGCTTCCTCCAAACTCTAGAAGACTGCGGTACACATTGTAGGCCCATTCGATTTGCTTACTTGAGGGTCCAGTCACAAAGGATTTTAAAGAGCTATTAGAAACCTTTTGAACTCTCATTTCTACCTTTGTTAAATGATAGTCTTTCTTGCATGCATGAGCCCAGAGAAGAAATGTAATAATTTAACTAAATTTGGAGCTGATAACACTTGTTGATATTTTTATAGTCTGTCCTTTACAGAGAACTTTCACGTATATTATCCTAGCAAAACATGCAGACTGTGTAACAGTAGTTCACTTAACTAATGAGAAACCCAAAGCCTAGTTTAGTAGGTGATGTGTCCAAGGACACACAGCTAAGGAGGACTACAGCAGGAGTTGAAGCCAAATCCTCTCCATCTTTAGTGATAGCTAGTTCAGTCTCCACTACTTAGTATCGATCCCCAAATGGGGGCCCCTTGTGACCCATGGGGAGAACTGTTGAGTGTGATAGGAACAGTAGTCTTTATATCACGAATATGGGGATTAGTAAAAGATTCTCTTTTAGCTTTTAATCTCTACTCCCTCTTTCCTCATCTTTAACACATACTGTGACCTTGAAAAGAGATAGAAACCAAAAATCTTCAAGTGGCTTTTTGGTTAATGAATTACTTAATAGTACTTCTTGGAAATTATTGGATGCTTTCTTTGTGTTTTAGAAGGTGATACAATAAGTAGTGTATTTCTTCTCTCCTGGGTTGGAAGACTTTGCAGCTCCATAGCCAGTGACAGAATTTCTAATGCAAGGCCATGGCCTGATTGGTTTTATTCCTTGCTTGATTCTCCCAACCAGGGTCAAAGTCAGAAGTAGATTTATGTGGAAAAAGCCCAATATTCATCAACCAGTGAATGAATAAACGAAATGTGGTACACACATACAGAGGATATTATATTTGGCTACATAAAGGAAATAATGTTAGATGCTGCATTAATGTGAATGAATCCTGAGAACATTATCTATCCTAAGTGAAAGAAAGCAGTGATAAAATACCAAATATTTTAAGATTATATTGATCTGAATCTTCCAAAGCAGGGAAATATTTAGAGACAGAAAGTAGATAAGCAGTTGCTTAGGGCTGGGGGAATAAGAGAGTGATAGCTAGAATATGGAGTTTCTTTTTAGATGATAAAAATGTTCTAAAGTTTATGGTGAGTATGATTGTACAACACTATTGAACTTTACACTTTAAATGGGTGAAATACATGGTATATGAGCTATATTTCAATAAAGTTATTTTGAAAAGAAGGAGATTTATAATAATATAGCATTCTCTCTTTTGTATTCCATTACTATGTAAGGTGCCCTGATATTATTGGTCAGTAAGAGCACCTGTTACCTCTACCATTCCCTTAGCTAAGGACTGATCAACAACCATACTGGCTATGCAACCCTTTCCTTAAAAGCCACAACCACTGGCTGGGTGCGGTGGCTCATGCCTGGAATCTCAGCACTTTGGGAGGCCGAGGTGGGCCTGAGGTCAAGAGTTTGAGACCAGCCTGGACAGCATGGCAAAAACCCATCTCTATTAAAAATACAAAATTAACCAGGCATGCTGGCAGGTGCCTGTAGTCCTAGCTACCCAGGAGGTTGAAGTAGGAGAATTGCTTGAACCCAGGAGGTGGACGTTGTAGCGAGCCAAGATCATGCCACTGCACTCTATCTTGGGCAACAGAGCAAGACTCTATCTCAAAAAAAAAAAAAAAAAAGTTATAACCACACTGTATTTTCTTAAAATAAATAACTTTTTCTCCCTCGAACCCCTAGATATTTAATTCAAATCTCAGCCCTACTTACCTCATATTGCAGTTATATGTTTACTTGTGAGGTTTTTGTACTCAATCCTGAGCTCAAGCAGAGCAGGGGACATTTATTTGTCTTTGAATTCCTATCACCAACCATAGTATTTTATAGCAAGTAGGTGCTCCATAAAAGTGGAGAAGGAAAGTAGCAAAGAAGGGAGGGAGGGAAAACAACCATCTCATTTCATCAGGTGTCACTGAATTCCTGAACATCTGGAGTATAGTAGCTGCTTTGTGCATGAGGTCCTAAATCACACTCAAGTTAGTGATGTCTTTGAACAGCATGCAGTTGAGTGATGGGTTAGACATGGGTTAAATTTATGCACACGTTTAGAAAAGTGCATTCCATCAGAATGTCTGAATTTATCTAAATAAACGATTTAATCTTGGTTTATGATAAATATAATACTACTCTTTAATTATTGTCTATTTGTGGTTTACACATATGAATCCCAGAGTATATCTTTCACTCGGTCTGTGTTGGTTATAAATTTAAGTCCAGGGACCTTAGATTCTACATCTTACATGTCTCTCAAAGCATAGACCACAGAACAATTTATTAATAGAGACTTGTTCTCTGAATAAATGGCTGAATGATAAAATTAAATAAATATTCTAAAAAATTTAACAGTGTGGCAAGCCTAAATAGTGAGGTTAGGTTAGGTTGATTTTTTTTTAATGCACCATTAAGTAAACAACCTGATTCTTCATACACTAGAATTCCAGTTACTCCATGCCTGGGTCTATATGTTAGGCTATTCTGTGGTATTGATGTAAAAGAAAATATTTACCTGAAAAGACTTTTGCATCTGCAATACAAGGAGATGGAGTTATTGTACTGTACCCATAATTTCTGTGGTCATCCATGGCCAGGTACAAACATAAACCTTTTCTCTGTTTGAGCTTGTGACTCCTGGTTCCCAGGCATACCACTCCTTCCTGTCCTGGCTGCCAAACTGTTATATGTGTGAGGGAATCAAATTCTGCTCAGCACTTTCTACAGTAGCATCCTGTTAGGTCCATGCCAAAATGTAAATTATTATCACCATTAAGCACATATTAAATGCTTCCTTATGTATGATGCGGGAGAATGGGTTTCATAGCTAGAGTCCTGGTCTTCTATGAGTTTATATATTCTTTTGAGCAAGGCAGTTGAAAACTGGACTGGAAATCTGGTGGTTACCTGCATAAGGACATTTTTAGCAAGGGTGACAAGAGTAAAATTTGTCATTTTGTCTACAGAAAACTTTTTTTGTGAAGCAGGAAGCAAATAATCAGGTCAAGTGTGTGAATTTTAAGGTAGTACTTGGGCGTATTGGAGCTATCTTATTTGTTCTCTACTGGGAAATTTGATCCAATGGGGAAGGATTAGGATGGGCTCAGGTCCAAGAATTACGGCTGCTATTTCCAATGCTTCCCGCAACTCAGCAACGCTGCCTTCACTATGCCTGGGGCAGGGCCAACCTCAGGGCAATGTGAGGCCACACTGAGTGTCCCTAGGTGGCCTTATGTATGAGAAAAAACTAGTTCTCCTGCAAACTAATGCATTTCTGTATTGTGCAACTCTTCAATAGACCAGGATCCCAGATGGATGACATGTGATGGAGACTTTGGGGAGAAAAGGGAAGCCAGCACGGGCAGAGTTGTTTTGAATTTTCTTCAACCCAGACTAGCTTCTCCAAAGTCACTCATTTGATTGAGTGTTTACTAAGCAGCTACTATGTGCCAGGCACTATTCTAAATAATGGGAGTACTATGAAGCATAAAATAGACTCTTCCATGGGACTTATTTTTTGACGGAGGAGTTGTACACATATGGGCACCCTCTCAAAAAACCTATTGAGCTTCCCTAGTTTGCTGCAGCTGCCCAAGGATTTTCCTTCTAACTGGGCATTTTCTAGGCCAGAGAAATTCATTTAAGAGAGGACATAAGACATAAGCAAGAATGCTTATTACAACTTAACACAATCAAAGTCCTCATCTTGAAGAGTAAAATATTATGTCTGATATCCCTTTGTGATAGGCAATGACTACAGAAAGAGGTAAGGCCTCAAAGTCAGACTCTTTAAGTTTGAATCCTGGCTCTTCCACTTACTAGCTACATGTTAGTAGGTAAGTTACTTACACTATCTGCATCGCAACTTCATTTGTAAAATGGGCATAATGTTAACAGCCACCTCATAGAGTAACCATGAAAATTAAATGAGGTAAAGTACCTGGAATGTTGTACATGTTCCTGTTTATTTTTCAGTGTTAACTTATTATAAATATGCCAGTTTGGAATGTGCCTCAGCTGTCTTACTGGATGAGTACTTTCAGCTCTATTCTAACTTTCGCAGGGTAGAGGCCTTGTTTTGTATATCATTGTCTTTCCTATAGTAATTCTTCCAAGGGTTCTACACACAATAGGGGATCAGTCAGTGCTTGCTGATTTCTGCTAAGAAAATGAATTGAATGTCATTTATATGGCTTTGATGTTGCTGAGGTGAGCACACAGTATATATTAAGTCATCTTACCTTCCACCTTCTTCAATTCTGTCCAGAGTCCCTATATTCTTCCCTATCAGCCAGAGTCCAGGTCCTAGGTTTCTGCCTCCTCCCTTTCATTAAAAAAATACTCAATTAAACTCCAATGATCAAGTCTTGGGACAGTGCCCTTTGTCATATCTCTTTTATTCATTCTGCTACTTTTAGTCCACCAATAGCTTCCCTGTCTAGAATCTTATCATCTTATGATAACAACTTTATCTTTGTTGGTAAAGTTGTTGCCCCTGACTCAGATTATGAATGCTGAATATTTGGTTTCCCCCCACTAACAAAGAGCAACCAGGAATCATTTTATTATCACATACCAAATATATGTTAATGGAAAGTTCCTACCACCTATGAATCCCAAGGAAGAGGAAGAAAGAAGGTGGGGATAGATACCTGAGAATTGTTTTGAAATGTGATCCTTTTCTCCCCTCTATAAGTGAGAAAAAGCACACTCAGCCTCTGGCTTGTTATCTAAAGCAGGGGTCCCCAACCCTCAGGCCATGGATGGGAACCGGTCCATGTCGTGTTAGGAACCAGGCTGCACAGCAGGAGGTGAGGGGCAGGTGAGTGAGCATTACCACCTGATCTCCGCCTCCTGTCAATTCCGTGGCAGCATTAGTTTTTCAGAGGGGCCAAACCCTCTTGTGACCTGCGCATGCAAGGGATCTAGATTACGGGCCCCTTATGAGAATCTAGCTAATGCCTGATAATCTGAAGCGAAACAGTTTCATCCTGAAGCTACTCCCCTCCTCCATCCATGGAAAAATTGTCTTCCGTGAAACTGGGCCTGGTGCCAAAATGGTTAGAGACAGCTAATCTTAAGGGAGTGAATATACTGTCATACTAAGAAACCCTTCTCATGTGTGAAAGATATTACTTTGTAAGACGAAAAGAAGTTATAAAGCAAAAGCTGCCTAATACTGAATTGATCAGAGTTCAAGAAGACTCCCTTTGTCTTCCGTCTCTCAAAATATTCTGAAGCACTTGCCCTCTTGCATTGGGAATAAGTGACTCTGACAAAGTTTTTTTTCTCATAGCTGAATCCATATCAACATATATTTATCAATTCATTCCATTTTATTTTATAGGCATGCTGCCTCCGTAATTGATTACAGTAAGAAACACCTAGAAAACTTTAAAAACAAAATATATCCTGAACTTCTGGAAAATATGAAATAACAGGGAGTGGATTTATCCTCCTGAATGAAACAAGTAAAAAGTGAAAAAATATATGAAACAGTGTCATTCAAAAAAATGGTCTCAGATAATGAAGGATCATGATAACTGTTAAGAGAAAAAAGCTTTAGACTTACTAAATTTAGCAAAGTTTATTTGTGCAAATAATGATTCATGAAACAGGCAGCACGTTTAACCAGGAGAGATTCAGAGCTCTTCACCCAGCAAGGGGGGCAGGTGGTATTTTCAGATAGAAAAAAGGACTTACCAAAACAACTTGATTGGTTACAGCTCAGCATTTGCCTTATATGGACATGGTCTGCTCAGTCAGCAGCCTGCGATTGGCTGAAACTCAGTTACTTGTTATAAGAACACATTCTTAAGTTAGGTTGCAGTTTGTTTATATACTAAGTTAGGTTGTAGTTCACTATGTACGAATTCAAAGTATAGAGGCATCTTTAAGACAAATTCAATTTAATTAAACACAACTAAGATGGGAAACAAGTGAGAGAAACCAAATGACCACTCTGGCTTGCTGACTGGGTAACTTTAGGAAATGACACAGACAAGGGGAACCTAGACAGAGCTCTGCATTCTCTTTGATTAAAGTCTTAGAGCTGAAACTTCAGGGATGTCAACAAAGCTATAGTTTACAGTGAGAAATACAGTACAGGAGAGAGCTTCAGGGAAGGAGAACCCCAGAGATCTGTAGAGGGTATTCCAGGAGAACTCTGCTGAATACTGACCTGAACATGAATATAAAGAAACTACCCATGGCTAGAAAAAGAGTCATTGCAAAAGATTAGAAGAAATAGTGCCTAAGCTCACATAGGGCTGGATATATTGTCCCTAATAATTAAAGGAAAGCATACTTTAGGAATAATTAGTTAAAGTACTAACAATGATCTTACCTCAGTAGTGAGAAAAATTAACCTTAAACTAAAATGCAGGCCAAGTGTGGTGGCTCACGCCTGTAATCCCAGCACTTTGAGAGGCTGAGGCAGGCGAATCATGAGGTCAGGAGTTTGAGACCAGCCTTACCAACATGGTGAAACCCTGTCTCTACTAAAAAAAAAATTACAAGAATTAGCTGGGTGTGGTGGCAGGCACCTGTAGTCCCAGCTACTTGGGATGCTGAGGCAGGAGAATCGCTTGAACCCGGGAGGCGAGGTTGCAATAAGCCGAGATCGCGCCACTGCATTCCAGCCTGGGCGATTCAGTGACACAGTGAGACTCTGTCTCAAAAAAAAAAAGAAAAGAAAAATAGATCAATTGTCACTGACCCATAAATGACACAGATGATAGAATCAGAAGACAAGAATATTAAAGAGTTGTAATTTATTCCATATGTTCAAGAAGTTACAAAAAAAGATTAAACATGTTAACTAGCTACATGGAAGATATACAAAAGACCTTAATAGAACTATTAGAGACAAAAATTACAATGTCTGATAAAACACAGTGGATGGAAATAATAGCAGATTAGTTATTGCAAAAGAGAAGATTAGTGAACTTAAAGACATAGGAATAATAATTTCCCAAAATGTGACACATTGAAAAAAGTGAACAAACTTCAGTTAACTTAGGATAATTTTAAGCAGCCAAATAGATGTATAATTGGAGTCTATGAAGGAAAAGATTGGGTGATATATTTGTAGAATAAAGGGCTAAACTATGAATCCACATATCTTAAAAGTTCAATAACCCTTGAGTAAAGAAATAGGAAAAAGGTACAAAAAAGAAAATCTTTATTGAATTACTTAAAACAAGTGATAAAGTGAAAAAGTCTAAAGCAGCTAGAGAAAAAAAGATACGTGAACAGGAGAATAAGGATAAGGATGACAGCCGATTTTTGTCAGTAGTCATGCAAACGAGAGCAGAACAATATTTTTTAACTATTAAGGGGAAACAATCTTGTTAAACTAGAACTTTTACCTAGAAAAAAATACATTTCAAAATAAAGGTAAAGACCTTTTCCATGCATAGACAAGCTGAAAGAATAAATCACCAGCAAACTTGCACCGCAAAAAAATGTTAAAGAAAGTCC
Organism: Homo sapiens; assembly: GCF_000001405.40. NCBI lineage: Eukaryota > Metazoa > Chordata > Mammalia > Primates > Hominidae > Homo > Homo sapiens. The sequence continues at coordinate 221,578,228 of NC_000001.11, forward strand.
ATGGGGCAGAATGAAAATGATACCATAGGAAAATCTGGAGCTACACAAAGAAATTAAGAACATTGAAAATGGTAACTACATGGGAAAGTAGAAGGTATTTTTCTTGTCATTTAAATTTCTTCAAAAGAGAATCAAATATTTAGAGGAAAAACGGTAACAATATATTGTAGGATTATAACACATGTAGAGTGGATGGGATGACCACCATAATTCAAAGTGAAGAAATGAAAGTATACCGTTTTAGGTTTTTATACTTTATATGATGTGATATTATTTGGTTGTATATCATGAGAAGTTAAATTATGTATTCTTTAAACCCTAAAGCAATCACCAAAATAACATAATACAACAATTAGTTGTAGCTAATGAACCCACAAATAAGAAAAAATTAATTATAAAAATACACAAGCAAGAAGGGTCAAGGGACCAATAATTGTGATGATTGCACAATGATGTGAATATACTTAATGTCACTGAACTATATCTATATCTATATAAAATATATAATAAATAGTTAAAATGATAAATTTTATGTTACATATATTTTACCATAATGAAAAATATTCAATCAAAACAAGGCAGAAAAAGAGGACAGAACAACCCAAACTGAATGGACAAATAGAAAACAAATAGAAGGGAATAGATTTAAAGCCAACCATATCAATAACTACATTTAACAGAAAAGATTTAAATATATGGATTTTTTAAAAATGATTGTAAAAATAGATAAAAATCAAGACCTAACCTTATTTTTGCCAACAAAAACCAACTTTGAATATAAAGATTAAAAAAAGATAAAAATAACTAAAAGAATGCCCAGTGTAGTGGCTCACACCTATGATCCCAACTACTTGGGAGGCTGAGGCAGGAGAATTGCTTAAACCTGAGAGGTGGAGGTTGTGGTGAGACAAGAGCATGCCACTGCACCCCAGCCTGGGCAACACAGCTAGACTCCATCTCAAAAAAAAAAAAAGTATGTAAAAGAAAGCTAGAGTTCCTATATTAATATCAGAAAAAGTAGATTTCAGAGTAAAGCATAAAACCAGGGATAAAGTGGATCAATTCAGGAGAAGGACATCAACATCCTAAATATTTACACACCTGCTAACACAATATCAAAGTAAATAAAACAAAAGCTAATAGAATTAAAATAAGTAGACAAATCTACAATTGCAGTCGAAGATTTCAACATTCCTCTCTCAATAATTGTTTGAACAAGATGGAAAATTAGTACAGATACTGAAGACTTGAAAAACACTTTAAGTCAACTTGATGGAACTGATATGTGTGTGTGTATATACATATATATATATATTTTTTTTTTTTTTGAAACAGAGTCTCGCTCTGTCGCCCAGGCTGGAGTGCAGTGGCGCGAACTCGGCTCACTGCAAGCTCCGCCTCCCAGTTTCCCGCCATTCTCCTGTCTCAGCCTCCAGAGTAGCTGAGACTACAGGTGCCCGCCAACATGCCCAGCTAATTTTTTGTATTTTTTTTTTTTAGTAGAAACGGGGTTTCACCGTGTTAGCCAGGATGGTCTCAATCTCCTGACCTCGTGATCCGCCCGCCTCGGCCTCCCAAAGTGCTGGGATTACAGGCATGAGCCACCGCGCCCGGCCGGAACTGGTATTTATAGATTACTCCACCTAACAACAACAGAATGCACAATCTTTTCATGTGCGTGTGAGACATTCATGAAGATTTTTATAAATGATATGAAAACTTTATCCTGGTCAATAAATCAAGTCACAACTAATACAAACAGATTCAAGTCATGCAAATTGTATTATTTAACAATAATGAAATTAAATTATGAGCAAATAGTGAAAGGCTATCAAGTAGATCTCTAAATATGGGGAAATTAAATAAATAGTACTAAAAGAAGAAAAAAATATAATCCTCTCAATAGATGCAGAAAAAGTATTTGACAAAATCTAACATGTTTTCATGATTTAAAAAAGAAAAAAACAAAACTTCTCAACAAACTGAGAATAGAAGGGAATTTCTGTTCTTGAAGGGATACCCGATAATGGTCCCTATGAAAATGTGTAGCTGAAATGAAATCATACCTAATGGTGAAAGAAAACAAAGCAAGGATGTTTGCTATCACCATCTATGTTTAATATTACATTGGAGGTGACAGCTGGTATAGTAAGGCAAATAGCAAAAATTAAAAGTACATAGAGTATATTTTTAAAAAACTAAAAGAGTATAATTGGATTGTTTGCAACACAAAGAAAGCATAAATGCTTGAGGGGATGTATACCCCATTAATCCTGATGTAATTATTACACTTTTTATGCCTATGTCACACCATCTCATGTACTTCATAAATATATAGATATATGCCCTATGTACCCACAAAAATTAAAAATAAAAAAATGAAATAAGTAGATGGACAGGAGAGAAAAAAACAAAAGTTTTTATTTGAAGACATGATCATATATATATAGAAAATCTCATGGAATCTACAGGAAAAGTTACAGTAAGTAACATATGAGTTTTATAAGGTTGCAAGATATAAGACCAATATACAAAAAGAACAATTCTATTTCAATATAGTAGCAACAAAAACTGAAATTAATAAAATAATATATTTACAACATCATAAAATACAGAATACTTATGGATGATCTGATAAAATACATGCACATGACACGGAAATCTATAAAATTATTGAGAGAAATTTAAAAGACCTAAATAGATGGAAAGATGTACCATGCTATGCTTATAGATCAGACTGTAAATTTTTCTAGAATTCATCACAATCCAGTCAAAATCCAAATGAGCTTTTGCAGAAATTAATAAACTGTTTCTAAAATGTATATAAAAATGCAAGAGATCTAGTATAAACAAAATTTGACAAAGAATAACAAAGTTGGAGGACTAACACTTTTTAATTTCATGATCTATTATACAGCTACAGAAATCAAAACAGTATGGTAATGGCATCAAAATAGACAGATTAATGCAATGAAATAGACCTACACATTGATCTTCAATCCATTTTTGACAAAGATCCACAGGCAATCTTGTGAAGAGAAGATAGTCATTTTAACAAATAGTGCTGAAAAAATTGGATATCCATATGCAAAAATATGAACTTCAGTTCATACCATGCACCACATACAGAAACCAATCCAAAAAGGATAATAAACTTAAAGGTACAACTTAAAACTGTAAAAGTCTTAAAACTTAAGACTTCTAGAAGAAAACATAGGAATAAATATTTGTGATTGTGAGTTCAAAAACAGTTTTTTAAATATAATAACAATAGCACAATCCACAAAATTAAAAATTGATAAACATAGTTAGGAATTTTTGCTCTTTAAAAGATACTGCTAAGAGAGGAGCCATACCTTCAGTTTTTGACTTGGCTTTCAAATCACAAGCCCTGCCCCTTCCCCATCATGTGGGCGGAAATTAGTTCTCAGGCCCTGCTGCCTAGCTTAGTTTCTTCTCTGCCTCAGATTCAACATCTGTAAAATGAGAATTACATTGTTAGGAGGGGTTAGGAGTATTAAATGTAAAATGTGTAGAACAGGACAGGACCCTGATACTGTTTCCTCATCCCTGTCCCCCATTCTGGATTTAAGGGTGCCCAGAAAATGATTTGCTTTCTTCCAAAGAGCTTTTAAAAATAAGTTCCTGTGACTTCTTCAAGTGTGTTAAAAAAAAAGAAAAAGAAAAAGAATATTGGATGACACTCAGTAGCCAGTGTTCCTGTCACTGTTATCTGCTTATGAAGAGGAAATATGCCAAAGTGCCGGCCCACCTGCCTTCCTCTTTTACCCCACTTCCACCCTACCTACTGTTAACATACCCCAGGCCACAGTCTCTTATTCACAAGTCAGAGTACAAAAATCTGAAAGCCAAAAGTATTTTATTCAAATTTGGTGGCAAGATCTAACACTAGGCTTTTCATAATCTTTATTTTTCACGCTTAATATGTATACAATTTACTGCTGATTGATATATTAATGGTTGATTATGGGGAGCTGTCCTAGATTCTAAGGGGATGGGATTTCATATGCAAATGTGAACAAAGAAAGTTAGTTAGGGCTTCTAAATTGTTAAAAAAACAATTTGTGGCATTATTCTACATAAGCATTTCTAATACTATAGGTTTTATTTTGTAACTCAACTTTAAGCTTTCTTTAACTAAAACTCATCTCTGAAAGTTTGTTGTATGCTTTCCGGTCCTTAATAGTTGCCAAAGCAAAGGGTTTGCAGTCTCTTTTAAATGTATGACAGCAATCCATAGTAAGAAGTACGGTTTTCTTTATTGGGATCAAGTCCACCCATTTGACTCTGTATGTGAAATAAAAGTTTAATGAATGAATATTCCTTTGTGCAAAGTGCTCTGAGGTTTCCTAATTTATTTTAACAAAGACAGCTAGCCCCATACTATAAAAATGATTATGGAACCTGCATTTTGAAAAATATTGTTGTTTTTGTAATTGCTAAATCTGGTTTTCATTATATCAAAATTTTTCTTTTTTTAACTTTTTCAGGTTCTGGGGTACATGTGAAGGTTTGTGACATAGGTAAAGATGTGTCATGAGGGTTTCTTGTACAGACTATTTTATCACCCAGGTATTATTCTATGTGTAAGTTTGAAATTTTTCATTATAAAAAGTTAAAAAGAACAAGAAAAGAGTCAAGCCACAGACCAAGAGAAAATATTTTCTGATTACCTGCCTGATAAAGGACTTGTGCTGCAAGGTTTGTAAAGAAATATCAAGACTCTATAACAAGAAAATTAGCAATCAAATAAGAGAAAAGATTTGAACCACACTTCATTAGACAAAATATACAGATGGAAAATAAACACACAAAAAGTTGCTCAACATGAATAGACATTGGGGAAATGCAAATTAAAATCACAATGAGAAATTGCTTCACACCTATTATATTGTCCAAAATTGGTGAGAATGTGGAGGAACTGGATCTCTCTTACACTGCTTGTAGGTATGTAAATGGCTACAATGAGTTTGGAAAACAGTTTGCTTATTAAAAAGTTAAACATACATCAGATGTATGATACAACTATTCCACTCTTAGATATTTACCTAAGTTAAATATCCATATCCATGTAATACTTGTACCAAAGTTTCATAATAGCTTTATTTGAAATACAGAAGTGGAAAAACCCAAATGAGGGTGATTGATGTTTGTTATCTTGATTATGATGTTGGTTTCACAGCTGTATTCATTTGTAAAAGCTTATTAGACTGTGTACTTTACATTTCAGTTTATTATATGTCAATTACAGCTCAACAAAATTATTAAACAATTATTCCTGTGACACATTCATAGGATTAGTAACTTTTGGTAACTTCTGAATTAGACCTCTCTGGACTGTCATGACCTCATTGGCTATCCTCTGAGCTATTATTCAACTCAAATTATGTCAAGAACTATGCATGGCATTAAAGAAAAGTATGATAAATACATGCAAAGTTGATAGAGGAATACAGGAAAGGAATGCTTTGGCCAAACTTGGCAGGTCAGTAACATCTTCCTAGTATGGAAAACTCTAAACTGAGAGCTAATGGAGTCAGTCAGACAACTATTGGCGAGATTAGAGAGGCGTTTACATGCAAAGGGAACAATGTGTATAAATGATCAGTGGCAAAAGAGAGAATGGGACCTGGGGGAATACAGTGATTCAACATGACTGAGAGAATGAGTGTCAGGGAGTGCGGGCAGGTAAAAGAGGTCAGATCATGAAAGACCCCATGCCATCCTAAGGAGTTTCTGTCTGCCACCAAGAGTAATAGACTGCACAGAAGGGTTTTTATTAGGGATAAAGTGTGTGAGATGTTGTAGAAAAAAAAAACAACAACAACACTCTTCAGTGACTAGGATTGAAGGCAAGACTAGATGTAGGAAGTGCAGCTAGGAGAGTTAAACAATGAATCATCAAATTAAAGGGTGATAGGAGCCTGAACCGAGATAGTGAATGTGGGATTTGAAATATGGATAATTTGAGAGTTATTTCTTGGTTTCTGTTGTGAGAATACAAGAGGAGAGTAGTTGAATGGATAGGTTCAGTTCTGAACACTTTGAGATGCCTGCAGAACTCCAAGAAGATGTGTGACACAGGGAAGCTGCTTCAAAAGTATCTATGACTTTTTTCCTCAAACAGAGTCTGATACAAATAAAACTACATTAATGCTATTTCTTATTAATGTAAACCAGTAATATGTATAACAGGCTTTACTTATTTTCTTCATTTTACTATAAATCTGAAACATCTCAAAATTTAAAGAAATGAAAAGATACACGATACAGAGTATGGTAAATTTGAAGTCACTCTTCTATAATTTAACTAAAAACTGGATAAACTGAAAAGCTAGCCTTTTAAGACCGAACTCACAAAATAGAGAAATGTTCAAGCCCTATTTCAAAAATGAATTTAAAATTTAATCCTGAAATGAATCTAAGACCTCTTTGTTATTTATTTAGTGGCCCTCAAAAGGGACTAAAGTGGTTGGCAGATATAAACTCAAATCGTTTCTAGAGGAAATCAACCCCAATTTAGGGCCTCAGGATTCTCATAGATCAAATTTAATAAAATAAGAGCTTACATACCCACACACACATACACAACAAGGAAAAAGACACCACAAATGACAGCAAAAACAATAACCAATTTAGATCCCCAAGTACTTCATATATTAGAATTATCAGGTAAAGAATATTTATGCTTAAAATGTTAAATGAAATAAATTATTACATTTTGTAAAAATGAGTAAAGAACAAAAGTCTATCAAATGCAATCCTGCAGATTTGAATAAGAACCCTGCCAGAAGAACATTTCTATGAAAAGAAAAATATTGTCATTGAAATTTAAAAGTCAGTGAATGAGGTAAATAGCATAGCAGATATAGCTAAAGAGAGATCTGGTAAGCTGTGACACAGAGCTGAATAAATTATCCCAAATAAAACAGAAATACTGAGACAGAAAGTATGAACAGAATGAGAGGATATCCCCACCAGATATTAAAATGTACTACAAATCTCCCATAATTAAAACAGTTTAGTACTGATGCATGAATAGACCAAAAGAATAGAAGTTTAGAAATGAACCAAAAACATTAAAATCTGATGTATTATAAAGGTGGCATCTCAATTACTGGAGCAAAGATGGTGTGGTATCACATATATCTAATCAAAAACAGGGAACCCAAAGAATAAAGAAGAGGCAAAAGAGATGATGACTGAGAATTATCCAAAACTGATTAAATACATGAATAAGCAGACTGAATGAACACAATGTATAACAAGCAGCATATAAAAAGAAATGTATCTAATACATCATAGGGAAACTAGAGAACACTGAAGAAAATAGAAGCACAGATTGCTTCCCCCGTAAAAATTTCAGGTAGCCTAATAGCAGACATATCCATAGCAATAATAGAAGCCAAATAGTCTCTTCTGCTGAGAGAAAATGACTGTCAATTAGAATTACATACTGAACAAAATTATCCTTTAAGAGTGAGACAGTGTAAGTTAAATACTTAGAAAAAATCAATTAGGTGACTGTGTAAAGAATATAGTTAATAAAAAGGGAATGGCTTCAGAAGGAATATTATTCTAATAGGAATGATGAGAAAATGACTAGTAAATAACTATAAAAATATAAAGAGGCAATTATAACATAATAAAACAAAAATGTCTAATCTATGGGTTGATTTTTAAAAAATGACAGAATTCAAGTATTAGACAGGAGGAGCTTAAACACCAAGAAGGAATGTCTGGATTTAAACTGTTCAAAGCCTTTTATTTTGTTGAAAAGGAACTATTTTGATTAACTATAGACTTTAAAAATTGAGATGCATAGTAAAATTTTAAGTAATCATAAAAATGCATATATAGTGAAATTTACCAGATCATTTAGAAAGTTTTCAGGGAAAAAGAATGAATTGTCTCAAAATGCTGAGTAATTGGAGTAGATGGGCATTACCAGATGTTATGGATGTCATAGCATATCATAAATCACCAGTTACTTAGTATGGTATCAGTAAAACATATTCTAATATGAAAAAAGGGAATAAAAGAGTTACTTAACAAATAACTCTAGAGGCATTTCCACTAAGTCAGGAACAGGAAAGTATGCCCACTGTTTCTAGTAAAATTTAACATTAATCTGGAATTACTGCCCAAGGCAATTAAATAAGATAAAACAACTAAGAGCATAAGAATAGGAGAAAAAAAATCTCTATTTAGAGATAGCAAGATAATATATCTGGAAAACCCTAGAGAATTAATGACTAAATGAATACAGCAATTAAAGAATTCAACAAAACCATCAATTTCATTAAAATTAACATGCAAAGATAAATCGTACAATAATCAACAATAGATTAAAAAAACCATTTACATAGGAACAAAAGATAAAAATCATAAGAATAAACTTAACAGAAAACTTTTAAAATCTATATGAGAAAAAGCTCTAATACTCTCCTAAGAGACACAAAGTAGCTATGAATAACATGAAGGATATCTCCTGCTGATTAGTAAAGTTTAGCATTAACAAGATGTCAGTTCTTACAAGTTAGCTTACAAATTTAACACGATTCTAGTAAAAATGCCAATGAGATTTTTTTTATGAAGATAAACAAGTTGATGTAGTACATATGGAAAAATCAACATATAAGAATATCTAGAAAAACACTGAAAAAAGACAGGAGACTATCCCCACCAGACAGAAAAATATACTACAAATTTCCTATAATTAAACAGTGTGGTACTGATGCATGAGTAGACAGACTGTGATATGGTTTGGCTCTGTGTCCTCACCCAAATCTCATCTTGTAGCTCCCATAATTCCCACGCTTGTGGGAAGAACTTGGTGGGAGATAATTGAATCATAGAGGCAAGTCTTTCCCATGTTGTTTTCATGATAGTGAATAAGTTTCACAAAATCTGATGATTTCAAAAATGGGAGCTTCCCTGCACAAGCTCTCTTTTTGCCTGCTGCCATCCATGTAAGATGTGACTTGCTCCACCTTGCTTTCTGCCATGATTGTGAGGCCTCCCCAGCCATGTGGAACTGTAAGTCCATTAAACCTCTTTCTTTTGTAAATTGCCCAGTCTTGGATATGTCTTAGCAGCAGCATGAAAACAGACTAATACAATACATTAGTACCAATAGAGTGAGATATTGCTGAAAAGATACCCAAAAATGTGGAGGCAACTTTGGAACCGGGTAACAGGCAGAGGTTGGAACAGTTTGGAGGGCTCAGAAGAAAATACAAGAAAATATGGGAAAGTTTGGAACTTCCTAGAGACTTAAATGGCTTTGACAAAAATGCTGATAGTGATATAAACAATAAGGTTCAGGCTGAGATGGTCTCAGATGGAGATAAGGAACTTGTTGGGAACTGGAGCAAAGGTGATTCTTGCTATGTTTTAGCAAAGAGACTGGCAGCATTTTGCCCCTGACCTAGAGATGTGTGGAATTTTGGACTTAAAAAAGATGAGTTAGGGTATCTGGTGGAAAAAATTTCTAAGCAGCAAGGCAGTCAAGAGGTGACGAGTGCTGTTAAAGGCATACAGTTTTATAAAGGAAGCAGAGCATAAAAGTTCAAAAATTTGCAGCCTGACAATGCAATAGAAAAAGAAAATCCCATTTTCTGAGAAGAAATTCAAGCCAGCTGCAGAAATTTGCATAAGTAACAAGCAGCCAAATGTTAATCCCCAAGACAATGGAGAAAATGTCTCCAGGGCATGTCAGAGGTCTTCACGGCAGCCCCTCCCATCACAGACCCAGAGGCCTACCTAGGAGGAAAAAATGGTTTTGTGGGCCAGGCCCAGGGTCCTGTGCTGCATGCAGGCTAGGAACTTGGTGCTCTGTGTCTCAGCTGCTCCAGCTGTGACTAAAAGGGGCCAAGATACAGCTCAGGCTGTGGCTTCAGAAGGTGCAAACCCCAATCCTTGGCAGCTTCCACTTGGTGTTGAGCCTGTGGGTGCACAGAAATCAAGAACTGAGGTTTGGGAGCCTCTGCCTAGATTTCAGAGGATATATGGAAATGCCTGAATGTCCAGGCAGAAGTTTGCTGCAGGAGTGGGGGTCTCATGGAGAACCTCTGCTAGGGCAGTGCAGAAGGGAAATGTGGGATCAGAGTCCAGTCTGGAGCATGTCTTATCAGCAGCATGAAAACAGACTAATACAGACCACAAGAAGAGAAGTTTAGAAATGGACCAAAAGCCTATTAAAATCTGATGTATTATAAAGGTGGCATTATAATCATTGGAGCAAAGATAGTCTTTTGAATAAATGGTGGCAAACGATAAAATTAGATATATACCATACCATGCACCAATGCAAGTCCAAATGGATCAGAAGTGTAATTGTAAAAAATGAAAATATGTAAAGACTATAATAAAACATAGATGAATTCCTCCTTAACCTGGATTCAATAAAATGAAAGATGATAAGTTGATAAATTTAAATATGTATAAACTAAAAAAGAACTTTGGTTGGTTAAAAAGAAAAATGGAGTCAAAAATAAAATGAATAACTGGAAGAAAATAATTGCAACATATATCGTGGAGGAAGAGCTGATATCATTAACATACAAATAAATTTAAATTGAGAAAGAAAATCCTAAAAATCTTACAGAAAATTGGCCAAAAACCAAAACTAGTAATTTCTGAAACAAGATGCAATAAAAGGCCCTTAAATATATAAAACTAGTGTTCACATACATTGCTAATAAGATTGCACAATGAGATGGAGGAGAATTTGACAATATTGAACTAAACTGCATACACATTTACTCCTTGACCCAGCAATCTCAACAGAATTTAACACAAAGATAACTTACAATTTGAAAAAAAAATGCACAGTGTGACTTATTACAACATTATTTGTAATAGCACAATGTTAGAAATAGCCTAAGTATCCAAGATGGGAAATTGGTTGAATAAATTATGGTATACACACAGAATGGAGTAGCATGCAGCTGTAAAACATAATGAGGAAGGTCTCTTTACACTGATATGGAGCGATTCTCGAAGAGACATTAAATGAAGAAAGCAAAAATGCAAAATATCACATATACTATACCCTGTTTTTGTAAGAAAGAAGGAGAAATAAGAAAAGATACATATATCTACTTATTTTCACAAAAAGAGCCATGTGAAAGAAAAAACAAAAGATAATAAAGTCAGGTACTTACAACAGGTGGGCATGGTATAGAATGAAAGAAATATAGGATAGATGGCATGTCTCTGAGCAAACCTTTTTAAATGATGTTGACTTTTGGAAGCATGCTAATGTTCTATATATTAAAAAAATCAACAAAGATAGGAAGGGAAATAAAAAGCTAAAACTAAAAGCAAACTGGAAAAAAATAAACACAGTGTATTTCAAATAACCTTACTGAAGAAGAAAACTGTAAAAGTTAAGCCATTTATTAACACAATATGTGACTGTGGGGAGGGTATAAAGAAAACTGAAAACTCCAAAACCATTTTTAGTAGATTTGGTGTTTTTTATAATGGGCGAGGCAATTCAGAAATCTTTCAAATGTACTATAGGATTGAGCAAAAGAGTAAATGCATCAAAGTTGTTGGGATCCAGGGTTCTTAACTACAGAAGGATCTATAAATAGGAAATGGAGAAAGTAAGAAGAACCCTGTAGGCATGGATTAGAATAGGAAGTATTGTTATGGACTCATGATTTCTAAAATACGGACATGATTGCATATATGCATGTATATGTAAATGTGTATATATATATATGTCAATATGTGTATAATGTAATATGTGTTAATAAAAAAGGAATGGCTTATACTCCACGTATTTTCCAGCACTGTCCTTGAAAGGTCTTTGAAGTAAAGATACCTCAGTAACAATGAGCATACCTACCACTCAGGTGTTGGTCTGTAATGCCACTAAAAGGAACCAGGACTCCTCAGAGAAATGGATGATTCCAGAGCTGGGCCAGGATAGATAAAAGATAGGTTTGGAACATCTTATTGCTTGAGAAAAATAAGAAGTGCTAAAAAAATGTGTGGTGCATGTCTCAACAATATAGAAACCCTTTACAAGACTCCCACTGGCCTTATCTGGGACAATTTAAGCAATAAAAACAACTAAAAATCTAAGGATAATAAGTATAAAAAGGAACCCAGGAGTTTGTACTGATAATAAATACATAAATAATAATAGATCCAATAAAGAAATAGATGAGTGAATAAATAAATTTACAGGAGAGAAAAGATAGCTGTTGCCCTCAGTAGAATGCTAAATGCCACCTGGCAAATATGAGGAGTGCTGGATTTGGAATCATGTTTTTTGCAACCATCGTTGTAAAGGTAGGTTCAGGCAAGAATCATCAGTGGATGGCAAATGCAGGAGAAGTGTTGATGAATAGAATATTTGCATGGTCTTAAAGCTTTTCTTCACAGACTGCTTATTTTCTTCACAGACTGCTTATTGCAAGGGAGAAAAATAGTAACTGTAATAGAGAAATCAGGCAACATCTTGACTGTGTAATGAAAATCAGCAATTGTGTTGGTTAATACTGAATGTCAACTTGATCAGATTGAAGGATACAAAGTATTGATCCTGGGTGTGTCTGTGAGGGTGTTACCAAAAGAGATTAACATTTGAGTCAGTGGGCAAGGGAAGGCAGATCCACTCTTAATCTGGTGGGCACAATCTAATCAGCTGCCAGCAAATATAAAGCAGGCAGAAAAATGTGAAAAAGAGACACTGGCCTAGCCTCCCAGCCTACATCTTTCTCCCATGCTAGATGCTTCCTGCCCTCGAACATCGGACTCCAAGTTCTTCAGTTTTGGGACTCGGACTGGCTCTCCTTGCTCCTCAGCTTGCAGACAGCCTATTGTGGGACCTTGTGATCATGTAAGTTAATACTTAATAAACTCCCTTTTATATAGATATAGATATAGATATATCCTATTAGTTCTGTCCTTCTAGAGAACCCTGACTAATACAGCAATCATCACTTAGAGGTAAACAGATATACAGACATCATGGCCCTCCAGATGCAATACCTGATGATTGTGTTGTGGCCAGGAACATAGGGCCTGGATGTATTCATAAGGAACCATCAACTAAATTCCAAATGAAGAACATTCTATTTAAAAAATTGGAACCAACCCAAATGCCCATCAGTGATAGACTGGATAAAGAAAATGTGGCACATGTACACCATGGAATACTATGCAGCCATAAAAAAGGTTGAGTTTATGTTCTTTGCAGGGACATGGATGAAGCTGGAAACCATCATTCTCAGCAAACTAACACAGGAACAGAACACCAAACACTGCATGTTCTCACTCATAAGTGGGAGTTGAACAATGAGAACATATGGACACAGGGAGGGGAACATCACACACTGGGGCCTGTCAGGGGATTGGGGGTTAGGGTAGGGATAGCATCAGGAGAAATACCTAATGCAGATGACTGGTTGATGGATGCAGCTAACCACCATGGCACGTGTATACCTATGTAACAAACCTGCACGTTCTGCACATGTATCCCAGAAATTAAAATATAATAAAAAATTAAAAAGCACTGCATCCTCCAAAAATAGCAATAAAAAAGACAAAGAAAGGCTACATAAATATTCCAGTTATAAGGTGACTAATCGGACATGACAACTACGTGCATTATCTGATCATAAACTGGTTCCTGAACTGGAGGGAAAATAAATACTAATAAAGGACATTGTTGTGTTCATTAACAAAATTGAAATATAAATAACAGGTTAGATAAAAGTATTCATCAGTATTAAATTTACTGAAGTTGTTAACTGCTATGATTACATGGGAGAATTTTATTATTCTTGGAAAATGCTTGCTAATACATAATACTTAAGTACTGATGAGGAAAGGGCCATTATGTGTGCAGCTTACTCTCAAATGGTTCAGAAATATGTATATATAAGTATATATATATATACATATACATATATACACATATATATACACATATATACATATACATATATATACATATATATATACACACACATATGAAGAGAGAGCGGGAGAGAGCACGTACATGCAAGTGGGATAAAATGATAACAATAGGAAAATCTAGATTAAAAGTATTTAATTCTTTTCACTTTTCTTAATCTTGTGATTTTCTGTTAATTTGAAATCATTTCAAAATAAAAAGTATTTTAAAAACTTTGATTCTCTATAATAAATGTTGGAATGAATGTAACAAATAAAATTTAACCAGTCAAAAAAAACCAGTGCATCAATATTGGGTGGGGAACTGCAGTTTCACGGCAGTATATATGATGAAGTTAGTGTGGTTCTCGCTGATTGTGGGCTAAATATGACCCCTCACAATGGCTCAGGATCAGAGAGCGGAGGACAGCTCTCAGAGCAGGCTCAGGACTTCTGTAAATTTTAGTAATGCAGAAGTCCCCATCTAAGCTCTTGGATCCTTTCTGATGGTGTCCTTCCCAAGCCATTTCCTTGCTGACAAGGCCTGCAAGGTGCAGTGAGGTGCCTGAACTGTCCTTGAGGGCTCCAGCACACCTTCAGATAGGGGCATTTTTAGGCTTTAACAGATTTTCTGGAATTGGCAGACTCTGAACATTACTCTCAATGTTTTTCTTTTCCAGTAAGCCCTTCCTAGGGGGAAGCTATGGGAAGGACAACAGTAACTGCTTCTAATGTCAAGGTAGCATGGTAGCATGGGCGTTGTCCATGCACACCGCAGGTATCTTCACCCACAGCCTCCAGGCCTGAGCTTCAAAAACGGAGAGACTCTTCTTTGCTGCATCACAAAATGTTTCCTCAAATAATTAACGGCAATTATGATAATGGTGAAGAAGCCAGGCTACTAGCCAGTCTCTCTGAGTTTTAACCAGGCTCCAACACATACTAGCTATAAGACCATAGAGAAGTTACTTAACCCTCTGTGTCTTAGTTTCCTCACCGGTAAGAGTATAAATACTGCATTGGGAAGGTTGGCTGAGTTAATACTACAAAGCACTTATCCCAAGAAAATAGTAAGTGCTTTTAGTTATTGCTTATAAGTGTATAAAATATAGTTTTTCAAACTTGTAGTTATTGTTTTAAATCTCTTTAAGAAAGCCCTTTAACTGACGAGATTTTAGTCTCCTCTTCCATTGCTGTACTCTCTAATGAACATGGTCACTATTCTCTTTTATCTGATCCTTTCTGTGTCTTTTATAAGACTTTCAGCTCACTAGACCACATCACCGGTAAACAGTCACTGATCCCTCAACACATACATCCACTCATACTCACACATGCACACGCACATCAACTAGTCTGTAAAAAAACAAACAAAAACAAACAAAAACTCCTGATGCACGAATTGGGGGCTTCTCCAGATTAATCAGGATTGTACTCTGTCTAGCCAGTGGGGCTACAGGCAGAGTGAGCAATGGATTTCAGAGGCCCAGAGCACCCTTCTGATCCCAAACACATCCATCTAACATCCTGAAATAACTGTTATGGTAAATGCTTTATTGAGAAGACTGATATTTAGTGAGTTAAGAAAGGAACATGTTAGAAGAGATTTGTGTTCACTACCATCAAATTGCATGGGTTCCAATCCTAGCTCTGCCCTACCTTCTGTGAATTCTTAATTGCTCTTTGCCTTAGTTTTATCAACACACACACATACACAAAAGAACCTACACTATAGACTTAATAGAGTTATATATGTAAAGTGCTTAGAGTGAGCATGTCATCAGAGCTATGTAAGTGTAATCTATTATTTTTATTATTTCTTTATACATTCAACAAATAGTAATTAAGCACCTACATTATGCGAAACACTATGCAAGGTCCTAGAAATATCAGCATATATGAAACAAATAGTTTGTAAACTATTGGGGGGAAGCAAAATAAGCAAACAGATTTTTTAAGCAAATCATCATATAAACGTGAAGGAAAAAGAAGATGCCGAGGGAGAGAATGCAAGGGTATTGGTGGCAGGGGGAGTGGGGAAAGGGGCTTGGGTTTGGCCACAGAAAAGGCTTCTCTGAGGAGAAAGCATTTGACCTAAGGCCTGAATTGAGGGGAAGAAGCCAGTTCCCAAAGAGGAAGAGGAGGAGCACTTCAGACACAGGGGGAAGTCTGTGTAATGGCCCCCAGCAGACAATGGACAATGGCTGTCCAGTAGAATCTGGGCTTAGTGAGTGAACATGAGTGGCCTTCAATGAAGGCAGGGGTCAGATTACGCAGGGCCTCGGAGGGCATGGTAGGAGTTCAAATTTGATTTTATGAACCCTGTGAAGTCATTGAAAGGTTTGAAGCAAGACAATTACATGATCCAATTTACTTTTTCAAATGCTCTATCTGAATGCCCTATAAAATTAGATAGTTACCAAGGCAAGATAGATTATAGGAATGCCATCACAGGGGACCTGGCTGCTGCATCCTATGAACTACACAGACCACCCAGGCAGTGGTCTGTTTGGGTCACACATACAAAATGTATCCTTTTGTGTTTCAGGGAGCCAGTCCAAGGCCTTGTGCAGTTTTTGGGCTTGGATCGTGGAGGTTCCACTGGGGCTGGGAGGGAGAACGTATTTTGACCATTGGATAATGTCTTGCAGCTTGTAACATGTGGCTTTGATCTATTTGAGTGAGAACCTCAGTCTGTTTAGCTGACATCATTTATACAGTCTCTTTGGCACTCAAGAAGTAAATTATCTCTCTTTAAATGTTTTAATTCTATCATCAGCTTATTTTAATATTTTACTATTAATAAGAACATTTTTCTCTCCTCCTCTTGAAGTGGACATTTGAGGAAATAATTTCAAGATTGAAAATCATTTCATATTGAGATTATCTATATCCTCAATCATTTGGCCGAATTCCTGTGGCTTTGTTTGTTTGCTTGTTTTTGAGTAGATATGTTTGAATGTCTGGAACTACATGGTACCAATAATTAGCTTGACTGTTATTTCCTATTTTTATTCAGGCCTGTCTGGTGTTACATAAATAGTTCTGATGTGCTGAATGTCTGTTGATCCCTATTTTGACTCCTAGTGGTTATATGAATTTAAATCTCTGAGACTGTCAGCTAAGTCAGCTGTGACTACTTCCATTCTAATATTCTAGGGCTTTGGATGGTATCTGAGGACACTGGGGAGGCATAGTGGTGTTTCCTTTTAGTTATGATTTTATAAAATTGTCCTGGTTGGGTTCTCTGAGAATAAGATGCTGAGATGGAGTTGGGAGTGCAAAGGGTTTCTTGAGGAATAAGACTCGTGAAAAGAAAAAGGAGGAAACAGAATTGGGCTGAGGTGTCATCACACTGTGACACAGTCCTGACAAACTCAAGGCTCCAGATCAATGACTGCCCATTAAAAGAGTCCTGCATTGGGCAAAAATGGTTATGCCTTAGTATCACCATCTGACTCAATCATTGGCTTAGAGTAGCCTCAAGAGGATCAGGACCTCAGTTCAAAAATTAAGGTGAACCTCAGAAAGAGCTAACCACTGGAGACTGCCAGCTTACCATACTTCTTGCAGCTGGGTAGCAGTTCTTCCTCTGAAGGGGAAACAATGTGGTGGCATGTCTCTTTGTCTTCCACATAT
This sequence comes from Homo sapiens, assembly GCF_000001405.40. Taxonomy (NCBI): domain Eukaryota; kingdom Metazoa; phylum Chordata; class Mammalia; order Primates; family Hominidae; genus Homo; species Homo sapiens. The sequence goes on from NC_000001.11 coordinate 221,595,805, forward strand.
AAATTGCATCCATCTGCCTTTCAGAGAAGCTTGTGCTGTGAGATCTACTTGTCTACACACATGAGAGAACAGCTCCTCCTTTCTTCCTAATGGTAAATATAGAAGAGGGAAGTTAGTGAAACAAACTATGGCCCTTGTGGCTGCCCTTGGTCTAAGGACCACTACTACTGCTCATTGTTTCCTCTTCCACTCCTCATTCAAATTTGTTCTCATCCTCAGCTACCACTTCTACTGGTCTCAGTGGCTTACTTGATGGTGTCAATCAGACCTCATTTCTGAGGGATCCGAGCTCCTTCTTAGCCAGGGCTGTACCCTTGTTCATTCTCAATCACAACTGGGCAAGGAAGGACAAAGAAGTACCAAAGTGGATCGCCTGGGTTCCGCGTGGATTCCTCCCTGCCTCTGGGATGTAACAGCAGCCCTGTCTCCTCCTGCTGATCGCATCAGTTACTCCTGAGAAGACGGTGAATCTTCTTCTTGCCTACCACTCCTTAGGCATGAGGAGCCCGAGATACCTCGGTAGTAGCTGCAGCTTATAGTTCCGTTACACCCTTGCTGTGTACACTGGCAAGAGTGCTCCCTTTTGGTGTTGAGAACCTTTATCTCTACAGTAACCTTTCAGAAATACGAAGCACAGTTTCCAGTAGTGGTGGTCAGTGGTTCTACTCCACATATGTGCCTTGGTTCTCAAACCCATGTATTCTTTCTACAATGGACCCAGTGCCATAGAAACATATCTGACTCCATAGGTATATGGCATCCTGAAGGATGATGCCCAATTTTTATAGAATTTTGCCTCTGGGCTTGTACTTCAGCTGTGACTTCAAACTGAACTTTTTAATGCTCTGAGCCTGGCTGTTCCTGAATGGTATGCTAGGTGATACTACACTATACTGTTTGGGATTCTGTCTCACTGAATCAAACATTCTGTAAGCCCCATGATAGAGGTGTTAGCTGAGGTCCTGAAGGCAGAAATGCAAACTTGTACCTGAAATAGGTGTCCTGAGGGATACAATATAGTAATTGGATCCTGAGGGATCCAATATAATAAATTGCCACCAACTGATCAGTTGATCTCCTCAAGGAAAAGCCCCAAAGGGGCTTCCAATTAGCCTCTGTTGCTAATAGGCTAGACATTCATCAATGGCAGTGGTTAAACTGATCTTGGTGAGTGGGAGATGGTCCTGTTAATCCCATGTGTAGCTTTCATCTCTGCTTCTATGCTCACAGGATTCACCTGTCTGTTTTGTCAACACTGGAGCCGCTGCTGACAAAGACTGGTTAATACCAATTGGCCATGCCACTTTTTCCACTTTGGTTGTTCAGTGCCTCATTCAAGGTAGATGCTAGTTCTAATGAGCTTTAATATGTGAATTAAAAAAAAATAAAACCTCCAAACTTGGTTCCCATTCTAATATATACAACCACATACCTCTACTCTCAATGTTTTTGTCTCCATTCTTCCAATTTCTTTCCTTCTAGGCTCTGAACCAGCTGACCAGGCTATTTGCCACTGACCTTGGAGGTTTTTTTCCCCATCACTGTTATTTTTCAAGGTATCCTCTGAGTGAGGCTATCATGTAGTCTCCATGAATTTTTGGCTTGTACGCACTCGCTAAGATGACCCATTCCAACACCAAGCTCTGTTGTTTCGTCCTTCTGTCTTGGCTTTACAAAATGGCCTTTGTAATTGGCCTAACCCAATATAGCCATAAGTGAGATAAGAAAAGAATACTAGAGCAAATGTGGTGGATGAATGAGAATTTGGGCTGCTTGCTCATGCACCATGATGACACTTTCTGCTCATGCTCATAGTAGGCCTTGAATATACCATTTCCATCTTATGATCAACTGCTGCGGTCACCTTCCCAACTTTTTTATTTGATAAGTCCAGTAGGACCCAGCTGTTCCAGACAAATGGTCATTTGGTGTCTCATGGTCAATTGTTTTATATCTACTGCAGTCCAATAGCATAAGAGCCTAAGAGCTCTTTTCCAGTGCTGGGCAATTCTCTGTTAGAGATGGTATAGCCTGTCTCCAGAAATTCAGGTTTGTTTATTGCTATTCTTACACTAGAACTTGCTATAAAGCCCACACTACATATTTTCTACCACTCCTATCTCCAGCACCATGGGGCCTGCCAGATTATGTGACCCAACTGCCAGGGTTGCTCTTCCAGAAGCCAAAAAGTCCCACCAGGCATTGTGCATGCTTTTTTGTAAAAGGAGATACAAGATGCAACAATTTCTCTTTTACTTGGAACAGTATAATTAAGCATGCCAGTAGACCCTAAATATTTTACTGAGATGGCAGACCCGTTAATTATTATAGCATTTATTTCTCACTGTCTGGAGTGCATGCATCTTACCATGGCCTCCAGTGCACTCTCCACCTTTTCCTCACCCGCAATGTGATGCTCTGCAGGATGTCCAGATAGAGGAGCTAACAAAACAATTAACAGAGAGTGAGATTGTAAATATGCATTGTTTTCTGTTCCACGTGAATGCAAACTATTTCTGAAAGTCTTTCATTGTTAAGATAGAGAATACATTTGCCAAGTCACTGGCTGCATATCGTATTCTTGTGGCCACATCAATCCACTCTGGCAATCTGAAATAGCAGCTGTCATTAGGGCTGCCGCAGATTGAAGCTGCGACAGTCTACACAGTTATTCTCCAGGGCCCATTCAACGTTTTCAGGGTCAAACCAGCAAGTCAAGTAGATAGTGGCCACCACCTTACCACATTTAAGCATGATATTAATCTCTAATAACTCTCACTTTGAGAGCATATGATTCTGTTTGTGTCTTACCGTCTTGTACAGATGGTATAAGATGGTATCTTGGGAGAATGTGCTAGTAGAGGGATAGGCATGGGCTGGAGGGATGATTTTAAGTATTTGAAACATACAGAGGTGCTGCTGGTGGTGACGGTGATAAATACAGGGATAATGATTTTGGATGATTTTTACTAAATTGCATTGATGCCTTGGATATGGATAATGGTATGCTGAGGTCAGTTAACAACGAAAGTTCCTGAGAGAAGAATTATCTTTGCCTTTTGAAGAAAAAGGCTTCTCATTTTCTTCCCATACAGGAAAACACCTGCTTTTATTGGGAAAGGGCTACTCACTTCTACAGGCTGAAATTATTGAAAGAAGTTTATGGAGTCAAAATATTGAAGGTATTATGCATATGTCCCCAAGTCATGTGTCAGATATGCAGGTTTTCCCAACCAAGGCCTTGGCTTTGTCAAAACGGACTTGCCTTGGTTGGACATCCACCAATCTTTGAAGTTCAGCTGCTGTTTATTAGATTCTAGATTTGATCTCATACTTCGCTCACCACTGCGTGAGAGGAGGACTTTGTGTAGCCTGCTGAAGAGACTCTCTGGCTCTCATGCTTCGTTTTAGTTCTTTCCATTGTTAACTGCCCTCAGCATTCCATTATCCACATAATAGAATAAGGCATCAATGTAATTTAGTAATGATCATCCAAAATCATTATCCCTATATTTGTCACCGTCACCACGAGCAGCAGCACCCCTGTACATTTCAAATACTTAAAATCATCCCACCAGCCCGTGCCTATCCCTCTACCAGCGCATTCTCCCAAGATACCATCAGTGAAAGTTTTAACAGTTAGACCACTTCATTGGCCCAGCCCATCTGTGCTCTACCTGCCACCCAAAATGGGGTCCTCCTTACTAGCTCCAAGGTAATTGTTCCAATGCATAAATCCCATCTTGCCACCTGCTTTCTCAGAACACTCCCAGTGCCAGCTGTGCCAGTTGGGTTCTCTGAGAAGGAGTTTCTGAGATAGAATTGGGAATGAGATCGACTGGGGAATATTACCTATAAAAAGAAAAGGAAGGAGACAGGGTTGGGTAGAGGAAGCTGCCAGAATTTGATGCTGCCCTGACAATGCCTCTGCCAACCCAACAAGGCACTTCAGAGAAAAGCTTTCCCGTTAAAGGAGTTTTGCATTGTGGTGAACATCTGTATTATTAATTTGTTGGCGTAAGGGTGCCCTGAAAAAAGGGTGATCTCAGCTGTCACCACTTTTTTCTGTCCTTGACTGAGGATCACCCCAAAAGAAGTGACCTTGGCTTCAAAGCTCAGAAAGACACTGAAGGTTTTTCTGGAGGCAGCCAGCTAACCACATGCCTTGCAGCTTGGAAGAAAGTCTTTTCTTGAAGTGGGATATGGGCAGCCTATCTCTGTATGTGCCAAAAAATCATAGACACCCACAGCCAGACAAAATTTTGAAGAATTTGTTTTGTCCCTTCTGCTTTCAAATGCTACTAGTGTAAGATGCACCATTGGTTTGTGTACCTCCAAGAAACATACACAAAACAACAAAGCCAATCATAAAAGTCCATCACTTTATACACATTGCATTGCAGAGTTGTTAAAATCTAGAAAAATATGTATCTTAGAACTTGATGAAATACAGTACTTGCTTTTCTTTTTGATTTACACTTCACGAATGGAAACACCTTGCACCTCCTCTCTGGCACAGGGACTCAGGTCAGCATCATCCTGAATTGGAAAAAAGAAGCTCAGTTCTATTTCTTCATATTCTGTTGACTGTGTTGCATGTAGAGATGAAATAATCAGCATCTCACTTAAAAAAATGCAAAAAAAAAAAAAAACAAACAAACAGTGCTTCTGGATCATCTAAAGGTCACACTTCTTTCCACCTCTGCTCAGAACACATAGAAATGAGAGATTAAATTTAAAAAGGAAAACCAAAGAACATAGCAAGCCTTAAAAAATATCCAATTCATTCATCAGTGGATATTAAAATTGGTAAAGCCACTTTGGAAAACTGTTTAGCAGTATTCATTAAAGATGAACATGTACATACCCACAACTCAGAAGCTCTACTGCCAGATAAATAGCCAAACAAATACATACCAAAAAGCATGGGTGAGAATGATAAAGGAGCACTATTTATTATAGCTCCCAACTGAAAACAACTCAAATGTCCACAAACAGTAAAATGGATAAATTAATGAAATATAAAACAGCAATAAAAATGAATGAGCCACTGATATATGCAACAACACGGATGAATTTCATAAAAGGCAGACACAAAGAGTACCTTCAGTGGTACGATTGTGCTCATAAAATCACAGAAATCAAAAAAACAAATTTGCAATATTCGAAGTCAGGATAATTGTTAGTGTTGTGAGAAACATGAAGGTCATGGCTAGGAGGTATGGAGCTACCAAGTTTCTGTGGTTCTGGTAATTCTCTGTCTTGATATGGGTTGTACTCACTTTGTAAAATGTTGTCTAGCTGCACACTGATGGTTTCATACTACACCATAGGTGTATTTCAATACAGAAAAAAACTAATAAGAAATAAAAATAATATGAAGCATATGTAACTGAAAAGTTAGAACTTGACAGAGCTAGGTGCCTAATAGTATTCAGTAGTTTGCCATAGTGTTTTGCATTTTCTCATGTGCTTTAAAAATTTATTACAAAAAAATTAAAATTAAAGGTCATGAAAAAGTGAAGTCTCAGCTTTCTGCCTCCTATTGAAAATTTGCTTAGTCATTGGGGGATCCAATGATCTGAAAGGCAATAATTCTTGTCTCAAGGACAAGTTGGAGGCAAAAGTATGAAAAAGATGGCCATGCAAGTTTCAACCAAAGGTCAGATGATATAACTGTATTTATGTCATGCAAAATAGACCTCAAGTAGAAAAAATGCATTTTAAAGATAAAGAAGGTCATGTCAAAACATAAAAGCTTCAAATCCATAGGAAGATGAAAAATTAAAAATGTCTTTGTACCTCTCAAAGCATAGCCTGAAAATATATTTAAAAGAAATGGAAGAGGTCAGGTGAATGGCTCACACCTGTAATCCCAGCACTTTGGGAGGCTGAGGTGAGAGAATAACTAGAAGCCAGCAGTTCAGGACTAGCCTGGTCAACATAAGGAGACTCCATATCCAAAAATGAATAAATAAATAAAATAAAAAGAAATAAAAGAAACTGAAGAAATACACAGAAGAATAGACAAATTAACAATTACCTAGGTAAATGATAGACTATATAGATTAAAATATCTGTAGTAAAATGTAAAATCATTATAGAAAAAATGTTTTATAGTGTAATAAAAAATACTACATAGCACACTTATGAGACACAGGTAAAGTAGTTCTTAATGAAAAATTATAACCTTAATTTGTGTATTAGAAAAATGAAGAAAATTAATGTTGAGAAACCATTGGAAGATGTGAAAAAAATAACAGCAATATAAATCCAAATGCAGTAGATGAAGAATATTTGCAAACAGAAGCTAAAATGAACAAAATAGGAAGCATAGATGCAATTAAGATTTTTGTAGCTAATACTAACTGAAAATTTTTGTTTTAGATGATCAATAAAATTTGACAAACCTATAGCAAAATTTATTTAATAATTAGCATAATAGATATTAACAATGAAAAGGACTATTATAAAGTGATAGGAGATAGTATGAACAATTTTACAGTAATCAATTTGAAAATTTAGATAAAATGAGAAAATTAATAACTTATAAAAGCAAACCAAATGAAAAATAAAAAACCTAGAGCTTCTAAAACTATTAGAAAAGAAATGGAATCACTTATTTTTTTTTAAATGTTTCCACATAGCAAAACTCGTGCCCCAGATAACTTCACCAAATAATTCTATCAAATATTCAAGGACCAGATAACCAAAACCTTATCCAAGCTATTCAAGGACTAAATTGAATTTGTTGGTATGAAATTGATATTGTAGAGATGCTAATTCTCCCCCAAATACATGGCAATCTAATTAAATTGCCAGCCATAGTTTTTGAGGAACTTGTCAAGATAAATCAAAACTGATATGAAAATATAGAGGGTTAAGAATAGCCAAGACAATCTAAAGGAGATAAGGTATGAGTCCTTGTCCTACCAGATACCAAGACTTATTTTAAACTAACTTTATTATTATAATTATTATTTTGAGACAAGCTCTTGCTCTGTAACTCAGGCTGAAGTGCAGTGGCCGATCTCAGCTCACTGCAACCTCCATCTCCTGGATTCAAGTGATTCTCCCACCTCAGCCTGCCAGTAGCTGGAACTACAGATGCGTGCCACCATGCATGGCTAAGTTTTGTATTTTTTGATAGAGACAAGGTTTTAGCATGTTGGCCAGGCTGGTCTTGAACTCCTGACCTCAAGTGATCCACCCACTTTGGCCTCCCAAAATGCTGGAATTACAGGTATGAGTCACTGTTCCTAGCCTATTTTAAGCTAACATTACTAAGACAGTGCACCTCTTGCACAACAATATACAAATAAAACATATTTGTATATTTGTGGATCATAAAAGATCACCAAGAAATACAGACACTTGATTTATGATAGAGATAGTGTAGCAGATCACTAACAACAGACTTTTTAGCAAATGGTATTGGGACAATTGGATATCTAATTAGAAATCTCACACCACACTGAAACATCTGGATGGAATAAAGACAATTGTAAAAAACAAAAGTATAAAGTTTTCACAATGTAACATAGGAGAATACTTTACAGCTCACAGAAGGGAAAATATTTCTTAAACAAGATGTAAAAAACATAAACTATAAAGAAAGAATATACATTTGACTACCATTAAATAAGAACTTGTGTTAATCCACAGATATTATTAAAAGAGAAAAAATACAAGCTGCAGTGTAGGAAAGTTTCTAAAAATATATCCAAAATGACTACTATCCCAAATATATAAGGAACTATGAATTAATAAGACAAGCAAACTTATAGAAAAATAAGCAGAAGAATTAAGCAGATATTTTACAAAGAAACATTAATGACAAGTAAACGTGAAGAAAGGCTTAACATCATTATTAGTCAGAATAATGAAAATTAAACCCAGAGTATGCCATATTGGCAAAAATGTAAATATTATTTTAGACAATACTAAGTGTTGGTGAAGATGAGCTCTCATCTACCACTGCGGAAGTAGAAATTGCTTCACCTATTTTGGAAAACAGCTTGGAATCATTTAGTGAATGTGTACATGCACATTCACAGCTACCAGTAATTATATTCCTAGCAAGAATGTTCATAATATTATTTTTGGTAATTGCTAAAAACTGTAGACACCCAAAATGTACATCGGTAGCAAAATAGATAAATAATTTGTGGTATATTCATGATTTTTTCTTTAAAAAAGACCAAACTATAGTTATATATATAAACATGAATAAATCACAAGCAATATTAAATGAAAGAAAAAAGGAATGAAAAGACATATTCAAGGTCATTCTATTTGCATAAATTGTATAAGCACGAGGATAAATTACATATATGAGGAAGGAATACTTATGTAGTAAAAGCGTCTTTAAAAAAAAATCAAACGAATGACTATCAAAAAGTCAGAACAGTAGTTATCTGTGGGGAAGAGGATGAAAAAGAAACCATCTTGGAGGGTCAGAGGGAACTTCTGTCAATGTTTTCTTAACCTAGATGGTAGTTACACAAATACTCATTTTAATATTATTATTGAAAATGTAAATATGTTTTATATACTCTTTGATATATACAGTATACAATCATCCATTGCTTAAGGTGGGATAGTGATATGGTTTGGCTGTGTCCCTACCCAAATCTCATCTTGAATTGTAGTTTCCATAATCCCCACATGTCATGGGAGGGGCCCTGAGGGAGGTAATTGAATCATGAGGTGGTTATGTTCTCATGATAGTGAGTGCTGCTGTTCTCATGATAGTGAGTGAATTCTCAGGAGATCTGATGGTTTTATAAGGGGCTTTTTCCCTTTTTGCTAGGGGACTAGGCACTTCCCCTTTTGGTAGAAATGGGAGATGCCATCATGTGAAGAAGGACATGTTTGCTTCCCCTTCCACCATGACTGTAAGTTTCCTGAGGCTTCCCCAGCCATGCAGAGCTGTGAGTCAATTAAACCTCTTTCTTTATAAATTACCCAGTCTCAGGCAGTGTTTTAAGGCAGCATGAGAATGAACTAATACAGATACATTCCAAGAAATCTGTCATTAGGAGATTTTGTCATTGTGCAAACGTCGTAGAGTGTACTTACATAAACCAAGATGGTGTAGTGTAGCCTACTTCACACCTAGGCTGTATGGTACAGCCTATTGTTTCTAGGCTACAGGCCTATACAGAATGTTACTGTCCTGAATATTGTAGGTAACTGTAACACAATGCTAAGTATTTATGTATCTAAATATATCTAAACATAGAAAAGGTACAGTAAAAATATGAAATAGATAAAAAAATGTACACCTATGTAGGGCATTTACTATGAATGGAGTTTACAAGACTGGAAGTTGCTCTGGGTGAGTCAGTGAGTGTGAAGGCCTAGAACATGACTGTACACTATCATAGACTATATACTCTATACATTTAGGCTACACTAAATTTAGAAAACTTTTTTTATTCAATAACAAATTAACCTTAGTTTATTATAATTTTTGACTTTATAAACTTTTTATTTTTTTTACTTTTTGACTTTTGTAATAACACTTAGCTTTAACCTCACATTGTAGAGATGTACAAAAATATTTTTATATTCTTATTGTATAAGCTTTTTTTATTAACTTTCTTTCTACTTTTTAAACTTTTTTGTTTAAAACTAAGATACAAACACACACATTAGCTTAGGCCTACACAGGGACAGGATCATTAAGGTGTCACTAGGCAAAAGGAAATTTTCAGTTCCATTTTAATCTTATGAGACCGCCATTTTATATACAGTACATTGTTGTTGGAAACATTGTTATATGACACATGACTATATTTCAAAATTAAAAAGAAAAAGGAAAGACAACATCCCAGGAAGCTGAAATTGATAAGTCTTTGGCCCCTTTCTTAAGAGTTAGGGTAATCTGATAGCAGAGGCATTGTTTCAGATGTGAGACATTTAGTCGAATTACCTGTTTGTTTTCTCACAAACTCATACTTGTTTGACTGGATCATCTGGGTACCTTTGCTTTCTGCAGTCACAGCCTTTGATTACAAGGTGTCAAGAGATGGTATCAAGGGCCAGAACAGCAATTATAAAGCTACTGCCATAATAAGGCATTTATAGGCACACCTCATTTTATTGTGCTTCACAAATAGTGTGTTTTTTTTTTTACAAATTGAAGGTTTGTGGCAACCAAGGAGTGAGCAAGTCCATTAGTGCCATTTCTCCAACAGCATATACTCACTTTGTGTCTGTGTCATATTTTGGCAATTCTCAAAATATTTCAAACTGTATTATTATTATTATATCTGTCATGGTGATCTGCAATCAGCAATCTTTGATGTTACCATTGTAATTGTTTTGGGGGACCACGAACTGCATCCATATAAGATAGCAAACTTAATAAATGTATGTTCTGACTGCGGCACTGGCCAGCCATTCCCCTGTCTTCCTCCCTCTCCTTGGGTCTCCCTATTTTCTGAAACACAACAATATTTTAATGAGGCCAGTTAATAACCCTACAATTTTCTCTAAGTGTTCAAGTGAAAGGAAGGGTTGCATGTCTCTCGCCTTAAATCAAAAGCTGGAAATGATTAAGCTTAGTGAGGAAAGCACGTTGAAAGCCAAGTTAGAACAAAAGCTAGGCCTCTTGCACCAACCAGTTAGCCAAGTTGTGAATGCAAAGGAAAATTTATTGAAGGAAATTAAACTTGCTACTTCAGTGAACACGTGAATTATAAGAAAGCAAAATAGCTTTATTGCCTAAGTGGAGAGAGTTTGAGTGGTCTAGATAGAAGCTCAAACCAGCCACAACATTCCCTTAAGCCAAAGCCTAATTCAGTGCAAGGCCCTAACTCTCGTCAATTATATGAAGGCTGAAAAAGGTGAAGAAGCCAAGGAAGAAAAGTTGAAAGCTAACAGAAGTTGGTTTATGAGATTTTTTAAAAGAAGCCAAGTTTATAACATAAAAGTGCAAGGTGAAACAGCAAGTACTGATACAGAAGCTGCAGCAAGTTATCCAGAAGATGTAGCTAAGATCATTGACAAAGCTGGCTACACTAAAAAAATACATTTTCTTTGTAGACAAAACTGCCTTCTATTAGAAGATGATGCCATCTAAAACTTTCATAGCTAGAGAGGTGAAGTCAATGCCTGGCTTCAATGCTTCTGAAGACAGACCGGCTCCCTTTTTAGCAGTTCATGCAGCTGGTGACTTTAAGTTGAAACCAATGCTTATTTACCATTTCAAAATCCTAGAGCCCTTAAGAATTATGCTAAATCGGCCGGGCGCGGTGGCTCACGCCTGTAATCCCAGCACTTTGGGAGGCCGAGGCGGGCGGATCACGAGGTCAGGAGATCGAGACCATCCTGGCTAACACGGTGAAACCCCGTCTCTACTAAAAATACAAAAAATTAGCCGGGCGTGGTAGCGGGCGCCTGTAGTCCCAGCTACTCGGGAGGCTGAGGCAGGGGAATGGCGTGAACCCGGGAGGCGGAGCTTGCAGTGAGCCGAGATCGCGCCACTGCACTCCAGCCTGGGCGACAGAGCGAGACTCCGTCTCAAAAAAAAAAAAAAAAAAAAAGAATTATGCTAAATCTACTTTGCCTTCCTCCACAAATGCAAAAACAAAGTCTCCCTGAGAGCACATCTGCTTACAGCATGGTTTAATGGAATTTTTTTTTTTTTTTTTTTTGAGATGGAGTCTTGCTCTGTCACCCTGGCTGGAGTGCAGTGACTTGATCTCAGTTCACTGCAAACTCCGTCTCCAGGGTTCAAGCGATTCTCCTGCCTCAGCCTCCCGAGTAGCTGGGATTACAGGAGTGTGCCACCACACATGGCAGATTTTTGCATTTTTAGTAGAGACAGGGTTTTGCCATGTTGGCCAGGCTGGTCTGGAACTCCTGACGTCAGGCAATCTGCCTACTTCAGCCTCCCAAAGTGATGGGATTAAAGGTGTGAGCCACCATGCTTGGCTAGCTTACTGTATATTTTAAGCTAACTGTTGAGATCTACTCCTCAGAAAAAAAAAAAAAGATTCCTTTTAAAATATTACTGTTAATTGACAAGGCTCCTGGTCATCCAAGAGCTCCTAAGGAGATGTATAGAAGATGAAGGTTATTTTGTTATTTTCATGACTGCTAACACAACATCCATTCTGCTATCCATGGAACAAGGAGTAATTTTGACTTTCAAGTCTTGTTACTTAAGAAATACATTTCATAAGGCTATAGTTGTTATAGATAGTGATTTCTCTTTTGGATTTGGGAAAAATAAATTGAAAACTTTCTGAAAAGAATTTGTCATTCTAGATGCCATTAAAAACATTCATGATTCATGGAATGAGGTCAAAATATTCACATTAACAGGAATTTGGAAGAAGTTGGTTCCAACCCCCATGGATGACTTTGAGGGGTTTAAGACTTGAGTGGAGAAATAACTACAAATGTAGTAGAAGTAAAAAAAAAAAAAAAAAAAGAAAAAGAAAAAGAAACTAGAACTGGAAGTGGAGCCTGAAGATGTGACCAAATTGCTATAATCTCATGACATTTTAATGGCTGAGGATTTGTTTCTATGGATAGGCAAAGAAAGTGATTTCTTGACGTGGAATCTACTCCTAGTGAAGATGCTGTAAACATTGCTGAAAATGACAGAAAAAGATTAAGAATATTACCAAAACTTGGCCAGGCACGGTGGCTCACGCCTGTAATCCCAGCACTTTGGGAGGCTGAGGCAGGTGGATCACGAGGTCAGGAGATCGAGACCATCCTGGCTAATACAGTGAAACCCCGTCTTTACTAAAAATACAAAAAATTAGCCAGGCGTGGTGGCGGGCGCCTGTAGTCCCAGCTACTGGGGAGGCTGAGGCAGGAGAATGGTGTGAACCTGGGAGGCGGAGCTTGCAGTGAGCCGAGATTGCGTCACTGCACTCCAGCCTGGGTGACAGAGCGAGTCTCTGTCTCAAAAAAAAAAAAAAAAAAAAAAAAAAAAAGAATATTACTAAAACTTAGTTGAAAAGAAGCAGCAGGATTTGAAAGGATTGACTTCAACTGTGAAAGAAGCTCTACTGTGGGTAAAATGCTATCACACAGCATCACATGCTACAGAGAACTATTTAATGAAAGTAAGAGTCAATCTACATAGCAGATTTCATTGTTGTCTTATTTGAAGAAATTGAATTGCCACAGCCACTCCAGCCTTCAGAAACCACCATCCTGCACCCATCAACTCAACAGTATTTTAAAATTATGTACTTTGTTTTCTTAGACATAACACTATTGCCCACTTAATAGACTATAATATATTGTAAACATAACTTTTATGTACACTGGGAAACCAAAAATTTTGTGTGACTCACTTTATTGTGTATTTGCTTTATTGCAGTGGTATGAAACAAAACTTGCAATATCTCTAAAATATGCCTGTACATTATTCAAGGACTGGTGGGAAGCACCTTCTTTACAATATTTCTTGGTGAAGTAAGAATGTAATATCTACAATTCCCAAGACTTTTCTAGTTCTATCAAATCAATTCTTCTCATCTTTTCTTGTTTGTACCTTCTATTTATCATCTTCCCCTACTGCTCAATAACAAAAGAAGCTCAATACCAAGTAGGGGATTTCCAGTGAATTACACCTTATCGAACAGACTAGATCAACCAAAGAATAATTACCTCAGGATAATTCCTTTTATCTTCTTTTTAAAAATAATCCTTATATCACATGTAATTATTATTCATTTAATGTCTCTGTTGTAAACTAGACTATAAAAGTCTCCAAGAGAAAAAAGACCCTATCAATATTGTTCACCTCTTTACTTCAGCTCTTAGAAAAAGACCTAGCATAAAGAAGGTGTTCAATAAGAATTGTCAAATGATAAATAAATAAATGGATACATGAATTAATGAACACGTAATGCAACATTCACTAGTTTCTTCATGCAACTGCAGACTCAGGACTGAATAATTTTTCTCCTGTTTTTGTTTTTACTATCAAGGTAACTTTCTACAGATTCAGCAGATATATTAGTAAGCATGAGATTTAATGAATAACATGATAGAAAAAATGCAAATTAAATACAAAACAGAAAATAAATATTTGTCATTTTAACGTTCAAAGTTGACAAAAAAAGAAAAATAGTGGTCAATTTGGGCAAAGCTGCAGGAAAAAGGCACTCTTTCTACTGGGAGTATCAATTATAAAAAGATTCATGAAAATTCATCAAATGGACCAAAAACCTTTCAAATTCAATTATAGGTATTTATCCACAGGAAATACTAAAAGATGTACACAAAAGATAGTTGGACAATGTTCTTCATAAGTTGTTTATAATTGTGAGAAACTAAAACATCCTAAATACCCCCAAAATAGGAATTGGTTCAATAATTCAGGCTGTGTTACAATAAAATATTATGAGTCATTAACATTAATGTTGTAGGAAAATATTTAATGACATAGGGACACCGTTACTGTATATTATTAAGTTTTAGAAAAGAAGATTGCAAAGCAGTATTGTTGGTATCATCCTGTTTTGTAGGAAAAAAAGTCATGTACAGACATCATAAAGGCCTAGTCTAAGTTCTAGAAGAATATATGTCAGTGTTATAATGCTTATCTTTGGGTAGTAAGATTATGGGTAATTTTATGTTTCTTCTATAATAAGAAGGAGTGGTAAAAGTTAAATTCTAATAAAAGATATATATCGTCATAAGAAAATATTAGAAAAATATATAGCAAAATTTAAATAGCCATTATCTCTGAGTATAGGATTGTGGGTTAGTTTTATTTTCTTTTCACTTGAATGTATTTCTAAGTTTTATGCAATAATCTCATATTACTTTTGTAATAAGAAAAGTCCATAAAAGTTCATTAAATTTTAATAAAATGCATATGATGTCATAGGAAAAATTTGAGAAGATATACAGCAAAAACAAACAGCAGTTATTTATCTCTGGGTATAGTATAAAGGGAGTTGTATATTTTCTTCTTTTTGCTTCTTAAGACTTTCCATACTTTTAGAATGAGTGTATATGTCTACAGTGAAAGAAAATAAAATGTTATTTGCAAGAACTTTTTGCTACTCTGGGCATGGTGGCTCACACCTGTAATCCAGCACTTCGGGAGGCCAAGGCAGGCGGATCACTTGAGGTCAGGAGCTGGAGACCAGCCTGGCCAACATGGCGAAACCCCATCTATACTAAAAATACAGAAATTAGCCAGGCATGGTGGTGCATGCCTGTAATCCCAGCTACTCGGGAGGCTGAGGCAGGAGAATCACTTGAACCCGGGAGGTGGAGGTTGCCCAGATCCTGCCACTGCACTCCAGCCAGGGTGACAGAGCAAGACTCCATCTAAATAATAATAATAATAACTTTTTTGCCCATCAAGTCACAGGGGCAAAAGTCTCTTTGAATAACCATGTGCCCTAGAAGAGTCACTTAGAAGGTTCTAAGAAGTTGGTAAATAGACTATAAAGATCAAAGAAGTACTTGCTCTCATAAAAATTGTCACTGAGGAAAAGAAGGCAGTAAATTATAGCAATATATTGATCAGAATCCAGGTCAAGTAAATTTTGCACCCAAAATATCAAAGCTGGATTCATACTGCTCACTTCCACCTGTGAATGTCTAGCTACATATAGTTTTTAAATTTACAAAATAATACTGAAATGTCAGATTAGCAGACCAAAAAAAAATTTTTTTTCAAGAGAATAGTTGCTTTAGACCCTCACAGCTTTATCCCCTACTAAAGTCAACACGTAAACTGAACTTTGAAAAGATATTTTATGTGTTGCAGGCAATTTTCACAGATGGAAATTAACTGAGTTAGTAAAATTCTGAATTACAGAAGATTCTAAAATAATTGTGATTGTAATACTGTTTCATACAGTAACAGCAGTTGTGTAAACTGTTGACCCAAGTAGGGTCTGAATTAATGAGTAAAAAAAAAGAAGTAATGCCCTTACATTTGTATAACATTTACCAACATATAAAGCATTTTCATATTTGCTTATTTAATTACAATGCTGTGAAGCAGTTAAGAAAAACTCTAATGTCGGCAGATTTCCCAGCATCACAAAGAATATAAATGTGGTAGAGCAAGACCTTGACCCTTGATTATCAGCCTCCAAAGCCAATACTCTTCACATCACAAAACTCTGTTCCAGTTCTAATTAATTACAGATCATTGACAATAAACAATTTATTGGCTGAAGTCCATATAATCATTTCCTCTGATTTATTTTACGTTTCTTCTTCTTAACTGCCTTTTACATGGCAGCTGCAGAGATACACTGCTATCAGGCCTGGATTGAATTATTATACATTCCTACTGAGTGAAATCACAATTGATAAGGCTTTGGTATAATTGAAAAGATTGTTGGCGTGTTTTGTTTTATTTAATTGCATCAAGAAGCCTGAGAAGAAGTGGGAAGCTGAAAGCAAGAGCAAGTGACTAGGAAGGGAACAGGATGAACAGCACTGCCCAGGGACTTTAAAAGAAGAATCTGGAGGTGTGACAAGATAAGAGAGGGACTGGATGAGTGGGTCTGATGTGCGACAAGATAAGAGAGGGACTGGATGAATGGGTCTGATATGCGACAAGATAAGAGAGGGATTGGATGAATGGGTCTGATGTGAAGAGGATAAGAAAGTCACAGAAGCAGCTGGTTCTGTTATGCCACACTCACAATAACATAAAAAGCCCACATAGCACAGACTAATTTGGCAGTAATCTGAAATAGAAATGCATTAATCCAATTACTCTTCTTGGCAGCCCAAACCACCTACTACCTACGAGCTTTTAGAATCTTAACTCCAGGGCTAGGATGACAAAATGAGTTCCCAGAATAAACAAATCCCATTTTAGGGCAGGATGAGTCATCTTGGGAGGCCTTTATGGCCAGGGGCCATGTTTCCTCCCTGACGTGAATGAAGCCAGCTTCCTACTTTGTGTCTAGGAAGCCTCTCCCTCCTCTGTCCTATCCTCTAACCAGTGCCCACAGCTTTGAAAGATAAACCAAAGTTTGTCTTTTTTCATTTATAGTCACAGTTGTTGCTCATCTCATGGACAAGATTTCTGCTATCCTCAGATGTGTAGATTAGTCAAATATGGGTGTGTAACATCTCAGATGATTGAATTTATAAAACATTGCTGGGCTAGAGAAGGAATATTATTAGGCACTACCTGGGGAGAAATTGAAGATAAATATCTTAAAATTTGAGAATTGGAAAAAATGTTGATTTCTTTTTTTGTGTGGCAGTGAAGCCTTTCCTTCTTGCAGATAAATAGTTAAAATATATAAAACTGGAACTTGATCTATTTCAAAAACATGAGATTTTATAATTAGAAAGAACCTACAAATGAGATAGCAAATAGTTCATATTTCACCTACGGATGTGACCAGTTTTTGGTGACCATCTGCGTCATGTTGAGATGAATGGATGTGTTTGGGCTTAGGCAAAAAGGTGGTCATGATGGATGGATGGATTGCTAATGGCTGCTCTCAAGTTCACTATTGTAAATTTTAAACACAAATAAAATCCTACAGTGGTCACATAATGTGACAATGGTAGTAACTCAAGTTCTTTTTCTTTGTCTTTACAATCACTGAACCATCATATTTGTCTC
The DNA here is from genome assembly GCF_000001405.40 of Homo sapiens. Taxonomy (NCBI): domain Eukaryota; kingdom Metazoa; phylum Chordata; class Mammalia; order Primates; family Hominidae; genus Homo; species Homo sapiens. Next base: position 221,613,401 of record NC_000001.11, read on the forward strand.
CAATCTACTGTTCAGATTTGGTACTATGTAGCATCACAGGGCTTGGAGATAAACTGCACTGCACTCGAAGCAAGCTGGAATCATTCTAAATCATCACAAACTTCCCCTCAAAACAAATGGCTGTAGTTGAGTCCACACATTGTTCCTTATTGACTATATACTGGAGAGTTCCTCCAACTTACTTCGGAATACAATACAATGTTTGTAAAAGAACATAATGTTTATTAAACACATCAATAAGAAAAATGAGCTAATTTGAAACTTACATATATGTTATTAGAACAAACTAGTAACTGTTTAATTATTTAGAGCTTAGGAAAAATGTTTTTCAAGGAAGATATTTTATGATTGACTTTTTTTTAGAATTGCTTGCATCCTGTGAAGACAGACAAGCCAACTTTAGTGAGCTTTTTTTTAAAAAATTATTTTCTATAGACAGTGCATCCCCTTATTGCCTACCTCTGGGCAGACAGCTCCCAAAAGCCCATGCCTACACGCTGCCCATGGCATCTATGCAGGTATTTGACACCCTGATCCTCTATAATCCTCATTCTATGAGCCCCAGTAAAATGACCTATGTAAGATAGTGCAGGTACAGAGCTGGGATTAATACTTCAATTACTTGAATCAGAGGTTGATCTAATTTAATAGATAATCCCAGTTTTTCCTCTGAACTGCAGTGCCACCTCTGTCAAGTATCAACTTTCCATCTAAGTATGAATCTATTTCTGTGCTCCCTATTCTGTTCAATTAATCAATATGCCTATTCCCATGCCAATGTATCTAGCATAATGAAGAAAAACCCTGGATATCAGGTAGGGTAGGTGCCCACCATGATTATTTTCCCTCCAAATTGCCATGGATTTTTGTTGGCTCTGATTTTCTTCATTAAAAATTGTAAGACCAGGCTATCTGGTTCAATGGAGAAAGTTGTTGCGATTTTGATTGGAATTTTGTTTGAATTTATAGATCACTTTGGCAAGCATTGTCACCTTTGCAATGTCTTTTTCCTTTACACAAATTTCATATATCTTTTCTTTTGTTTGCATTAACATCTTTCAAGAATATTTTATATTTTTTCATAAATGTATGGTTACACATTTCACAAGTTGACTTTTAAATGCTATAAATTTTTGTGCTCATGAATTTCCAGCCCTCAGTTTTTGGTGTCTAGAAACATAATTGACCTAGTGTATCAATTTTATTTCATGCACTATGACTAAACTCTTTTATTAATCCTGACACTATACCTGAAAAAGCTTTTGGATTTTCTATGCAGACAATTATGTAACCAATAAATAATCTGCTGGGTTTTCCTTTTTATTCAATTATTTTTTTATTTTACTTAGTTTTTTGTGTGCATATGTTTATTTTTTTGCTTGTCTTATGGCTCTGGCTAGGACCTCTTTTGGGGATCAGGGGAGGACAAGAGTCTTGCTGTGTCACCCAGGCTGGAGTGCAGGAGCACTAACTCCTGGACTCAAGCCATGTTTTGGCCTCAGCCTCCCAAGTAGCTGGGACTACAGGCACGTGCCACAGTGCCCATCTAATTTTAAAATTTTTTGTAGAGACAGGGTCTCGCTATGATCCCCAGACTAGTCTCAAACTCCTGGACTGAAGCAATCCTCCCACTTCAGCCTCTCAAAGCTCTAGGATCATAGACATGAGCCATTGCATCTGACCTCTGGCTAGGACCTCTTAAATAATGTGGGATAGAAATGGCAGTACTAAAAGTTCTTATCTTTTTTCTGATTTAAAAGGCAAAGTTTTAATGTTTTGCCATTAAGGGTAATGTTTGCTAAAATTTAAAAACATATCCCTTTATCAAATTAAGGATATAATAATGTATTCCTATTTGTTAAAAATTTTTTTTTTAAGTCATGACTCGGTATGTATTTTTTCCTGAATCTTTTTGAATAATTTTAGGATTTTCCTCTTTTAATCTGTAAATGCGATGGATGATAATTGATATAGTTGGATGTGTGTCCTCACCCAAATCTCATATTTAAATGTAATCCCCAGTGTTGGAGGTGGGACCTGCTGGGAGGTGACTGGATCGTGGAGGCAGGTTTCTCATGAATGGCTTAGCTCCATCCCTCTTGATACTGTCCTCCCAAAAGTGAGTGAGATATGGTCACTTAAAAGTGTGTAGCTCCCCCTTCATGCTCTTGCTCTTGTCATATGAAGTGTCTGCTCTTGCATTGCCTTCCATCATGAGTAAAAGCTCTCTGAGGCCTCCCTAGAAGCAGATGGCACCATGCTTCCTGTACAGCCTGCAGAACCATAAGCCAGTTAAACTGATTTTCTTATAAATCACCTAGTCTCAGGTATTTCTTTATAGCACTGTGAGAACAGCCTTAATACAATAATAATTGATTTTCTAATCTCAAATCAACTCTACATTCCCAGATAATGATATATTTACATATTTCCAGACATGGTTTGCAAGTATTTAAGATACATAACTCTGTGTGAGATTGCCTTATCAATGGTCTTTTCCCTACTACTTGTTTGATGTAATCTCTAAATTATAATGGCCACATAAAATAATTTAAGAAGTGTTTCTTATTTTTCTGTATTCTAAGAAACTTTATGTAAGATTTGGAAATAGCTGTTCAGTAAACATTAGTAGAAGATGTCTGTAAATCCTCTGGGCTTTATTTTTTTGTGAGTAGGTTTTTTATTACCAGTAACATTTATTAACTGTCATAGTACAATTAGGCTTTCCAATTGTTTTATTGCATACTTTGACAAATCATATTTTTTTAGAAATTATCTTATCTAAGTTTTAAAATGTGTTGATACAAGTTGGTTCACATTTTGTTATGTTAATTTCTCCTCCATCCAAAGCTGCGTCCTACTTTTTGATTCCTAATATTATTTAGCTGCACCTTCTCTGTTTCATGATCAGTCTTTCCACAGAATTATCATACTGTTCTTCTTTAGAGCAAGCAAGTTATTGGTTTGTAGATCTCCATTGCATGTTTATTTTATATTTCAATTTTTTAAGTATTAATTTCTTCTTTTTATTTTCTTTGAGTTTATTCTTTTTCTAACTTCTAAAGTTAAATGCTTATTTAGTTAATTTGCAGAGTCTCTCCTTTTCAAATATATGTATTTAAAGCAGTACATTTTATTCAACCAACCACTTTTCTCATATTAGGCAATTTTTTAATCTATTTTTTGTTTGTCTTGGTATGTATTTTCTAATTTCAGTGACTTTTCAAAACAATTTGGACACATGCATTTTTATGATATGTGTTTTTTAATTTGCAAAGTTGGGGTGTGGTAAGTTTCTTATAAATTCCTATTTTAATTTAGGGACAGAAAAGCAGTATAGCTTAAGCAGGTTAAATGAAATGTGTTGAGACTTTAAGTGGCCACATTTGGTAAATGTGCTGGGGATGTTTAAAGAGATTATTTATTTTCCATTTGTTTAGTATATATTCTATATGTGCCCATTAGATCAACTTTGATAATTGAATTTCTTGAATCTTTATACATTTGCTGATTTATTTCTCTCTCATCTAACAGTTACGGAGAAAGATATTAAAGATTTGTAAATTCTCTACTATAATGTGGATTTTTCAATTTCTCTTTGTACTTTTGACAATCTTTGTTTTACATATATTTAAACTATCTTAGCAAATATATAGTTTATAAATTTTTATATTTTTCTATACACTTTATGCTTTCTTATTAGGTATATATTACCCTCTTTATGTTTTGCTTTATAATGCCTTTTGCCTCAAAGTCTAATTTTTCCAATGTTAGTTTTGCCATCCAAGCTTACTTAAGTTAAAATTTACCTGACATATCTTTTCTCATCATTTTATATTCAATCTTTCTGTGTTCTTAGGGTTTATGCATTTCCTTGTTCCTTGTTAACAGCATATATCAGGATTTAAAAAATCTTTTTAGCTCAGTTTTGTTTTTGTTTGTTTGTTTGTTTTCTAAAGACAAGATTTCACTATGTTGCCTGGAATAGCCTTGCAATCCTGGGCTCAAAGGAGCCTCTCACCTCAGCCTTCCAAGTAGCTGCAACTACAGGTGTGTGCCATTGCACCCAGCTTGTTTTTGTTTTTGCTATAATAATTTTTGGCTTTTAATGTGGAGTTCAGACCATATAAATTGATTACTATTCCTGATATGTTTATATTTATTTATTTTTATTATTATTACTTTTTACTGGGACATGGTCTCACTTTGTTGCCCAGGCTGGTCTTGAACTCCTGGTTTCAATTAATATTATCTTAGTTTGTATTTTCTATTTATTCTTTTTTCTCTTGTTGTTGTTTTGTTTTGTTTTTAATTTACCTTCTATTCTTACCTTCTTTTGCATTGCTTGGGTTGGGATTATTGTTTTCTCATTCCACTCCTAATCCTCTGCTGGTTTGGAAGGTACATACTCTATTTCTGTTATTTTAATAGTACTCCTGGAATAATTTTAACATATTGAAATAAATATAAAATCAATCAATACCCTTATCCTCTCATAAAACTACAAGGACATGGCAATTCATTAATTCCATTTGCTACTTCCTCTAGATTTATTACTGTCTATAATTTTAGAACTAAGATGATTTTTCAACCCACAAAATAGTTTATTTTACAGTTAATCTTTACATTTACCAATCTATTACCATTTTTCTTAACATTTCTTTTCTGCATCTTAGCTCTTCTTAAAATCATTTTTCTTCTTCTTGAAGTGCACCTTTAAAAATCTCTTAATTGGGGATTTGTTAGTGATAATCTTATCTGTTGTGTGTCAGAATCCATTTTTATTTTGCAATTGTTTTTGAAAGATAATTTTTCTGAGTAAATAATTATAAGTTTAAATTTGTTTTCTCTCATTATGACAAGGATTCTGTTTCACTGGTTTCTGGTTTATCTTGCTACTATTAGAGGTGTAAATATAGTTGACATTCATTTTTTAGTTAGTATAACTTTCTCTGTGCATATTTAAGATTTTCTCTGTCTTGTGCATTCTGTAATTTTATGTTGTATCTCATTCTTGTCTGGTTTGAGTTTCATTATACTAGCTCAACCACAGAATTGGTGTCTTCTGTGAACAGAAGTTTTCTGAAGTGGCATTTGGAGAGAAGACTTTATTCCAGGGAACAGTTTGTAAACTGGGGAAATGCAGCCTTAGGTATAAAGTGGAGTACTTCAGAGAACAAAGGGAGGGTTTGACTTTTACAGAAAAAATTCCTGCCCAAGTTCCCAATCAGGTTCATTTATGCAAATGAAGGAGTGAAACTTGCTTAGTCTTGATTGGTTGATGCAGCTGAGCCATGATTGGTTGATGGGCTGAGGCAGGTGAGCTCTGATTGGTTGGTTCAAGTGAGTTCTGAAGGTCCCAAAGTTAAATAGAGGTGTTTGGGTTTTCAAGGAACTCAGAGTATGTGTGTGACATCTAGTCAGTGAATGATTGCGTGGTTCTATTTTAAATTTAGGCCTAGTTAGCCACTTGGAATCCATCTTGAAGGACTGGGTCTTTCAGATACACATTTGTTCGCGTTTCTGACCAATTGTAAAAATTCTCAAACCTTATCTTTGTGAATATTGTGTATCCCCCTGTTTATCTCTCCTAAAGTCCAATTAAGTCTATATTACTATCTCAGTTATTCATAGTTTGCAACTATTTGTCTCTCTGTGGTCTAATTAGACTTTCATCTACATCTAAACTATTTATTCCAGTCAGTAAGCCTTAAATTTATACACATACATATTAACATATATATATGAAAGTGATATGTATTTATACCTATACAAAAGTCTATCTGTATATATCATATTTCTAGACATTTTGTTAGGATCATTTTCATAGCTGCTATGTCATGTTCTCTTGGGTTTTACTCATACTTTTGATTTTGCATTTTCTGATTTTAAATAAATTAAATTTACTTATTTTATTTCTCTATTTAATATTCTAAAATTTGCTTAGTTTTTTTGTGCCATAGACATAGTGCAAATCCAAGCCCCCAACTAATGTGATTGTTAAGATTTTTCAAGGGAGAGCTCTTCGCTAAGAGCTGAATACTAGATAGACACATTTTCTCCCATAACCCTTTTGTCTGGTTTCTTTATTCACTGAGAATATTGCCCTGTGGGTTACAACAGAGATGTTTCTACCCTTACAGAATGTTTTGGATAGTTGTACAAACATTTTTGATTGTCTCATTAAATTAAGGAATGTGATTGGCACTTACTGGGTAGAATTCAGAAATATTAGATGCTCACAATATACAGAACTGCACACTGCAATAAAAATCTTTCTTATTGATGAAAAAATTATTTAGAATTATGTGATCCTAGTAGATAATGTCATTAGACATATAAACCTAAAGTAGTTTTTTATTTTAAAAATATCTTGATTTATTTCCAGGAATGAAGCTTTCTTTCATATTAATTATTGCTATATTTTGCTCATAATTTTTCCAAGAGTTGGGCACCATTTTAGAAAAGTATTCTCCATGAAAATGCTACTCATAGACCTAAAGTTGTGATACCATGCATTTGTATTAGCTGCAGCCATAGCTGTCACTCATGGTGAGTCCACAGATAAGAGTAAGCGGCTGATTCTTATGCCTTCCAGTGCCTTCATAATTTTTGTAGTTATATACTTGTTAATTTATTATAATTTACTCTTACTTCTCGTTTATGTTTTAGTTGGGGCAATGACATTCTTTAAATTATGCAACTTATACTATGAATTTTATTTCAGAATAATAAAGGGGACATTATAAAATTTTGAAAAAAGGGAGTTGTTTCTGATGGGTTTATGTACTACTGGGGTAACCCTCCCAGGGGTCCCGGATTTATATAAGTAATTTAGGCTGAACTTCCTACTTGGAAAACCAAAAGCTTAAAACTATAACGCTAAGTCACTAGAAATAAGAGAATCATTGGAATCCTGTTCCTGTTTTATTTGTCTTCCCTCAGGATTTTCCTTAAAGTCTTGCCAAGTCAGCCATGCATTTTAGATTTTATTTTAAAATATTTAATTTAGGATTTACATCTGTAAATGGGATGGCAATACTTAACTTCCTGACCCACAGGATTTTTCTGAGTCAAAGCAGAATGCACATATAAGCACTTTATAAAATATTAATTACTAAGTAAATGCAAGTAATTATTAGCCACAGTGTGCCCATTGCTTAATTATTTACACAAGGAACTCTAACAGAAAAACTCAAAATAAATAAACGCAAACATCCTAAGTTGGAAGAATCACCATTCCATGGTGTCATGGCTTGGAGCCTGTTTCCTCTTCCTCGTCACCCTCCAATCCTACGAAAAGTATTGGATCTAAGCAAGGGAAACAACTCATTGCTACACTGTTTTGAGAAAAAACAGATTATATTATATTAGCTAAAGTCTTTAAATGGGCAACATGATCATTGAATAGGTTTAAGGAAAAGCAGATTTTTTTCAGATGAGCAAAGGCTCTCCTGCCATGAGGATCAGAGCCATCCACCTGGCCCTCTTCCAGATTAGGTAATTATTGTCTGCCTCTGGCCTGGCTCCTCATTCCCTGTCTTTCCTGCTGCCCAAATTACCAATTGCTTATGTTAATCTCAGCAGAAAGATCTTGAACAATTGCCATCTTCTGGGCTTGGGGAGTGGAAGGAGGTGAAATGCCTTTGGGGGCAGGATAGAGTGAATCATAATCTGTTCTTTAAAGGCAGAAAGCATCTTTGGAGAGCAGAAGGACAAACCTTTTGTAGTCTATCTGTTCAGCATGTAATATGAGATATAATGGATGATTACAAAAGAGTCTCTAGATGTACTGTACTTTCAATGTTTAAAAGCAGGCGCTGAAAAACCCTGTGCCTGAGTGGGGAGGAGAGTGTTACAAAATAACATTGTCAGCCAAGGGTGAAGCTGCATCAAGCTTGGATGCCAGCTCTGCATTTGAGAGTGCGCAGTATGGAGTAATGATAACTGTTAAAGGTTTGGTGGAAGAGACAGACTTTGCAGAGAGCTTGTTGGATGGGGGTTAATGGTCAGGAAGCTCAATTCATACCAGGAAGTGTGCAGAAATGGGGATTCGCAACCACACAAGGAATGACACGAGCTTCATTCACAGACTGTAGAGTGTTACATTCTTACTTTTTTTTTCAGGATGAAACTAAGATTCAAGTGATAAAGTAGCTTCTCCAAATTTTCAGTGAGTTAGGGACAAAACTGAGAGAGAATTCCAGATTCCACTGTAGTTATACCATCTCCTCCAAATTTACCAAGTACACAGCTTGTGGGAACTTGGTATTCTGAGATAGAAAATCCTGCCCACCTTTTAACTCATCAAATATCACAATATCAACTCCTTTCAACTGATGGCATTTCTATTCCAAGCTAGACTAGGTAGGCAAGACTCCTGGCACTCTCTTTCAGGAGTATGAGTGGGCCAGGAACTCTCACGGTGGCTGGAAAGAAGTTGCAAGTTCAAGAATACCTTTAATTTATTCATTGTACCTGCTGCTGAGAAGCCTCACAGTATTGGCTCCTCTCCTGGAAAATTTGCTAACTAGTCCTGTGAGCCTGACTTCACTGATTGCATATCTAACTATTAGTCAATAAACTAGACCACCCTTCTTGAAGCTTCTCAGTTTTCCATATTAGTAGTACAGAAAGCCTGAAAAGCAGATTTAAGAAGGTTTCGCTGCTTTTTATTTCAGGGTTCTTAAGAGCACAAAAGTAAATTTAAGAAGGTGCATCACCCTGGTTCAAAGTCAACACATGAGGGTCTAAAGATGAGAGAACAAGAATCTAGATCTTGCCAAGTGGACAAAATGGGAAGCGTTCTAAGCTACAATACTCAGAGCACCAGTGAATATCACATATGCAATGTGGAGTAAAAGAAGTCAGATACAAAAATGTACAATATGATGCCTGTATATAAAGTTTTAAAAAGTAAAAAGGTTCTTTGTCATTAGGCATCTGGGGAGTGGAGAGTGGCTATCCTTGCTGAGGTTCCTGACTATAAGAGGCACAAGAGAATTTGTGGGGGACTTACAGGTTTCTGCATCTAGACAAGAGTGCTGGTTACGTAGGTGCATTTACTTAATAAAATTTTGTCAAGCTGTAACTTATGGTTTGCTCACTTTTCTGCATGTATGTTATACCTCACTCAAATTTGCCAAAAGAAAAAAAAAAGGAATAATGGAAGGAGGTGTTCTGGTATAAATTGCTGACTAAGAAGGACATTCTGGCAGTAATATGATTGCTTTGAATCTCTATTTTCAATTTTATCTCTTTAATTTTTAATAGAGTTAGAGGAAAACAAGAGGAAAAAGAGGAAAAAATGGTAGTACACATGTAATTCACGGCTATGGGGCCTGGATTGGTTAAACAATTATATGTGCTCTGAAATGGACTACCCAAAGGGAATCATTAAAGTTATAAATTCAAGTATAACCATAATAGATCTGTTGCCAGTTCAACGTGTGTGGCAAGTCAATACATGGAGACACTGGGTGGCAGCAGAAAAAGAGGTTTAATCATAGAGCTGTTGAAAGAGAAGATGGGAGGAAACCTCAAATCCATCTCTCGAAGGAGTTTGTGTCCAGAGTTTTTAAGTGTTTTGGAAGTGGTCCAAAGTATGGAGATAGTTGTTGGTCGAAGAGTGAAGGGTGAAGTCATGGGACAAAGAGATGAAGAAACTATTCTCATGCTGATTCTGTTCCTCTCTGGGGGTCTTCAAACTGGTGGCATCAGCCTTTCCATTGAAATTCAGGATCTGAAAAACATCTTAAGCAATTCTTACACAAAAGCCTTAAGATTCTAAGGTTCTAACATCAGAAATTCTACCTATGAAAACAATAGGGATGCGAATGGTCAGTGTCAACCACTGAGTGACTTTCTGTTGCAAGGGAGTGGACCAAAGTGCAGCCTAATTAATGCTTAATTGTAGCTACGTTTCAGTCAAGAATTGTTGTTAATCCTGTAAAGATGTCATCACAAGTCAATTTGAATAAATTCTGCAAATACATTTATCATACTCTATTATATGCTTGGAGCAAAGACCCACTGTAGGTAGTTCCCAGCCAATCAAAGAATCTCTGGATCTAATTTCAGCTTAGATCCTAATCAGAAAAAGAGTCTTTCCACAAAAATAAATTAATATCATCTCCCCTTTACTGCAGAGTGTCAGCAAAGACAAAAGAGGAAGGACAGAGAGCTGAGATGAGAACAAAGTGCCATAGGCCAAAGAAAGAGAAATCTGGTAGACAGTTGGCATTCTGGAGCACTTAATGGGTAAAGAAACTCTCTTTAGCAATCAAGTGATATAAACTCTACTAAACTTGGAATAATTTTTTTTTTTTTTTTTTTTGAGATGGAGTCTTGCTCTGTCACCCAGGCTGGAGTGGAGTGCAGCGGGGCGATCTTGGCTCACTGCAATCTCTGCTTCCCATGTTCAAGCGATTCTCCTGCCTCCGCTTCCCAAGGCTGACAGGGTTTCACCATGTTGGCCAGGCTGGTCTCGACCTCCTGACCTCAGGTGACCTGCCCGTCTCTGCCTCCCAAATTGCTGGGATTACAGGTGTGAGCCACTGTGCCTGGCCTATTTTTTTTTAATTTTTAATTTTTGTGAATACATACTAGGATGTATATATATTTATGGAATACATGGTACAGGCATGCAATGTGTAATAATCACATCATAGAAAAAGGGGATCCATCCCCTCCCCTCAGGCATTTATCCTTTGTGTTACAAACGATTCACTTATACTCTTTCAGTTATTTTAAAATGTACAACTAAGTAATTATTGACTATAGTCATCCTGTTGTGTTAGCAAATGTTAAGTCTTATTCATTCTTTTCAGCTATTTTTTGGAACCATTAAGCATCCCCACCTCCCCACTACCCGTCCACTACCATTTCCAGCCTCTGGTAACCATTTTTCTACTCTCTATCTCCATAAGCTCAATTCTTTGGGTTTTTAGATCCCACAAAAAATTGATAACATTCAGTGTTTGTCTTTCTGTGCCTGGCTTATTTCACTTAACATCTATGTTGTTGCTTCATCTATGTTGTTGCAAATGACAGGATCTCACACTTTTTATGGCTGAATAGTACTCCATTGTGTATAAGTATCATAGTTTTTTATTCATTCTTCTGTTGATGGACACTTAGATTGCTTCCAAATATTGGCTATCATTAACAGTGGTTCAACAAACATCAGAGTTCAGCTATCTCTTCAATAAACTGATTTTCTTTCTTTTGGGTATATAACCAGCAATGGGATTGCTGGATCGTATGGTAGCTCTATTTTAGTTTCTTGAGGAACCCCTTAATTATTCTGCATAGCAGTTTTACTAATTTACATTCCCACCAACAGTGTATGAGGGTTCTCTTTTCTCTGTAACCTCTCCAGCATTTGTAATTGCTTGTATTTTGGATAAAAGCCATTTTAACTGGAGTGAGATGATATCTCATAGTAGTTTTCATTTGCATTTTTCTGATGGTCACTGATGTTGAACACCTTTTCATATGCCTGCTTGTCATTTGTATGTCACCTTTTGAGAAATATTCAAATATTTTTGCCCATTTTAAAATCAAATTGTTAGATTTTTTCCTGTTGAGTTGTTTGAGCACCTCATCTATTCTGGTTATTAAGCCCCTGTCAGATGTACAGTTTGCAAATATTGTCTCCCATTCTGTGGGTTGTCTCTTCACTTTGTTGATTGTTTTCTTTTCTATGCAGAAGCTTTTTAACTAGATATGATCCCAGTTGTCCATTTTTGCTTTGGTTGCCTGTGCTTTTGAGGTATTACTCAAGAAAGCTTTGCCCAGACCAACATTCTGCAGAATTTCCCCAATGTTTTCTTGAGTGGTTTCATAATTTGTGGTCTTAGATTTAAGACTTTAATCCATTTTTATGTGATTTGTGTGTGTGGTGAGATAGGGGTCTAGTTTCATTCTTCTGCATATGGATATCTAGTTTTCCCAGAACCTTTATTGAAGAGACTGTCTTTTCCCCATGCTCTTGGCACCTTTGTCAAAAATGAGTTCACTGTAAGTGTGTATTTGTTACTGGGTTCTCTATTCTGTTCCACTGGTCTATGGGTCTGGGTCTGCTTTTATGACAGCACTATACTGTTTTGGTTACTATAGCTCTGTAGCATAATTTGAAGGCAGATAATGTGAGTCCTCTAGTTTTGTTATTTTTTGCTCGGGATAGCATTGGCTATTCTGGATTTTCTATTGCGCCATATAAATTTTAGATTTTTTTTCTATTTCTGTGAAGAATTTCACTTTTATTTTGATAGATATTGCACTGACTCTGTAGGTTGCTATGGGTAGTATGGACATTTTAATAATATTGATTCTTCCAATCCATGAACATGGAATATCTTTCCATTTGTGTGTGTGTGTGTGTGTGTGTGTGTGTGTCCTCTTCAATTTCTTTCATCAGTGTTTTATAGTTTTTATTGTGGAGATCGTTCACTTCTTTGGTTACATTAATTCCTAGGTGTTTAATTTTATTTGTGGCTATTGTAAATGGGATTTTTAAAATTTCCTTTTCATGTTTTTCACTGTTGGCATATGGAAACGCTACTGATTTTCATATGTTGATTTTGTATCCTTCAACTTCACTGCATTTGTTTATCAGTTCTAATAGTTTTCTTGCAGAGTCATTAGCTTTTTCCAAATATAAGATCATATCATCTGAAAACAAGGATAATTTGACTTTATCCTTTCTGATTTTGGTGCCTTTTATTTCTTTCTCTTGCCTAATTGCTGTAGCTAGGACCTCAGTACTATGTTGAATAACAGTGGTGAAAGCCGGCATTCTTGTCATGTTCCAGGTCTTTAAAAAAAGGCTTTAAGTTTCCTCCATTCAGTATGATAGTAGCTGTGGGTCTGTCACATATGGCTTTTATTATGTTGAAGTATGTTCTTTCTATACCCAGTTTTTTGAGGGTTTTTACTATGAAGTGAAATGGAATTTTATCCAGTGCTTTTTCAGGATGGATTGAAATGATCATATGGGTTTTGTCCTTCATTGTGTTGAAATGATGTATCACACTGATTGATTTTTGTATGTTGAACCATCCTTGCATCTCTAGGATAAATCCCACTTGGTCATGATGAATGATCTTTTTAATGTAATTTTGAATTTGGTTTGCTAGTATTTTGTTGAGAATTTTTGCATCAATACTCATCAGAGATATTGTTCTATAGTTTTCTTTTTTTCCATGTGTCTTTGGTTTTGGTAGCAGGGTAACACTGATCTTGTAGAATGCATTTGGAAGTACCCACTCCTCCTCTGTTTTTTGAATAGTTTGAGTAGGATTTGTGTTAGTCCTTCTTTAGATGCTTGGTAGAATTCAGCAGTGAAGCCGTCAGGTCCCAGGCTTTTCTTTATTGGGAGACTTTTAATTGTACCTCCTATTTTGTTACTTGTTATTGGTCTATTCCAGTTTTGGATTTGTTCATGGCTCAGTGTTGGTAGGCTGTATGTGTCTAGGAATCTATCCATTGACTCTAGATTTTCCAATGTATTGGCATATAATTGCTTATATAGCCACTAATGAGCCTTTAAATTTCTGAAATGTCAGTTGTAATGTCTTCTTTTTTATCTCTGATTTTATTTATTTGGGTCTTCTCCCTTTATTTCTTCATTAATGTGGCTAAAGACTTGTTGATTTTGTTTATCTTTTCAAAAAAACAACTTTTTGTTTCATTGATCTTTTGTATTGTTTGATTCATTTCAAATTCATTTATTTTTACTCTGATCTTTATTCTTTTCTACTAATTTTGCTATCAATTTGCTCTTGCTTTTCTAGTTCTTTAAGATGCATAGTTGGGTTATTTATTTAAAGTTTTTCTTCTTTTTTGATGTAAACACTTATACCTATAAATTTGCCTGTTAATACTACTTTTGCTGTATCTCATAGATTTTGGTATGTTGTATTTCCCTTATCATTTGTTTCAAGAAATTTTTCAATTTCCTTTTTAATCTGTTCACTGACCCACTGGTCATTTAGGAGCAAATTGTTTAATTTCCATGTGCTTTTATAGTTTCCAAAATTCCTATTGCTGTTGATTTATAGTTTTATTCTATTATTGTCAGAGAAGATGCTTGATTTTTTTTTTTAATGTTTTAAGACTTGCTTTGTGGCCTAACATATGGCTCTCCTTGAGAATGATCCATGTGCTGAGCAGAAGAATGTATATTCTGCAGCTATTATATAAAATGCACTGTAAAAATCTATTAGGTGTCTTTATTCTCTAGTACAGATTAATTTCAACGTTCCTTTGTTGATTTTCCATCTGGAAGATTTGTTCAATGCTGAAAGTGGGGTTTTGAAATCTCCAGCTATTATTGTATTGAGTCTGTCTCTCTCTTTAGCTCTAATAATATTTGCTTTATATATTGGTGCCACAGTGTTAGGTGCATATATATTTACAATCATATCCTCTTCCTGAATTGATCCTTTTATCATTATATACTGACCTCTTTTATCTCTTCTTCCAGTTTTTGTCTTGGAATCTATTTTGTCTGATATAAGTATAGGTATTCTTGCTCTTTTTGGGTTTTTATAGCCATGGAATATCTTTTTCCACCTCTTTATTTTCAGTCTATGTGTGTGTGTGTGTATATATATATATATATAATATGTATTTTTTTGAGATGGAGTTCACTTTTGTCACCCAGGCTGGAGTGCAGTGGTGCAATCTTGGCTCACTGCAACCTCCGACTCCCAGGTTCAAGCAATTTTCCTGCCTCAGTCTGTGTGTATATTTACAAGTCAAGTGTGTTTCTTGTAGGCAACAGATCAGTCTTGTTTTTTCATCCATTCAGCCACTCTATGTCTTTTGATTGGAGACTTTAGTTTATTTACGTGCAATGTTATTATTGATTCATAAGGACTTACTCCTGCCATTTTGTCATTTGTTTTCTGATTGTTTTTGGTTGTCTCTCCCTTCTTTCCTTCCTTCCTGTCTTACTTTTAGTGAAGGTGATCTTCTCTAGTGGTATGTTTTAATATCTTGATTTTTTATTTTTTGTATATCTGTTTTATGTTTTTTTATCTGAGGTTACTATAAGACTTGCAAATACCATCTTGTAACCCATTATTTTAAACTGATGATAACACTTACTTGATAAACAAAGAAGCTAACAAGTAACAAGAAAACTAATAAAAACTCTATACTTTAACTTTGTTCCCCTCTTTTTAACTTTTTGTTGTTTCTCTTTATGTCTTATTGTACTATGTCTTTAAAAGTTTTTATAGTAATAATTCTGATTGGTTCATTATTTAGTCTTTCTACTTAAGACAAAAGTAATTTACACACCACAGTTACAGTGCTGTAATAGTCTGTGTTTTTCTGTGTACTTATATTACCAGTGAGTTTTATACCTTCAGATACTTTCTTCTTGCTCATTAACATCTTTTTCTTTCAGATTGAAGGACTTGCTTTAGCATTTCTCATAGGACAGGTCTGTATAGATGAAATCCCTTAGCTTTCATTTGTCTGGGAAGGTTTTTATTCTTCTTCACACCTGAAGGATTTTCAGTGAATGTACTCCTTCAGCATTTTAAATATGGCATGCCATTCTCTCTTGGCCTGTAAGGTTTCCCCTGAAAAGTCTGCAGCTAGATGTATTGGAGCTCCATTACATGTTGTCTGTTTCATTTCTCTTGCTGCTTTTAGGATCCTTTCTTTATCTTCAACCTTTGGGAGTTTGATTATTAAAAGTCTTGATGGAGTCTTTGGTCTAAATCTGCTTGGTATTCTAGAACCTTCTTGTACTTGAATGTTGGTATCTTTGTTTAGGTTCTCTGTTATTATCCCTTTGAAAAAACTTTCTACCCTGATTTCTTTCTCTACCTCCTTTTTAAGGCTAATAACTTTAAGATTTGCCTTTTTGAGGCTGTTTTCCAGATCTTGTAGGCATTCTTCATTCATTTTTATTCTTTTTTCTTTTGTCTCCTCCTGTTGTGTATTTTTAAATAGCCTGTTTCAAGCTCACTAATTCTTCTGCTTGATAACTCTGCTATTAAGAGACTGATGCATTCTTCAGTGTGTCAGTTACATTTTTCAACTCTAGGATTTCTGCTTAATGCTTTTTAATTATTTCAATTTCTTTGTTAAATTCATCTGATGGAATTCTGAATTCCTGCTCTGCATTATCATAAATTTCTTTGGGTTTCTTCAAAACAGCTGTTTTGAATTATCTATCTGAAAAGTCACATATCTCTGTTTCTCCAGTATTGGTCCCTGGTGCCTTATGTTGTTTGTTTGGTGAAATCATGATTTCCTAGATGATCTTGATGCTGGTAGATATTTGTCAGTGTTTGGGCATTGAAGAGTTAGGTATTTATTGTCATCGTCTCAGTCTAGGCTTGCATCTGTCCTTCTTGGGAAGGTTTTTCAGGTTGAATAAATGTTTATAAAGAGAATAAGGCTCTAATTTTTAAAAGCAACATTGTACATGGATTGGAATTAGACTGCACAATATAGGACACAGAACAGTGCATTTTATCATTCATTTGTTCTGTGTCAAACACTAGAATAAATAAAACTGATGACATCTCTGCTTTCATTAAGCTAGCAATTCTACTGTGAGTGTTAGAAAGAGAGGGAACATATATAAATAAGTAGGTTAACATGTAACATTCCAAATGATAATGAGTGTTATAGTTAAAAAAGAAATCAGGTGAGGTAGGTCAGAAAGTACGGTGGTGGAGACTGCTATCTTATATACAGTGATTATAGAATCCCTCATTACTCATATAACCTTTGAAGAGACTCAAAGTACCTAAGGAAGTGAAATATGTAGACATCTGGGAGAAGAATGTTTCAGAACAAAGAAAAAGCAAGTGCAAATATCCTGAGGTAGGGATGTGTTTGCTGCTTAAGGAATAACAAAGCCAGTGTTGTCAGATGAAATCAAGTAAGTTGGGGATGGGAAGAAGGGAGATTGGAAGAAGCAGAAGTCAGATTACAAGGGCTCTTGTGGACCATTATCAGGAATTAGCTGAATGTGAAGAAAAGCCACAGAAGAGCTCTGAGCACATGAGAGACATAATGTAACCTTTGTTTTTTAAAGCTTCATCTGGCTGCTGGGTTGAGGACATTCTGTAGAGGAGGAGGGACAGAAGCAGGGAGGCCCATTAGGATGTTACTGTGATGATCCAGAGGAGAGATAGTGGAGGTTTGGCCCAGACAAAAGATTACAGATCTGTGGCTCAGGGTGGCAGCAGCAGATGAAGCAAAGACTGGTTGACCTCTAGGTGTATTTTGAAGGCAGAGTTGACAGAATATTCTGATAGATTAAATATAGGGAATGAAAAAAAGAATGAAGGAAGACTCTGTTTTTTGGGCAAATCAACTTTTGGAATTCAATAGAGGCCTAGACTGATGTGAGATACGATATGCCAAAATTTAGAATCTACCTAAAAGCATGCAGCTAAATAAGATTACCTGAAGATTTGGTGTGGGTAGAGAAGAGGTCTGTGGGCTAAACTCTGGATTGGGTCAACATTTTAGAAGAATGAAGACAAATCATCAAGGGAGTCTAAGGAATGAGCACTGAGGTCAGAAGCCCAAGAGAAATCCAGAAGCCAAGTGCAGAAAGTGTTTCAAGATGGACAGAGTGGCAAGCCCTATGAAGGACTCTAACAGATCCACTAGGATGAGAACTGAGGCCAAGCCATTGGATAGGTCACTGTGAAGGTCATTGGTGATCTCAATGAAGAGCAGTTTATTAGTAGAAATAACAGTTAGTTTATTAGTATGAATATGTGAGTGGTTCAAGAATAAATAAAAGAACAGAAATAGGAGGCAGAGAGTATGGACTGCTCTTTAGAAGAGTTTTGGTGCAAAGACAATTAGATGAGGTAATAAGTAAGTTCTTTGGCTGAGGTTACAGTTGAAGTAGTGGCCTGGAAAATGCACACTCACATGTCTTGCTATGGGGGCCATAGTTGGTGAGCAGCCGCTGCTGCTGCCCTTCTAGATCTACCATTGCATTTGTACCAAGGCCACACTTCCCCAGGGCTGAACCTGGGCAATGAAGTCCTCCAGGAGGGAATCCCCTAGCAGGCAACTTTGGCCTGTGGTCTTTTGTAGCTGAAGCTTTCTTAGGACTCCACTGCAACTTGGAACCCTCCTATCCTATCCTCCTTTGCTTTCCTTTCTTTTACATGTGTCAGATCTGCATCACAATCTGAATTTCTCCCTTCACACTCCTGCTTCCTCCCCTCAGTCTGTATGTCTGCTTCTTAAAGGAGCTGAATTAACATAATTGGTAAAGTGATGAGCTAAGATGTAAAGTTTTAAACCCAGGCAATCAGGCCTCAGACACTGTGCTCTTAACAGTACTTTATACTGTCACTCCAGCAGAGGGATAGCAACAGACTCTGAGCAAAAAAAGAACTTGAACATTGATCAGAATAGAGATTAACTCTCATAGTTTTCAATAAAGAATATCTAGCAATTTTTCTTGTACTTTCATTTCTTCTCTCTGTGTGTTTATGTGTGTGTTAAAAATTATAGTCTAGCTTTTAATATCTGTAGATATGTGAGATTACTTAATTATATAATTTTCATTTCAAGGCATAGCTAAAATAATTCTCAATGAATCTTTTTTTGTATCTTCAGGTTTCTAAATTTAAGACCCACCCTAAGAACTATTACTTGTGCATATATAAATGGGATAGTTCCCAGTGAGAAAAAAATTCCCAAGATTTGTTCAACAAATATTTGTCAAGTTTCTACTATCTGTTAGGTTTTGTGCTGAGCACAGGAAATATATGGTTAACAGAGATAGATGTGGTCTCCGCTGTCATGGAGCAGAGACCGGGTCCGTAGAGGGTAAAACAAAGTAAGATACATTGTCTACCACCAGCTATCTGTATGGTGCAGCATCATGTGAACCAGACAGACCTAGGTTCAAGTACTGTGGGCCTGCTATTTATCAGTTGTGTGACCTTGGACAATCGACTTAAGCTCTCTAAATCTCATTATCTCCTCTGTAAAATGAGGGCACTAATTCTATCCTATGCAAACAATTGTGAGGACTAGAGGAGATGAAACATATAAAGCCCCTAACAGGATTTTGGTAGATATGGGAAGATAAAAAATGCTACTGTCATTTTTGGATCTATTATCATAAGGAAGCAGAGTGCGTTCTATGTTATATGTATATTTAAACCTTACTTTCAAAAATTCTCTAACCCTACAAATAATTATGTCAAGTTACAACAATGTCACAGTGTAAACTTGTACATTCACTCCTCCCCATCCCTACCACTGTCTTCTAGCCATTAGCCAGTGGCACTTACCTTCCTCTTGTGTTCCTTTTTATTGCTTGGCTTTTAACTGACTCCTTGTTCATACTTCCACCAAAATTGAGTATTTGACAAGAAAATGAATTAATGTGGTCTTTAAAACCACCAAACAAAAACCCCCACAAATTTGTTTTAACTTTGGAATAAGATTTAATAATTAATAAACAAGAAGGCTACTGGTACAACTGAGTTGGGAGCTAAATGTGTACTTAGTTTATTCATCCTCTTTTGTGTTTCAGAACCTGAATAACAGACCATTTGCTGTGATATTTATTGTTCTTCCCTGGTAACGACCTTGCTTTATGCAATTTCCAAAGTGAGCAGACATCATCTCTGCCTCTGACATCTTCCCCCAAAACAACCCCACCTTCACCCCCACTACAAACAAACAAACAAACAAACAAATGAAAAAAGGGTTGGAAAAACACACTTGTAAGGAAAATAATAGTTCATTTGTGAAAAATATGTCTTTTTTTTTTTTTCTTGAGACGGAGTCTCACTCTGTTGCCCAGGCTGGATAGAATGCTGCAATCTTGGCTCACTGCAGCCTCTGCTTCCCAGGTTCAAGTGATTCTCCTGCCTCAGCCTCCCCAGTAGCTGGGATTACAAGCTTGTGCCACTAGCCCGGCTATTTTTTGTATTTTTAGTAGAGACGGGGTTTCACCATGTCAGCCAGGCTGGTCTCAAACTCCTAACCTCAAGTGATCCACCCGCCTCAGCCTCCCAAAGTGCTGGGAGTCCAGGCGTGAGCCTCCGCGCCCGGCCTTTCCATTCTTATTTGTTTGAACTTGTTGTTCTCAAGTTAGGATTTTAACAATAAACGCCATTTTCCAGTCGGGGGGAAATATTCACAGTATCTTTCCAATTAAAGGCACATTACCTGTGAAAATCCCTTCATTTTGTAACTGAAGAAAATGAGCCTGACAGCATTTGAATATCATCTACCAAGTTCTTGAGTCAACCTGTTCATACATCTAACCAATTAGGAGACCAAAATATCAACTTCAAGTTTTCTTAAAAACAGTGGACTCCGAAGGAAAAAACCTCTTTTTAAATGTGCACTTTGCATCTTTTCTTTCCTTTACTCATTCAGCCCTGGGGAATTAGAATGGGTAACTGATTGGTAAGGTGGCAAAAATGAACTGGTGTACCTGAGTCAACACTGCTCTTGGGATTAGACCCACCTACACCTCCAGTGATCCCTCCCCCAACCAGCCTGGAGAATTGTCTCTGACTAGTGAGCACTTTCCCTAATTCTGGGTCCCGTATGATAAAGCCTGCTTGGCCAACAGCCCTAAAACCACGTCCTCCTATTCAGCCTCTCTCAGCAAATAAGGTGATATTTTGGCCTCCGTCTTATCTCCTCACCACCCCCTGCCACCATTCATTCATAAGCAGGGCAGGAAAGATAAATCACTTATTGGGTCCCCTAAGATTACACCCCTTCAGTATATTTAAATTGTTTTAGCAATATTAATTACTAAATGATTATATTAAATGATTATTAATAATAATTACTAATGATTATTATAATCATTATTAAATAATTAATATTATTTATCATTAGGACATGATAATATTAATAGTAAGTTTTCTAGGGACATAGCTTTTAAGGAAAGGGACGGTTTATGTTGTTATGACATAAAGCAACGTGCCCCTGAAACTTAACCTGTTTCCATTAGAAACACAAAGCCTGTGAGCAGAATTCTCAATATGTGAGAGATGGCCAGACCAGGAGATGGTCCAAGTATCACATCTATACATTTTTAATCACCTTGGCATAAGTTTGCCAGCTGCTGATATATGCATAGGAGAGTGAGAAGATGTAAGTAGAAATAAAGAAAAGGTTGGAAGAGAACAACTATTCAAACATTTTTCATGACATTTGTTAAAGATGATAGGGAAGACTTTATTCAGGAGGGACTACTGCAATGGGGATTGTGCAGTAGGAGCGAGAGGTTGGGCTCAACTTTGAATAGAACAAGGACAAGGCTGGATTTATAGCCAAGGAGAAGGGTGAAGGTCAGTGGAACATTCCTAAGAGGAAACATCAAGGCTGGAGGAAGTCTTGCTAAACAAACTCAACAGACTTCTTTTTCAAGGCAAGCCAACGTGGTATCAAGGGTGAGGGATGGGGAATTTGATCAGATACTGAGGATGACCAGATAACACAGATGGGGGATTTTTGCTAAACTGACTAAGCAGAATTCTTGCTAAAACTAGACTAAGCCCAAGATTGGGGCCTAGTCAGAAAGAGGACTCAGAGGAGCCTGGCTCAAATTTGTTCAAGGAGAAATTTATTTAACAAGATTTCCTTGAATGATCATCTTTTTAACTGAGACCCTAACTTTCATCACCGTCTAAGAGATTCATTTATTCAACAGTATTTTTCATTTATTCATTTAGAAAATATTGTTTACTAAGTATGTGTTATGTGCCAGGTACTGTGCTGGGCATTGAAGATACAATAGTCATTGTGACAAACCATGGCCCCAACCCTCATGAAACTGACCACCTGTGATGGGGAGACAGATAAACAAAAGAGCTACAATTTTTGGCAGCTAAGAAAAAAAACATAAGCACATAAGCAGAGAGCTATACTAGAAAATAACAGGGAAAGCTGAGCTACTTAAGATTAGGTGGTCAAAAAAGGCCACTCAGGGAAGGTAACTTTTGAATTCAGAAATGAGAAAGAGGATATTGGTCATCTCATAAGCCCTAGGAAGAACATCATAGTCATAGGGAACAAAACTAAAAGGGCTCCAAGGCAGAGTGGAGCTGGATTATGCTGATAATGTCAGAAAGCCAGTGTGATAAGAGTCAGGGACGGGCAAGATGGGGCAAGTGCTGTGGAAAGAACAAGCCTAGTATAAGATTCTATGAGCTTTCTTAAAACATTACTCTGGTCACTGTGAGGGTGATATACCTAGGACAATAAAGAACGCAGGAGACTAGTTAGTGGTCTATTAGGCAATCTATGCAAGAAATGAGAGTGGGATAGGGGCGATTAGAGGAAGAGAAAGAAGACAAAACAGCCTAAAGGAGAAAGGTGTTGGGGAAGGCTTACACTGCACAGTAGGTTGTCACTGGAGTAATAACTTCCAGTTATGCCTGTACCTTTCCTGAATGCTGGATTGCTACAGACAGCTACTCCATCAAGCGCAGTGTAGACACCATGCATGGGCCTGCATATAGCTTTCAGATGGACAAGAATATGGAGATCTTAAAACGTGTCAGTGAAGCCAGAAATGGGTGAAGCAATTTGTTTCACAGTCTCCATCTCGCTCTTCCAATACGTATGTCTTGAACACTCAGTATGTGCCAGGCATTGGGGACAGAACAATGAATGGGAGAGGCAAGGTCCCTGCCCTCCTAGAACTCACAACATTGAAGGGGACATGGATCATCAATTGGTAAACAAACACATTTGGTAATTTCAGTGGGTAACAATTCTTATGAACTACAATTGAAGCTGGGGGAGGAGATGACATTCAAGAAGCGAACTGAAGGAAGCAGGAGAACAAACCATGCAGAGATGCAGGATGAAGAGGATGGCTCCATCAACATCATCATCATCATCATCATCATCATCATCAACATGCAGTGCAAAGCCCCCAAGGGGCTGGGGCCTCAGGGTTGGTGTACTCCCTTCGAAAGCTCAGACAGGCTTTCTTCTCATTTCTTAGCATTCTATCTGTATCAGTCCATTCTCACACTACTATAAAGACACTACCTGAGACTGGGTAACTTATAAACGTAGGAGGTTTATTTGACTCACAGTTCTGCATGGCTGGGGAGGCCTCAGGAAACTTACAATCATGGCAGAAGGGGAAGCAAGGATCTTCTTCTCATGGCAGCAGGAGAGAAAAGTCAGAGTGCAGGAAAAACCTGCCACTTTTAAAACCATCAGATCTCGTGAGAATTCACTCACTATCACAAGAGCAGCATGGGTGAAACCAGCCCCATAACCCATTTGGGTGGAGACACAGAGCCAAACCATATTACTATTTAATCTCAACAATTCTAGCTTATATAAAACAGAAAGTATCCTACAGGAAGTTGGATGACTTTTGTTTTTTATAATCCCAAATGTCTTTAATTAAATATCCAAAATTCCATGACAGTCCGTGTAAGTACTTAAGCTTTATACGCAGATGAAAATTCTCAACTATTCAAGTTTAGACAGAAAAACGTGTTATTTGGGCACGCAGAAAGTGTGGGTGTGTGTGCACATGTGAGATAGAGAGAAAGAAAGTGAGAGAGAGAGAGAGAAATTAGAAGGAGGAAGAGAGGGAAGGAGAGAGGGAGAGAAAGAGAGATACACAATCTCAGACCACAGTGGCTTTGTGTGTTACAGATGAAGTCATTTGCTTATAATTGTTCAAAATAGATGTTTACCCAAGGAACTGATAGCAGCTTTGAGACACCAGTCTAACCCTGAGGTTTCTGTGTCTGCTTAGACACGTGGCAGTGACCAGGCCTGAGTGGCATTGATGAGTCCACATGACTCCTTTTCTTCTGATCCACTGTACTGGCCACCAGCCGACCCCAGACACCCTCTCCCTTACAATGGCCTGAATTTCTGGGACTTGAAGGAAAGCACAGTAAGTTTTGGGCCAGAGTCATTTTGATAATGGAGAAGGCGATGATGCCAAGTCTGGGGACTCTGCAACTGAACCCAGGACCAGGATTTTCAATTGAGAACTACCCTGCTCAGGAGAATTGGACAATACAGCTTCTTTTAAAAATGTCCCTTCTGTTGCCTAGAACCAAAACGATTTACTTCCCACTTCCTACTATTTCTCCAGGGAATCTGTTCACAACAAAATTTCACTCTAAAAACAATAAGCCTTATCTTTCCCAGAAACAAATACTCTGGAGCTGCCTGTATGGACCATCTCTCAGAAAGCAGGTGCTTGATCCCAAGGAGAGGCACCATGCCAAGTGAAGTCTTAGCCATCCCATCGCCCCCTAGGCTTGGGTGTGTTTTTCATTCATGTAGGCCGGCTAGAGGCCAGCAGACTAAGCAACATGTGGCCCACACCACTCCCAGCATCCTGCCCACAGCTCTCTGGAGCAGACAGCACCCATAGTTATTTCTTGAGGCTCTGCCAAGAATGTTTTGCTGCAGCCTCCATCCAGCTTGGTGCTGGGACTGCAGCTTCACCAGGCTTTTTCCAGGCTGGCTCTGTCACTCCCCTCTGAGACATTCTAGACTCTTTCAAAATTAACCATGCCTCCCTCTATTGGACAGACCTTACATTGTCTTCATTTCAATGAGTTCAGAATCTCTGGTACCAATAAATAAATATCTTCCCAAAGAGTCTTATTGCCACACATAGCCAGAGCCAGGAAGTATCTGGACATTACTGGCCCTGCTTCCCTCCTCTGCCTGAAGATAGGGAGCTGCTTATCTGAATAGTTTAGATCCCCTTCACTGGAGTAGTTCACTTGATCTTTGGGGGTTAACAACAGAGAGTGGTGACTGCTACCTGCAGCAAAGTCCCTGCCACAAAGAATGGAGGAGTGTCCTGACCATTATTTTAAATCAACTTATTTTGAAGAGATTTAGTAATAAGGATATCTAGCCAAAACTCTGTTTTTTATTTGGAACTCTGAAGGGAAAGTGTTTTTTAAAAACTACTTTAATAGAAACACTACAAAACAGCAAATTTTTAGATTAAAAAAAAAAACCTTTCAAAGGGATTTTGCAGGTATTACATATTTTTAAATCTCTTGTTGAAAAGACATAATGTATCTCCTGGGAAAGAACACAAGTAAATGCTTGACATGGTAAACATATGGCCGTAAAATCTATACATTCTTTCATCTTTCCATGAAAAAGAAAAGGAACATTGTATTAGTCCATTTTCACACTGCTGATAAAGACATACCCAAGACTGGGAAGCAAAAGAGGCTTAATGGACTTACAGTTCCACATGGCTATAGAGGCCTCACAAACATGGCAGAAGGTAAGGAGAAACAAGTCATGTCTTACATGGATGGCGGTAGGCAAAGAGACAGCTGGTGAAGGGGAATTCCTCTTTATAAAACCATCAGATCTTGTGAGACTTACTCACTACCATGAGAACAGCATAAGAAACCCCTGCCCCATGATTCAATTACCTCCCACTCGATCCCTCCCATGACACATGGGAATTGTGGGAATTACAACTCAAGATGTGATTTGAGTGGGGACACAGCCAAACCATATCAAACATTCTTGTCTTTTGATGTTGTCATGATGTCCCCCAAAAGAGATGTTTCCTAAGAGGTATGTATAACAATAGAGATGAAGAATGCATAGAACAAGGGAAACTGCCTTCCCTCTCTCACTCTTCATAGTTCCATAGCCTTGGGAAATCCCATCTGCCATAGTCAACCATGCTGCCAACACCATGGGACAAGGTTCACAGAAGTAAATGGAAATTTCGGAGAAATAGAAAATGCTACTTCTTGGAAGATAATTTAAAATTATCTCCATCTTTACCTTATTTACTTAAATAGTTATTTTAAAAAATGATATGAAATTGCCATATTTATTTGGATCTATTTCTAGACTGTCCTATTGCTCTGTCTAGTTTTCTGCCAGTACCTTATTATTTTCACTACTGTAGCTTTACCATACATTTTCCTACAAAATAGAGCTAATCTCTCTATTGTGGGAGTTTTGAGATTGATGTAGAAAAAATACAAGAACCCAGAGCCCCAAGACCGTAGCCATCCCAGGCACAAGCAAGTTGAATGTGTTCAGACATACTCTGTTAAAGTTGAATATTTTTCTTCATAAATGAAATGTGTTCAGCTGTGGTTTGCTAAATTGATAAGAAATCACAAATGCAGTTAAGCTCCTGAATATAAGGATGTTGCATTATTAGGAAGTTAATTATATGTGTTATATGACTAGATCAAAGGGAAGAACAATGTAATCATTTCAATAATGATTAAATAAAATAACATTTGATTTAATTCCAAATCCAGGTTTTTAAACAAATTCTTAGCAAAATAGGATAGATGAACGTGATTAAAATATATGCATCTTAAACCAAAAGTCCACAGCATGCTAGCCAATGCAATTGGTTGGTAAAACTAAATAAAAGTCGTAGATATTGGAGTGACAGAGAGCGAGAGAGAGAGGGAGAGAATTTTTTTTTCAGATGATCTTATTTTACGTCCAGAAAGTCCAAGAAAAAAATGATAACAGGATAAAAGAAAATATAAAATTATTAAAAACAATTAATTCTATTTTGGTTTCTAATTTATTAATTTCTCCATATATTTTTCCTTGGCTTTCCTTAGATTTTCTTTTCTTTTTATGGTTTTTAAACTTCTTAAGTGGGCCACATTACTTTCTTCTTTATTGTTCTGTGATGTCAATGTTCAAGCTACGAATTTTCCTGTTAGAAAATCTCTCTTTGTATTCCGTAAATCTTTGCCACATCTCACCAATTCTAAGATGCCCTTTTCACATTTTAACATCTCTGAGATAGAAATTTTGAAAGAATAGTATCAATTGTATCTTACTGTCACCGTGGCCAGGAAGTAATTGTCATGTAGTTGCTATTGCACAAACTCAGTTATCTCTGTTCATACTTTTGCTTCACTTGACATGCAAGTATTGTTGGTAATTGCCATTTAAAATACCTTCAAAAAGTTTTCTCTATAATTTGGCATCAAAATTAAGTTATTGTGGGTGCAGAAATACATAGAAATAGATCAGCAGGGCACACGTTTATATTAGTGATGTACACTTCCCCCTTAGAAAAGGTACTAGTGATGTACACTTCCACCTTAGAAAGGGTACTACAGTTTCATATTTTCTTGCAAAGCAGCTACCAAAGGCTTTGCTTGACCTAAGAAAAGAATACATAACCAAGTAGACGAAGTTGTGTTACATTTTGTTCCTGCAATGCATGAGAAAGGATTGTCCATTACATACTAAGCAATGCAACTGAAGGAAGAAGAAAATGCCAACTCCCTTGGAACAG
Source organism: Homo sapiens (assembly GCF_000001405.40). Taxonomy (NCBI): domain Eukaryota; kingdom Metazoa; phylum Chordata; class Mammalia; order Primates; family Hominidae; genus Homo; species Homo sapiens. The sequence continues at coordinate 221,640,699 of NC_000001.11, forward strand.
ACAGAAGAAATTTCAAAGGAATAAGAGCTGGTATGTCTCACCCATGCATAATGCAGGACTATTGTCAAAGCATCACATATCAATTTGACCAAAAATTCAAGCCGATTTTGAACAGAGGCTGCTTAAATCTAGTTATATACAATTATTCAATAGAGAAAAAAAAAATCATGAGTTTGATCATATAAGAAATACTGATAAAACATCAGCATTCTTTGACATCTTTAAATTATACCGAAAATGCTAAAGGTGATAAAGAGATTAAGATAATGAGCACAGGACACCAAAGCAGCAATCACTGTTTTATAATGCTTTGCATAATTGTCATTAACCAAATTTACTATAATACTTAGCTAAAAGCCATAAGACAATACCTGAGAATGAAATGTTCCTGAAGGATGTTATTAGACATTCACAAAAATAAATAAATAAATAAATAAATAAACCATCACTTAGTAGTGATAGAGAACTGACTAAATGTCATCTGGAAAAGATGGGCAGGTTTCTTAAAGAATAAGTAGGAGTGGCAGGCATGGTGGCTCACACCTGTAATCCCAGCACTTTGGGAGGCCAAGGGGGGCAGATCACCTGAGGTCAGGAGTTCGAGACCAGCCTGGCTAACATGGTGAAACCCTGTTTCTACTAAAAAAAATACAAAAAATTAGCTGGGCATTGTGGCACACACCTGTAATCCCAGCTACTCGAGAGACTGAGGCAGGAGAATTGCTTGCTTGAACGCAGGAGGCAGAGGTTGCAATGAGATGAGATCGCACCGTTGCACTCCAGCTTGGGCAACAAGAGCAAAATGCTGTGTCAAGAAAAAAAAAAAAAGAGTAAGTAGATAAGTAGGAGTGTTTCAGGAGGAGAAATAAGGAACAGGCATTACAAGCCAAACAGCACAGCAAAAGTATAGGAGAATATAGAAGATGATAAACCCATTTGGAGAAAGAAAAAATTCTGTTTGAACAGGAGCTTCTACATGGCAAAGGATATGTCAGTTTGGCCACACCCTTTAAATAGGACTGGGTGAGACGTTGGAAACTGTATAGAGATCTTCTTGGTAGTAGAGTCCCTCAGTAGCAGTACGGCCTAAATCACACTGCTGGAGGGTCTTCCTACTTCTGATTTTATTCCTCTTTTTGTCTCCTGTGCAAGTACAGAGCGTAGTGCTTATTGGACATTGAAGAAGTATTTTTGAGTTGAAAATAAGAGTTTTGTAGCTGCAAGATTGTCCTGCAGAATGCTGAGCATGTGGAAGACCTCAATACATAGACTGAGTGGCGGCTTGATTTGCCAAAAATTTTCATGAGCTTAGTTGGCAGGATTCACTGCCAAAAATCATAAACATTTTTTTCTTCATATTGCTTGCTTTATCCATCATGCAGGTGTGTTCCCTCAGAGCCCCTCTGTAGTGCTGTGGCCTTCTCCACATTCCATGCTGCCTAGACCTCGCTTGTCTCCCTCACTGCCATTTCCTCCAATTCTGTGCCATAGTGAGTTGTTAAAATAGCAATGGCAAATGTAGCATTGCATTTCTTCTCAGCAAGGTCTCTTTGGGCATCAGCTCATTTAACTAGATTTTTGGAAAAAAAATTGTAACATCTATACAAAATGAAGAAGTATGATTATTCGGTGACATCTTATCTTAGGTCTTCTTGTTTTTAAACAAATGCCAGAGATTATACCTTCTCCCCATCATCACTAAATAAATTAAGAAAAAACAAAATAAATATAGCTCAGTCTTTGGTTCAGGGTTAAATTGAAGCTCTTACATTAATAGGAAATACTTGAGATGTGCATTAAAAAATATTCAAGAGTGGATGATTAATTTTTTAAGTTGGAAATGTGTATATTCAACACAAGATTGAAGATTCATAATTAGAGGCAGGAGGCATGGTGTGAAGAGACACAGATAGATAGACAGACAGACAGACAGACATTGGCTACTTTGTAAAATATATTCTTGCTTTAGCCTTAAATAGAAATTTTGCTTACTTAACAATAGATGTAAACAAAAAACTTTCATATTTTAAAAATTTATTTTATTATTTAGATTACTGGTGTTATCTTTGTTTTAAAGAGAATGTTCTGGCTGGGCGCAGTGGCTTACGCCTGTAATCTCAGCACTTTGGGAGGCTGAGGCAGGCAGATCACAAGGTCAGGAGATCGAGACCATCCTGGCCAATATGGTGAAACCCCGTCTCTAGTAAAAATATGAAAAATTAGCTGGATGTGGTAGCATGCACCTGTAGTCCCAGCTACTCAGGAGGCTATGGCAGGAGAATGGTGTGAACCCAGGAGGCAGAGCTTGCAGTGAGCCGAGATCGCGCCACTGCACTCCAGCCTGGGCAACAGACCAAGACTCCGTCTAAAAAAAAAAAAATGAAAAGAAAAGAAAAGAAAAGAAAAGAAAAGAAAAGAAAAGAAAAGAAAAGAAAAGAAAAGAAAAAGAGAATGTTCTATTTCACAGAGCTAGGATTGACTACCATCTTGTGCCGGCCAAGGAGAGACACTGAATACTGTAACCTCAATTTACTATGTCAGTAATTTGGCAAGAAGGAATTCTTAATGGAGTGAGAGAAATATACCTTTTTTTGTGTGTGTCTCTAAAGCCAAAATTTTATGCTTCTTGCAAGAGAAGCAATGTCACAAATCTCAAAATTATAATAATATAGACTGTAAGAACTTGAAGGAACAGAAAGAGGTGCCTCATCCAATCCTCTCAGTTTACAGATGAAATAAATAAATAAATAAATAAATACATTGACTGGTTACAGACACTATAACAAGCTAGTGATAGAGCCAAGACTAGAACCCAAGTTCTGATTTTACATAATTAATTGGCCAAGGACATTTAACAGGCCAACTAGTCTAATTCAGAAACACCTGGGTTGTCTATGCAGTCATAGGCTAATTCAGTAGAGTTCAAGAATACTTAGAATCTCTCTTTTAGCAGATTTATGGACTTATAAACCACAAGTAAAATGTATTAAGGTAAAATTTGCTTAAAGGAATTGATAATTAAACCTGAGAGATCAAAAGTCCTAATTACTGAACCATGGCTGCCTAGTAAAGGTGGTTCTGAGAAAGAGACAAGAAATGGCTGTGTGCTTCTCCCCATTTCTCAGACGAGAAAATTGAGGCATGAGAAAAACAACAAAACCATCTTGCTGCAGAAGAAATGACTCCAAAGAAAAGATTTCTTTTTCCTGGGCTGCATTCTGCAATCCAAAATTTGTATAAATCTATAAAGCACTCAAGATTCAGCAAGGGCTCCAGCCCAATCAATAAATAATATGTAGAGTTGAGAGATTGAGGTCTCTCAGCAGCTTTACCAAGATCTATTAAAAGTAATTTCAGTTCCCTTTTGAATTGCAGTTCTTTTTCTTTTAGCTCTGCCAGAAGGTTTTTATTTTATTTGTTCTTGCATTTTGGATGGTGTCCTTTGTTGGCTGTAGGATGGATTTGATTATCTCATTTCATTTGGTCCTTTCCAGCCTATTTCTGTGATTTGAGTGGGTTGGAAATGGATTTCAAACTTGTTTCCAAATTTGAGGGAGGAGGACATTCTCAACAACCTTGCTTCTTGTCCTCCCCAGTGGGTCACAGGCCTGCCTTTCCATCCGGGAGTCCCCATGAACCTCGGACTCCCCAGTTCCGTTCTTGCTCCAGCTATGCTTATTCCATTATTTGCTGCCAAGCCATAGGATACCTCCAAATTAGGCAGGCCTTTTCAGATTGACTTTTAAGGAGAGGAGTGCCTATTGTTTACAGTATTTCAAGTCCATTTTAAAAGCCAGAAAGTCAATCAGCATATCAAACAGCAACTCTTTATTGGGAAACTACAGTATCTGACACATTGAAAGTCAAAAATAAGCCCAGCAGAAATCATGGCTCAGACAGGCTGAAGATTTTCCTCACTGACTTCTACCTCTCTATTCATGCAGAGATGGGCAGGATTCCTTCTTAGACAAGGAGGGCAAGTTCACCAAAGTCATACAACCATTTTTTCACAGAAGCTGAAAGCAAAGCAAGGGATGTCTACAACACTAGGATATTTTTTTCACTCACAATCTTCCAGGACATTGCAATGCTAAACCTGAAAATGACATGCTATGATTTGCACAGTTCTCTACCAAACAGCACCTAATTACAGCAATTTCCTGTGAGCTGCTTTCCAGATTTCAAGACAGCCTGCCCTTTGCAGTAGACATCACTGCATGATTCCAGTGACAAGGAGGGAGGAAAAAGGTTTCCTTCAGAAGCCGTGTTAAATAGCAGCCCCTACTAAGCATGTAGCAGCCACACTTTATCTCACTGACTTAAAGATGAGTAACACACCTGTTCCTGGAAGGCCTAACACTGCTTGCATTTCTTTCCTCACCACAGTGTGATGGCAATTGCACTGCTCTGTTTCTTTCAGAGGGCATATCCTTTCACTACAAGACCTCTGGAAATATTCTAGCCCATCTATGAATGGAGGTTTGTAAAACTGAGAGACGATCTGCTGCATTTTGAACTGTGGTTCTAAATAGAGGCAGAGCACACTGCACCTGAATCAAAACCTTGGGGAAAGCTGAGGTCAGGAGACCCGCGTAGTCTGATTTGAAACCCCTGGTCTACTGGGGACACTGATGCATTTCCAGAAAGGACTACAAGAATCTCCCAGTGCTTTGGCTATAACCCTCACCACATTTTAGTTAATAAAAGAGGCATTGATTTCCTCAAACTTTCAGAGCTTCTTTCAGGCCAGGTCTTAATTTATTTCTGAATAAGCAAGGGTTCAAGTAAATAACTGCAGTGTTTATGAAGAACTTTCCTCAAGCTCAGTGGGTTTCTGAAGATTGTTTGCTCTTAGGACCCTCTAGGTCTTATTATAGAGTCAAGACTTATCATGTTAAGGACAATAGAGGATAGCAAATGACTAAATGATTTTAGCAATATATGCTTGAATAATTTGGATAAAAGAGACTTAATGTGATTATTTTTGAGCAATTCCTTATGGGGAAAAATACACTTGAACCAGATCTTAAAGTGTGAGCTGGGGATACAAAGAAGAGGAGAGAGTGGGGATTTCAGGCCCTCAGGAATGAGCATGTAAAGAGGGTGAGGACTCGGCTGGAGCAGAGGCTATGCAGGGTTCCCTTCTATGGCTCAGATGCTCTCCCAGACCTCGATGCCAGAAGCAACAGAAACCTGCCTAGAGAACAGCTAGCCCAGTCTGCAGTTATCTTCCTGCAAAAGACACTTAAGGCAATTGGATTTTCCTTCTGTCAACAATAAGAGCTTTCTGGAAATGCTAAAAAAGCTAATCTAGACCAGCTGAAAAATTGTACAACATGACAAATGAAAGAAATCACCATTTCCATATAAAGATGTATTGTATCCACTGTCTCCCTTGTGCATTAATCTTATAATTCTATCAAAAAGCAATAATTAACTTTGCACAGAATTATTTTTAAATATAACATTTTTATAGCTCATGAGTTGGTGCTATTCTAGTTATTTATGAATTTTTTCTCTTTAATGGTATATTATTTTATCATGGAAGAGACAGATTAGCATAAGAACTTTAGAGGGAGACAGATGTGGATATGAATCCAACTCTGCTAATTACCAGTCATGAGTCATTGAGGAAGAAACTGACATTTTCTGAGCCTTGATTTCCTAGAAAATAACATGGAATTCAACATTTGTTCATAGAAACGATGGACCATTAAGTAAAATGACATACCAAAATATACCTGGCACAAGGCAGTCATTCAATAAATGGGCACTATTGTTACAGTTCTCCTATTTGTAATATCTAAGAGTTTACTCTATTTGTTGGAGTCAGGGGAGGGGCATTACATTAAAAATCTTAATTTAATTTATTTTATTTTCTATTATCTTTCTTTTTGTATGCTAATGAATCCAAGCAACTATTGAAACTAATCCCTAAACTTCACAGTTTAAACGTTTTCCAATAATCCCAAAGGGCTATGAAGAAACCAAACTTAGAACAAATAAATATAGGATATGCAGCTTATATAAACCCAAGGCTTAATAACCTCAGTTAATTTAGTACATTGGACAAAAAAATCTGTCCAACTAGTTGCCTCAATGGAATAACCAGCTGGATTAACTGAATTTTTAATTTACCAACAAATTGAATATTACCACCTCACATCAGATTAGAAATGTGTATGTGGTCAAATCATGAAGCCTGGTGTTTTAGTCTGTTTTCTGTTGTTATAATAGAATACCACAGACTGGATACTTTATAAAGAAATGTATTTCTTACAGTTCTGAAGACTGGGAAGTCCAAGAGCATGGCACTAGCATCTGGGGAGGCCCTTCTTGCTGCCTCGTAACATGGCAGAGGGCATCACATGGCAAGACAGCAATGGTGTACCAGTGTAGGTCTCACTTCCTCCTCTTATAAAGCCATGAGTCCCATCATGGGGGCCCTGTCCTGATGACCTACTCTAATCCTAATTACCTCCTAAAGGCCTCACCTCCAAATACCATCAGCATATGAATTTGGAGATTAAGTTTTCAACACACGAAATTTGGGGGCACATTCAACACTGTGGCAGTCATGAATAGTAGATTTCTATCCTTTGCACCACTTTGAACTTTTTGCTTGCTAGCTAGCAGTCAAATATGTGAAACAAAAGCAAGACTGTTTTTAGGCACAACTGAAGTAGGCATCTGCCTTTGGGTATAGTTGAAGAGTCAGCATATCACACAGCCAGGAAGCTTCTAATGAGCTTTATATTCTAAGTTTATATAGCAGATTTAAAAATTCTTCATAATTACCATATTGAGAATGTTTAATATTCTCATGCCATTTCAGACTGCACATGCCATACCAACATGCTGACATGTCTCTCTCACTTCTCTGTTGAGGATCACTTATATGCAGAGTGATGTGGTTGCCATGAAAACTAATGTTCCTTGAGCCTCTATAAAGGTAGGCTCTGTAATGAGGAGTATATTGATTTTGCTTTACTGTCTTTTGGCTGGCAACATCAAATCCAGTAACTTTAAAAGAATTACTGGCAAACTGGAAAGAGGAAAAAAACTCAAAATCCTGTTACATGACAAATGATTGAAGGAACAAAGTCCTGGATAAGAGTGCAGTGTGAGGAGGGAGAACTTAATTCCTAACTATCACTATTTGACTGTTGGCCATTCCTCTATTAGAATAGAGCTAAATATAGTGATAATGACAATGACTAACTTACACTGAGCAATTACTATGTTATGGACCCTGTTTTAAGCTATTAAGTGCTACGTCACTCAATCCATACAAAATCTATGAGGATTGTGTTATTATTGTACCCATGGTGTAGATGAGGAAACAAAGTCATTAAAAGATTAAATGACTTATGCACAGTCAAACGATAAGTAAAGATTACGTAACTTGTCCATGGCTGGCACTGAACTCCAGAGCCCATAGTACTATCTGTTTGGTGTGGCCCTGGTGGGTGAGAAGGGGTAGCTGGTAACCATCCAGTGGGAACAACCATTTGGTGATTTAAGCAGGTGGGTGTTGGGACACATGGGAGTGGTAATGACCAAGTCAGTTAGATGAAATGAGTTTTTGAGGATTTACTTACTAGTTTTTCCCTGCTTTTCCTATTAGGACTGATGGGTCTCCCTTCCTTTAAGCTATAGTATGAAAGCCATGTGGTAAGGTGTCAAAGGTGTGGACCAGATTCAATGTGTGACTCATTGGTTTCTTAACTATGTGACCTCGGGAAAAAAAAAAGTTACTTAATACCTTATGCTTCCTCTGTAAAATGTGCTCTAAAATATTAATCTTAAAAAGATATACAGTTTATTCTATAGGTATTACTAGAAGATGAATAATTATAATCTATTCTTATTGAAATTAAGTTGACTTTGCTACCCAGAGCCTATTGAGTTAAGAGAGAAAGACATTTGTAGAAACAACTCTGGGAGACTGGAATGGTTGTACTATGAATGGGACATGAGAGATTCTCTCTAGATCATTATCCTTTACCTGTGAAAAAGCTAAGGACTAGGATGTCATTTATACTACATACAGATGCAACTACCAGTAACAACAGTATTTCTTAGTGTTGCATTTCCTGAACCTCTTGGGGATGTTAGCAGATTCTGCATGAGAAAGAAAGGGAATCTGAAATAAAACTCACTTCAGTCAAAGCGTGTGAAGTTTTAATTATAGAAGATAAATATGTTCTGAAGATCTACTATATGGCATAGTGCCTATAGGTGACAGTAGTGTAATATGTGCTTAAATTTTACTAAGAGGGTAGATCTTATGTTAAGTGTTCTTACACTTTCCTCACACACACAATAACAACAAAATGGATGGGAAGAAACTTTGGAAGGTGTTAGATAACGTTCATAGCCTTGATGGTGGTGATTCATTTCATGGGTATATTCTTATTCCCAAACTCATCAACTTGTTAATATATTAAATACGTGCAGCTTTTTACATGTCAATCACACATCAATAAAGTGGTTTTTAAATTATTTAAGAGGAATTCTATTCAATTTCCCTCTTAAGGGTGGAAAGATAATTAGCTTATGAAAGTTTCTGAGAAGTTCTGGTAAAGAAACTTACTTAGACTTGTAACTAAAAATCCCGTGTTGTGATTAAGCAGGATTTATCTCAGGAAAGCCAGAAAAATTAATACCAAAAAACATGTAAGTATAAACCACTCTCCAATATGTTATGGTAGAAAAATCATACTCATTGATTCTGAAAAGGAATTTGAAATGCCAGAGCCATTCTTACTAAAACATTATATAAATGAAGAATAAAAAGAAATATTTAAATATAACAAATACCATATACTTGATAATGATATAGCATGATAATAAATAGCAAAATAGTAGGGCGGTTTTAATTTACAAAAGGAACTGGACAGAGGTGGTTGTTATCATCATTATTTTTTATATTTCCTTGGAGGTTTTCACACATACAATAAGGCAACAACATAAAATAACTGATATGAACACATGAGAAAGAAGAAAGTTATTTCTCCTTTTACCCATCAAAACTCAAAATACTATGATAAAAAATACTAGAATAATTTTGGAAAAGTTACTGGGTACAAGATGAAATAAAAACACTACGAAATTTTATTTCATTTAACAGTAACATCTAGAAACAGCAATGTGAAATTTAGTTCATTGTAAAATCCATAAAATGCTTAGAAATAAATGTAACAAGGAAGGCACAGTACCCATATGGAAAGAGCTATAAAATGTTATTAAAAATATAAAAATAACATCTTAATAAAAGAAAGGGCATACCATGTTCTTAAAGAAAAAGACAATATCAATTATATTAAAATTAATATATCAATTTATTCAACTCCAATTAGAATTCCTGCTTTCTAAAACTAGAGAATATTATTCTTTTTTGGGGGGTGGGGGGATAGGGTTTCACTCTGTTACCCAGGATGGAGTGCAATGGCACAAGTTTGGCTCACTGCAGCCTCAACCTCCCAGGCTCAAGCCATCCTCCCATCTTAGCCTCCTGAGTAGCTGGGACTACAGGCTACAGTTATGCACCACCACGCCTGGCTAACTCTTTGTATTTTTTGTAGAGACAGGATTTCACCATGTTGCCCAGGCTGATCTGGAACTCCTGGGCTCAAATGATCCTCCTACCTCAGGCTCCCAAAGTGCTGGGATTACAGGTGTGAGCCACCATGCCTGGCCTAAATTAGAGAAAATTATTCTAAAGTCAATATGGAAGAATACATTTCCAAGGAGCACCAAGGCAAGTGAAGAACAGCAAGGGAACACGACTTGCCTCATTAGATATCAACAACCCCCAAAAGTAAGTATAATCAGGTCAAAGTGGTATTGGTATAGGAACACACAGATTTATAAATAGAATAAATCATTCAGAAGTGCGATATATGGTATATATGTTAAATATTCATTTTATTTAGATGGAAAAGTAATGGAATTTTTAAGAAATAGGGTCAGAATAACTGACTCCTCATTTAGAAGAGAAAAATGAAACCCCATGTAACACCATATTCAAACATCAATTTCAGATAAAGATCTACCTGTGAAAAGATAAACAATAATTCTTTAAAATTTTTTCTTTCAACATTGAAGCCTAAACAATAAAATTTTTGCCAGAAATATTTCAGAAACTACAGGTACAATGGAACCTAACCTAATCTTATAGTCTAAAAGCCGTAAAATGATAATGGAAATAGTTAAATACTATATCAGAATGAAAAACAATCAGATGATAAACGATGCCATATACAAAGTCAATAGACAAGTTATAGATTTGAGGAAGGATTTGTAACACACAGAAAAGTATTCAGTTTTATACTAAACAAAAATGGTTAAAAAATTTAAATGTGGGCAAAAATACATAAATAGATAACCCAAGTGATGCAAATAGAAGTGTCAAATTTAGGCCAGGTGGGGTGGCTCATGCCTGCAATCCTAGTACTTTGGGAGACTGAGGCAGGAGGATTACCTGAGCTCCCAAATTCGAGACCAGCCTGGGCAACATGGTGAAACCCTGTCTCTTCGAAAAATATGAAAATTAGCTTGGCATGGTGGTGTGCACCTGTAATCCCAGCTTCTCCAGAGGCTGAGGTGGAAGGATGGTTTGAGCCCAGGAGGTAGATGTTGCATTGAGCCGAGATGGTGCCACTGCACTCCAGCCTGGCCCATAGAGCTAGACCTTGTCTGAAAAACAAAACAAAACAAAAAAAGAGGTATCATATTTATAAGTGAAAAGATGATCAAATGTACGTCTAGTCAGGAAAATGCAAATCAAAACAAATAATAAGATATCACTTTATGTCTACCAGAAAAACAAATTATTTTTAAACTGTAAATGCTGTAGTAGATTTTTCCACCAGAATGAAAGCTCCACTGGGAGAGTAATATTTTTATTCATTGCTGTATCCCTGGAGTCTAAAATAGATTCTGAAAAAAATAGGTGCTTGCTCGACATTTGTGAAATGAACAATGGGTATAGGTAACAATTCCACAGCACTTATGTGCCAAGCATGAATTGCTCTGCAGGTGAATTCATTTGACCTTCCCTACGCCCCTATGAAGTAAGGGTTGTTATTACCATTTTGCAGATGTGGAATTTGAGGCACGAGGGGGCACATCTAATAAGTTACGGAGCTAGGAATTGAATTCAGGCAGTCTGGCACCTGATTGTCTGCACCTAAGGACAAGAATGTACTGCCTCTTCCCCTATCCACATCACTGGTTGGGGTATGGGAAAGAGCACAACTTTTATATGGAAAGCAAGTTGGCAGGAATTCCACTCCTAAAACCAAAAAATACCAAGAAGTAAGGATATGTGCAAGGACACTTATTGCCCCATTTTTTGAAGTGGAAAAAAGTGAAAGAAAAGGAAATTGCTGAATAATTTGTGGTAAATACACATGACAGAATAGTATGCTGCTATGAAAATAAAAAATTAGAATCACGACAGTTGACTTGGATCAATGTTAGTAAAGATAACTTATTAAAAAAATTTTAAATATGCAAACAGAAATATAAATATAATATTCTAATTTTGGTAAAATTGGACAAAAACTGTGTGTGTGTGTGTGTGTGTGTGTGTGTGTGTGTGTGTGTGTATGTGCCTTGATATGATTAAATTACTAGAGAAACACTTCTAGCTTGTTACCATGGGTACCCAGGGGATTGGGCTGGGTACCGATGCAAGTAGGATAAGGAAAACAAAGTGAAAACCAAGTAAAAAATTGGAAAAATAAATACTATTATTAGAAGTGTATATGATCAGCCGGATGTGGTGGTTCATACCTGTAATCCTAGCACTTTGGGAGGCCGAAGCAGGCGGATCATCTGAGGTCAGGAGTTCGAGACCAGTCTGGCCAACATGGCGAAACACCATCTCTACTAAAAATATAAAAATTAGTCGGGTGCGATGGTGGGAGCCTGTAATCCCAGCTACTAGGGAGGCTGAGGCAGGAGAATCACTTGAACTCAGGAGGTGGAGGTTACAGTGAGCCGAGATCGTGTCACTGTACTCCAGGCTGGGTGACAGAGTGAAAGTCTGTCTCAAAAAAAAAAAAAAAAAAAGAAGTGTGTATGATCACATTTATGCACTTTGTGAGATTATGTATAATAAAAATAAATTTAAAGTATCTATTAAATTTTTTGCCCCCTTTTTCGTTAAGTGGGTTTGTTTTTGAGTTGTATGAATTGTTTGTATATTCTGGACACAACTATTTATTAAAGGTACTCATTGAAAATATTGTCTCCTGGTCTGTGACTTGACTTTTAATTTTATTAATGCTGCCTTTTGAAGGGCAGATTATTTAAATTTTGATGAAATTTAAATAATCACTTTTTCTTTTTCATGTTCAAGTACTATTTATGAGTTGTCTAAGAAGTATTTGCCTATTCCCAAAAGTCACAAAGATTTTCTTATGTTTTTTGTAATAGTATTATATAGTTTTTCTTTTTATGTTTATACCTATATTTCATTTACAGTTAATTTTTATATATGATTTCAGATAGGGGCTGATATTTGTTTAGCTTTTAGCCATCAGGGAAATGAATACCATATTTGTAATGGTATCTCATCACTATCAGATACCACTGCAAATCAGCTAGAATGGCTAAAATTAAGAAGACTGACAATACAAGAGTTGACAAGGATATTTAACAACTGCAGCTCTTATCCACTGTTAGTGGGAGTATAAAATGTTACAACCACTTTGGGAAACAATTTGACAATTTCTTATAAATTTACTATGTGCCCCACTTAGCATGTGTCCTAGCAACTTCACTTTCAATTATTTACATGAAAGAAACAACTTGTAAATAAATCTTCATACAGCTTTATTGATAATAGCTCCACTGAAATTAACCCAAATGTTGGTCACTAGGTGAATGGATTAAAAAAAAAAAAAACCTGTGGTGCAGCCGTAATTCTATTCAATAACTTTTTTTAAAAAGTGAACTTAATTCCTGCAATAACATGAATGAATCTCAACAATATTATCCAGAGTGAAGGAGCCACATATATGTTTGTACATATTTTATGTTTCATCTATATGAAATAAGGCCAGTGTAGTTACCTAGGGCAGGCCTGGGGAGGAAGTCATTGCAGAGTTCACAGGGGTACCTTTTGGGGTGATGGAAATGTTCTATATCTTGACTGGGATGATGGTTACACAGAGAGACACATCTCACTTATGGAACTGTACATTTATTTATTTATTTATTTATTTATTTTGAGATGGAGTCTCTCTCTGTCGCCCAGGCTGGAGTGCAGTGGCACAATCTTGGCTCACTGCAAGCTCCACCTCCTGGGTTCAAGCCATTCTCCTGCTTCAGCCTCCCGAGTAGCTGGGACCACAGGCGCCTGCCACCACGCCCGGCTACTTTTTTGTATTTTTAGTAGAGACAGGGTTTCACCGTGTTGGCCAGGATGGTCTCGATCTCCTGACCTCGTGATCCGCCTGCCTCAGCCTCCCAAAGTGTTGGGATTACAGGTGTGAGCCACCGCGCCCGGCCGGAATTGTACTCTTAAAACAAGCCTCTCTTATTACAGGTAAATTACACTTCAATAACTTTTTTTAAAAAAAAGAAGAGTTGACTTTAAAAAATAAAATAGAAACATGAAATAAAGCTCCTGATGAAGGCTCTTTGCCATCAAAACTATCTGTGGTCTGCATTGATGTCTGGCTTCTCTGATTCTTGCCAAACTGCTCATCGCTATTAAGACTAAGTTTCTCTCCAGGTTGATTCAAAGCAACCAATCCAATCTTTTTAACACATTTTTATGTATGTATGTATGTATGTATTTATTTTTAGACATAGGTGGGCCACCGAAGTTCTTTGACTTGCTATTTATTTCTTTCCACCATTATGTCTCCACCTCTCTAGTAGCGCTGAGCCAGTCGACTTATCATTTGTTTGCATCTGCCTTACAGATTTCTACCTTTCAACCTTCTTAATCCTTCACCGGGAATATTATGGCCTGCCCTGGTAAACAATATGTCCCTTCCTCCTTCAAAACATGTTCTAAACTTCTCTCCTAGGGAACTGACATGGTTTGAATGTTAGTCCCCTCTAAATCTCATGTTGAAATGTGATTCCCAATGTTGGAGGTGGGGCCTGGTGGGAGGTGACTGGATTGGAGGGTCTCACTCTGTCACCCAGGCTGAAGTACAGTGATGTGATCTCAGTTCACTGCAACCTCCGCCTCCTGGGCTCAAGCGGTTCTCATGCCTCAGCCTCCCAAATATCAATATCAATATCCCAAGTAGCTGAGACTACAGACATGCCACCACGCCCTGCTAATTTTTGTATTTTTGGTAGAGATGGGTTTTGCCATGTTGGCCAGGCTGGTCTCAAACTCCTGGTCTCATGTGATCTGCCCATCTCGCTCTTCCAAAGTGCTGGGATTACAGGCATGAACCACCATGCCTGGCCCCCAATCCAATCTTTTTAAAAGGAGATTCCTCCACTTCTCTAAAATCTTAGATACATTTACTTTTCAGTCATATCTTATAAACTGCCAACGCCCATCTTTAAAAATTGCAAGTGTGAGTTTCTTGAGCTGACATTCATTATGAATGGGGGCCTAACTTGGGATCTCACAGACAACCATTAACTATTGCTGAACAATCCTAACTTAAAAAATACAATCCCTCAGGCACAGGTAATAGTTTATAAATAATTTATGACACTGTCCCAGCCTTTGACACTCTGAGCAGCCTCTTGTTACCAGGTAAGCCATGGCCACTCAGTGTTTACTCCTGTAGGCTGCCCACTGCAGGTAGAGTCAGGTGAGATAATGATCAGAGAGCAGCGGTTGCTCATTTAAATCACTTGAAGAGCTTTTTAAAAACACTGATTCCCAGGCCCCAACTCAGGCTCCCTAAATCAAAGTGTCTAGCGGTGAGTCCTGGGCATTGATATTTCTAAGAAGCTCTCAGATCACTTGAATGAACAGTCGGGATTGGAAATCACCATGTCAAAGGGAGAGAAAAAAGAGATGTCATTTGGCAACTTCTAAAAAACCTGTACCTGGTGACATGAAACTATTTTTTAAAAAGCAGAAAACAAGTGCCCAGAATCGAGAAGAAAAAGATAAGCATTTTAAAAAATTTTAAAAATAAATGTGTTTAACCTCAGAATTTCCTCTTAATTTGACCGCACAACGAGATTGACACCTATGAACAGTTTACAGACCAACAGTGCACCAGTGAACACAGCCTCAGAATTGCTGGCTGAGTGTGACACAGCCAGATGATATAGGTGGGCCACCGAGGTTGTTTGGCTATTCATTTCTTTCCACCATTATGTCTCCATCTCTCTAGCAGAGCTGAGCCAGTCGGCTTATCATTTGTTTGCACCTGCCTTACTTATTTCTACCTTTCAACCTTCTTAATCCTTCACTGGAAATATTATGGCCCGCCCTGGTAAACAATATGTCCTTTCCTCCTTCAAAACATGGTCTAAACTTCTCTCCTAGGGAGCTGATATGGTTTGGATGTTTGTTCTGTCTAAATCTCATGCTGAAATGTGATTCCCAGTGCTAGGTGGAGGTGGGGCCTGGTGAGAGGTGATTGGATCACGGGCGCAGATCCCTTATGAATGGTTTAGTGCCATTTTCTTGGTGATGAGTGAATTCTTGCTCAGTTAGTTCATAGGAGATCTGGTTGTTTAAGAGATGGATCTCCCCCTTCTCTCTCTCTTGCCACGTGATTCACTTGCTCGCCCTTCAACTTCCACGGTGACTGCAAGCTTTCTGAGGCCCTCACCAGACGGAGATGTTGGCACCACATTTCCTGTATAGCTTGCAAAACTGTGAGCCAAATAAACATCTTTTTTTATAAATTACCTAGCCTCAGGTATTTCTCTATAGCAATGTAAAAAATAACTAATACAGGAGGCTTCCTTGATAGATAGAATGCCTGCTTACATAATGCCTGTAACCTCACTCCTCAAAGCTGATTAGCATCGTCCATCCAGGAGCTTGTAAGAAAGGCATAATCTCGGGCCCCGTTCCAGGCCTACTAAGACAGAATCTGCATTTTAACAAGCTCCCTAGGTGATGAAGAGCTCACTAAAGTGTTTTCCCATCACTCACTGAAACCTCACAAGTGAGGGAGGGCAAGACCACTGGCCGTCCCTGTAAACCACAGGCCTGGTGTTTGGTCTGGGCTGCTTTTTGTAGATGTTAACTGCAGAGCTAATTTTGTTATAAATTTTCTCATGTTCATTCCAGGTTCAAATGGCAGCAAGTTGAAACGTGGCTTCTTCTTGCTTTGTTCTTTCCTCATTTTTTGAGGTACAGGTGACACTAAAAAGGACAGGAGACATCTTGCTTTTCCATATGCCCTAGAAGAGAAAGAAAGTCTTCTCATGCACAGATCAGGAGGAAGGATCAGAGTTTCGCATTTTAAAAACTGAGATAAATTCAGATATCATAAAATCTATCCTTTTGAAATGTACAATTCAGTGGTTTAGTATGTTGACAAAGTCATGCAACCATCACCAATACCTAATTTCAGAAAATTACTATCATCGCAAAAAGAAACCCCATACCAATTATTCACTCCATATTCCTCTTGTCCCCTGCCCCCTGGCAAACACTCCTACTTTTCTGCCTCTATGGATTTGTCTATTCTGAGTATTTCATGTAAGTGGAATCATACACTATGTGGTCTTTTGTGTATACTTTCTTACATGTGGCTTAATGTTTTCAAGGTTCATCCACATTGTAGCATGCATCATTATGTCAGTCATTTTTATGACTGAATCCCATTGTATGGATATACCACATTTGGGTTATCTATTATCATTTGATGGACGTGTACGTTGTTGCCACTTTTTTGTTATTAAGAATAGCAATGCTGGCCAGGCGCGGTGGCTCACACCTGTAATCCCAGCACTTTGGGAGGCCAAGGCGGGCGGATCACGAGGTCAGGAGATCGAGACCATCCTGGCCAACACGGTGAAACCCCGTCTCTACTAAAAAAAAAATACAAAAAAAAAAAAAAAATTAGCCGGGCGTGGTGATGGGTGCCTGTAGTCCCAGCTACTCGGGAGGCTGAGGCAGGAGAATGGCGTGAAACCGGGAGGCGGAGCTTGCAGTGAGCCAAGATTGTGCCACTGCACTCCAGCCTGGGCAACAGAGCAAGACTCTGTCTCAAAAAAAAAAAAAAAAAAAAAAGAATAACAATGCTATGAACATTTGTAACCAAAATTTTTTGTAGACATTTATTTCTAATTCCTTTGAATATATACTTAGTAGTAGGATTTCAGGGTCAAATGGTAACTCTGTGGTTAACCTTTTGAGGAACTGCAAAGCTGTTTTCCAAAGCAGATTCCCCATTTCACACTTCCATAAACAATGTAAGAGGGCTGGGCACAGTGGCTCATGCCTATAATCCCAGCACTTTGGGAGGCTGAGGCAGGAGGATTGCTTGAACACAGAAATTTGAAATCAGCCTGGGCAACACAGGGAGACTCCATCTGTATAAAAAAAGAAAAAAAATGTTAGCCAGGTGTGGTGGCCATTGCCTGTGGTCACAGCTCCTCAGGAGGCTGAGGCAGGAGGGTCACTTGAACTCAGGAGGTTGAGGCTGCAGTGAACCACGTTCACACTATTGCACTCCAGCCTAGGTGAAAGCACAAGATCCTGTCTCAAAACAAAGAAAGAAAATTAAACAACGTATGATGATTCTAAATTCTTCATATTCTTGATTGTTATTGTCCATCTTTTTTATTATACCATCTTAGTGAATATAAAATAGTAGCTCATTGTGGTTTGGGTTTGTATTTCCCTAGTGACTAATAAATTGAGGATCTTTTCATGTGCTGCTGGCCATTTGTATGTCTTTTGGGGAGAAATCTCTACTCAAATAATTGCTCAATTTTTTATTGAGTTATTTATCTTTTTATTATTGAGTTGCAAGAGTTGTTTACATATTCTGAATACCAGTTCTTTTTCATATATATGATTTACAAACATTCTCTCTCATTCTGTGAGTTGTCTTTTCACTTTCTTATTACTGTCCTTTGAAACACACAGTTTTTAATTTTGACAGAGTCCAATTTATTTTGTTGTTGTTGTTATTGTTGTTGCTTGAGCTTTTGGTGTCATATGCAAGGAAACATGGCCAAACTCAAGGTTTTAGATTGGATTTTCTTCTAAGAATTTTGTAGTTTTAGCTCTTATATTTAGGTTTTGAATCTTTTTTTTTTTTTTTTTTTTTTTTTGCCTGTGGATACACAGTTGTCCCAGCACCATATGTTGAAAAGACCATTATTTCCCTCCATTTAATTGTCTTGCCCTCCTTGTCAAAAATCAATGACCATAAACGTGAGGATTTGTTTCTAAACTTTCAATTCAATTTCATACTCTCTTGATTCCTGCTGTTTTGTAGTAAATTTTGAAACCAGGAAGTGTGAATCCTCCAACTTTGTTCTTTTTTAAGATTGTTTCAGCTTTTCTGTTTTTTTTTTAAATTTTGTTATAAATTTTAGGATCAGATTATTGATTTCTATAAGAGTTCAGCTGGGATTTTGATAAGGATTTCATAAATCTATAGCTCACTTTGGGAAGTTTTACTATATTAACAATACTAAGTTTCCCAATCCATAAATATGAAATGTCTTTCCATTTACTTAGATTTTTTAAATCTTTCAACAATGTTTTGTAGTTTTCAAAATATATTTTTACTTTTATACTGAATTGATTTCTAAGCATTTTATTCTTTTTGGTGTGTTTATACATGCTATTGTTTTTTAAATTTCATTTTCAAATTTTTTTTGCTAACCCATAAAATGCAATTGATACTTGTATATCGATTGGGTATCCTGAAGACTTGCTGGACTTGTTTATTAGTTCTAATATGATTTTGTGAATTTCCAAGGACTCTATATACAAGATTATGCTATCTGGGAATAGAGATAGTTTTATTTCTTCCTTCCAAACTGGATGCCTTTTCTTTCTTTTACTTTTCTAATTGCTCTGACAGCCTCCAGTACAGTGTGAATAGAAGTGACAGAAATGGATGATATGGTTTGGATATTTGTCCCACCCAAATCTCATGTTGAAATGTGATCCCCAGTGTTGGAGGTAAGGCCTGGTGAGAGGTGTTTGGGTCATGGCTTGGTGCTGTTCTCATGATAGTAGGTTCTCCGGAGAGCTGGCTGCTAAAATGTGTGGCATCTCCTTCCTCTTGCTTCCATTTCACCTTCTGCCTTAAGTAAAACTCCCTGAGGCCTCCCAGAAGTTGAGAGATGCCAGCCCCATGCTTCCTGTACAGCCTGCAGAACTGTGAGCAAGTTAGACCTATTTTCTTTAAAAAAGATTGCCCAGTCTCAGGTATTTCTTCATAGCAACAAGAATGACCTCACACAGTGGACATCTTTGTCTTCTTCCTTATCTTAGAAGAAAAGCTTTTAGTCTTTCACAGTTGAATATGATATTAGCAGTGGGTTTTAATAGATACTCTCTATTCAATTGATAAAGTTCTGTTCTATCCCTAATTTGTTGAATGGTTTTGTCATAAAAGGTTGTTATATTTTGTCAAGTGCGTATTCTGTGTCTATTGAAAGAATCAATTGCTTTTGTTCTTTATTCTATTAATATGGTGTATTACATTGATTGATTTTTACATGTTACATTCCTGATATAAATCTCACATGGCTGTGATGTATAATCCTTTTGATATGTTGCTGAATTATGTTTGCTAGTATTTTGTTAATGATTTTTGCATCTATATTTATAAGGAATATTTTTTTCAGTCTATCATCTTCTTGTGATGTCTTTGTCTGGTTTGGTATCAGCATAATACTGGCCTCATAGAATGGGTTGAGAAATGTTTCCTCTTCTATTTTGAAATATGAAACTATGAAAACTTTGTGAAATATCTGTATTAATTTTTGTTTAAATAATTATATAGTTTACCTGTGTAGCCATCTGGGCCTGGTGTGTGTGTGTGTGTGTGTGTGTGTATGAGTGTGTAAATTTTTCAACCTCTTCTTTTGGTATTTACATCTATTCTGATTTCTGTTTCTTCTTAAGTCAGATTCATTAGTTTGTATCTTCCTAGAGTTTGTCAATTTCATCTACGTTATTTCGTTTGTTGGAATATGATTGTTCATTGCATTTTGTACAATCCTTTCTATTACTGGAAAGTTGATGGTGCTGTCCCCTTTCATTCCTGATTTTAGTAATTTGAGCCCTGTCTCTTTTCCGTGGTTAGTCTATCTAAAAGTTTATCAAATTTGTTGATTTTTTCAAGTAACCAACCTTTTTTTCTATCGATTTTCTATTCTTCATTTTATTTATTTCCATTCTAATCTTCATTATTTCCTTTTGACTTGCTCTGGGTTTAGTTTGCTCTTTTTTTTCTAATTCTTCAAGGTAAACATTAGGTTGTTGATTTGAGATTTCTTTCTTTTTTTTTTTTTTTTGATACGGGGTCTTCTTTTATTTATATAAGCATTTACAGCCATAAAAAAATTTTCCTCAAATCACTGCTTTAGCTACACTTCATAAGGTTTAATATGTTTTGTTTTCTTTTTTATTCATGTCTAAATATTTTCTAATTTCTTTCTGATTTCCTCTGTGACTCATTAGTCATTAGTTGACTGTTGCTTGATTTGTATGTTTATAGGTTTCATAATTTTTTTGTTATTAATATTTAATTTTTCCCATTGTGGTTGGAGAACATACTTTGTACTCTTTCAATTCATTAAAATTTATTGAAACTTGTATTAGGTTTAACATATGCTCTATCCTGGAGAATATTTCATATGCATATTTGGGAGGAAGATGAATTCTTCTATTGTTGTGTGGGTGTTTTATAGATAACTTATATCTCATTGGTTTATAGTGCCATTCAAGTCTTCTATATTCTTGTCAATGTTCTGCTTGGTTATTGTACCCATTTTGAAAGTGGAGTATTGTAGTCTCTAATGATTATGGTGAAATTATCTCTTTTTCCCTTCACTTCTAGTTGTTGCTGCATGTATTTTGGGCTCTGTTGAGAGGTGTACATAATTTTTTGTGGTTTTTTTTGTTTGTTATTATCGTGTCTTCTAGCTGAATATACCCTTTTATCATTATAAAATATTCTTGTCTTTAGTAACAATTTTTTCTTACATTTTATTTTGTCTGATAGTCATAAAGCCATTCCTAACAAATTTTTGTTGTAGTTTATGTGGTATATATGTTTCCATCCTTTTACTTTCAACCTATTTGTCTGTAAATCTAAAATGTATCTCTTGTGGATATTATATAATTAAATCATATTTTTTCATTCATTCTGCCAATTGTTGCCTTTTGATTGGAGTGCCTAATCAATCTTCATTTAATGTAATTGCTGATAAAGTAGAATTTACATGTGTCTTTTTGCTATTTGTTTTCTATATGCCATTTTTGTTTCTCTATTCCTCCAATATTGCCTTCTTTTGTGTTAAATAAATATTCTAGTGTACCATTTTAATTTCTTCATTGTTTCATTCACTATGTTTTTAAGCATTTTTTTCGTGGTTTCCCTGGGAATCAGAACTAAAATCTAATAGCAATTTAATTTCAGTAGTATACAAAAATTGGTTTCTATATAGCTCTATTCTCTTCTACCCTTCAATGTGCTATCATTGTCATGTGAATTATGTGAATTACATTTTATGTATTATAAGCCTATCAACACGGTTTTATGATTGTTGCTTTCTGTAGCTGTCTTTTCAATCAGGTAGAAGTTATTTTTACTAGTTCTCTTTATTTCTTCATGTGGATTTGAGTTACTGTCTAGTGTCCTTTTATTTCAGCCTACAGAACTCCCTTTAGTTTCTTTATACAGTATAAATCTGTTAGTGAAGAATTCTTAGTTTTTGTTTCTATGGATATGTCTTCATTCATTTTTGAAAGATAGGTTTTTTTATTTTATTTATTTTTTTTAGATATAGAATTTTTGGTTGCAGTCTTTTTCCTCCAGTTCTTCAAATACATCATACCACTTTATTCTGGTCTCCATCAGTTTTAAG
This sequence comes from Homo sapiens, assembly GCF_000001405.40. NCBI lineage: Eukaryota > Metazoa > Chordata > Mammalia > Primates > Hominidae > Homo > Homo sapiens. The sequence continues at coordinate 221,662,722 of NC_000001.11, forward strand.
GAGAAATTGCTTGTTAGCCTTATAGAAGATCCCTTACATGCTGAGTCTCATTTTCCTTGCTGCTTTTAAAATTCTCCGTCTTTTAACAATCTGATGATATATCTAAGTGTGTATCTCTTTGAGTTTTTCTTCTTGGAGTTTGTTGAGCTTCTTGGGTGTGTAGATTAATGTTTTTCATCAAATTTGAGATTTCACCCATTCTTTCCTCAATGATTTTTTTTTAATCCATTTTCTCTCTCTTCTCTCTTAGGATTTCCATTATTCTTTAGTTGGTATGCTTGGTGATGTCTCACAAATCTCCAAGGCTCTGTTCCTTTTTGAAATTCTCTTTGATTTGCATTCTTCAGACTGGATAAGCTCAATTTGATGAGACATTATTCCTGTACTTTCCTTTAGTTTTTAGACATCATTTTCTTTAATCCTTTGGACATATTTATGATAGCTGATTTAAGCTCTTTTCTTAAAGTTCAATGTGTTTGCTACATCAAACAGTTTCTATTGGCAGCTTTTCTTGTGTATGGTCCATATTTTTCTAATACCTTTTATGTTTCAATTTTTTCTTAAACCGAACATTGTAAAAACTATTATGTGGCAACCCAGGAAATTAGATTCCTCTCCCTTCCCAAGGTTTGTTTTGTTGTTCATTGCTGATATTGTCCTCTTTAGTAACTTTTCTGAATTAATCACATAAAGTTTGTATTCATTGTTGTGCATGGCCACTGAATCACTGATTGTTTTGCTTTGTGGCTAACTAATGATTAGACAGAGATTTCCTTAAATTCCTTGAAACAATCAGTCTATTGGCCTCTCCAGAGTGCTGTGTGTGTGTATTACAGCACTCTGTCAATGATCTGGCAGGCAGATCACATTTCTGCAATAGCCTTTACTTCTCATTTGTATAGAACCTCAAGATAAGCAAGAGGCATTAAGGGTTTCTTAGATATTTCCTGGACATGCACATGGACTTCTACTTTCACAGGAGCCTTTTAAGGCTTTCTGTACTGGGTTGAATAATGGTCCCCCCAAATTTGTCCACATGGAATCTCAGAATGTGACCTTATTTGGGAATATATTTTTCTCAGATGTAATTAGTTAAGATGATACCACAACAGCTTAGGGAGGACCCTACGTTGAATGACTGGTGTCATGGTGTCATTATAAGGAAGCCATGTGATGACACAGGAGTACACAGAGGAAGTCCATGTGAAGACAAAAGTGGAGATTGGAGTGATACAGCCACAAACCAGGAAACACCAAAAGAATTATGGCAATCACCAGAAGCAAGGAGCAAGCATGAAATAGATCATTCCTCATTGCCTTCAGAGGTGACAAACCCTGTCAACACCTTGACTTCAGATGTCTGGACTCTAGAATTGTGAGACAATACATTTCTATTATTTTAAGCCACCTAGTTTGTGATCCTTTATTACAGCCGCCCTAGGAAACTAACATACCCCCTGCGAAAACCTAATTCCCCAGCTTTTCTTTTAACCTTTTTGGTCAGCAACAATTTTTTTTATTTTTTATTTTTTATTATTATTTTTTTTGGTACCAACTATTATCCCTGACTTAGACAGCTGCCATGTTAAACAATTATCTCTGATTATATTTGACAAATGCCTCAGGGAAATGTTTAATCAAATAATGACAAGTCATGAGAGGTAGGGTTTCCAGCAAACTTCCAGACAGGTTGAATAATGACATACTCTATGGGGGCAGGGCTTTTTGGGAAAACCAAACCTGTTGTGCCCATCTAGTGGCTGCTAGGCTGCTATTTCATGGCTACTGTGATTATCACGGAACTGGCTACTACAGAACTGAGGGGAAGGGAATGCAAATGGAGTAGGTTGAAGCACCACAAAGCTTACTTTTCTTAACAAGATTCACCTGTTTTCCTTGAATAGATGCTCCTCAGATTGTTGAAATCTTTAGGTTAATTTTCAAATTTTGAAAAAGTTGATTTTGAGAATTTTTGCCAGTGTTCTCATTGCTCTTGTGGAGTAGATTTTAAGAGATCTTTATTTCAGTACTCCAGAAGTGCTGTCTCCAGTGATTGATTTTTTTTTTTATGAGACATGGTCATTTCTGATAATTCATAAACAAAGTCAACTACCTCAACCATAATTCCCTAAGTGCTTTAAATGTGTGAAAGTCTTTTTGTTTTTGTTTTTGTTTTTATTCCCCATATAACGGGGAGTGATACTGTAAATGCATTACTTCACCTTCCTCTCAGACATAGATAAATGTATAAATAATTGAATGAGTGGAAACAACATGACCCAGGGGAAAGAAAAATGAGTGTTGGGAGACAAGAATAGGCGGATTTTTGTGATCTCATTTTAAAACTGGCCATAGATGAAACAGGATAGTTATTAATGTGCTATGAAAGGGTCAAATCGCTTCTTAGCCCTATTTTGTTTTACCATTAGAAATGTCTCCATTTACAGCCTAATGTGTCATATGACCAATTCAAATGGTAATTTTCTTTAAGAGGTAGATGCTCAATACTTTAGGGAAACTTGCATAGGTAAAGGCCGATCATGGTGGGAAATCAAACAACAGGCAGGAATGGATGTGCTTGACAGTTGCCTGTATTATTAGACACTAGAAAATATTGTGCTGTCTGATTTTGTTTTTTCTTTACTGAAGAATGAGAATAATTCTTCCTTTAATATCCCTCCTCTGAAAGGTAAATGAGATAATCCTATAGCCCTCGCAAGACAATTTGACCTATAGGATATGTCACTTTGTTTCTAATTAATATTTCTAAACAAAATTTATTGCAGTATAAGTTACATCCAATTATGGAGTTTAATGAGTTTTTGACAAATATTCAGACCTGTGTAACCACCCCACCTTCCCCTTTCAGAACTTTCTATCACCTCGAAATGTTCACTTGTGGCCCTTTACATTCAAACCACCCACCCCAAATTCCAACTCCAGGCAATTGTTGATCTTTCTGTCAACATAGATTCATTTTACCTTTCTCAGAATTTCAAACAAATGGAATCATGCAGTATATACTCTTTTTAATTCAGCCTGTTTTTCTCAGTATATTGCTTTTGAGATTCCTCCAGGTTTTTGTGTGCATCAATAGTTCATCATTTTTCAATGCAGAGTAGTACTACATTGTATGACTATACCCCAGTTTGTTTACCATTCATAATTTAATAAGTACTTTATTTTTTAGCAGTTTGGGGCTGTTGTGAATGAATCTGCTATGAATGCTCATATACGAGTCTTCATGCGGACATTTATTTTCATTTGTCTTATATAAATGCTGAGGAATATAATTACTAGGTCAAAAGGTAACTATATATTTAACCATATAAGAAAATGCCAAACTTTTTCCAGAGTATTTACACTATTTTACACTCTCACCAGCAATATACGAGACATCTAAATAGTTCCAAATCCATGTCAACACTTGAGAGTGTAAGTCTTTTTAATTTTAGTCATTTTAATGAATTTATAGAGGTATTTCAATGTGATTTGAATTTGCCTTTTCTGAGTAACAAATAATGTAAAACATCTCTTTAGGTAAAGATTGATTGCCCATTTGTATTGTTTGTTTGTTTGTTTGTTTTGAGACCAAGGTCTCACTCTGTCCCCCAGGATGGAGTACAGTGGCGCAACCATGGCTCACTGCTGCCTCGACCTCCCTGGACGCATGTGATTCTTCCAGCTCAGCCTCACAAGTAGCTGAGACTACAGGTGCATGCCTGTACACCTGGCTACTTTTTGTGTTTTTTGTAGAGATGGGGTCTCCCTATGTTGCCCATGCTGGTCTCAAACTCCTGGGATCAAGTGATCCTCCTGCCTCGGTCTCCCAAAGTGCTGGGATTCCAGGTGTAAGCCACTGCACCCAGCCAATGTTGTCCATTTGGATGATATCTTTTTTGAAATATGCACTCACATCTTTTACTGGGTAAATATTGAGTTATCTTGTTGATGCATTGAAAGAGTTATTTATATATTTTGGATATGAGATATTCATTTTTTCACTATGAGATATTCTCATGAGATATTATTCATTATGAGATATTTCACTATATTCATTATAGAATGATGAATATTCACAAGTTGACTTTTGCCTCCCAGTTTGACATTTGCCTTTTTATTTTCCTGTTTTCCAAAGAACAAGTTTTTAATTTTTACGAAGTTCAGTTTTTCAATTTTGTCCTGTTTTCTTCTAGAAATGTTATAATTTTAGTTCTGATGTTTAAGTCTATAATCTGTTTTGACTTAAATTTTGTATGTATTTACAATAAGTGTTAAAGTTCCTTCCCACACTCACTCCCAATATGAGTATCCAGCTGTTCCCACACAATTTATTGAAAAGACTATCTTTCCCCCATCGAATTACTTTGGTACCTCTGTCAAAAACCGCTTGTCTATATTTACTTTTATTTAAAGAGTCTGTAATTTTTATGTGGCAAGTACTTTGGTTTTTTTCAATATTGGTGTTTAAGATCTATCAGGACAGGACAGAGGAGGCTTTATTCTATGGCTAGCTTAAGCCCTGCTCTCAAGGCCAACCATTTTGGAGTTTCTAACAAATGTTCCAGGTATTCAATAATGTCTGTCTTCACTCTGGCTGTTTGGAAATGGAATATCCTCCTACTCTCTATGAACTCTGTGAATTATTTAACTTACAGCTCTTTAGTAGTTTTTCTTATCCTGGCCTCATAGAGTTTTATTGGATGCAAGCTCAGCTTATTCAGGCAAAGACTCAAGGGGATTCCTGGGCAAATGTTTGGAGTTATTTTTCTTAAAAATTCCCTCTTCTCTGCAACCCAGCCCTTCCAACTTGAGCTGCCTCGGTCTCCCTGAATTTGGTTTTACGTCTCCTCACTCAGTGAGAGTGTTATGCTCTGCTTGTTCCCCCACTGTGCATGCTAGTTCAGAAAAGGTTCCCATGCAGAAACCTCAGGTAATTATGGGACTTGCCTTGTTAGTTTCCCTTATCTTATGAGTCACAGTCCTGCAGTTCCTATTGCTCAAGATCTGAACATGATGTGTCATGTGCTTTGTCCCATATTCTAGTTGTTTACAGCAAAAGAGCAAATCTAATATCAGTTATTCCATAGTGGCTATAAGTGGAAGATTTTGGAAACAGTGCTTCTTGAATTGTTTCATGTCTCCGCACTGTCAGACATACAAATTACTGATAGCCTTGTTGGAAGGATTGAATGGTAAGCATGCTTTATAAATTAGAAATAGTAAATTGCTCTGGAGAGATCTGAAGTTCCATCTCCATCAGAACTATTTGCTTACACTCTAAGAGTGATAAAAACCTAGAGACACCTTCCTTTCCTCTCCCCAGAGAGGATCTGTTTACATTTCAGAGCAGCAAGATCTCTTTCATTCTCCCCTCCCTTCAGGGCAGGTAAGACACATGTGCCAGCCATCTTATAGAAGCTTCAAGCATCATAAATAATCAATCAAGTATCAATAATCAATATCAAATTTACCTACTTGTGCAGCGGTTGCTTCATAGGAGAGAAAACTAACATTAGTTTTCTCTCCTATGAAGCAACCGCTGCACAAGTAGGTAAATTTGGCTCCCACTATGTTACCCGCGAAACAAGAATTGGGACATGGGGAACTAGTGCTGCTAAGATTCTCTGAGTGAATGATCTGTTTCTGACCCAGAGACCTGTGTTGTCAGAAAAAAATAGATAAGTAAATATAGGGAGATTTTTTTAAAGACTCTTTTAAAGTCTCTCGTGATTGTAAACTTAATCCATGCTCATATTTAAAATCTTTAAAATAAAAATCAAAAATTATGAAAAGAAAACACTGTAAACATTTTGACATGTCTCTGAGGAGGAAAAACATAAAGAGAAGATGAGGAAAAAAAGGGGAAAATGTTTAAACTGTGTTAATAGTTTTTTTAAATTTAGCATTATGTTGTGAGCTATTTTCTCTGTTGCTGAATACTCTTTGAAGCCTGGCATTTAATAATTGAATAATCTTCTATTCACTAGATCTCCTTTGGTTTATTTAAATATTCACCTATCACTTGACATTTAAGTCATTTCAAGCCTCATTTATTATAAAGAATGTGACTTGCATGTAAGTTTTTAGCTACATCTGTGATTAAATCATATTCTTGAGATACAAACACACAGGTGAAAATTTTAGGTCAAATGGAATGAACTTCTTAAGGAGTTAGAAATGTCATTCATATGACCAAATTCTTTGGCAGGTTTTGAGATGGGCTTCTGTTTTATTTTGAGGAGAAGCTTCTGCCTGCTTTTTGATAGCCAACAGACAAAACTTGCATGTCAAGAACCTACAGAGAAGGATGAACCGACTTGTCCTGGCTATCAACAATCTGCAGGAACCTCTGAGCACCTACCTCCCTCCCCATTCAAATAGTTTGCACATTTTGCACTCTTGGAGAAAAAGAAATTTTCTTTGTTTTCTTGGTTTCCTTATTTTGTTGTTGTTATTTTGTTTTCAACTACAATATTTAATCAAAATTATACATTCAAGGTGAAGATCCATATGCCTTAATAACAGTGATACAGAATTAAAGTCTCACCAGAAATGCTGTTTGAAAACGAGTGGACTTTTCTTTAAGATTTATAATTTGGGGATGCTCTCTTGCATAAGATTACAAGTTCAGATTTTGTAGACAGATCCTTGGTCAATTGACTAGGCTGTCCCTGGTCTTTCTGCACACTGGACATGCTTCGGCCAATGGTTCTCACTATTCTTACTAATGTTAGACCCAACATTATGGCAGGAGTAATAGATCAGTAAGAGGAAGCATAGGGACAGCTTTGAGGTCAATTACCAGAGATATTGTTTAATTTACTCTCATCTCTGACTCAAATCCAGAAAAATATTTACATATCCCTTCCTAAGCCCAAACTCTCATCAGACACAGATAAATGTTAGTCATATGGAAGGGGAATTACTGGGAGAACAAAAGCTCTGTCTTTGGCTTCTCACACCTGTTGGCACTTTCTGTGTGATAAGAACCATGCTAGCATGTGGGAAACAGTGATTTACTGTAACCATGTGAGCCTATCAGCCAGGTCAGTCTGCTCCAGAAGACAGAATGTGGAATCACCTGTTCCTGAAATGGCCCCAGGAACATCAATTGCATCGGTAAACAGACAATTAAATTGGCAAATACTGATATGAAAAAAAAACTGCATGCTAGTTCAGGGGGGTATATGGATATCTTTTCTATTTTAAAAAATAAAAGGGAAAGTTGGAGAATGGGAGGTAGAGAACTATCTAATCACTGGGGCCCTTTGATCTTTGGAATGTTGGTTCCAAAACTCTGCTTGAGCCTCTTTGCTGTGTTTCCCCTGTTTTATTTCGATGGCTTCTGTTTGTCAGCCTCTCTGATTTTTCTGTCTTTATTTCAGATAATTGATGACCCTATGCAACTGTTAAAAAAATGTGGGCATCCCTTTGGACTAGTCTGGATTCCTGATGCTGAGGAAATCGACCACACGAACAGCTTCTGGAATTTAACCAGATCCACAAGGGTGAAGAGAGGGCAAGAGATCATCTTAGAGAAATTTTAAACTATTCTATTGTCTTTTGTTCTGCTTCATGAGAAAGACTAGATTGTGAAATTCATCCCATTTCTAATTCCCACCCAGGGAATAAAAGAGAGAATATTCATTTCCTTTTAATATCAGCTTAAGCAAAGAAAATGCAGTTACACCAAGGAAAGATGATGGGAGAGTCACAGATGATTCATAATTGACTCCAAATTTCATTCCTGAACATATCTGCTCTCATTAATAGTTAAGACAGAAAAACAAATAAAATATAAGAAGCTCCAATCGAGTAGAGCCTCCTTGATTCTTGCTATCTGCAGTGCACTGCATGTGACACTGGCCATTTAAATCATTATAGTCCTCACATGCCATTTTTCAAACAGAAGACCTAGCTTCTTATCATTGTTTTAAGTCAGTTATGACCCAAGCTTTCCCCATATACAATTAGCAGCTTGAAAGGTGGTACCAAATCTTATATATCTTTATATTTCTAGTGTGTGGTATTAGTGCCTTGAACATGGTAGGTGCTCAGTAAACGTGGTTAAATTGAATAAACGTAGTGAAAATGTGGGTAGGGGGATCCCAATGGAGCTAATACCTACTGAGCCCCTGATACTTTTTCCAAACTATCTCATTTATTAATTACAAGAACTCTATGCAATAAGTCTTATCACCTCCATTTTACAGGTGAGGAAACAGGACCAGAGAGATGAGTACAATCAGCCCAACTAGTTAGTAGCAAGGCTGGTATTGAAAGTGGATGGGTTTGACTGACAAAATCAATTGACCTCCCCAACTGCAAGACGATCTGAACAGAAACAGTAGGTTATCTTGTCCCCAGCATCCTTACTCTTCCACAACCTCCTTCAACCAGGCTTTAACCTTCTTCCTTCCTGAGTATTTACTGGGATGTTAATACCAGAACACTAAGGTATTTACATAATGTAATTTACCATCTAAAGTGGAAGGCATTCAGAGAGAGAATATGAATAAAATAAGAACTAAAATATACAGGGATTTAGGCAAATTTATATTAATACTAATTGGGAATATTGGAGACTAACACAATAAAGAAAATATGTAAAATTTGGTTGGACTGTATAAAAATAGTACTAATTACAGTTATTTACATAAATTGCTCAACATTCAGCCTAATTACTGTGAATTACAATAATTCTTAGGTAAATGTTTAAATGTGGCTTTGATTAACCTGTGTAGATTGTGCATCTCAGAGCAAGCTTGGCCCAAGACTACTCAGTCTCTGGATGTGTTGCCCGTGGAGCTTGGACGAGAAGGCACAGAAGCAGGAATCTTGCTCAGAAGGTAGAAATTAATTCATGTCATCAAAAGAGAAACCATAAGGAATAGACTTTTCCTCAATCCCTGCTTCCCTTTTCCTTTCCCACTAAGTTTTAATATTTTTGTTAAAAAAGAAAAGCTGAAAACACAAGTCCTACAGCAATATTTTCAACAGAATTATCCTTTAATGTGAAGGAACAGTCTTCTCTCTCTGTTTCTGCTAATTGGACTAGTAGCTTTTCCTTAAAAATCCAACCAATTTCACAAGACTTTAGAGGTATGTTTCCAACTGTCTAGTGGCCTTTTTTAAAATGACTTCATAGTAGGCATAAAGCCTCAAATAAAAGAAGAAAACACTCAAAGGAAAATCTTATTTCATAAATTAATGTACCATCTCAGAGTCTTAGAGGCAAGAAATGTGTATTGAATTACTTGTTCTTGGATAAAGAGCCTTGAAATGCCCACTATGTGCCCCATCATAAAGACACTGTATTTGTAAGCTTCCACAGTGTGTTGTCTCACTAATAGATGTACCTAAAAGATATATATTGGGAAGGCAGCTAACCATGAAAATTTGCTATAGCCTAATAAGTAAAGGTATCATGCTAGGCTAGAAGTATAGTAATAACTGGTAACATGATTCGAAATAAAATTGGCATTAGTCATTCAAGAAATAGAAAACTGTAACTTAGTTTAGCAAAGATTTAAAAAGCAGTGCTAGTTCACTCTCTCCCTGCTTTCTCATGCATTTCCCTCCTTTCTCCTTCCATAAGAAATGACTAATCTTTAATATGAGGTCAACAACATAGGAAGTCCTTGGGTGGAGAGAACATGGTAAAATAACAAGCAAGCAAAGCCACACATGGACAAATGCCAGATAATGTAACAGCCACTTTCTAGATGTGAGCCGAGGGGTATGGAGTCCAGTCAATTTAAAAGAAACAAAACTGATATAATCATTGAGAGTAATCAGGCTACGTGCAGTCAAAGTAACTTGAAGGAAGTAGTAGATGTGGGTTGGTGCCAAAGAGTGACAAGGCTGTGCAGTTGGAGGAAAGAGCAGCCATTAATAGGCATATATTGTTTGAAAGATACTGCTGGGGATGTTCATTCACAGTTGTGAAGATAACAAACATTCTTAATATCCAGTAATATATTTTAGCAAACAGAACATATATTCACAGGATGATATATTATGTGATTATTTAAAATGATCAGGAATACTAAGTAATGACTTAAGAAGAAACTTTTGATATCATGTTAAGCAACAAGAGTAATTACAAAGTTGTACGTATGGTACATCTACAACTACATTAAAAATGCCTCGAAAAAATGTGTTAAGAAATAAACCAAAATATTTACACTGGAAATAAGTTTTTCTTTTCAAAATCATGTTTAATGGCACATACTATATTTATAATAAAAACTTTGGAGAAGCACAGGCTGCTCAAGAGAGTGGGTTGCTCATAATATTCTTCTCCTAAAAGATCTCCAGCATAACCTCTCTCTAGGTTTCAATCTCTCCATTTGGGAAATTTGATGCTTACTCATAACAACTTCGCTGCCTGGCTGTCAGGGTAAATTGAGATGAGCAAAGCAGCACATATAATCGTACCTTGTTTACTTAAGAGTCTGAGAACTCACTCCCAACATACATTTGTAATACATGTTCAATTATGCTTCTGCCTTCTGTCTCATGATAAAAATAACTTTGAACAAATTTTCAGTTTAAAGTTGAATCATTGCTAATTAGTTCTTCTTCAACCTCTACACTCTAAAATTGGACTTAACTATTTGTAATGATTACCAGCAACGTCTATAGAAACTTAGTCAAAGACTACCATTGACATGATCCAACAGAGACATGAAGGAACATTGTTAGGATGGTGGATCTATTTCTCAGACGTCTAACTTTTAAGTTTCTTGAGATTACAAACAATATTTTTGAGCCACTTTCTAAGTTAGGCCTCTTGGAAGTACAAATAACAAGAGCCGCTCTAGCCAAGCTTAAGCAATAAAAGGGAAAAAATAGTATCGTGAGGATTTAATAACAGCTTAGAGAAAACAAGAAAAACTAAGCATGCTCTTAGGAAAGGGATGACAACCAGAAACTGAAAAGTTGTAAGAAATCCAGGCAGACCTCTGTACACCTTTCAGCTCTGTTCTTTCAGAAGATGTTTCATCTTTTTTTCTCCCACATGCCATAGACACCAACAACTTCCAAATTTAAGTAGTACACATCCAGCTACCCAGAGAGAAATTGACCTGTCCTCTCGTTTCTAATTCCAAATTCCTGGAGATACCACTCTAAAGAGCTCAGCTTGTTCAATCCCCCAGTGAACAGGTAATTTTTCAACCCTCGTCTCCCTCTTACCTTTTCACTTTTTGGAGTCTCTAGTGTCTATTGTATGTCCGTGTGTTCCCATCGTTTAGCTCCCACTTATAAGTGAAAACATGCTGTATTTGACTTTCTATGTCTGCATTATTTCAGTTAGGATAATGGCCTCCAGTTCCAACCACACTGCTGCAAAGGATGTGATTTCATTCTTCTTTATGGGTGAGTAGTTGGAATATGTTATGATTTTTAGCTGTTTACCTCAATCATCTTTTGATGGCCTGGTGACAGCAAAGATGTTTTATCGCATTCCCTATAATGAAAAGAGAAACTCTCAGATTGGTAAAATCTGGGTCTTCCCTTTGTGCAAAAACATGAAAGCCTGGAAACTTTCTCTATCCTTCTATCACACACCCACATTGGTCTATAGTAGCCTAATAGTTTACCCTGTAATCACTTACTGCCTATTCATGTGTGGCCTACACTTCTTAGGTTTCCTCCTGTACGTTCTTTATATCACCAAGCTAAGAGAACACACTGGCAATAAAGTAATAGGTGAATGCCCATCAATTACAGCACTTTGGACGCTCACTGGCCAGAAGACAAGAGTACCGGATCATCTGTCTCCTTCCTTTCTGAGTCTCCTATTTTTCAATCTGTCTCCATCCAGCCAATACATTTCATCTTCCCTACACAAACACCAAACAGTTAAATCAAAAGGGAAGAGAAAATGGGGCTGTTTAATTTTGGAATGTCCAAATAGTTTTTTACATCCCTCTTCCAAAATATCTCAAGATCTTTGGCAAAGGGAGCTTGGTATTCAAAACCTTGGCATGGTGGTATCCTAGTCTGGGATCCCAACAGTTGTCTGTAGCACTCTTTCTAATTTCCCGTTGGGAACAGCTAGGAGATGCTATTTATTAAATAACTGCCCCAATTCTGCAGCCCACTTTCCACCCCACCAGTAGGAAATCACTGGTATTTTAAGGTTGATTACAGTGAAGTCTGTCCATTGTCATGAGTGTAGAAAAGGTTGGGTTTACTTGCAAGGGAAAGATGCTTTGTTACTGCTATCCTATGTTATCAAGGGGTTGTTAAATAGGTAAGTATGGAGTCCAAATGATAAAATAATTGACAACCATCCTTCCACTTCCTTGGTAAGATGTTTCTGGTGTTATCTCTTATGTCTGATGCACAGTTAAGTGGGAGGCAGGATTGATAGGAGACTCCGAAAAACAAAGGTAAAATCACATTCGCCATCACTTTCCTTTTCAGAGTAAGAACACCTAAAAATTTTAAAATAAACTCAGGATCTAATTTGATGCCGAGTATGACTCAACCAAATATCCCTCCAGGGACACAGGAAACTTAGTACATTTCTTTCTGATGGCTTTATTAACTCCACCTTTTGCCAATAAATGTAAGTCCATTTGAGGACAGTGGGCTCTAATTGCTCCAGGAAACATGGCTGAGGCTCTTTACTCTAATTCATCCCCTGCACAGAATCCACAAGGCTGCTCCGGCTTGAAAGAAAGACTTCTCTCTGAGACAGGGCTATTGCCTTTGAAATCCATGTTGACAGAAGTCCTGTGGGTTCATAGATGCTTTGTGCACTTTTCACATTTCTATTGTATGAGGGAGACAGAGGGAGAGAAATAAAAAAACAAGAAGAGTTAAAAAAAAGAAAATTAAATGTAGTAGTTTAAATAAGTCAAATTAAGTGTCACTATAATATATTAGGGTTACTTCATAGTCCTAGAGCAGTGCCTGGTACACAGTGACCACTAAGTAAATGTTTGTTGAATGAATGAGATTTTCAAACCATTCATAATTAAGGAAGTTATTAATTATCCCAAACAGATATGAGAGCATGGGAATGTTGTTCTTCGGAATTCAACTCTCTTTCAGTATATATTCACCTGAATGGCTTGCTAATTTAAAAATTCTAACTAGTATTTTTTAGAGAAAAATGCCAAATCACCTTCCCTTTTATTTCCACAACACAAATAATCAATTGCAATCTGTACTTACTGACATTTTCAACTCCTGGGTGGGGCAATTTCCACAAAGCAGGTTAAGTAAAACATTCAATTTCCCAGGTCACTGGGCAGGGTTCGAGGCTCTGACCTCACCTGCCCTCGCTATCCCACTCCAAAACTTCAGGTTAGCCTGAAAAGAGCCAGGAAAATGCTGGTAGATTGCATGATAAACAGTGTTTTCCTGGGTCATTGGGAAGCCCAGCCACCCTCTCTGAGAACCCAGCCCAAATGCTAATGCAGCAGCAGATAGGAGCAGGGTAACAGGTGGTAGGAAGGGAGAGCCAGGCAGGTCAGAGTAAGGCTCAACCTTGAACCTTTAAACTCAGCATCATCAGCAAACAGCCCTCTCTTCTACTTGAACCAACTGCACAGCTCTATTCAGGCAGCTGGGTTTCCCCGGATATTTTCCAGAGGTGTTTCTGGGGATGGGCCCTGCACTTTGCCCTTTATCATGGGGAGGGATGACTGTGGGTCAGTTTCACTCAGCGGGAGACGCCAGTCCTCCTACAAAGTAGGATAGCCCTCCACTCAAATATTCATTTATTTTGCTCTTCCTCATTCCATCTGTCAATGTCTGAGGCCTAAAGGCCTCTGATGTAGTTCACATGGTGGATGGATGGTGGCATATTTGTAAGTTGTTTGATAAGTTGAGCTTGGTTCATTCCAAAAGAATTTTATCTTCTCCAGATCATACTGATGTTGGGAGGTGACCCAATAACAGAGGCAATGCCAACTCTTCCCTTTCTAGACAGCTGTCTCTACCCTTATAGTGCATGGTTGATGGATGTTATCAGCCTGTGTCACACTTCTTTGCTTTTGGTCCCAAAGGATATGTTCATTTCTCCTTCCCACCAATCCTACACATAAGCTTAACTCCTTCACATACGTAAATATACAGATTCTAAATGTTATTCAATTTCTTTGTGTTGCAGAAGGTAGCTGTTCTCCTTGTTTTATAGCAATATAAAATGAATAGTACCCTGAGTCTAATTCATAATTCATTAATACCAGTGTTACATCTCTGAGAATATTTCTAAAAGAACTTTAGTGGATACTGTGGCTTTTCTCCAGGACATCAGTGAAAAATATTTAGGGATTCTTCATGTTATCCAGCAGAATAATTGAAGGCCTTAGAGTCTGCATATTCTCTGACTATACCTCTTCTTGGGGAAATAAATTTTGAAATTTTAGTTTTGAAACTAGTTTTGTGAAGGTTCAAATACATCTCTTAACCCTTTGAGTAATGTTGCCATAGACAAGCAGTTGTCAAAATGGCCCAAGGAATCTAGGGGTCTCTGAGACCATTTAAAAGACTCCATATGTACCAACTATTTTTATAGTAACACCAAGACACTACATGCTTTTTTTACTGTATTGACATTTGCACTGATAGTACAAAATCAATAACACGTAAAATTGTTGGTGATTTAGCATAAATTAAGGCACTAATACCAACTGTATTACAGGATAAATATCCCTTATCCAAAATATTTAGAACCAAAAGTTTCAGATTTCAACTTTGCTTTGGATTTTGTACTATTTGCATTATATTGGTTCAGCATCCCTAATCTAAAAATACAAAATGCTCCATTGAGCATTTTCTTTGAGTGTAATGTTGGGGCTCCAAAAGTTTCAGATTTTGGAGCATTTTGTATTTGGGGTTTTGGAATTCAGGATATTCAACCTATAGTTGTTATTGTTCTATTCTTGCTGCACCTTCCCAGATAAGAAAAAAGTACCCATTTCTCCTAAAAATAACCTTTGATAAATCAGTGAAAACTATTAATGTTATCAAATCTCAACCTTTGAGTATGTTACAAATTGGGAAGTAAACATAAAGCGATGCTGCTACACACCAAAGTATTCTGATTTGCCTCAAGGGAGAGCACTTGGAGATCATTTGAGTTGCAAGCTGAACTTGCCACTGATTTCATGGATCATTATATTTACTTTAACGGTTGTCAGACAAACTGTGGTTAGTCAAGCTTTGCTATTTGTCAGACATTTTCTCAGAAATAAAGTGATTCTGTCAGTACAATAATGCAACTGAGAGTATTTGTTGTCAGTGGTAAAATTTGAGATTTCAAGTGAAGATTAGAATTTTGACAAAATCTTATTTTGGCATATAGCTTTTTATAGTGACATTTAGCTTGACAAGTTCCCAATATTTAAAGCTATTTCTGATGAGATCAGCGCTGATGTTGATGAATGTAATTTGTAATATTGTATAATGAAATATGTCAATATTTGCAAGGGCTGCATAAGACAATGTAACATCTAGAATTTTGACCCCATGACCTTTGACTTTTGGCTCCTGGTGCCATGGTTTTGATATTTTACATGGCAAAAGAGTTGGCAGATATAATTAAGGTGACTAATCAGTTGATTTTAAGATAGAGAGATTACCCTGGATTATCTGAGTGGATTCAAGCTGCAAAAATGCTCAACAGGAGAGAGAGGCAATGGAAGAGAAAGCCAGAGAAATATGAAGCATGAGGAGGACTGAGCTTGCTTTAGCTGGCTTGAAGACAGAGGATGCCACATGAAAAGCATAGGAAGGAAATGAATTCTGCCAAAATCCTTAACTTGAGAATAGATTCTTCCCCAGAGCCTCCAATAAGCAATACAGCACTCCTGTCACATCCTGACACATCGATTTTTGCCTTTTGAGGCCTAAGCAGAGAACCTAATTCATTTATGGTATGTCCAGACATTTGACGCATGCAATTTGGGGAAAATGGGTGTTGTTTTAAACCCCTAAGTTGTTGGAAATTTGTTGCAGCAGCAATAGAAAACTAATACATTCAGTGAACTATAGTTTCCAAATGGCCAACTCATGATCTAACAAAATCATGCATGATTAAATGGACAAACAGGACTAATGGATTTTAATGTCACTAATTATGAAAGTTTCATAATACGGTTTCAGAATCCAAGTTGCAGCTTACCTTTAAGAAATTGTCACTTATGTAAGTTGAGTATATTATCAAAGAAGAATGTTTACACTTTCCTAAAAAGGACATTAAAATGTTTCTTCCTTTTGCAGCTACAGCCATCTTTCATTTGTCATTATTAATGCATTTAGCCTTCAAATCTACTTGTCTATGTTAATATGACTGCACCAGCTTTCCTTTGGTTAGTGTTTGTATCTTTGCTCATCCTTTTACTTTCAAGCTTTCTAAATTCTTTCATTTCAGGTGTGACTTATAAGCAATACACATTTGGATTTTCTTTTTTCTATCTACAGTGTCAACTTTTGTTTGGAATATTTAGTCCATTTACATTTTGCATACAGTATAATATATTTGACTTTAAATCTAGTATGTTTCTATTTGTTTCTATATATCCAATCTGTTCTATTTTCCTTTTTCCTTTCTTTCCTTTTTTAAATCAAGTATTTAAAAAAATTAGATTCTTTTTACCTCTATTTACACATTAGATGTATTTTTTACTTAAAATTATAACATGCACACATTAAAATTTAGTTTAAATTAATACTTTCACTTCATTCCATATAATGCTGTAACTGAGAACAATTTAACTTTCATTATGCTTCTGGGAACATATATGCCAATGCTGTTGTATGATACATGTGTGTAAGTTCATATGATATTATTGTTCATGCATATAGATAATATTTGTTTAGATTTACCCATATATTTATATTTATATGTATTTTTTTCTTTTATACTTTATTTTTTTCCCACTTCTTCAAGATTTCATCTGAGATAATTTTTCATCTGCCTAAAAAACAACTTTTAGATTTCCTTTAGGAACAGTCTGATGATTAATTCTAACAGTTTTGATTAGATTTAAAATGTCTTTATTTCACCTTCATTATCAAAAGGTATTTTCACTTTGTATAGAATTTTATATTGGTAGTGATTTTCCATCAGCTTTTTGAAGCTGTTGGTCTTCTGGTTTTTATTATTTCTGTTAAAAAATTAGCTGTCAGTGTTACTGGTCTTTTGGTTTTCATTATTTCTGTTAAAAAATCAGCTGTCCATGTTATTGCCGCTCTTTTGAATGTAATTGTCTTTTTTGCTTTTGGCAACTGTTACAATTTTCTCTTGATCTTTGCTTAAATATGATGTTTAGCTGTGATTTTCTTTTTAAGTATTCTTCTTTGGATTCATAATGCTTTGTAAATCTATGGTTTGAGACTTTACATCATTTTTAGAAAAATATCTAGGCAAATATTGCTTCTATCCTGTTCTATTTCTCTCCTCTTTGAACTCTAATTACACATAAATAAGACCATGTACCGAATCATATGTATTTCCTCATATGTAATTCATGTTATCTATAAGTATTTTTCATCTTTTTGGTTTTTAATTCTTTATTCTAGAAACGTTCTTACAATTCATCTTCAAGCTCCCTAATTCTCTCTTCAGCTATGTCTAATCTAATCTGTTAAATCCATCCATTGAGTCATTAATTTCAATTACTATATTTTATCAGTGTTAGAATATCCCTCTTGGTTCCTTTTTAAAGTTTCTTGTTCTCTTCCAAAATTCTCAGATTATCATGTCTTATGCATTAATTGAAGATATAAAGTCCATGTCTGGAAGTCTATTCTCTAGACCACCAGTAAATCTCTTCCTGTTTTCTGTCATTTTCTTCTTTTCAAGTCATGTTGTTTTCTTGTGTCCTAATGTTTACATGGTTATACATGGTCACATACACACATGTACACACATAGGCATGCACATTGTATCTCTCTTTCTCTTTCATAAACACACACACACACACACACACACACACACACACACACACACACACTCATAGAGATAATTTGAAGCTCTGGATGATATATCTCCCAGCCAGGCTGGTGCTAGGAGCATGCTGAATCCTAGACTCACCTTAATCCAATAAGTAATTGAGATTCTTAAACACTGAGTTTTAATCTCCATGTAGGTTTGTATATTCATTATACAACTTGAGTCCAAGGCTATCATCTCTTGGGACAGCAACTAAAGCCTGGACGATTTACCAGTATCCTTCTCTCCTTGAGGGCTTCTGAAGACCAGTGTTTTCCCTAGTCCTTTCAGACTTTCAGAAGCTTTGCTCAAGTTTACAGCTTCTCAATGGACTCTACCACAACTGTACAATGCATTAGAGGGAAAGCATCCCAAAATGCCAAGCTCATCTCTCTGAGTTTCCTTTTCCTGAATTTTGTCTTCACAATTAATTCTGAATTATGGCAGTAATCTGGTGTTTTCAAACATTTGTTGTTTATATTTTGTCCATATGTGCTAATTATTTTCAGTAAGAAAATTAGTTCAATTTACTAGTCATCCAAGTAGCTTCTAAGATTTTCTAATTTTCCTGATATTTTGTGGTTTGTCTGTGATGTGTATAAGAATCAATTTGTTTGTATTTATCCTGCTTGATACTCATTGCTCTTTTTCAATCTGCATCCAATATCTCCTTTCAATTCTTGAACTCTCTGCCATCGTCTTTTTGAACATTGGCTGTCCCCATTGTCTCTAATCTTTTCTGGAATTTTTACTAGACATTTGTTGGAGCCTCTCCTGTCTTCTATATCTTTCAATTTCTCCTCCAAATTATTCATTTACTTATTATCATCTAGTACATTCTAAGTGGTTTCCTTAAAATTATCTAACAATGTTTTAATCTGTCTTCTGGTAAACTACCAATTTTATATATATTTTAGTGGCTATTTTTTATTCTCAAGAATTTCTACTTTTTTTTCAAATGTATCTGTTCTGCTTCATTTTCTTATTATTATGTTCTGGATTATTTTCCCTTATAATTTGAACGTCTTTAATATGTTAATTTTAAAGTATTTTTTAAGGTTGAGAAGAACTAAATATTTATCAGACCAGTTTTCTGAATAGTTCCCACCCTTTCCTTATCCCTAAAGCCATGGCTCTAGATGAGCTATGTCCTCTTAATTTTCTTATTGTATAGATAATATACTCATCCTTTGGTATTCATGAAAGATTTGTTTAAGGACTTCCAGCAGATACCAAATGCACAGATGCTCAAGTCCGTGATATAAAACAGTATGGTATTTTCATATAACCTATGTACATCTTCCTCTATACTTTAAATCACCTCTAGGTTACTTACAATAGGTAATACAATGTAAATGCTATGTAAATAGTTGCTATACTGTATTGTTTAGGGAATAATAGCAAGGAAAAAAGTCTGTAAATGTTTAACAGAGATGCAATTTTTAAAAAATATTTTTGATCTCTAGTTGGTTGAATCCATGGATGCAGAAATCCGTGGATGTGGGCGGCAACTGTCCAAGAGTTTTACCTTTGCACCAAAGCATAATGTAGTCTTGAGGTTCTGATTAGTAATGGTGAGTATGCTTTCATCATATTAGTAAGACGACCCTAATTCCACTTTGTATCCTTGAACAGGGGCTAGAGTTTTACTAGGAAGCAGCCTTTCTTGCAAAGTATCCATTTTCATCTCCCTCCAGATACAAAGCTTACTGCTGGGCTCCTGCTCTGTCTTTGGTATTCAAAGCGTGCAGCTTTCATCTGGTTGTGTAACCTGGGCCATATGGCCTCCAATCCTACTCAGTTATTTATTGATCCTCTTTATCATTGATACCTGAAGAATTCACTTCTTGCTTTCAAAATTGGCAATGTATTTTTTAAAATAATTTAATCCACTATCTTGTATTTTTATGTGTTTGGAGTAGAGAATAGTGAGTTAATGAGGCCACTTCCAGAATTTGCCTGGTCTACCGACTTGAAAGAGAGCCAGAATATTCTTTAAACTTCTAAGTGCAGTCATGTTTGTCAAGAAATGCTGGTGTGTCTGCTGGAAATTTATCATAAAAATTCTAACTTCTCTGCCTCTTCCTGACAAAATAAATAAATTAGATCAATTGCTTGAACCCAAGATCAAACTATATACATTATAAAAATGTATATACATATCAAAACATAATGTACACTATAAGTAGGTATGATTTTTATTTGTCAATTATCCCTTATTAAATCTGAGAAAAAACAAATGAAATAAATACATAAAAATAATAGTTATCTGTGTTAGGGGAAAAAAATTTATAGCCTTTAACCTTATCCCCAACTTTATTACCAATAGATGAGAGTGCATTATTAGGCTTTACTTCAAGTATTTTTCTCAGCTGTGCCTTGGTCTAATACAATAAACCATGTATCATGAAAAAATGTAAAATGTTACCTTCATAAGCTAAGAAATTATGCATTAGATAGCCTATTTACTGGTGTTGGTGGTAGAGAAATAGCCTGTCTTGGACCTCATTTCCAAAGAGGTTTACTATGAAGTATTCAACAGACTTCATTATCAAACAGTGTCTTCTGTTTTCTCATTACTGTGTTGCTTCCAAGGACCATAGTCAGGAGTCAGAGGTCATTTGAGAGTATAATCCTACAAATATATATGTACACATTTCACTGATGGACCTTGTTGCTGCCTATCTGAAGAAACTATACTATTTACTCAGCAGCAAAATCAGCACCACTGCTCTTTTTCCCCCAAAGTCTCAAACAACACCCAGCCCATAGTAGGACCCTTACAAAAGTTAGTTGGGTAGTTAGAGAAGTAAATGACTGGAGAGAAATGAGAATGCTGAGACTATAGTATTGATCACTTGCTGCAACTCTCAATGTAGACTCCTAAAGTCAGGCAGGAGAATAGTTTTAGTCCTGCAGTCCATGGGGATCTGGACTACTAAGCAGATAACCCACAGCTCTTTCCTGGACTTCTAAGGGTTTTTGTCATATAAGTAATCTAAGTAATCTAAAGCTTTAAATATTTTTAGTTCCTTGTATAAAAGACAATCGATGCAGCAAGTATTTATTATTGCTGAACGCAAGCTTGGGAATTAATAGGCATAGTCTTGGCTGTATACCTTGAGTGAGTCACTTCTCCCTTTGAGACTTCAGTTTCCTAATCTGTAATTTGAAGTTTGAAAGGCTTTGACTAGATGGCATTTTAAGGCCCCTCCCAGTATGAACATTCTCTGATGTGTTAGTGACCTTCTAGCAGATGTAGTAACAATAAAGCAGATTTTTGATTGGGTTATTTTTTAAGCAATATGGCTATTTCCAAATAGCCAGTGGTTATTAAAAATATAAACACAATTCCTGCTTCATTCATGATATTTCTCCAAAAATCAGCAGGTTATTTACCATATATATTTTCAACAACTCAAAAGCCAGGGTTTATAGTAATACCAGCCTCCCTTTACACAGTGCATTTTATTCTAAAGTGCATTATCTTTAGAATTACCCTGAGACATTCTTTCAGTCAGTCATGAATGCAACTATTTCAGTAAGGAAAAAAAAAATCACCTCTATTCAAGCACACACCTGTGTGGCCAGACGAGAACTGAAAAACAAATCTGCTGCATTTGGGGAGGGAATTCCCAGTAGAGGAAATGAGGAAATGGAAAGCCCTTTGGTGGGGATTAGAATCCTGAGTCCCATCCCTCATTCAGCACTTCAAGCTGTGTGGCCTTGAGCATATCACTTCACCTTCAGCTTCTCTTGAATGAAATGGAAGGTTCTCTAGTGACTGTCTAACCCTGGCTGTGCCACAGGATTACCTACAGACCCTTCTACATGCACGGTATTGGGCCCCATCCAATATAATGAAATCAGTACTTCCAGAGGTGGGGCTTTGTAATATATGTCATTAAAAATCCTTCCAGTGAATTCTGGCTTCACACAGACCAGTATTTGGAGATAAGCAGGCTTAGAATCAGATCTCTCTCAGTCTTGATTTTTTAGGATTCTGTGAATGCATCTTCTGGATGAATCACTCCCAAATCTCCTAAGTATATGTAATACAATCTCTATTAGCAGTGATGGGTCCTTCTGAGGAAGATTAAGAAACAAGCAATGACAGAAAGATACCTTTATCTTCAGAGATATGGTAATCTAGTCTAATTATTGAATCCATTCAACAAATATTTATGGACAATCTATTATATGTATACAAATGTGCCAGGGACTAGGGAAAAACATGAACAAGTCTCACAGATCTTGTATTTGTTGGAGGATACAGACAAATAAAGAGGCTATTAGAAAGCAGAGTAATAAGGTGATTAAAATAAGAATAGGGTGCACAGGGCATGTTACAGGGGCTATAATACAGATTTCAGAAGACCAGGGAAGGCTTTCTGGAGGAAGAGACATCTAAGTTGAAGCCTGAAAGGCAAGGAGAGAATGAAGAAGAGGGTTCCAACTGGAGGAAGCAGCTTGGGTAAAAGCGAGGAAGTCCATGCTAGTATAGGGTAAGCACTGAAAGATATGGTTGGTGCGGGGGTTTATTAAGGAGAATTGACTCACATGATCACAAGGTGAAGTCCCACAGTAGGGCACCTGCAAGCTGAGGAGCAAGGAAGTCATTCTGAGTCCCAAAACCTCAAAAGTAGGGAAGCCAACAGTGCTGCCTTCAGTCTGTGGTCAAAGGCCCGAGAGCCCCTGGTAAAGCACTGGTGTAAGTCCAAGAGTCCAAAAGCTGAAGAACTTGGAGTCTGATGTTCAAGGGCAGGAAGCATCCAGCACAGGAGAAAGATGAAGGCTGGAAGACTCAGCAAGTCGGCTCCTTCCACCTTCTTCTGCCTGCCTTTTTCTAGCCACCTGCCTGCATTCCTTCTGGCTGGCAACTGATTAGACTGTGCCCTCCCAGATTGAGGGTGGGTCTGCCTCTCCCAGCCCACTGACTCAAATGTTAATCTCCTTTGGCAACACCCTCACAGACACACCCAGGAACAATACTTTGCATCCTTCAATTCAATCAAGTTGACACTCAATATTAACCATCACAGGATGAGAACAAGAGATGAAGCTGGAGAGCAGGAGGGGGAATCAGGGACCAGACCACGAGTGTGGGTATCAGGGTTCCAGCAGTGACACCACTTTGGGAACTTGTCAAGTCCTGACCTGGAGTCTGGTATGTGCCCCTGTGTACCCAGCTGAGTTTGAAGGTATGGCCCCAGCCTTTCCCAGAAATGCTGCTCACCCATATTAGAGGCAATCGGCACTGGACAAGTGTGATGAGGTAACACTATTTTTCTAAGTGCTTTATTTCCCTGAACATGCCGTTTATTACATTTTGGGTTTTAACTAAGGCTCACAGGAATGGACTGGAAGGATGTGGCTTCCCAGCTCAGGTTCAGAGTAAAGCAGCATGCCGAGTGAGCATGTTTCCAGAGCCCAGAGGGAGAAGGCCCAGGTGAAGGCTGCCATCTGGGGTGTGCCAAGAGGGTGGAGGTAAAGAACCACCATGGCAGGGCACCACCCTCTCCAACCCTGACACTACTTTGAATTATCAGAAAACATACAGATTTCTGCCTTACAGAAGACCCTTTTATTTTTTGCTTTTATAACTTTATTATGATATACTATCAAATGTACAGAAGAATCACAAGTACTTCCATATATTCCTTACTCAGTCTCCTTATATATTAAAATTTTGCCCATATTTATTATGTTATTGCCTCAAATTTTATACATACTATTTTCTGAATCATTGGAGAGTAGTTTCATATGTAAACAAATATATATTTTACTTTTAATTTGCCAGATACAACTTTATTTTTTTAATTTTTAATTTTTGTGGGTACATAGTAGGTGTCCATATTTATGGGTTACCTGAGATATTTTGATACAAGGATGCAATGCATAATAATCCCATCAGGGTGCATAGGATATCCATCACCTCAAGCATTTATCCTTTGTGTTTCAAGCAATCTAATTATAATATTTTAGTTATTTTAAAATGAAGGATTAAATTATTTTTTATTATAGTCACCTTGTTGTGCTAGCAAATACTAGTCTTAATTATTCTTTCTTACTATTTATTGTACCCATTAACCATCTCCCACTCCCGCCCACGATTACCCTTCCTAGCGTCTGGTAACCATCCTTCTGGGAGTAGTTACATATATCACGCCTCTTTATTCCTAAATATTTCCATGTGTATTTCCTCGGAACATTCATACATAGTCACAGTGCAATTATCAATGTTTTTAAAAAAATTAACATTATTATAAAAGTGTTATCTTATCCAGGGTCCATATTCAAATTTTGCCAACTATCTCCCAAAACGTTTTTTATTGCTATCTATTCCTAATAAAGCATCAAATCCAGTATTACACGTTGTATTTAGTTGCCATATATCTTAGTTTGCTTTAATCACTAGCAGTTCACTATGTACATCATTTCATTTAATCCTCATAACTGAGGCTCAGAAATGTTTAAGAAACTTGCCCAAAGTCATAGAGATTGAAATCCCAGTCTATTTGATTCCAACGAGTCTTTTCTTTCCATGATATCATCCTGACCATAATTAAGATATTATGTTCTTCTAACATGGAACCAACTATCTCTCAGAACTATCAGAGAAAAGATTCGGTTTCTTGTCCAAGATGTATCATTTGTTAAGTGCATGAGCTTGAGGTGCTCATAGACTTATTTGTTGAGCCTCACTTTCCTTTCTTGCATAATGAGAGCCATGCCTGCCATTGCTAACCTTACAAGGTTGCTGTGAGGTACTAAAAGAATGAGCATGTAAATGATCTTTGTAAATTATAAAGCTAGAAACATATAAAAACCTACCAGTGGCACAGTCACACTAAGGTGCAAATGGCTGAAATCAGACCCTACACTGAGTAATGACAGAAAAAAACGGAGCAAGAATTAAACAGAATAATAAAATATTCACATAGAAAGGTAAAAAGGCAAAAGAATAGGCTGAAGATAGTGGAAGGACATGTTTCAGCTACGTCCTAACTTTTCTGAACCAGTTCCTTCCCAGACCCAAGGTGCTATGCTAAACTTTTCCATATCACTTTCCTGGGTTTATCTAAGATTCCAGAATCCATAGACTGCTCCCCTCTCCCTCCACCCATACACACACTCACACTCACTCCACCATCCCTGGGAGAAGTTTCTTCCTTCTCCAAATATGTACAAAACCACCAGTCCCTAAGCCCAAGTGGGCTGGCTGAGATCAGGGCTATTCTGGGGCAGCCAGTTTGCACGCTGATAGGGGAGGATTAATGAGACAGTCTGCTCATCCATTGCAATTAGAAACAACACTGGAACTATTCTGAGGCTATTTCTATGCAGGGAACTTGAACTGCTCATCAGCCCTCCTCACTCAGAGACCTGTGGGTAATTAGGGCCGTGTTAAATATAGGAGAATCAACCCAGAGCAGCCCCATCTGTGCCGGCGCCTTGGGTTCTGAGGATACACTGTGCCCTCAGCTAGCACTCCAACAGCAGTAAAGGGGGATTTAGCTTCAACCTGGAGGATTTGGGTGTTGCTTAACTCAAGCTAAAAATGCCCTGGCCTTTTAGGCCCACATGGGCTGTCAGATAAAACTCAGGAGTGAAAACCACATCAGCCCCAGGAAAGCACCTGACATTTATGGGCCCTATTTGCCAAGCCACAGGGTTGCCACCAACTCATTAAAAAGGACAGTTTAGCTTAGGATGAAGGCATGGAGGGAGTGCAGTGTGTCTGTAAACCTTATATTTGAAGAAGAACAACTAAAAAAACAAAAACAGTGGGTAAGGAAGGATGCTATAGTATGTAATTACAACACCCTCTGACTCCAAACAGTTGTGTGGACACTGGGTCATTATGCAGGACTTTTCTGTCCTTCTGAAAAGACACTCCTAAGTAATAAGCTCATAGCACACAAGATTGGATAATACTGCACAGTCATTATTTTCTCATGGTGTTGCTCAGGGGTGGAGGGGTTGCTGAGTATATTAGTTTCACTTTACGGATTTTATTTTCTAGAAGTTGTTGGGGGAGATAGTAAACTCAGACCCATAGGTAGAGCCCACAATAGGTCCCAGAGAGAGCAATCCTGAGTTCCTGTGGCCACTAGTCTTCATGGTAATTACCTCTTTGCAAAATGCATCCTCTGGGGCCTGCTACTCAAAGTGTGGTCCTTGGATTGGCAGCTTTGGTCTCCACCTAAAGTGTGGTAGAAATGCAGAATCTCAGGTCTCATCTACTCAATCAGAACCTGCCTTTTAACAAGGTCCCTTGGTGATCCATATGAACTAAGAGAAATATTAAAGTTTAAGAAATATTCTCCAGGAGGCCCATTGCCTTGTGTCTGGGAGAGGGTGTGAGGCCATTTGTTGCAATGCCCCAGGTATTTGTTGTTTGCTTGTTTGTGGTTGGTTGGTTTGTGTTTCCTGATGTCTGATGATTAGAAAGTCTTACAACCTCCCAGGCTTCCAGGATGGGTGCATTTGAGGGTCCTAAGGTAAAATTTTAGGCCAAGCCATCATTCTTAAGCCTTTCCATTTCATCCATCTCACAAGGGATGAGGATTCAAAGGTTCTAGACTGGGAGGGCCTGTCTCCTAATTGATTTAGGACATTCAGTTGTGTTTACGGTTACCAAATGTCATAGGGGCTTGTCCTGCACTGATCTATAGCTCAGTGACTAACATCCTCAAGATGCGGAAGTGGCTTGGTGTGTTCCTGTAGCTGTATACCTTGTTTCCATGGAGCCCATTTTTTATTCACGCTAAGTTTGCCTGGCCTTACAAAACTTCTTGGGTGGTAGCAGGGGCCACTGTATCCTAAGCAGATCCACTGGAATCAATTTTTGGTGGAAGCTGGCTCCAGTAGAGGTCAACTGCCCCAGATAAAAAAGGAAATTGCTGTTTTTCCAGGTATTTGGAGGGCTTGCTGGCCAGGCAGGTCGCTGTCAGGGTTTGAAGGCACTAAGACCCAGGAAGTAGACCCTCAGCCCAGCTGTTGAGACAGATCCAGACTCTCCGTCTCTGACAAGCCATTTGGACTGTCTTTTCTGAGTTCTTTATATTTTCCTAATTCATGGGCTTCAGGCAATCACAACCACCCAATGACATCCTCTTTCAGCTGCAAAGTACCATGGGGTGATGGACAGTGCACTATCCTGGAGACACTATTTCACAGGCGATTTTGCATCCACTTAGCCCCATCTGAAGTTGACTCAAGTGGACTAGTATGGGCAGCAAAGAAGCTCACAGACGATGGCATCTCTAGGAGTACTAAGCTACCGAGATGACCGAGAAGAACAGTTATGATAAGGTGACAGGCTGCATTTCTCCAATCCTGAGTAGGAAACGTATTTTCATCCCACATGGTAACTCAAGTTCTATGGTTGTCAGGAGCTTCTAATGTCCCCATATTAAGAATCACACAATGTAATACACCACTAGCTATCACATGACACATGGGAGAGAGTTTCAGAAGAAGAATGTCACATTGGTTCTACTTACTTATCCCTAAGTAATTCTCCTCTTGCCCATGGAAGCAACAGAAGTGCCATTTGCAGATTACCTTCTTTTTTGATTTGTTTCTTTGACAAAGTTAAATGCCCAGGCCAGACTATGTAAGTATTACAAGTATAGCAGTGAACAGGCAGATACGCTTCCTGCCTAATGAAACCTACTTCTTGGTGAGATACACAGACATTAAATAAGCAATCAGAGAATTAATGCGCAATTAAAATTGTGACAAGTGTGACAAAGAAAACATACAGGATGCTGTATACAGTGGTTGTTTGTAAACGAGCTTTCAAAAAAAGCCCTGATTTGTAGCATCTGCCAATTTCTGCAGTGTAAATATATCCACAGTTAATTTCAAGCTATGGGCAGTTGCAGTTGCCAGCTCACGCAGTTCTAGAATATTCAACAATCAGCTCTGGTTAGCCAGCATGAGCCAACTTCAGCAGACCACTGCGTCACATCAGATATTATAGAGAAGGACTAAACTGAGCTATGGGGGGTCAGAGCTTTTCTGATGAAGTGAAATTTAAAGTGAGCCTTGAGGGATCATCAGTAATTTGCTAGGGAAGGAGTGAGAGCAAAAGACTTTTCATGCGTAAGGAATAACTTGTACAATGCATAAGGAATAACGTGCATAAGGAATAACTTGTACAATAACTTGTACAAAAGAGGTAAGAAGGAACATGGTGTTTTATGTAATGGGAGAAGATCAGTGTGGGGAAGCTTAGTGTGCCTCCAAACCAGATGAAATAGATACTATTATAATTATCCTCATTTGTAAGGAAACTGAGCTGCAGACAGCCTGAATAACCAAGTAACTAGCTCAAGGTCATACAACTGCAAAGTGGTAGGGTGTGGATCTGAATCTTGGCAATCTTTCTCTAGAGGCTGCCATGCTATCACTTTGTGCTGCCTTTCAGCTGAGAATGGAAATGGTAGGCAAGGGCCCAAACCATGCAAAAGCTAGTAAAATGGCTTTCTTCTACAAGCAATATCAAATTCGTTTCTCAAGGCATTTCTCTAGGCCAGCAGATCTTACCTAACCCATTTGGTTAGGAGACCATAGGAAAATCTGATGAAAGATGTAGACAGCCTCATCATAATGAATGTGTTCAAACACATACACAAATTTACATATGTTTTTTGATGGCTCACAGACACCCTAGTCCATTTATAATCTCCTTAGTAGTCCAAACATTGCAGAAAAGCAATCTGTGGGCTGCATTTTCCCCTCCTGCTGGCCTCCTGCCTCCTATCTCTATCTTAGATACTTTTGTTGATTCAGTTCTTGCTCTCTGCCATCTTACAAGAAATTTGCAAGCTTCCAGGAACAGAAGATTTCATCTTTCACTGAAGCCCTGGGGCCATGTCATTTAAAATACCTCTAGCAAGAGTGCTGGGCTATGGTCAGGAAATGATTTTCATCTCAACCTGCTCTCTGACAACTTTCTCCCCTGTTTCCCTATCCATAACATGGAAATTTGTTAGCACCTATATTTAGTGCTTTGCTTGAAGACCCATATCCTGGCACTTCCTATGTTAAAATATGCCATAAAAATCCAAATGTGCCGGGTGCGGTGGCTCACGCCTGTAATCCCAACTCTCAGGGAGGCAGAGGTGGGAGGATGGCTTGAGCCCAGGAGTTCAAGACCTGCCTTGGCAATATAGTGAGACCCCGTTCTCCACAGAAAGAGAGGGGGAAAAAAAGACAAAAAAAGGAAATTACCAGACCCTTCGGCCGGGCATGGTGGCTCACCGCCTGTAATCCCAGCACCTTGGGAGGCTGAGGTGGGTGGATCACGAGGTCAAGAGATGGAGACCATCCTGGCTAACACGGTGAAACTCCGTCTCTACTAAAAATACAAAAAAAAAAAAAAAAAAAAAATTAGCCGGGCATGGTGGTGGGCATCTGTAGTCCCAGCTACCCAGGAGGCTGACGCAGGAGAATGGCGTGAACCCGGGAGGTGGAGCTTGCAGTGAGCCGAGATCGCGCCACTGCACTCCAGCCTGGGTAACAGAGCGAGACTCCGTCTTAAAAAAAAAAAAAAAAAAAAAAAAAAATCCAAATGTATGTCTATAATTCAGTTTACAATAAGTCTACTTTTCACTGAATTATATTTGAGAGTAAAATTGTATTAGAGTATTGAATTACATTTCAGAGTAAATTTCTGGTATAATTATGCTTTACTCTGACTTCTTCATAATTGTTTTTGAATTTGTAGGTGATATTCAGAAAAGTGTTCTGAGACCTTTGGAAAAAAACCCCATATAAATGCAGAGCATTACGACTGTAATAATAATTATTTTGCTGCTATTTCCACCATTGATCCTGAAACTATTTTTTCCTCTGCTTCCAATTAGCTATTTTCTCCCTCCCATCCAAAATAAGGAGTGACAGCTTTAAATTAGCTAAAGATAAAAAAAAAAAAAATCCTTGAAGTACTGTCTGCAGTGA
Organism: Homo sapiens; assembly: GCF_000001405.40. Taxonomy (NCBI): domain Eukaryota; kingdom Metazoa; phylum Chordata; class Mammalia; order Primates; family Hominidae; genus Homo; species Homo sapiens. The sequence continues at coordinate 221,692,657 of NC_000001.11, forward strand.
CAACCTTACGAGGTAGAGGAGAGCTTTTTGATACCATCCCACACACCAGCTTATGAGAGCTGATTGTTAAATATTTTGGAGTTTTATAAGTTGACAACTGTTTTAGATGTCAAAAGCCAATGGAGTAAAAATGCTCTGATGAGTCAATAATAAAATACTGAGCAATACCACAACCAAGACACTGACGTAAGTGTTATAGGGAAGACCAAGTATGTCTTTAACCTATAGTCTAAATAGATACATGGGAGGCTATGGGCCCCTCAAGGGTAGAGTCTTCTTAATAAACACTTGCCATGGTTTGGGCCACTGAAAGATATCAATGAAACACATGTTTGTTGAATGAACAAATAAATGGATAAATGCTAAGGTGCAGTGCTGCCTAGCATTGGGAAGATGACTTTCAAGAGAATCCCAGAGACTCATGTCCAGATTAGGAGAAAGGAAATGTCTTTCTGATGACTTCCTTGAAATTGACATATATAAGGAATAAGGACTAATGAATAAATACTTGTGTTCTGTTCTTTTCTTTGGGCCTTTTTCTCTACCTCTCTTACTTATCTTCCTGACTTGGTAGAGTGTAATCCATTTGAAATACTGCTCAGTGGAGCCCCCAGTGGTTTAGTAGATCTGTGAAATTCGATATTATTTTCTTACAAAAACTCTCCTCTGGGGGTAGTAACCTTTGTCAGTCTCCTAGTTTTGGCTTTGTTGTGCAAAGTGAACTATCGTGGATTAAAGATGGCCACAAGTTCTTTGCTACTCTATGCATTGAGAAGTGAAGTCTAATTACCCAACCCTTGGATCTGGGCTTGCATTACTGATTCATTTAATAAATAGAATTTGGCGGAAGTGATCCAGAACTTTGGAATTTAAGTGATTTAGAAGACTTACAACTTTCATCCATGCCTTTTGGAATCCTTGTTCTTGGAAACTAGCTGCCATGTTTTCAGGAAGCCCAAGCATCCCTATGAAGAGGTCCATGTGGAGAGGATCCAAGGTATCCAGTGGATAACCCTGGATGAGTTCCAAGTCAACTATAAGAAGCACTTGCCAGTCATTTGAGCAAGCTATCTTGGAAGTACGTTCTCCAGCCCCAGTCAAGCCTTCCCAGAAGACATTTCTTATCTGCATGAGTTTATCAGAGATGAACTGTCCCTATTGAACCTGCCTAAAACAGATTAGTGAACAAAACAATTGTTATTGTTTTAAGTCCCTAAGTTGTGTAGTAGTTTATTATGCAGCAATAAGCAACATGCCAAAATAGTAAACAAAAGGAATATTGAATTCTTAAAGGAGTATGAAGATTAGAGCCACCAACAGGAACTGAAACAAAATGCAAGGATGGTGATTCCTACCAAATTCCCCATTTATTTTGCTGATTTATCCTATGCAGAACACAGATGAATTTTGAAGAATGACAGTGAATTTTTAATATCTCAATCAGATGTTGGCTCCAATTGCAGCTGTTGTTCCAACTGTAGTTTCATTGATGGAACAAATCAATAGGGCTCCTGGCACCTGGTCAGGAGCCACTGAGCTGGCAAATGCTTATTTCTCTATACCTGTTAATAAATTCCAGAAATTAGCAAATTACAGCTCATGGGCCAAATTCAGACTACTGGATTTTTATAAATAAAGTTTTATTAGAACACAGTTACATTTCTCTATTTACATATTAGGTATGGCTGCTCTTATGCTGCAACAGCAGATTTCAGTAATTATGGCAGAGACCATATGTCCTCCAAATTCTAAAATATTTATTTTCTAGCTTTTTACAGAAAATGTTTGCTAACCTCTGGTATATACTATCAGAAGCAATTTGCTTCCAGCCAACAGGGTTACTAATGTACCTCCACTGTCCTACTTCAGGGCTATTTCAACTTTACAGCCCTGTGTTGTAATCTAGTCCACAGGGACCATAATTGTCTATCCATTCCATCAGATACCATGCAGGCACATTATATTAATGATATTATATCATGATTACTGTACCTGGTAAATAGGATAAAGTAACTAGTTCTAGATATGATGTTAAGATACTTGCATACCAGAGAGTGATAAATTCCACAAAATTCACTTTATATCCACTGAATGTTACTGAAATTTGTAGTGATCTACTTGTTTTGAGCATTCCAAGATATTCCTTTCATGAACATGATGACAGGTTGCTATATCTGACCTCTCCTACTATTAAGAAAGAGGGATAATGTCTAATGGGCCTTTGTGGATTTTGAAGAGAATATATATTTCATTGGGCATGCTACTACAATCCATTTACCAAGTAAGATGTAAGGTCATTAGTTTTGTGTGAGGTCCAAAACAAGAAAAGCCTCTACAATACAAGGCTGCCATACAAACTGCTCTTACATCTAGATCCAGTAGATTCCATGGTGCTAAAAATGTCTCTGTTAGGCAGGAATCTTGCATGAAGCCATTAACCTGATAGATGAATCATAGAGCAGACATTTAGAATTCTGGAGCAAAACTATAACAACTTCTTCAGAAAAATTCTTCTTTTAATTCAGATATTCTTCTTTTCTCTTCAAAATTCTTCTTTAGAATACCAGTTTGAAACTGGAAGCTTGATCATGGGCCATCAAGTTATAATGCAACCTGAACTGCCCATGATGAACTAAGTGTTGTTGATCCATCAAGCCTCTAAGTTGTGCATGAATGATCAAATGGAAGCCTCTAAGTTGTTCATTCAATGATCAAATGGAAGTAGAATATATGAGATCAAGCACAAGTATATTAAATAAGCAAGTGACCCAGTTACCCATGGTGTCTATTTGTGCAACAATAGCTTCAGAATCTTACACCCATGGCCTCATGGGAAGCACTCAGTGACCAGTGGACTGAAAAATATTTGGCATTGTTTACAGAAATTTTTGTGTGATATTCTGGTATCATCCAAAACCGAATGACTAAATCATTGTGGCCCTATACTGGTGGTGTGGGGAAGAAAAATTTTCCCAGTAATAAGAACTTCCAGCAGTGTACCTAATTGTTCATTTTGCCTCAAAGGAAAGACAGCCAGAGGTATAAATCTACATTGCTTCATGGGCAGTTGCTAACGTTTAGATGGATAATAAGGGACTTAGAAGAAACATGACTGGAAAATTAGTGACAGGAAAATCTAGGGAAGAAGTAAATGGATAGACTTTCCTAAATGGGCCCATGTGAATGTTGATCAAAGCTCAACCTCAGCATGTAAGAATCTTAATAATGGACAAGAGAACACATTCTGCAGACCTCTATCAGGTTTTTCTTTCCAGTTTCTTCTGTTCTTGACCAATGAGCTCGTGAACAAAATAGCCATGATGGTAGACATGGAGGGTATGCATGAATTCAGCAACATGAACTTCTACTCACAAGGCCTGAAAGGGCAGTATTTTGTTCTTGCTCCATAGAAACTTACTCTTTATAGGGATTTGTCTTCCCTACCTGTAATACCTTTGCCAAAATCAGTATCTGTGGACTTAAAGAATTCTTATATCTTATTTCCCTTCATGTTATTCCACAGTGCTTTGCTTTTGACCAAGGAACTTACTTTGCAGCAAATGAAGAATAACAGACTCATGCTCATGGAATTCATTAGTCTTAACTTGTTATTCATCACTCTAAAGCAGTAGAAAGGTGGAATTCTTCTTTTAACTATTTACTGTGCTAGATGGATGGAAACACTTTGCAGGGCTAGGATAATGTCCTGAAAGATGCAGTAAATTCTCTAAATGATCAATCAATGCATGTTGCTGTTTCTCTCTTATCCAGATTTCATAGATCCAGGAATCAAGGGGGAAAAATGGAAAGGGCTCCTCTTACTGTTACCCATAGTGATCCACAGCAAAATTTATTCTTTCTATTCTCAACTTTAGACTCTGCTGGTCTAGAAGTTCTGGTCCCCAAGGGAGAGATGCTTCTACTAGGAGATACAGCAATGATTCCATTAAGATGGAAGTTGATACTCCCTGCTGCCGACTTTGGGCTCCTTATGCTAAAGAATCAACAAGCAAAGTCAGATATTGGTGTATTGGCTGGGATGACTGGGGAAATTGGATTACTACCAGATTATAGGAGTAAGAAAAAGTGTGCCTGGAATTCAAGATCATATCTTATACTCTCAAGTCTTGTAATTACTTTTGTTGCTGTAACGAACAAAGTAAGTGGAAAATAACCCAATGCAGGCTCAATTGCAAAAGCTTGGATCCCTCAAAAATGAAAACTGACATCACCCCAACAGGCAAGAAACCATGACTAGGTGATGTGCTTGCTGAGGACACAAGTATATGGAATGGGTAGTGAAAGAAGGAAGTTATAAATACCAGCTATGACCACAAGATCAGTTATAGAAATTAGGATGGTAAGAATTATGAATATTTATTTTTTGATATAAATATATTTGGTTGTATATTAACCAATTCTTTTTTCTACCCCATCCACCATCTAATATAAAATGGGGTAATAATAGTCTTTGTATTAGTTCCCTAGGGCTGCTATAACAAAGTACCACAAATTGGGTGGCTTAAAACAACAGAAATTTATTTTACTGCAGTCTGTATGCGAAAAGTCCTAAATCAATGTGATAGTGGGGTCACTTCCTTTTTAGAAGCTCTGAGGGAGAATCTGTTCAATGAGTCTCTTGTAGCCTCTGATGGTTGCTGGTAATCTTTGATGTTCCTTTGTCCAATCTCTGCCTCCATTGTTACGTGACATTCTTTGTGTCTGTGTTCAAATTCCCCTCCTCTTATAAGTACACCAGTCACTGAATTAGAGCCCATCTTAATCCAATATGACCTCTTCTTGATTATATCTGCAAAGACCGTATTTCCAAATAAGATCATATTTACAAGGTTCAGGGTTTAGCACTTCAACATGGCTTTTTGACAGACACAATTCAACCCATAATATCATTATATCTCAGTATATTCAAATGACATGACATCGAAGGGAAAGTGGATCTTAGCTAAAAAAAGACTGAATATCATCCCAAAATGGACAAAGTAACCTATGAGGCTATGTATCTTTTTTTTTTTTTTTTCTGTGGCATCATCTCACTCTATCACCCAGGCTGGTGCAGTGGTGCAATCTCGGCTCGCTGCAACCTCTGCCTCTTGGGTTCAAGTGATTAGAGTAGCTGGGATTACAGGCATGCACCACTATGCCTGTCTAATTTTTGTATTTTTCGTAGAGACAGGTTTCACCATGTTGGCCAGGCTGGTCTCGAACTCCTGACCTCAAGTGATCCACCCACCTCAGCCTCCTAAAGTGCTGGGATTACTGGTGTGAGTCACTGCACCCAGTCGTCTTTTAAATGTGTTTTCATCTGTAGAACTGATAGTTGCATCATACTACATAGAAGCATCGTTTTGCTAATGTCTTCATTTGGAAGTTATATTTAGTTAAGAGAAGTGGACATGGATGCCAAGTTGGCAAGGGATGGACTTTGGTAGCTTTCTACAGTATCAAATTGGCTAAATCAGGAGCTATATTTTCCAGAATTTCCTCTCCTGATTCACACTGAGTTAAGGTTAGCCTTAGGGGAAATTTGCATGAGGTTGGAAAAGCAGAATTGAAGCAGCAACCATTTGAAGGGGGCACCAAACTCTATGATGGCAAGCACACATTTACCCTGATGTGGTGACTCACCTGGACTTAGCGCAGCAGCTGTAGTTGAAGCTCCCAAAGCTCTGTCTTCAGCTTTGCCAAGTCCTATGCTAGGTACATGTTCAGCTCCATGGCAGAGGGCACTAGATCCTTCTGGAAGTCACCCCCATTGAGGTTGGTAAAAGGCTGATGTGGGTTCCAGTTTTTCCTCCTAATTCCAATTCTTTGTTCTTCTCTACTTCATGCCCAGCTTTTGTTACTGGTGGCTGTGCTGACCCGGAGAGTTCAGCCCATTATCAGACAGATGCAACACACTCCCATTGACTTCTTCACCAGATCCCACACTTGCCTGAGGTCTAATCCCTGGAATAAACCCCTCATTCTATGTCACTGTTTCTGCTTCTTATTAAACACCGATACATGCACCTTGTATCAAACACTGACAAAGGTTGTCACGAAGGAAGAAATCAGGAACCACAGAAAGCACTGGTGTTCATATTCCACCACCTCAAAAAGGCAGGAAGTCTTCTACAGATAGGTGTGATTTGGGGCACTTCTGAATTATGACCCATCCTTCTGGGTGCCAGTGCTAAAATAGTCATTTTCTACCACCCTTCATCTGACCTCCATTCATATGCAACAACTGTCTCCAATCAGAGCTTGAAACCAAACAGCAACTATATTTCCTGATATTTCATGTTTGGGGAAAAAAGCATAAAATAAAATGTGTTGTGACCTATTTACAAGAGCCTGTCCCCAAATAATGTGAAGGCCATCATTGATTGATCTCTATTTAACTTGGCTCATTGGACTTCTTACCATCAGAATATCTAGTTGAGCAATTTATTAGCATTCTATCTTAGTCAGCTTCTGGAGTGTAATTCAGGTCCTAGTTCCTTACTCTGACATAGGTTTTTTTCTTTTCATTTTAGCCTCCCATTTTCTCCTGTTTCCCGTATTACGAAAGGCCATGTTTCCCCTTTACTGCCAGCATGTGATTGTGTGGTTGTGTACATTTTTTCTTGAATATTTCCCCTTGTACATGTTTTTTGTCAGCTTCCTTGCCCTACCTCCCATGATGCCTTTCCTTATCCAGAAGACACTGGCACAAACTCTTTCAAGAAATGAAAACTCCCTATCATGGTTCACATGCATTGATTGGAAAAGTATTAACTATTGAAATAAATGTAATATATATAGAAACCTAAAGCTACTGTTTTGTTCAACCTAAGATAACAATGCTTGCTGTATTTCTTTAAATTAGTTACAGGTTCACTCTACTAAGTAATTAGATTCATTTAATATAAAACAACCGTTGCTGGATTCTGAGAATGGTTCATGCGTTGGTCAGGGACTTGGCTTTCTTGGGGAGACACAATTATTTCCTAGGGCAGCCTTATAGCTCCCAGACAGCTAGTGAGGCCCAGCAACATGTGGAGTCTGGTTTCTAGAGCTATGGCTTGGTTAATCTGTATTATTTTCATGAAGTGGTTAACATTCCTTATGAAGAAATGGAGGCTAAGTGACTCACAGCAGATTAGTAGAAAAGACCTGAGTCCCTCTCAGAATCTTTGGTATTCTGGTTGGCAGGATTACTGTTTGCCCCAGGATAGGCTTTTCTCTCAAAATCATAAACTTCCAAAAACATAAATCATTTCCATGTGGATAAAGATGAGAAACTGTATTGACTTTTCTCTGTTTTGTTAGAAAGAAAGAAAAAAGAGAGAGGGAAAGAGGGAAAGAGGCAAAGAGAGAAAGAGGGAAAGAGGGAAAGAGGCAAAGAGGGAAAGAGGGAAAGAGGCAAAGAGGGAATGAGGCAAAGTGGGAAAATGGGAAAGGGAAGGGAAGGGAGAGGGAATGGAAGGGAGAGGGAAGGGAAGGGAGAGGGAAGGGAAGGGAGAGGGAAGGGAAGGGAGAGGGAAGGGAAGAGGGAGGGAAGGAAAGAGGGAGGGAAGGAAAAGGAAGGGAGGGGAACAAAGAAAAAGCAGAAGGAAAGAAGGAAGGGACAGAGGGAGGCAATATACCTTACATGCTATCAGAAATTTAACACTTAGACTTAAAATAACAAAAAGAAATGTCTGCTAAATTACCATGTATTTTAAATCACTAATTATATATCAACCTCACTCCTTAAATACTCTAACACCAAGGAAATTGTTAGCCTGAGGAGTAGAAAGCACAAAGCAGAGATTTGCTTTTCACCTGATTAACACTTTCTATTAAAATAATCTAAAACAGCTGTTAATTCCTGTTAAATTCAGTCTCCACTTTTCTATAAAAGAAAAATTTAAATTATTTTTGGTAGAAAAGCTATTTTTTTAAATGTCAAAAATATTTCCTAACATTTTCAAGCCAACATACACAAAATTATTTATGTCAAATGTTGTCACATAGAATCCAACATGCCAGATTCTTCAACTCTTTTATTCACCCCAGGCAAATTTCAGTTTGCCATAAATCTTCCTTATGGCCAAGTCCCACTAGACTTTTAATTTAATGAAACACAGAAAATATTTGCATTGTGTTTTTCCCATACCCCCAACCCTCCATCAACAGTGAATTGGGAACCCAGCTATGCATTAACCCAGTGTTATAAGGAAGCTGTACACATGTATGGAGCTGAGTTTCAGTTTGCTGGGGAAAAGAGTAGGCAATAGCAATTTGCTGCAACGCATTACATGGTTAATGTCACCAAAGATGCCAAGTGAGCAAGTGACAATGGGGTGGGGGGGTGGGGGGAGGAACATCAAGATCCCTAAATGGAAGATTGTCCTAAGTATTTATCAAATAGCCACTAGGGAGATCACTGAATTCTCACCAATCAATCTGGCAGGGATTTGGTCACCAAGGCGCAAAGGCAGATGGGATCCCCTTAATGCAAGCCTTCCCCGATGCAAAAGGAATGATATTTGCAGGAGAGGATGACAGCATTGTGAGAATATAAGGGACAGTGACTGGGCAGATCAATACTGGAGCTCTTCCACTTCCTTGCTAACTCTGTTTCACAGTGAGAAAACTGGATATGTTCCCTTCCTCATCTCTCTTTCCCTATATAAAAATCTGTTTTATTTCAACTTTGTTGTATATGCAAGTTACCAGAGCTTAAGAAAGGCTTGAACCTGAGTTAAGGTAAAAGAGAGGGGAAAAAAAGACACATCCTAAACCAGTTTCATTTATATAATGAAAATAAATTTTTACACAATCAACAGAAACACACCAAGATTTTTTTTTTTTTTGCGAAAAATATTTTTAAATAAATTTTTTTTTCTTACATTCTGATATACATATGTAACAAGGTTTATGGCACTGTAACCAGAATCAAATCAGAAAAAAAAAAAAAAAAGGAAAAAGGTGGGAAGGAAAGTATTTGATATATTGTTGAATTCCTTTCTATCTCCAAGCTGGCAAATTTGCACTATTTGTCTATCATTCAGCTGCCAGCTCTAACTTGTTTGCACACTTAAAACATCATATTATTGCACAAGAAGCCAGTGAAGGCATATAATGGTCAGTTCCTCACTATTTCAAAAAAAATCTCTTAAACCCAGAGAAGGAAAAAAAAAAAAAATCCAGAGCATGAAACACACAAAATCAAAGGTATCCTTTTTCTCCTTAAAGAATGCCTGAAGGATTCTTAGACCACTTAAGCTGCCCTGATCTTCTCTTTGCACCAGTGAGCACAACAGGGCTTGGTTTGGTTGGGTTTTTGTTTTCTGTGTGGACAGCCCAGGTTGATCCCAGGCCTTGGTGATTCAATGTCTTTTCTATTTACTTTTGGTTCTTTTTAATTGGTTTAAAGTGTGTAGTATCTTCGGTCTATGAACCTGCACAGACTATTTAGTCATAAACTCTACAAATAGCTTAAAAGGAAAAGGGGGAGAAACAAGTTGTATTATATTTTTATTGTTGGCTTAAAAAAATTACTTCTTTAACCTCCTTAATTTGTCAGTTTGTGGGAGGTGAATCTCAATGGCATCAAAAGTTATAGTCTTCTTACACTTGTTAAAAATAAAGTGTTTAAACAAGTTTGTTTCCATTCACAAACTTACTCCCAACTACAAAAAAAAAAAGAAAGAAAAAAAACCAGAATCCATCCTCCTTCCTCATTGTCTCCTAATGGAGAGCAGCAATCCTTTCCATCCAGACCATTGTCACACAACCGTCTCCACGCCCATCAGCTTTGGTGTAAGGATTCTCGGTGTCACACCGTTGTTTAGGTCTTCCTCGAACTCTAGCAACTGCCCCATGAAGTTAAGGTTTGGGGAGATAATTGGTCGTTTGCCTTTGACAAATTTATAAGCATCAGTCATGGTCATCCGAGTGTGCTTCATCAAGTAAGCGATGACGATGGTGGCGGAGCGGGACACCCCAGCCTGGCAGTGGATGAGAAGCCCCTTCCCACACTGGTGAGCTTCCTCTGAAAAAAGGGAGAAAGACAAGAGATGAAGGGAAGATGGAAGAGAGAGGCACGGAGAGAGAAACTTTCATCTCAACTTTGCAATGCCTTATTTTGTATAGAAATAATGAATTAAAACAGTTTTAAAGCCAAGTATAATCCACTAGTTCATTACGTATACTTATGTCACAACTTCCAGAACTGGCTAAAGTTGATATCAGCACGAACAAGAAGCTATACATCTACATTTAAAGAGAAGATTAAATGAAAGAATTGCTCATAGGAACAGTTTGCTGCACAGGTGACAGCAGTGGCCGGAAGCCAGACCTATAACACAGTTAACTTTCACGTTGAACAAGCTACTGATCAAGTCGACTCTAACAGTCACTGAACCTTCTCTCAAATGTCTTGTTCTCTTTTTTTCTGGAATTACACTACTGAAAGAAAAAAAAAGAATGAAGGAAAAGGAGAGAGGAAGGGGAAAAATTATACACACACATGAAAATATACACTCACACATATATATGTATATGTATGTGTGTGTATGTGTGTGTGTGTGTGTGTATATATATATATATGCAGTTCCTCTTTGGATTAAGGATGTTAATTCCAATTTTCGGTTGTGTGACTTAACAAACCTAGTGCTAGTAACAACTCTCTCACTTGTAATAGAGAAAAAACACTTTCTTTATTCTATAGAATTGCTCTGTACAGGAACGGGCATTAAATGGATAAGAGTTTTAGTCTTACTAAACCCTGATTAAGGTTAAAGGAATAAAGCTTAACTAGGAAGATACTATGTTCAGCTTCTCCCCAGAAAATCCAGTTGTTGCAAAGTTAACTAAAGGCTAGTAGTATACAGGCCGAGGGTGTCACCTCTCAAGCATTCAATCCCGTTTGCTTCCATGTATGACATTCCAGTGTGGCAATAATGCAGAAGATGGAGGAATCCCAGCAATGGCTCAAAATCCAGAGCAATTGAAAGAGGAAGACTTGCTAAGTTTTCAAATATATTAAAAGCTCAGGACAATAGCATGTGGGCACTACCTGAACAGATTCTTAATGACATTTCTAGACTCTAACACATCCCTAAGAAAGCTTCCTTGAAGGAACACCAATTAGATAAACAGGTAGGGAAGGAGAAGGGGTAGAGAGAGTAGTGATTTCACCTAAACTACATCTACTGGCTACCCACCAGTGGACCAAGGAAAAAAAACCTGATGTAAATTTTCATCTTAAAAATTTACAGATGAAGTTTACTTCTCATAGTCAACAGTATTTCAAGAAAAGTAAGCATCTCTCTTTTTCAACTTTTTCCCTTCAGCACACGGTATTTAGCTCCAAGTCAAGACCAGAAAGCATGGTGGTGAGAGAATGAGCTTCTGAGTGCCTGGCTGGACCACCGGTTCCACTACACACACTTGATTCAGGAATAAATAAACTGGTATAAACACTAAACTTAGATGCTGCTCAGCTTATATTACACTCTCAGTGAAAGCTATTATGTTTATAAAACCTGCTGTGTTTTTACTAAAGCAAGACTGTAAGATTTCAGTTTATCCAATAATATAACAATGAAAATAAAATTGTGCCTATGCAGGTTGTGATATGGAGTTGTTCTTCGGGCTGAATGCTATTTGTTATTGGTTTTGTTTTCCTTAAAAAAAAAAAAAAAAAGGCAGGTAAGCCTGAATAATCTATAAGGAATGTGAGAAGGAGCTTTAGTTGAAATCCTCTTAGAACAAGTATATCTTACCCTACTCATTAAATAGAAAACAATTTCCTAACTTCCTCCAACTGGAGTTAAGTCAGATGGAATCTCAGTCATAACATCACATCATGTATCAACCAGAAGTTCCTCATATGCTTGTTGAGAAATTTTTCTTCCTCAGCGCTCCAGGTTTGGCTCAGATTTTATTAATAAAGAATCTGCAGTATCTCTGCATCCTCAGTGTTGCCAGTTGGGAATTACTTAATAGGGCATCATAAACATTGCCTTAGTGTGTTGTGAAAAGGCCTCAGGCTTGGGAGTCAAAAACCCTGGATTCTGGCCCCTTCTTGGACACTAGAATTCCTATGACCTTGAAGAAGTCACTTTACTTCTCTAAGTTCAGTGATCACCCTGAATTTCCTTTCAGACTCAATATTCCATGGTCCTGTGCTGACGGCATAATTAGCAAGGAAAACAGCTTGGCAAAATGACCAGAGATGTCAACACTACAGCAAATCCACCAGACCCCACTGGCTGTTAAACCTGAGGCTGTTTTTTTCTTTCTCTGACAAAGGAACACCCCACTCCACTTAACTGTATTCTTCCTGGAATAACAACCTGCTGTAATATTTAGGAAAAGTACTAGGCCACCCCTTTATGGTAATAAAAGTTGAAGTTACGTAAAAAAAAATAAATGTTGAGTTTTGCTATATTGCAGGTGCTCCCAAAATGATATTTTGAGTGTTTTTTTTTTTTTTTGAGACAGAGTTTCACTGTTGTTGCCCAGGCTGGAGTGCAGTGGCGTGATCTCAGCTCACTGCAACCTCCGCTTCCCAGGCTCAAGCGATTCTCCTGCCTCAGCCTCCTGAGTAGCTGGGATTACAGGCATGCACCACCACGCCTGGCTAATTTTGTATTTTTTTAGTAGAGATGGAGTTTCTCCATGTTGGTCAGGCTGGTCTCAAACTCCTGACCTCAGGTGATCCACCCGCCTCGGCCTCCCAATGTGCTGGGATTACAGGCATGAGCCACCGCGCCCGGCGATATTTTGAGTCTTATAGCAGTTTGGGGCTATAGAAGTTGCAGAAATTAAGATTAGGATTAGGCTAATAGTTGCTTCCTTCTGGGGATCAAAGCGTGCTGTTGCTAAAACTTCCTCCTTGGGAACTACTCCGTCTACACAACCTGATCTTTCCTAGTTCAATGAGTTTGGGGCAGACTGTCAAAGGAAACCTAGTACCATCTCCCCTTATGCTGGATGAATAAGGCTTAGTAGGGTGACCGGAAGGCATAGGTATGTTTGGAAGGGGTGTCATATTCACTAGATATTGCTTCCAAGGTGCTCAACGGCGCTAGTAGATCAAGTAGCAGTAGCACCAGCTCTGACCTCCGATTCCTTACTTTCCATCCACTTTTCTGGTTACAGAGCACATAAATGCTAACCCCTACCACTATTTCACTGAGAACTTGAGGGATGAGGATTTCTAGTTGAACAGATCCCAACAAATTCAATTACTGTCCTTTTATATCCATCCTGATGGCTTGGATACACTCGACAGGCTATGACTTAGGAGAATGCTTAGGCTGTTTCAGGTGGCAGAGCCCTCCAAAACTCCAGGGCAGCTTTTCTTTTCCAACACAGGAATAAACCTTGAACTTGATATCAAAGCAAGAGCTGGAGGGAAAAGGAAGGCAGCGGATGAAAATTCCCTATGGGAGATAGTTACCAATGAACTCAAAAGCCTCTTCAAAGTACTGCCGCAGGTTCTGCTTGTTGCTGTCAGTGGCTGGCAGCCGCTTGTAGTTGAACAGGCCTTTCTCATAGTGGTAGAGGGGAAGATGAGTGGTGACGTTGATGACGTAGCCGATGTTCAGCCGCTGCATGGTGTCCAGGTCCTGAGCATCCTGCTCATTGCCAAGGAACAGGAAGGGCAAGATGGGGGTGAGCTCAGCGTTCTCGATGTCAGGGGTGGTGGGGATGGGCTGAGGTAGCAAGCTCGAGGCCGCGGATGCGCCGCCCCCCACCTCCCGGCACTCTTGGAGCTGGAGGGAGTTGTCACAGAGGTTTTCATGGTTCTGCTTAAAACTACTAAGTCCACCTAGAACACAAACACAGAAGGTGAGTGTGACTGAGATTTCAGAGCTGGCAGAGAATGCCACCTCCCCATTAGAATGAGTTTGCATTGTAGCTCATGCATATTTTAAATACATATATAAATATGTATTTAAGCAAAAAAAATAAAAATAAAAATAAAACAAAACAAAACAAAAACTAAAAGTCCATTTGGAGACCCAAGACAAGCTTCGGGGAGTATCACTGCATGGAACACTTTGGAAATGTGCTCTTTCTACAAATGAGGGCATGTTCCCCTAGCAAGAGTTCCACGCGGCATCAGGCAATCTTCCTCAGCTGCAAATGTGACCTGCCTCAAAGAGCCATATGCTCAGTGGCCTACATAGAACCCTGTGCTTTGGGAGCCAAGAAAGGCACAGATGACCTCCTCGGGTGGAATCTCAGCACCACAGGAGCATGTCTTGCACCCTTCATAGCTCACCTCACCCAGAGGGACAAGTTTGCTCCCAATACAGCAGAGTGGTTACAAGCAGGAACATTGGAAGAGACAGGTTATCTTGATTATAATCTGGGTACCATCATTTCCTGACACTATTACTTAAGTTCATTTATCTCTGTGCTTCAGTTCCACCATCTGTAAACTGAGGGTGATGGTGTCTCCCTTTGAGTGCAATTGTGAGCCTGAGATAAATGAATACGTGTAAAATACTTAGCACATCTCCTGGCACACAGTAGAACTCAGCAGGCATTCACTATTTTAATTTATATTATTTATATGATTGCCCACAGGTGAAATCAGCAGAGAAGTACTTGGAAAAGACAAGCCAGGGTGGGGTGTGAAGGACTGCTCTTATAATCTTTTTTGATATTCTCCACGTAGGGCCCTGACATTTATCAACCCTGACTTTCAGTAGAACAGAATGTGAGAGCAGCGCGGTTGCTTACTCCTCGACTTTCCAAGGCTTGTGGGCACATAAACCCATCAAGAAACCTCTTTTGGATGTGTGAATGCATGCTTTTGAGCTTACGGCTCTGCTCTGCCTCCCACGAGTTATGGGTCTAGTATAAAAAGCTTATAAACTGTGCTTATTTCTCCATTTTTAAAATGCAAACCTTCCCCTGAACAAGTGCAATCTCACTTTTGGGAATGGATCTTAGGGAAATCATCTAACCAAAGATAGTTAGCTAGATATATGGAGATGTTCACTACAATGTTATCTGTTTTATATATATTTTAAAAAGGCCAAGTAAAACACAAAAATAAAAGAAAAAAAGTTATTACATTCATTCCACGGAGTATTATGTAGCCTTTAAAAGAGTAGTTGCAAAAAGGATGTGAAAATAAATAAAACATTTTGGTTTAATATTAAATTTTTTAAAAGCTAAGTAAAAAACATTGACCAAAAGCTGAAGAACTGTACAAAAAACGAACAATTGTTTAAATTAGGGAATTTACGGATCATAGTTTATTGTTTAAATTTTCTGCTAATATTTTTACACACAATGGCATGCACAGATAAACCCAAAGGATTATTACAAAGCTCAAATTATAATAATATACATGTAAGTGCTATAAAATCTGGATTGACATTATTAGTGCCAACTGAGCTCTAACCCTACTCAAACAGAACTAGATACACTCTGGCTTTCCCTTTGAAAAGAGGGGGAAGTGGAAAAGTCCTATTAGCTGAAAGCCACCAGAACACAACATCTACCCTCAAAGACAGATGGCTTGTGGCTGTCTTGATAGTTCCAGGAGATAAGGCAGAAAACCCAAAGCATGAACAAGAGACGGTTATGTTGCAATAAGGACAGGAAGTCTATCTGTCCACTAGCCTCTGAGCCTGGCATATGTTCTTCTCCATTTCAAGTCTCATCTTTGACAAACCACAGCGGGAAACTCCAGACCATAACCTAGACCGAGTCTCATGACTTTTCACAACCAATGGACCCGGAGCTGGCTGTGTAAAAGAGAGAAATCATATTTTCCTTAAGGTATGGTTATGATCCAAAGAAAACTCAAAGGGCAATATTATGTTCACTTTACTCATTGAAAGTAAGAAGTCAAAACCTACCCTAGCTTTTTGAAAAGAAAAACAAGAGCTATATACGAATTTCAGTTGATTTCTAGAATTAACCTCTGCCCTTACATATGATAGTTTATTCTGCTAGGCAATTATGACAATAAAGTTTGAACCTGAAGAGATAATTCTGAAGTAGAAGAAAGAAAATATGGAAAATAACTTCACCAGTGAAGACTTAAAAAATAAATAAGATAAAAACTACCCATTGTCATCATCACAGCCTCCACAAAAGGGATTCTGAAGAGTTAAAATCTGCTCAGCTTCGCCTCCACAAAAACCCAAATTCCACACAGATTCTGTGATGGGAACCTAATTCACTTTTTTCTTCAAAAAAGGCAGTTGTTACATTTTTCCATATAAGATGAGAGGGAAGAACAATAAAACAAATTCAAAAGAAGGCTCTAAAAGCAGGGGAAAAACCTCTCTGTTCTTATTTAGGGTACTCAAGCTGTAATTTGTCTTAAAAGCAGCTAGTTTAAAAAAAAAAAAAAAAACCAACACATGCTAGAAAACCCCACACACAGAAAAAAGCAGCGTCCAGCTTTTTAAAATTCTGCCTCTACACCTCCTTTCTCAATGACATCAGCTGGAGGCTCCCCACCTGCCCAGTTGCCATAGCAGTTACACAAAGACATACAATGACATCAGTTGGCATGATATCAGCTCTTTGAGTGCAAACAATACAAGAAGAACTACTTTGTTTAAGGCCTTTGGTGCAACTGTGTTCTGGGGAGCCAATGATGTAATGCTAACAGGTGGCATGGGCCTTCCATTTGCCTAATGGGGGGAAAAAAACCCGTGGCGGAGTGGGGGGAGGAGGGAATTTGAGACAGACACACAGAATGCTCCAAATCACAGAGCATGCTTATGTGCAAAAGTATGGGTGCATTGTATGTTTAAGCCATGTAGGAACTCTGTTCTTATAATATTTGGAGGTGGGAGGGGTGGGGGTGGAGAGAAAAGGAGATATTACAATTTAAACATATAAGGTAAACAAGGAAATTCTCCTTGAGGGGTCTGAAGAAATAGTCTCCTGTTCAACTGCCACTCTGCTAATCAACTTGGGCATCAGTTTTCCATAAGGCTTATGCACAGCTCTGTACTGCAGTTAAAAACTCTCTCTGTGGACGGTGCTTAAAGTAAAAAACAACGAGTGGAAGCTCACAGTGGTGGCTTTTTCCAGAGAAGTCTGCAGGAAGGATTGTTTTCTTCTCTTGGGGAAGGGTTGAAATTGAAATCTGGAGGGGAGGGGGAAGAGTAAAGCTAATCTGGTTTTTCTTTTCCAGTTACTTTCCTCCGACCCTACCCCATCAAGTATCACCAGAGGCCAAAGTGACTGATCACTTAATGAGGAACCCTGATGATGTTATGTTTATTACTATTTAAGAATATTAGAACATGATAATTAACAAACAAAGCAGGAGCAGTGTAGCATGGAGGTTAAGAGCAAAGGTCAGAGACAAACCACACCTAGCTGCAGTTATGATTCTGCCTCCTAGCAGCTGTGAGACCCTGTGCAAGTCAGGTTCCCTCATTAAGCCTCAGTTTACCAATCTATTAAGTGGATGTAATATCATCTACCCATCAGGGTCATAGTTCAGGAAGCCTATGTAAAGGTTTTGATACACGACCAGGTATTCGATAAATAATGTCTTATTACCCCCAATATCATCACCTTTGTTCTAAATTCCAACAGATCTATGCACACGCATAGTCCATGAGAGCCCTAAGTGCAGTGCAGTGATTCAGAGAAGGAGTATTGAGGCTGGACTTCTTGGGTTTGAATCCCCAGCACAGCCAAACACTAGCTATGAGACCCTGGGCAGGTTTCTCACCTGTCTGTTCCTCAGTTTCCCTGTATACAAAACAGGGATAACAATAGTACCTACCTCACTGTACTGTTGTAATGATTAAAGTGGTTAATAAAGTACCTTAAAACAATGTCCAGCACATTGTAAGTGCTTTTTCTTTTCATCACTTTGGGAAACTACCATTTTAAAGATCTAAAAAAAAAAAAATCTGCTTAATATAAAGACTCTATATAAGTAAACTAATGTTCCTGAGTTTTTACTTTTAAAATTTTATTTAACAAAAAAGAATTAGGAACCAAGGTATCCGAGCAGTTTTAAAGTTTGCAAAACATACTTTTAACATAAAGAAAGCAACAGCTCCCTATTTTTCCTAAACAAATATATCTGATTTCACTTTGTTGGTCCTAGCTTTCCTAACAAACACTGTCTTTGCATTTCTGGTTTTTCCACAGAATTGGATTTTGAAAATAAAACTGTTCTTCCCTCCTTCTTCCTTTCCTCTAATTTCTACCAAGGTGGCTAACTTCCTTATGTGCACAAGAGCCTGCAGTTATTAGTGCGAACATATTGTAGCCATGAGCAACAATGCTGGGGTAGGGTGAGGCAAGGCGGGGTGGGGGGGCAGCAAACATTTTCAAAGCTTATGTCAAAAGTAGGTTCTCTGCCAAAATGAGTATGGTCAGTACATTGATTCTAAATGGCAGCAACAAAGAATACCTAGCACCCCTAAAGAACTATATGTGGAAATACTGCCTGCCAGTTTCTTCTAACACACGGTCAGTTCAGTGACAGTCCTACTGAAGCAATGGATTCTAGTTTTAGTGGGAAACTTCTCTTTATAGATGCATTTCAGCTCCTGTTGCTGTTTTGGCGACTGCAGTCCTAGAAACAGAAGAGTCCTCTGTAATGTGATTCAGAAGCAATGCGCTGGGTTGTGAGTTAAAGAAACCACATCCAAATGCAGAATCTATAAGCAAGAGATTTTTATACTCTAAAGGTGGACAGCCCTTTTTGGTCTTATGCTAAGCTAGAAAGTGAGCTGTTTCCAGAAATTTAAGGAACACTCTCACTGAAGGTCAGCAAACAGAAGTAATGTCCAAAGACCAGGGGGAGGGGTGTAGGCTAAAATTGGACTCTTCTACAGTTTGCTATAAGCATATTGATCACCCCTCTCTGTTGCCTAGTTTTTCTTACTGAGTAACCAGTCTTTTAAAGTAAAACAGTACCTTGATGATAGTGGTTAAGATCATAGACTGGAGCCAGATTGCTTGAGTTAAAACTCCTGACTCCTATCACTTACCTTGTAACCTTGAGCAAGTTATTGATGTCTCTGCATCTCAGTTTACATATCTGTGACTTGTAATATAATAATTTCTATCTCACAGAGCTCTCAATATGGATAAAATGCTACATGAGAGTTAGGTGTTTTATTATAAGTGGGAGAGACATTGCTGTAAGTTGCATACTATTTTGTTTATACCAGGAACAGATGGATGCTATGATATACTCCATGGAAACAGAACATCAGAGCCACTCAAGATTCTATAAGCACAAGAATCTGTGGAAGAACAAAGCCTGGATGAACTGGAGCTGATGTCAGGCTGCCAAGGCTGAAATCTTCTTCAAAGACAGGGTCAGAGTCACTTCATAAGTTTCAGGGCAGAATATCACCTATCTTAACAGGAGAAACATGTGGGGTGGTGGTGGGTACCAGCTCGATCCACAAAGATTATTTCTACTTCTTGTTTTCTATGAAATGTTCTTTATACTCCATAGATGTGATTGGGTATTTTACAGTAGGAATTGGGTATTTTACAGTAGGGTATTTTCAAGTTCAAGATGAAAATCATTCCTACTGTAAAATACCCAAGGAAGTATTACTTAAATTGTCTTAGGATCTTGCCCCCAGGGAACTTGTATTTCTTTCCCAAGAAGAGTAAAGGGAGGCCCTATCAAACAGAGGCAGAGAGAGTTGAATGGGAGTGCTGTCTCACTAGGTATAAGGTATGAAACAAGAGATAAAGAAGTATTTATCTTACTCAGGGGAAGAAAGAGATTTAGGAGGCTGACTATGAGTCAGAGAGAAGTCTTCTTATGATCACGTCATTTGACTGCTTCCCTCAAACCAGTGTGGTCTGGCTTACATGTGAGATGCCTTATGTTTGAAAAGACATAAACAAGGAAGTATCACAAGCTTAAAATACACACATATACATAAAACTTCAGATATACTCATATAACATAATGGGATCTTGAATCCCATTGAGTACCCATCCACATTATTTGGCTTGCTATATTATTAAGTCTTTTAGGAAGATATATCTAAAAATAAGTTAGTCCCTCCATTCATGGGTTTTTCCTGTGTGAAGGAGACACAGTTATCTACAGATATATCTTAAAAGCCAACTCTAGAAAAGACAGTGGATGATATATAAAGCAGCAAAAAAAAAAAAAAAAAAAAAAAGAGCTTTGCCTTGGATTTAGAATAGTGGGTCTGCCACATGCCAAGTGTGTGACTTTTTGAAAGTTATTGAAGTATTCTGGGCTATCTTTCCATAACTATAAAATAGGATACTACTACTTAGGTCTGTCGTAATGATTCAATGATTTTGTGTGTACAATAGCCATCCTGGTATTTTAAGAAGGCATTCAAACCCTGCAGCTATTTGAATGACTGTCAAATGGAGCAGCAAAGCTAACTAGCACTGGAGGTAGTCAGATGCAGGAAGATGACCAGAGACTACAGGGGTCAATGTCAGTGTTGCTAGAGATGAACTTTTGATGCTGGTACAGTTGCTTCAGAGCAGTAGGAAAAGGAGACCATCCTGCAGAGGCAACCCCATGCAAGGGCATCACCAGAGAGGGAGGACAAAGCAGGAGCCATGAGGACAGCCCACTGTAGCTCTGCTCTGCTAAAAGTGTACTCAGTGCTGTTAGCCTAGTCTACACTCCATCACTGCCGGAGGAAGTGGCATGCAGAGTGGGGGTTGGGGCTGGTGGTTAGTGTGGTCTCCCTTGAAAACCTCATTATATTTAGTTCTTTATGTCTACGATTTTCAGAAGCCTTGAAAAAAAAGACATTTTTTAGGCATATCGAATAGCCAAAAATACATTTCTGGTATATTCTCTAAAAATATATGCATACTTCTAGAAATTTTTGAAATGGACGTACAGAAAAGTTATCACACACACAACTTTTTCATACCTCAATTTCCTCAATAAGTTGAGGTGTTTACAGTTTTTCTCAGAGTCATTCTATAAAAACTTAGTTTCAACAACTTATTATATGTATACATGCAGCCTCATTCTACAACTATAACTGCATTATTAATACATATTCTTTTAAAATGTATTTTCCTTTCTGTGTATATCCAGATTAAGAGCTTTAATAGAATTTAGGTCCTTGGAGAGCAGGACTAGTCTTATTTAAATCCCTTTGTACACAGGAATTAGCCCCAAGTCACATGAAGACAGGTGACTGCTGATATGTTAGATACCAATAGGAGCTACAGGGAAAGAGGTATTGAGATAGGTGGTCAATTTCTTTTTGGAAATAATTTACAAAAACTTAATAAAATAAAAAGATCTTCCTGGTGTTTTCCTAGTGATAAATGATAGGCTGAAATCATTTCCAGAATAGCCCTCCCAAAACTATCTTCCAATAATAAAAGTTGTTCATTTTTATTTAGTTCATCTAACCAAGTAGTATTTAGTAATGTTTTAAGAGAAAAAAAAATTCTGAAAAGTTGATACCAGAATTTGCCTGAATTTTGAGTTAACAATAGTCTTTTCTTTGGATTGTCTGGACAAAACAACATAATATAGAATACTGAGGCTTACATGAAATAGACATTGCTTGAGTTGTCATCGTATAGTAACTTTGGTATCATAGTGATACAGGAGTTAAGAAGAAATTACTTAGGCAGATAGTGAGGGTACAGAAGTCCTCCGTAACGTTTTCCTTTTAATGAAAAGCAGCCCCAAATCATTTTCAACAGAGAGCAGCCTGTAAAGTTGAGCTGCAGACACAGACAAGCAAACTGAGAGCTCGCACGTGTGGATGCCAGCAGGAAAGAATTACCTGCGACTAGACATGTTCAAAATGGCGGCTCCATCTTCCCTTCTCTGCCGGCCACGTGTACAGTAAGGAGCAGACAAGATGGCGCCAGGCAAGGGGAGAGTTCATTTGCATAATAAGATTAGGGTGGGGTGACCAGCCTCCCCTGAGTGCTGTGTAAACCTCACACCTGATCAAACCAATCTGTGAGCCCTATGTAAATCAGATACTGCCTCCTCAAGCCAGACTATAAAATCTGGCACATCCACCACCAGTCGGCCTTTTTCCTCTGGGAAGTCACCTCTCTCTCACTAAAGAGCGAGCTGTTTTCCTTTCCCTTTCTTTTGCCTATTAAACCTCTGCTTCTAAACTCCTCTTGTGTGTCTATGTCCTAAATTTTCTTGGTGTGAGACAACGAACCCCGGTTATTTAACCCAGACAAGGTAGCCACTTCAATAGTTACTATTGTTTCTCTCAGATGATGTGCCATTCCCTCCCACCCCAACGTTAAAAAAAACCCAGCATTCCAGAAAGAAGCTAATACTTGACAATGACACTTACCAAGAACTAAAACAGTCACTTTCGCTACTTCCTAATCTTTGTATAATTAGCAGTGTGCTTTCTTCTCCATTTTTTGTTCCATATACTTCTACATTTTCCAGTCATTAACTTGTTTATTGGAGGGGTCTCTTGTCATTTTTCTTATATTTTCGAATATACTGTTTCCTTCCTTGTTTGATAAAACCTTTGCCATGCCCTCAATAGGAAGAATTTTAAAAAATTATTGCCCACATATTTACCTCAAAAAAGTAAACTGAGTCAGAAACATCCAATGATTTAGGAATTGTGATTTATGAAAATTGAAAATAAAGTTTAATTGGAGGCCTTCCAAGAAATGCTGACCCTGGAAAGTTTTTGTCAGAGCTTTAAAGATTCCCCTCTGCTCTCACCACCCTCCCCTCCTGGCTCAGAAGTTGCCTCAGGGCAGAATTGGTATAGAAAAGAGCTGGGGATTGGATTTCCGCCGGCTGGAGTAGCTCAGTCCACACAGAAAAGTCAGCCTCTGGTTCCTACCCCCTGAAGGGAGGTGCAGTTCTCTTGCCCCCCTCCTACCATTTCAACTTTAAGGCTTTAATGAATAACTAATGTTTGAGCTACCACAAGTTTAATTTGTGTGTATTTGAATAACACAGGCAGATTGTTTTGAGAGGATACCTCAGAAGTATGTAAATACAGCCTGTTTCTTTAAATCTGTTACCTCATTTATTTACATTAGAACAGAAAGCACTGCCAGAAGCAACAGCTGATGACAGTCATGTAATTTTCCACAAAGACAACAATTAAACAGCTTTGTGTTATTTTAATGAGCAGATGACTTTTATGTGAGCAGGATTTGAACTGTTAAGATCTCAAGAGTTCCCAGAGCCAGGAAGCCCCTCAGGTTTTGCAGAAGTCAGTGAGACTCTATGACTCTCTCTGGTTTCTTCCCCACCAGGGCCTTGGGTTTGGTCTCTATCTCTATCCCCTTTGCCCCCTTCTCCACTCTTCTCTCCCTCACCTCTCCTCCCCAACTCTTGCTCCTCTACCCTGATCCCTCCTCCCTCCCCTCCCCTCCCCTCTCCCTCTTCTCTCCCTGTCCCTGCCATCTCCCCTCTTCTACCCTTCTCTCCCTCTCCCTACACCTTCTCTGTCTCTCATAAATCCATCAGCAGTAGATGGGAAGAAAACATGAAAGAGAGACTTCTACCTGGAATACATTTTGATGCTTGAATTTCAAACGAATCCACAGAATATTTGTTAGACCTATTTTTAAAAAGTCAAAGGTGGGCTGGGAAGAGTGATTGAGCACTCATCCCTGCCAGCCAAACACACAGTAAGGCTCTGCTAGTGCAGAGAATACCATCTTTAACTCACCCTCCCCATTCTGTCTCACAAAGGTTTCAGTAAGAACCACCTGAAGACAGGTTGTGGGCATAGTTGACTTCAAGTCAGTCCCTCTGCCAGAGGGGCAGGGAAGTGCCTTCTGCTCTCCCTTAATCCTAGTCTGGAATAGAAGGGTCAGAACAGATGTTTCTGGTGGTTCCAGTTGTCCCCTCCATCCACAGACCTTCCTCCCAGCCTGTGTAGTCTCATTTTTTTTTCCACCAGAATTTTGTCTACTTCTATTGAACTCCATTCTCACTAACAAAAATGCCAACTAAAGAAAATAAGAGTAAGTATTTTTGCTTTCCAAGAAAGGATTTTGGGCTTCAATCAAGTGAATGGCTAAGAAGGGTGCCTACCAAGATCCAGTCTGGGGGTGAGGGGTCAGGGGCCGACAGAAAGACAGCCAAGTTCCAGCCCCCATGTTCCTGAAAACTTGCAAGTTCAGTTTTCTTTCTGGTACGTGTCTAAACTTTACCTATGTTAGCACAGACCAACTGGTTCCCAGGGAGAAATGCACACCATAAACACTCAGATCAAGTCTGGGATTTGTTAACAGACATGCCAGTTACATTAACACATTTTTCACTGTTATAATCTCTTGTATTTAAGATCAAACCCTCCCCAAACATTCTGGGAGTTGAGGAGGTGAGTGACACGCTGCAGAGGCCCCTTCCCTGCCCCTCCCCACTCCATCAGGAGGAAACATATGACAACCATAAACACAGATTCCAGAAGGCAGTCACAAATTAAGATAAGTCATAACGGAAGACGCTGTCCAGTTCCTGGGTGCTATGAGAGGGGACTAATTAGATTGGGGTTCATGGACAGCCTCTCTGAGGTATGAGAGGGGACGGAATCCAGGAGAACATAGGGAGGGAACACCACACTGGGAAAGGCAGGGAACTCAGGGAACCTCTGAGTGACTCAAGGGAGCCAAATGTGGGGAGGCACAATGACTGGGCAAGAGGCGGGTGAGGAGAAGGGCTAGAGGGGAAGGAAGGGAGGCAGGGACCCTCCTCACAGGGCCTCTTAGGCAGGTTTTATTCTGAGTTCAGTGGGAAGCTCCTGAGTGTTCCAAAGTCCACAACAGGTGATCAATATGTGTTTGAAAAGAAAAGAGGGGGGAGGGGAAAAGAAACAGAGAGAGAGAGAGAGAGAGAACGCACTGATTTACCAAATGGTGTAATTTACATACACTCCAAATCCTGGGCAAAATTCATACCCTTTCCTTTTCTGAATGCATTTTTTGTGGCTGCTGTGGACTGATTGTATCTCTCCTCCCCATATTCAAACACACACACAAATTCGTATGCTGAAGCCCTAATCCCCAGCGTGAGGTCATGAGGGTAGGGCTCCTGTGATGGGAGTAGTACCTTTATAAGAAGAGACAACACAGAGCTTGCTGTCTCTTTTTCTCTGCCTTGTGAGGGCACAGCAAGAAGACAGCTGTCTGCAAGCCAAGAAGAAAGGCTTCACCAGAACCCAACCATGCTGGCACCCCAATCTTGAACTTACAGCCTCCAGAACTATAAGAAAATAACTTTCTGTTGTTTAAGCTATCCAGTCTACGGCATTTGGTTAAAGCAGCCCAAATGAATATAGTGCCACTTGTAATTCCCAGTGTAGCTTACTTTTAGAAATACAACGTATAATACTTACTTTTGAAGAGCCACACTAAAACTTGTGGGCTTCCTGAGAACAAAGCCCCTGAGAGCCAACCCAACTTGGTGTCATACCTTAAAGCCAAGCCAAAAATGGTCCAAGGTCAGAATGGGGGTGGCAGGGTGGTGGGGGTGGGGGCGGGGGCTGCAGGGGGTGGGGGTGTGCTGAAAGGACCAGCATGCCTATAAAAGGCAAGCGCAGTAAGCCTTGTAGAACCTTAGTTCCATGAACCAGCTACATGCACGCACAGAAGCCCACTCCTCTCCCAAAGACACTTCCCTCCTCATTAGATATATGCCCTTTCAGATCAGCACTGGCACATGACCTCCATGTGGCATCCTTCTGGGCGGAAGAATATTTTAGCTGGAGACATTCTGCGTACTGGGGAGGCTACTCTATACCATGTTAGGGCTCCACCTTTTTTGCTCACTGGTCTCAAACTTAATACTGGTTAATCCATCAAGACGGATTAAAGGAGGGGGAAAAATCCATGAGATCATCCTGGGAAGCTGCAGAGAGAGGAATGTTAACAGGAGGAGAGTGCTATAAAACACAAAGCCATATTTCTCCCGAGAGCTCAACCAGATATTCTGCATTAAGTCTCTAAAGAATGTCTAAAAACATTCTTGCCTTTCAGTGCAGAAGTTTAAATAATGAAGCATTGCTAAACAAACAAACAGAGGAAAGCCCAGTAAAGCTATTCATTACACAAACCCACTGTACAAAAGGAAAACTATTGCTCAACCATCCACCCCGAGGACCAACATTTATCTTAGACCCCAAATTAAACACATCACAGCTTCACAGCAAAAGTATGTTTCCCAATGGGATTTAAGTAAAGTCCAATTAAATAAATCTTCAGAAATGTCACATGCGAGCCTCACAGGAGAGCATATTTCTACTGTGAAACATTCCCATTGGAAGTTACATTCACAAAAGGTCCTCTAGAAACATCCATGACAGGAGGGGTGGGGGAAAGCAGTAAGCAAGACAAAGTTACACAGGTGAAGCCTGGATAGGGTTCCATTGCTAAAATCATGTATGGAAGTGCCCAGCCAAAAATGCTGCATCTGAGTTTGCTTTGAATAAAACCCCCATGTCCAACAAACAGTATGTATAACTGTGTATTTCAGTAGGATCTGGAGGTCAAAGAGCTCTGGCTTAGGGAATTCAGGAAGTGGTAGGGGAAAGGATCAAATGTCAGCATCAAAATTTGAATTGTTTTCCTGAACCGATGTTTTCACTTCACAAAAGGCATAGCAACAACTTCCTCAAGTCACTGAGCTGGATTCTATGTTTGGTGAATATAATGAGCAAGGCTGAGTACTAAAGGATCAACTTGCAGAAAGAAAAGGCATGGGCTTTCCTTAAACATGGACTCAGCCATGTCCAATGATCACACCGTACCATGAGGGCTGAGCTTTGACAGGTCCACCTGAAGCAAGGTGAGGTCTCCATGCACTAAGAGACATACAAAATTACACTGGGTTAAAAAAAAAAGCTAGCATGTCCCTGCCTGGGTGACCACCTTCTGAGATTAGGGGGAAAACAAAACAATTAAAAACACTGCTTGTCTCTGAGGAGGTGGGCTGGAATTACATATTGTCAACATGGACTTGAGGCTAAGTGAAGGACCAGCCAAGTAATGGTCAGTTCAACCTGGGGCACGCAGAATGAAGCGCTGACCTGGGATGCATCCCGTATCTGGCACCATCAGACTTTCGACCATTTCCCCTGAAGCCATGTCTAACTTTGCACAGGGTAACAAAAGCCCTGACAGCAAGGACTCAGAGGGCAGCCCTTCCTTCCACACTAAAAAGATACTGGGTTCTAGCTCTGTGACCTCTTTTGCCACCCCTATACAATCAGGACTTAGGGTAATCTTTAAGTTTCTCCCAACTCTGGTGTTCTATAACTTCAATATAGCCTTGATAAACCATATATATGATATGATATGGTACGATATGACATGAATGAACAATGGCAAGAACAAAATCAGCTGTCAGAGGTTGTGTAAAGCCTGGGTGCTCTGCTTCCCACTTCCAGGCCTTTGCATTTGCTGTTCCCTCTTCCGCAAACTCCCTTCCTGTAGATCCTCACTGTGATACTGTGATATGAAAAAATATATATTTGATCTCTGCCCCTGGTTCCTGTAGCATAGCTTCTAAAACCCCTGGAATCTCTGAAGTTATGAGTGTTTTCTGAATGCCAATGAGATGACTAGTGGCTGGGGGCCCCTAAATAGCTCCAGGAAGGGAGCTGGTCACCAGAATTAAAACAGCTTAATTAGAGGATTGGGACATTCAGCCGCATCCCCCAACCTCCAGGGAGGAGACAGGGACTGAAGGTTGAGTTGATCACCAATGACCAATGATGTAATTAATCATGCCTATGTAATGAAGCCCCCATAAACCCCATCCATCTCCTTCATCTGACTGTCCATCTATATTCTTTGTAATATCTTTTATAATAAATGTGTAAACACATTTCCCTGAGTTCTGCGAACTGTCCTAGAAAATTAATGGGACTCAGGGAGGGGGTTGCAGAAATACTGATTTATAAACAGTGTGGGGAAGGTGGGGTAATCTTGTAGGACTGAGCCACAACTTGTGGGGTCTGAAGCTAACACCAGGTAGAGTCAAAATTAAGTTGCAAGACATTCTGCTAGTGTCTGCTGGAAGACTGCTCTGTGTGTAGGGGGCATAAATCCACAGAGGTGTTCCGAAAGTATGGTAGGATAAAAATTTATTTTTCTTTAGACTCACATAGATGATTCAGACCTCAGACCAGATGTGTTCTCAGAAAAGTCTTCCCTGACATTCAATTTACAGCTACCCTTCCAAATCTCTTTTATCATATCATGAAGTTTTTAAGAGTTTCATTGTCTTCAGAACACTTATCGCTATCTGAAGTTACCTATTTATTTCTTCCCTGTTTATTGTTCTTATTAAAGTGTGGACCCCAAGAAAGTCAAGATGTTCTTTCTCTTAGAGGAAATAGAGTGTAATGGTTTGGTGCACTAGGGCCAGACTGTCTCCACAACTTTCCAGTATGATATTGACAAAGCTGTTTCACCTCTTTGTACCCTGAAATGGAGCTAATAATAGTCCTAACAGGCAACAATAGTTATTGCAAGAATTAAATCAGCTACTACATTGTAGTTATTAATAGAAATTCTAAGTATTCACTGTTTAGCATCTGAATTGTATATAGTAAGTGCTCATTAAATATTTTTAGATTCATTGAACACTGGAATGAGATGAGATAGGACCAGTTTATTGTAAAGCATCTATTATATGCTGTTCAGCATTATGCTATGGATTTGCGAGATTTGATTGAAAAAAATAGTCCCCAAAGAGAAATCTAATGAGGGAAAGGAGGAAGGAACTTTAGGGAAATTCAGTGACAGGACTGGAAGAAGAAACATTTTCAGAACACACTGAAGATTGAGCTGAACAATGCCATCCAGCTGTAACTCACACAGTCAGGTGCAGGACTCGCCAGGTGAATTCAGCACAAGGATTTAGAAATCCTGGCATTCCAAGGCTGGGAAGGAGGGCTGAGTACACTTATGAGGAAGAGGCAATTTACAGGGGTGCTGGGCCTCCCTTAAATGTGACAAATGGGCACCTTCCAGGGAGGGCTGAAATCCAAGGCAAATCACACTTGGTGGCCTCTTACCCCTTTCTCCTCTCTCCTCGCCCCTACTTCTTGGACATTCTATATGAGTGATGAATGGTAGAGATGCATGGAAGGTAGTCATGAAAGGGAAAAGAAGGCTCAGGAGGGAAACTCACCCTGAGGGATGTCACTGAGCAGCAGGAGGGGCCCTCAATTCAGTTTAATATACATTTATTAAGCACTAAATATGAAATGGGGGCACAGTGCTCAGTATAGGGTATACACAAGCTAAGATCTAGGTGGGCCCTCTCAAGAGCTTGCTGACCCTCTCACTTAGATGTGGTAAGCAGTAACAGATGATTCTGACAGTATCTTCACCAACCCCGGGTGGCCCTGTTTCTTCTATCTCCTTTTGAAGGGATACAACACTGGATCTGAAATCAGTAATTTGGAGTTCCTCTTATCCCTCTTAATAACTGTGCACCTTTGGGCAAGTTACTTGAACTTAAGACCATGTGAAACCACACGATCATATCATAAGAGCTATTTCTTCAAACACAGGAGTTCTCTCTTTTCTAAAAATAAGGGCTGTTACAGCCCTAGATCTCTCAAAGAGCAATAGCACGCTATAACGCTCTTGAAAGGTAGAAAAAGGGCCTTGAAGCCTCTGGTATTCTGGAAGGTGAGATGCTCAGGGACTGTGTGAGAAGTGAATGCCTCATGTTCTGTACCTCTTCAGTTGGTTCTGATGAATTTGCTCTCCCCCTCTCAGAAACTGGGACTGAGACTTCCACAGTCAATGAGTGGCAGAGAACACTGCCTCATAGTTATCTGGTGTGAACTGTCCCTAGTCTTAAAGCTGAACACCTCTGAAGAGCAGGCCTGGTGTGGTGGCAGATGAAAAGTGCCCAGGGCTGGCCCATGTTAGGAAAAAACAAGTCATATTGATTTCTTTTTGAAAGAGGCTTCTTTTATACATTCCAAAATCTTGTTTTATTCCTAGTTTTCACTGGTGACGGAAACTTTCTCCCAATAACTGCAGAGTTTATGTTGGACTTTTCTTAGAAATCTGCATTCTAAGGTGGCCCCAAGAGATACTCATAGGAGTCAACTTTCTAGGAGCTGGTGACCTAAGAGGGCCTTGCAGAACATGGGCCAGGCCTGAGCAGGAAACAGAAGAGTAGTGGATACCAGGACCACAGACAAGAGGCAGTGTCTATTTTAAGCAGGGATGAAGAAACTAAACCAAAATAAATAAAACACATGGATCTTGGCTTAAAAATCCAAACAAAAGCCCCAAAAGAAAAAGCAACAATTGAGCTAAATACCTTGTTTATGAAATGTAATAGGACATACCACAAAAGCGTAATTCCAGACAAGGCAAATGATTAAAAAACACAACAAAAAATCGAAATACTCCTTACCCATAGTATCACCCTGTGTCAGCTTCCCATGAACATCTCAATCCCAAAACCAATACTTAAGAATCCCTGGTGTCAAAGAGGGGCCAACACATATGTTTGTCACCACCGCTAACATGATGCCAACTGGGAGATGAAATAGGCCCCAGAGATTACAGCCTGAAGGGTTTTGAGTATGAAGGTCTCAGAGGCCTGCCTGCCTCCCAACTGATCCTAGTGGTCAAAAGCAGTTGCTCAAAGATTGAGTCATTTTCCAAGTCTAGAATGCAAATGGCCATTGTCACCAAGGAAATGGTGTTACAGAGATAAGCAAGTTAAGCTGCAGCACTTAGCTCTCTCAGCTGCTGTTCTCCTAATACATACATCCAAATAAAAGGCAGTCTATTCTTGCAATACTGCAATATAATTCTGAAACTGACTAAGCAGAGTCAGTGCAGACTCCCCAAGTTAAGGCCACAGTCTCAAATAAGAATGCCTTCACTTCCAGATGCTAGCCACAGGTTCAGGGGTTCCCAGGCCACCCACACTTCTAGCCAACTGGTTATAAATTCTGTGGCTTCTACAATGCTTCAGGCTTGATAATTCACTAGAATGACTCACAGAACACAAGCCCTATCTTTATGATGATAGTTTTTATTATAAAAGCTACAAATCAGGAAGAGCCAGATAAAGACACATACAGGGCAATATCTGGGAGGGTCCTGCATATGGAGCTTCTAGGCCCTCTCCTTGTGCAATCAGGACACATTGCCCTGCTGACACAGCAATGTGTTCACTAGGAAGTTTAACTGAGCTTTGGTGTCCAGAGTTTTTATTGGGTTCCATTACTTAGGCATAATTAAATTATTGGCCTTGTGATTGAACTCAATCTTCAGTCCCACTCTCTTCTGCTGAAGAAGATGAACTAATACAAAGCCCTGACCTTCTAATCATGTGGATGTCTTTCTGATGATAAACTCTTATCCTGAGTCATCGCATTAACATAAACACAGGTGTGATCCAAGGGGCTCATCATGCATAACAAAGACACTCCTAACACTCGGGGAGTTCCAAGGGTTTAGAAATTATTTCCCAGGAACTGAGGACAACGGCCAGACAAATTCTCTATTATACAACAGTTTCTTAGTGATGAAGGGTGTGGGCTCTGGAGTCAGGCAGGTCTGAATTTGGCATTGTGCTGTGAGACCTTGGGCAACTTACCTAACCTCTCTCAGCCTCAATTGCCTCATCTAAAAAGTGGGGATAATAATACTGTTATTACCACATTGAGATCGGCAACATTTGATAGACATGGAATTCAGGCTACTATAATAACAAGCATTTTTTTTTTCTAGTAGCTGCATTCAAGAAAGTAAAAACAAACAGGTAAAATATTGCTAATATATTTTTCTTAACATGTGCAAATATCATTTCAAGAGTCAATATTAAAACAATTACTAATGAAATATTTTACATTATTTTCTATATAAAGTCTTGAAATCTGGTATATATTTTACACCTACAGCACATCTCTGTTTGGACTGGCCCCATTTCAAGTGCTCAATGGCCACGTTTGGCTTGCAGCAAGGCTACTATATTGGACGCTGCAGATAGATTTAATACTATTGCTATCCCCATTAAATGAGTTAATGCTCAGTGTCATAATTGTTCCCATTCTACAAATGTTAACTAAAATATGTGTTTGTTTGCATGTGAATGTGTGTGCATGCACATGGAGGGGTAGTGACCAATGACTAAAATCTACGGTGCTATAAGCCACACTACACCAGGAAGTCATTCGGCTCCCATGGAACATCAAATAGCCACTCTATTTTCAGGAAAAGAAACACTTCAACTTGGAGAAGAGAGGCTCTCTGATCGATTAACTACAGCATGCTCTTTTATTTCAGCACTCCAACATCTCCCAGTGCACGTTTTAATATGAGCCAAATCAAGTAGCCACGACAATAGCTTTGAATGAGAAAAGACACCCCAAAAGCAGTGCGCAGATACATGGGGATGCCTGAAGGAGCTCAGAATGGCTTAAGGAGTAGGGGGAAGAAAAACTGCAGAGAGGAGCTTTGACTCACTGAGTCATTGAGCAACTGTTCTGTGCCCTCTCAGGCTACTTCCCACAGCCACCGCCCAGCCAACAGCTAGCTGCACCCAGCCAATCACTCACTCCACTCCCTGGAAAAAGCTCCACATTGGGAAGCCAGAAGAATGTCACTAGCAAGAGATTGATTTCAAGGTAATTATTTAGGCAACTTTGTAGCATCTCATTCTCAGGCCTAAAAGTGTTCTCAAAGTTTGTTTTAATAAATGCATGTATTAATATGAAGTCTCTGTGTCTTTTAATAATGATATACCACATTCAGCTCCTCCCAATCTTTGTAAGAGAGGGCTTCCTGGACTCCATAACCACAGCATTCCTCCAGCTCTTTCTATTCACTGGAGCAGAAATGGGGCTTTCTAGCCATCCTCAAGGTAGGAATTAAGAGATTCACCTAGTAAGTGTACATGAATAGATTTTTACATAATATGCAAAATTAATTATAATATACTCAACCAATTCACATATTTTATCAAGGAAGACAAGCTAATTATCTGTCAAAGAATTATCTCCTATTTAAAGGGCACTTTACCTCAATTTGGCAAAATGAACTAATGGGAATTATCTTTCCATTCTGATGTGTTTTTGCTGCCTGTGTTTGCTTAAGCCCCTAGAAGACTTCAGCACTGCACTAAAACCTCAGGATTTAGAAAAGTTGAGAGGAAGGGAGACACAAACACATCTACTCAGCATCTCACTAAATCTACCTCTTGCTGCTTTTATTGTCCCTTTCAGAGTGTTTTATCTACAGTGTAAAACTGGGAGTGACTCATATTTATGAAATAAGGAGCCGTTGTTAGCCTTGCCAGATCATTCACTTCCACAATAGCTTCTGATTTTTAATAGCGCTGAGTGGTGCTTCCTCATGTCCTCACTCTATCCACCAAAGAGGTCCAAGATCTGCAATATGTGCCTTACAGGACATGTGGTAAACACACACATTCAGGATCAGTATCAAGACCTGTGGTCAAGGATAAAGATGTCCCTAAAAACTCACAACTTTGATAGGTATTTGGATCTTACACTCAGGAAAGAAAAGCAGAAGTTAAAAAGTGAAAGAGAATTGGGGGGAAAAATAAACTCAAACTGGCAACTAGCACCCAAAATGGCAGCTAGTACCCATTTCTCTAAATGGGGAGTGCAGTTGGGTGGGAAGGTGGAGAAAATTCCAAACAAGGGTTTCCTTCAAGAGGTTTCTCTTGTCATACCAAAACCTTGGAAACAATCTTAATTTATATTAATAGGCAAGTAAGTAAAATGTGGTAATAAGACAGGTTACAGCATTAAAGAAGAAAATCTATGATCACAACACAGGAAGCAAAAGTACATGCAATATAAAGTGAAAATGAATTTCAGTTACTATGTGAGAAACCCTGAAAAA
The DNA here is from genome assembly GCF_000001405.40 of Homo sapiens. NCBI lineage: Eukaryota > Metazoa > Chordata > Mammalia > Primates > Hominidae > Homo > Homo sapiens. The sequence continues at coordinate 221,726,497 of NC_000001.11, forward strand.
CATGCACATATATGGGTAGAGAACAAAAAGAAATGTAAAAATGAAACTAGGCCAGTCAGGGCGGGATTAGTAATATTATGTTTTTCTTTCTAAAATGTTCTTAATATCTTAACAATAAGTATACATAAAGTGTTTCTGCTAAGACTTTTATAAGATTTCCTTACATAGAAATAGCATATAATTTTTCAGCACAGCACTATTTCAGGAAAAAAAAAAAAAAAAACCCTATGTAGTTATCTATCCACCCCAAAAGAAACACTGGGTTTTTCCAAACTTTTAAACAAAAAGATCTACCAAGCATCAGAAAAGTATCTCCTACTTGTACTGCATTAGTGGTGACATCAAAGCATTTTACTGAACTATACCACTCATATATCAGTTGAATATAAGCAGATTATGAATTATTATTGTAGAGATTCAATATTATAATTATGGTTGATTTTCAATAAATGTTAGCTAGTATGCATTCGTTATTGTTCAAAGCACTTCTACATATGTTATCTAATTCTCAATTGAGCCCATGAGAAAAGAGCCATTACCCTCCCCATTTTATAGACAAGCAAACAGAGGCACAGAAAAGTGAATTTGTCCAAAATTATAATAATTGGCAAAATCAGAATTCAAACTCAGCAGCCTGGTTCCAGAATCTGTGCCCTTAACCTCCAAACTATACTCCCTTCGCAAGAAAATATATAAACTGAATACAAATATAAGGGAGCATCAGCCGGCTCATTCAATTAGTCACTATATACGCTCCTAAGAAAGGTAATGAGAAAAATTATGGAATGACCTGGCTGAATACTTGAACCCACAAGATTTGCTTATTTAACAACAACTCAGATACTAATCCAAAGGATTATATACTGGTTGGGCTTCTAAACACCCTAAACTGAGAGTTAGGAAACATGAATCCTATGCCAGTACTGCTAATAGCTATTTATATCCTCCTGGATAAGTAATCAGTTTCTATGTCTGTAAAATGGGATGGTTAGATCAAATGCTTGATAACATCTCTCACAATTCTGTAACACCATGTTCTTTGAAAAATGTCTTTCCTTTCTAATTCAACATAGAGTAAGTGAATGCTTGCTGTGCAATGGACTATAATTCTGTGGTTTTTCAACATTTCTAAAGTCATCCTGGGGTTGTTGTGGTTCAGAAAACTTACCTTGCCATGTAAATGTGAGAACTTATGATCAGTGAAGTTAATCTCCTTGAATTTATTTTAAGCTTTCTTAAAATTGATTACTTTTATATTTCAGAATAAAAAATGCTCAGATTTTTAAATTTTGTTCTCCATTCACTAATTCTACTGCCTTGATCACCCATGTCCCCCTCCCTTCCCCTCTCACTGGAGGACCTGAGTGTTTGGGGTGACCTTACTGCTATGGTTTGAATATGTCCCCCAAAGTTCATGTATTGGAAACTTAATTGTCACTGTAGCAGTATTAAAAGATGGGGCCTTTAAGAGGAGATTAGGTCATGAGGGCTCCACTCTCAAGAGTGGATTAAGACCATAATTGCATGGCCATTCCATGGAGTGGATCATCACAGGGGTGGGTCCTAATAAAAAGGATGAACTCTTAGCCTCCATTTTCTCACTGTCTTACACACTTGCTCATCATGTGATACCCTCCACCATGGGCTGACCTTGCCAGATGTTGGCACCCTGCTCTTGCACTTCACAGCTTCCAGAACCATAAGCCAAATAACCTATGGTTCTTTGTAAATTACTCAATCTCAGGTATTCTGTTTTAGCAGCATAAAATGAACTTTGTGACGAAATCTTATAGTTGATATCTGAGAGGACAGTCACATACTTTCACTGTGTGAAGCTGGGTGCTCTGTCAGAAGACAGATTCTGCCTCTATGAATGCTGCCCCTAACACAGGATTCCAAGGAGTCCATCCTGCTGTCCTTCAAATGTGTTCATTATTATTTTTCCCAGGGTCTGTCCTTGCCACACCTCCAGATTACCTGAGCTATATTTGTAGGCTTAGACTGTAGAAGGGAAGAACAGAGATAAGAAAGATTAGGAAAGGAGAGGAGAGAAACTAAACAGTAAATGGTTTGATAGGATCTGTTCACTTATCCCTGATAACTAACCTTCCCAAAGGGCAATCATAACCTACTAGAGATTCTTTCTTCACCTACTTGAGGGAAAACAATCTATAGTTTTCATTATCATCCACACTAATAGGACAGATAATGAATATAAAGCATAAACAATCAAATACCTTTGGCATTAGAGTCTTTAGGATGTAGTCATCATACTCGTCACAGATTCTTTCTTGTTCTTTTTACCTAACTTTGTACTTGTACTTTTCTTTACCTTTGTTCATCTACTTCCTACTCCAGAAAGTGGGTTTATTAATGTGTGCAAAAGCAGGAAATATCATCCTTCTATCCACAGGCTACTAGGAGAATGAATTCTAAGGTTCCAGATATCAAAAGCAAACTGAGCAGAAGTATACCAGAGCTACACCCAGGATCCACTAGGCACCAGCTGAGTAACACTGGACAAGTGCCTGAACCTCTCCGAGTTTCAGTCCCTCGTATGTAAATTGGAAAGGGATCATGAGACATAACACTTGTGGCATAGAGTCTGGCATGTAAGAAATACTTCATATATGTTAGAATTATCACAGTTTTCAAAAGTTTGTTTTGCTCAAATTTTTATTCCTTAAAAAACTGTCATGACCAAAATTTAAAGTATCCAAAAGCTGGGATATAATTTGAGGCAAGGTTACTGGGAAGCCAGTCTACTCTAAGGACACAGAATAGGCTACTCACCTTAGCAATGGAATTTTTATTTGAGGATATACAAGAAAAATGGGGAAAGGAAGATGGCATTATAACTAAGGCACCACAGAGGTAAAGCACAACTAAAGCCACCATAAGGAATGAGACTTGCAAATAGATATGGCCAGCCTGAAAAGAATTTGGGCTTTGAAATCATAAGAACTGGATTTCAATCCTTATTCTCTCATTTACTAGTTAATAACAAGGGAGAAAATATTTAATCTGTTCCTCAGATTCCTGAGCTATAAAAGTCAGGATATAAAATGACGTTCACAGAGCTTCTCTGAGAACTAAATAAGACACATATATGACAGCCCAATGCCCAGCATCTAGAAAGCATTCAATAGCTTTTAACTTGTTTTTCTTCCAAACTATCTGGAAAATAATTTTCTAATTTCAGGGATGATAGGTTGGTCACAGAGCCAGAGTAGTTCTATGTGATTAACTGATGTTCTGCTGGCAGATTAAAATATCACCTCATGAGAACCATAAGACCCGTTCCTTTAAAGTCTTATCATAAAAACATAGCATTTTAATAAAAATAGAAATTAAAAGAAACAATAGAAAATGTCCTCTATCTCTTCAGGGAAGGCCCTCTTAGAAGTTTGTGTCTAGTCTTATTCTTTTAAGACAGGAAGAAACACTGTAATGATTGAAGAAAATGACTCACAGTCTTCAATACTGGAGCCCAGAACTCAGGTCTGGGAGCTAGAAGATATGTTGCTGTCACCCTAAGACCCTCAACCCTCATGTTATTCTTTTCTGTCCACTCCCCCACCCCTCCTCTTTCTCCTTTCAATTTGTTTTTTGCTTCTCTCTTGCCAGTAGCAACAGCTGGTAATATTTAGCTCAATGGTAGTGAAGCTCAGGGCTGTGATACAAAGAATGTGAGATTATTTCTTCCATAAAATAAATATAAGATATTAAGGAACCGGATAGTGATGTTCTGATGCAAAACGGTGACTGCCTCCTTACCTCAGGACACAAAATAAGATCAGTCGAGTTCGCATTATAACACGAGAGGTTTAAGCTCCTCAAAGGGAGGACAGGCCTGATGCGACCCCCTGGCTCGGGCAGTTTAATCTGTTTACTTGATGTGTGCAATGGACAACAGATGCCTGATGGTGGTCCATTCTGAAGTGGTAAGGCAAGAAAGCAAAATCCCGTTGTGGAAGCACTCAGGAAGAGTTGCGCTTTGTTTTGTGTTCTATGAAATTCAAGTCGGGGGCCAGGGTTGGGGGCGGTGGCCTGAGTAGGCCTTTACCACACATAAAACATTAAGGGCAATGCAGATAATTTGATGCATCCACAAATCCTTTTCTTTCTGTAAGTGATTCTCTACTTTGCCAGATTCAGAGAATAGGTAAGAGCCTTTATCTTATATGAAAGTACTAGGCCTGCACAGCTCATTTCCTTATCCAAAAACATACGCTCAAAGTTTCTTTTCTTTACTTTTAAGTTACATAAAATATGGGTCTTGCTCGGGTGGGGGACTGGAATGAAAAAAAATTACATATATCTATAACTCTCTATATATCTATATATCTATATGTAACTCCAACTTTTAAGTAATAATAGATGATATAGACATAACCTGGAAAAAACTGATGCCAAGATCTTGCTCTTGGGTTATGGATGAAAACATCTAAAGAATCAAAGACTTCATAATTAAAAGATTACATCAATTTTAATATAAAATGTATATTTTTAAATCTTTTATAATGAAATTCAGGCTACAGGTCATACTCATTTTCTCTTCCTATATTTTTCTGAATGAGTATGATTACATTCGTGAATATAGAGTCTACAGTATATATAATAGAAACATAATCAATGAAAATTTGTTGATGAGGGATTCAAATCTTCCTCGAAGGGGATTTAGGGGAAATAACGCAGGCTTCGTAATCTTAGAGACAGGTTTTCATCCCACCCCTGTCCCTTATACTGGTTTTTAATTGTACTTGCAAACATTTTATTTTTTTAAAGCAGGCCAAAACCTTGCCTCTGAAATATTGTTTACAATGCTTGTTTGCTTAGCACATCCTCTTTCCATAGAGAGCATGCAGTGAAAATAAACGAAGCCCTTATTCCTATCATCAACATGTACAAAATTAGGGGGTCCAAATTACAAAGTTTCACTCTCCCACACAGAGGAGACTTGTCAGCCCTGAGCTTTTGAGGCACAGAGGGCATATATATTTATTTTTTCATTAAAAACCAATGAATCATTTCTTTTCAGATCAAGACATTGGAAAGAAATCCTATTGGCCCATGACATATTTAGAAAAGGCTAGGCTATTTCTTTTTTTTTTTTTTTTTTTTTCTTTTTTTGCGACAGAGTCTCACTGTCGCCAGGCTGGAGTGCAGTGGCGGGATCTCGGCTCACTCCAACCTCCACCTCCCGGGTTCAAGCAATTCTCCTGCCTCAGCCTCCCGAGTAGCTGGGACTACAGGTGTGCACCACCATGCCCAGCTAATTTTTGTATTTTTAGTAGAGACGGGGTTTCACCATGTTGGCCAGGATGGTCTCAATCTCTTGACCTCATGATCCATCTGCCTCGGCCTCCCAAAGTGCTGGGATTACAGGCATGAGCCACCACACCCGGCTGGCTATTTCTTAAAAAAGAAAAAGAAAAAAAAAGTACAAACATGTGCTTCACAGGAGAACAAAATTTCGTGAAGATGAAACACTCCCTAAATAAGATTGTGTGGCAGAAGAAGATGAAGAATAGAAACATGAACACAATTTCCAAGATGGAAAGGATCTGGAAGACTGGTCCCATCCATATATGTTGTCTTTCTTGCATTTGAATGATAAGCATTGTGATGCAGATTGCCCAGCCTGCAGATTAGTGCCTAGCACACCAAAGGCATTCAACAATATTTATTGAACAAACAAATGAATCTCCTCTGCCCACAAGTTTGTACAGCTGTGGAGACCACCTACCAAAAAGTCCCTAGAAGCCTAAGATGGTTGGGCTTCTTTGATACCTGTTTTGATAGCTGTTAACAGCTGAAACCACTAGGTTAACAGCTTAAACCACTAGGTTCCCCAGATGAAGAGATTAAATCAACATTAATATTTGGTCCATATTCTAATATCCAGGTAAATATATAGACCATGAACTGCTGGTTTTGAAAGTCCTCAGACTTTGGTCTTTTTAGTTCTGAACTGAAATCTCAAAATTCAAGAAAAAAGGCATCAGTACTCAAAAAATCTTATATTTTATGCTATATATTAGATTCTGTTGTTATTAAATAATGATACATACGAATACCTCAGTCTGTTGATATCTATTGAATCTGTTGAACCTGGCAAGACCTACTTTAACATTAAGGACTAAATCTCTAAAATTAATCATGCATGTGACCTTGGACAAGCCCCATTCCTGTAGTGGCATAATGAGAATACCGGACTAGATCAATGGTTCTCAAACTTTGCTGCCTGTTAGAATCACTTTGGGAGCTTTAAAAAAATCTTGATGTGCAGGCTGCACCCCAGACCAATTTAATCAGGCTTTCTGGACACACGAACTGGGCATCATAGGTTATAAATCACCTTCAGGTGATACCAATGAACAGCCTGCAGTGAAAACTACTGGATTAGGGGCCCTCTAAAGTTCCTTGCTCTTCTCAAAGCTGGGATTCTTTAGTTCCAAAAAGGTGAGATGACCTCTCCTGGAACTAGAATTTCTCTCCTTAATATGTAGTCTATCTTTTTCAACCAACTTGGATTAAACTGCCTAAGCACTCCGATATATCACACATTCATGCCCAAACTGCTCTTCAGCAATGCTGGGGCTTGGAGGTTCTGGCTTCTGATAATGCAGGGTTTAAGGAACTAGATTTTTGCTACTGGTCAAAAGCTCCCACTTAGTCCCTGAGGGTGTATGCACCAGGAGTATGTGACGGAAAGTTTTTCTGCTCCTGTAATTTTGTCAGACCTTCAGATGGGTTTGCCTAAAGGACCAAGTAGAAAAGTGTACATATTCACCATTCTCCCTTCTCCTTTCTCCTATACACACGTGCTTTGAAAACAGAAATAGGCAAAGTGCTTTACCTATTCAGTTTCCTTCCCCTGCTTTGCTTTTCTAATGTGAAATCATGTCTCCTATTGCCAGGAGAGGAGTTTCTTGAACTTGTCCATGACAAGCTGGATGATTAAGTTAATTAACTGTTCTGAATTGGTAAGGGCAAGAGTATTCATACTTAACAGGCTCCCACAGTACTGTGCTTAGAACGACTTGCCCATCCTCCCCAATACCCCTGCCCCTGCAATGTAAGAGGTTCTTACATTAGTGCATGAGAGTAGGAGAGCAGGGTCCAGAGGCTTGATTTATTGACAGCCATCAAATGCCAGGTACTTTGTATCACCTTGTTTCAACCTAGGATGCTGGAGCTGTCCCTGTTTTACAATGAAGAAAACCTGGCCTCTGAGAGGCCCCCTGATTTGCCTAAAGGCATACAGTTGGTCAATGGAAATGCCTAGATTTGAACCCAGGTGTAAGTGAGCAAAATTTCACTCTGCTGAGCACATCGTGAATGAGGAACAGATAAAGCAAGAACATGGCTGGGAGAGAGAGTTCATTTCTATTATCTGTTCACCTACACTTAAATTAGGAAGCAGGAGAGTGTACCCAAAAGCTCAGAGAGAGGACAGCCAACTAACTGTGCAGCAGTTCAGAAAGAAGTTTCAGGACTTCCTGAAAGACAGGAGCAGGCCATTCAACTCCTTCCCTCCTTTTTCCTTCACATTCTAACTCAACACAACCCTAGGCTCAGGAACCAGCGCACCCCTCCTTCCATCTACCCTTTTATAGTCAGTCCACAATCCTTATTCCAAAAATAAATCCTCCTGATGAGATGATGAGAGGCAACAAAAAGCAAAGCTAAAAAGTTTTATGCTTTTGTTATGGGACATTATTTGGACAGAATTATTATCATGTTTTTACAAATTTCCCTAAAACAAATAATTCTGGATATACCCAAATTACTCCAGCCTCCTGGCCCAATATGTTTTTGCAATTACTTGGCACTCCAACTCTATGCAACTTAAATTAGTTAACAGTCACCAAGTTATTTTTAGGCCATAGCAACACACACACTCTACTATACCTAGCTTGTTATTTGTACTCCTTAGGAACAAAATTTGCCTTTGTACTGGCACTATCATTTCCTTTCAATCAATATCAATAAAAACATTCTACCATATTTATGGAGTGCTTACCATGTATGTGTATAAAGTTCTGAACACTTTACACACATTAATTCATTTATTTCAGAAACTAACACTTTGAGATAGCTATTGTTATATCCTCTTTTTGTTAATGAGGTAACTAAGGAACTGAAGGATTCAGTTCCTTCCCCAAGGGCACATACCTAGTTAGAGGGGAGCCAAGGCTAGCATTCAGGCTGACTAGATCCGAAGTTCTGCCTTGATTTCTCCATCATTTGCTACAAGGCTAATGTTTGACATTTTAGCCTTGGATGTTAACCAGAGGCTCAGAATAACAACAGCACGTTTATGAATGTAGATATGTCTTTATTTCAGGTATTTTTTAAAATCCTCATAACATCTCTGAGAGAAAAGGGGAGACTTTTATTCCCTTCCCCACCCCACCCCCGAAAAAAGGGCAGAAACAGAATATTTTTCACAGGTCTCTGATTTCTGAGCCTAGCCATCCACTTTGTCATAGAACTCTATTGCCAATAAGAGTATATTTCAGAATTCTTTTCAACTAGGGAAAAGTGTGCAATGTATGGTGCTCAATTCTAAGGAGTGATGAAGTTTTATAGTATAAAGGCCTAACTGCCTGCATGATCAAATCCTCCCCATGGATCATCCTTTTAAACCATTTCCCTCTTCTTCTCACATTCCCCCAGTAAAGGCCTTTGGTACAGAGCAGTCCTATAAAGATTGTAGCAGTTGGTCATTCCTTGTTTTACAACAGCATAGAGCAAGTAGAGGCATGGGCTCTGACATACCAGGGAGGAAGGGGGACACACAGACCCCAAGGAGGCACCTGGAGCCCTCCTACTCCCAGGGAGGGAAGCTCCTCTGTAGACCTGACTGCCAGTCAGTCACAGAGGGATTCGAAGTTGAAAAGCACTTAAAAATGGGTACATGACACTCAAGTGTTTACGAGTGAAAATGTTCATAGTATACTATAAAATATTTCCAGCTTTATTGAATTTGAAACATTAATTTACACATTAAACATACTTAAATACATTAAAACATTATCTATATTTTTAAATATTTCAACAGAAAAGAGAAAGCAAATAGGAAAAATATAATTGTTTAATCTGGTTGATAGGTGTATGGATGTTCATTACACACTTTTCTGCTTTTCTATATGCTTGAAAATGTTTATAATAACATTTTTGAAGGCATATACTGTCTTTAAGAAAAAGGGGCAGTAGACTATTTCTTCCTACCTAAGTAAATGACAAATTATTTCCCTGGACCCAGCTTTACTGAAAAGAAAGGGAGCCTGAAAAACTTTATAGCAAAAACGGTAGCTCTCGTTATGGATGGTCTAGAATTGTTCAACTTTCTTACTCAGTTTGACTAGAAAGCAAGTTTTAGTTGATTAAAAATCAGCTTTGAGTAAAACAATATAATTCTTTCAAAGACCTCACAAATCCCTAAATATTTATTCATTTGGATCATTTTCACCAGGTTGAAGAGAAGCACAGGTCTGATGCCATTTATTCTTTAGAAGATGAGACTAAAACATAGATTCTAGCATAGGTCACAACAGGGAGGGCACTGTAAATTAGAACAGTAACTTAATCCCAGGGGCTGCCATGCCTCTGATCGGTTTCTTCCCAACCTGACACAGCATTACTAAAATGGCAAGTTAGCAGCCGCTCTACTTGACAGACAGCACCAAAAATGGAGAGTATGGCATGGAGACAGGGGGACAAGGATCTTGGACAGGGAGGGTAGCAACCAGTGTTTACAAACATAAACCAGAGCATCAGATGGGCCAGCCATAAATTACCCAAGATTGTACTGAAATCTCTGAAAATAAACTAACAAGCCTTTAGAAGTTTCCTCCTTATGTTCTAACTATGCCCCCCTCCCACCAACTTCCCTGCAAAAATTACTCCTTCCGAAATGGTACCACTACCACTCTTGCTGAAACACAATCTTATCACCAAGGGAGGGGATTACTCAAATAAATCTGAGAGGAGAAGCCAGACCAGAATGGTCTGCTTGACCCACTCAAGAATCTGAGAGAAGTCTGCTGGTCATGCCTTTGGGGAATGCCCACCCCGTCTTTCACCACAGTGGTGCTATGGTATTAATCTCTGGTTTACCAAGTTGAAAGGATAACGAAGGGCATTCTAATATTGACCCATTCCTTTCCCTTCTTTTCCATCTTGGTCCCAATTTTAGGCCATTCTCCCAAAAGATACCAAAATGATAATGATAATTATAAAGTAGAATATAGACCCCTTCACTCCTGAACTACATATTTTCAATGAAATTCCCAGATATTTGAAGAAAAGGCCCCCAAAACTACAAATAATCTAACCTCTACCACCAGAGCATCTTCCAAGTCGACTGCCGCGGTGTCTCACCAACTCGAAAATGACGAGGCCTCGCAGTGGCTGCCCAGGGCGCCCAGTGGTGAGGTCAGCAGTGTGTCCTGCCCCGCCCCATTGAGGCAATCTTACTCTGACACTGAGGAAGAAGTCTAGGCTGTCCAGAATCTCAGCTGCATCCACAGGAAAGGGAGAGAGGATCCTCACTTTCACAAGTAGCACCCAGGAGATTCATTTCTCAATGACTGATGGGTCACCCCTATCCACAACTCCACCCACTGCAAAATAGAGAGTAGGGTCTGCAACTCCTTGTAATCATCCCCATGATTAGGAGGTCTAGGATCATCTTGATCCGTGTTGTTTCCTCTCTTCAGATCATGAAGACACAAAAGACTTGCTTTTTATCATGAACACCTGCTCTGCGTGAGAAAAGAGGAGATCATCATGATCATTGGCTATCCTCCTCTTTGCTCCCCAAGACAAACTATTACAAATGGGAAATTCCTCGGTAGGATTTTCTCATTTGTAAGAGGCTAGACACATCAAGATTATGGTAAGACAATAGCAGGGTAAATATCCTGGGAATCACTCAAAGTCAACCATACAAGAATACAGAAACAATAAAATACAGAGCTATATGGAGGAAATCTGAACATATTTGTGACCTCAAGAAAACCCACCACAACCACCACGACCAGGAAATGTCTAGAAGCTTCTGGAACTCTCTACATACAATTCTTTCATGTTCTCCTTCCCAGCAAAGCCCACCAGCCCTAAGGAGAGATGTGCCTTTGTGGTAGTGTAGCCCCATGAGGGCAAGTTTGAGGAGAGCGGAGGGTGGGAAGAGGAGATTGTGTCAGTGGAATTCAGAACTATAATTCCCAGAACACTGCTTAACAAAAGGCAGAATGCCCCACTGGGAAGACAAGAAGGAGAATGGCAAAGCTGTCCCATAGAGACAAAATAACTAACTTGCTCACCCACATGTCCTATTGCAATTTAAATATGCAATGTGTTCAAACTCAGCAACACCTTTGGTCAACACACTTTAGGAGACTGGTTGGAGATGTGACCCAGAAACTGCGTACCTTGGCTCAGAACACAAGAGGAGAGAAGAGAGAAGACGACTATCTCTCACTACCACCACCAGGTAAAAGATGCCGAATGAGAGTGATGTACAGTGCCCCAAAAGTCAGTATCTGAGGGCAAAGAGGTGCAACTAGGCTGGGCACAGGATGCAGGCTACTTGGAAAGGTTAGGCAACACGGTATGGAAGGTGCTCCGAGAAGAGTGGTGAATAATTCCTTCTGCCAGAGCTCAGTTCTGCTAATCTCAGTTATTCTGCATTCAGTATACTGGGGCAAGTGACCCATTACTCCATCTTGGGAGGAGCCATGATGCCAACCGTTGTCAGGTGAGGCCAGAAAAAACAATGGGTTGGGGAGTGTTTCATAAAAACGTCTCTGTTCCCTTGGAGCCTTGGCAGAGGAATGGATGTAATTGGTGAACTTATACTTTATATGGGGCCTTAGAATAAGAAGCTCTGCCCTTCTTCAAGGTCACTTTATAAACCACATAAAAGTCAAGCTGGTCAGAAAGGTGAGAAAGAGAAAGAATTTCCCACAGTAAGAACTGGTACCTGTAGGTTTACTTGTAGTTCACCATAGTTGCTCCTTCCTCTGTTCCATCAACATTGGTTAAGTCTGAGAGACAATAACTTTCCAACTAGTGATTGATTGGAATAGAGCTAGCAGACCAGGCATGACTTGAGATACCATCTGGTGTGTATAAAGCCCCTTTTTAGAAAGATGAGAAAACAGTCCCAGAGAGGTGAAATGACTTGCACAATGCAAATTAGAACCCAAATGAAGGGTAGAACCCAGATCTTCTGGCTTCCAGTTCAGTGCTGCTGGGTTTTTCTTACTAAACCAAAACAATAAAGAGCATAGAAGGGAAGAGAAGAATAAAGTCTATTTTGGTCTTTGGTAGCCAGGGTAAGGAGAATGCTGTCACTCTACGAGAAAACCCAAAGTGAACCCGGCTAATCAGGACCGTGCTTGGGAAGGGAGCAGGGGCATTACCTTTCAACACCAGAGGTTCTTTGCCTTCTCTCTTCAGGGACTCGAGGACTATGTGAAGTGGCTGGGAGGGCATCACTCGGCTTGGTTCATTGGTATTCTCATCATAAACTATAATTTCTTTGGAAAAGATCCTCTTGAAAGAGTCCTTGCCTTCCCTACAGGAAATCAAGTCTAGGACAGTGATCTTGCCCTGCTGCAGTCTCCGCCGGCTGATCTTATCGGCACAGTTAATGTGGACAGCTCCTTGGATGTGACTCTTGTTGTACTCCATGAAGGGCCTGCAGTCAATGATGACAGGGCCCTGACTCGGCAGGTGACTCTTGCTGCATTTGGTCATCTTCTTTGCCAAGTCATTGGGGTAGATTATTTTGATGCTGGCTAGCTGCTTGGGGGTCCCTGACACAGGGCTGCCCACCCCACTTGATGGACTTAGAGAGCCTGTATTCTCATTATTGTTGACCATCTGGTTAGCAGGGCAGGTGGTAGAGGTTCCGATGGCAGTGGTGGTGGTGCCAGCGGCAATGGCTTGGGTTTGGGCCTGATTGTCCTTGTCGTAGGTTGCCACAGTGCAGCAGCTGGCACTGCTGCATCCACAATTCAGCGAGCGGGCAGAGCCGCTGGATGAGGGCATATACGTCAGATTCGCAGCCTTGAGGGACACAACGGTGGTGGCGATGACAGGAGGGTGGCTGTTACTGCCTGGGTTGGCAGAGCCAAGGTAACTAGAGTCTAAACAAAGGTTGAGATCCTGAGGTCGGACGGGCCTAGATAGTGCCACTACTACCCTGTCGTCTAAAGGAGACGGAGGCATGAGGAGGCTGAAAACTGGCAATTCAAGAAGAACTCAAGACAGTCTGTAAAGAAGGGGAAGGGGGAAAGAAAGAATAAAGTCACGTGACACAAAAGGCAGTCTCATCCAATCCCTGGGAAAGACCTTTGCATCCCTCTGAGCAAAGTCGTCCTAATTGCCCTTTATCATACCATTATCAAAACTTGAAATTCATTTTTATGTATTCAAAGAGGATGCAAACCTGAGGGCTCCAATCAATTTGGTTGCTAAGTCTAAGGTTAAATTTGGATGTAATGTTGTAAATGTTAATGAACAACCTTTCCTGGACCTACATAAAAGTTCAGCTGTAGAGAAGGTATAAGCACAAATAATTAGAAAAGCTGAAGACAGAAGGGAGGCTCTTAAGAGGCATCTATTCTGAACCTCAGCTCTCGGGCAGAAGTACACTGCAAACATCTGAGAAAGACCCATTTGTCCACCCTTGCATGCTTGCCATTTAATTCCCTCACTCGCTGCAAAGGCAAAGGGGTAACCAAGAGCACTGGCATGGTTCACAGAAAGGTACAGCAGCTAAATATACATCAGGGTGGATGTCAACTTTCTGCAAATCCCCTTAAGTGAATCTCTTTAACTTGGAGCTATTCTTGCCTTCCATTCTCTATTGGGGTCCTTTGAAAAGCACAACATAGTCATACTAAAACCTCACATGTTGTCTTTTGGCCTCTTATAAATTAATCTGCATTTCCCCTTTTCACTACTAACTGGTGTCCTAAAACGAAATCTCAAGCCATGGAGCCAGATCTGGAAACCTGGAAACCCCAGCCCCGGCAAATCCCTCACCCTTTGCTCTCTCACCTGCCCCCGCCCTCATTCCTGCCTGGAAAGGACAACTTGGGCTCTCCTCCCCTCTTCATCTCCCTGGCTGGCACAGACTGTGCATCCTAGAGCTTCTCTCAATGGGAGGCAGCCACGTTGTATAAGGTTTCAATCCCATACAGATATCCCCCCTTCAAGAGTACTGATTCCGTAAAGAGGACCTCCCAATTAGCCTGTACTCGTTGAAAGGGACAGTGAATTGTTGCCCACCGGATCTATCTCTGATTTCAGAGTGTCTGCAAAAAGACAGCTCCTTCCTCCTGTAGGCACAGGGGCACTCTACAACTCAGGCTTGCTAACTCTTCTTCTTCTATTAGACATGCACATAGCAAAGACGCCAAACCCCACGCCAAGAGACGCTCACCTAAACGAACTTTAAGAGCTATCAGGAAAAATGCCATCTATCATCCGTCTACACACGACCGTCACCATTCTCATCCGTCTACACACGACCGTCACCATTCTCTGACACAGAACCAAAGTGTCACAGGCGGAATCCACACTCACGCGCGCACACGGGGCACGCACCCATCACGTCGGCAGATCTCCAACGACTCGGGTTTCTCTCACCCACCTTTGGATGGGAGCGAAGGAGTCAACCCCCCTTCCCTTGCGTAGTATTTTTTCTGAAGAGCGAGTTCTATTCCAGAAGCTATAACTGTTTCCCGGTTGGACCAAGCGGTGAAAGTCTTTGCTATTGTGTTACCTGGTAGGACACGTCCAGGATCAACATACCATTTCTTCTGAGAGGGACGCATAAGCGTGTTCACAGAGACACGCGCTGGGACCCCCACCTCCACACAGAGTTCAAGGCTCACACACACACACACGGAGTGTATAGAGAGACCTGCATCCCTGCAGCAGAGGGTCGGGCGTACATACTGCCCGTGAAACCATCCAGTCTGGCCCAGAAAATCTCCCAGAGAAATACTGAGCTATCCCCTCTCCCTTCCACCACTAGGCAAGAGCTGGAGAGAAAATTAAGTGGTTAGAGAATGCTTCTTCCCCATTCCTGGAGCACTTAACATCCCCCCGCCCCCCGCTTCACTCCTCGGCACACAGCGCACTAATGAGCCCCGAGCATTTAAAACTGCCGCAAAGCATCCCAACAAACCTCATTTTTTCTTCGCCCCAAATCCAAGTAGACTGCAGGGAGTAAACGCACAGGGTAGCAGGAGCCAACGGCCGGAACCTTATAACCCTACCTGCTGTAGCTCCTCCGTCAGCATCGCATCTCTATCTTTCTGTCTCTGTCTCTCTCTCACACACACACAGATACACACACACAAACACACACACTCACACTCACACAAGCACCGCCTTACAATCCTCCACCTCCAGTCCCGGGCTCTCAGGAGTAGTCGCGGTGACTTCCACTTACTTCATAAATAAGTGTATTCCTCCACCATCTGGCGCTCCTCTTCAGCTATGGACTCGCACATTCAGCCCCCATTCACTCGGCTTCATTGATCTCCAGCAGCAACATAGTTACTTTCTCTTTTGCTACACTGTAAATGTAAGGTTCTGAGGGGGCGGACTCGCCGCCGACCGACGGCGGGTTGGGCCAATAAGAATCCGGAGAAAGCCGACCGCTACCTCACAGAGCCCCGCGACCAATGGGCAGCCTAGGGGGCGGGTAAGAAGGCGTGGCCTCATCTCTTTAAGGAGGGTTTATCCGAAGCTGCTCTGGGTCCTCGGTGTTAAAACACGGGCGGTGATGTCATTGGCAACCAATCAAAAACTTAAAAGAGCCAGCCGGGGCCGCGCGGAGCAGCTGCTCTCTATTTACATGTAAACCGAACCGGCAGGATGCAGTTAACCCTTTACCAGGCTGAAGTGTCAGCGGGCTGGACGCGCTGCTCCGCTAAAACTGGCTCTTCCCACTGGACGGGATCCTCCAACACTCCCTCACCCGGGGACAAACCACGCTATTTTTCCTCCTTACTATGGACAGATGATCAAAAGTATCGGAGTAACTTTCTAAAGGAAAGAGACTGCGATCACCGTCCCTAGTGGGAAAGCCGGGTTCTCTCCGAGTCGCTCGAGGTGACTTGACAAACGCTAAGCCAAAATTCGCGGACCTCGCCGGGTCTTCTGCGCTAGGACCAGCATGAGCGCGCAGCCAGGGGCGACGCTTCCGCTCCGAGCCGCGGCCCGGGGCCACGCGCTAAGGGCCCGAACTTGGCAGCTGACCGTCCCGGACAGGGAGGCCCTTCAGCCTCGACGCGGCCTGCGTCCTCCGGAGGGCCCTGCTCCGCCCGGGAAGCGTCCGCCTCCCGCCCGCCCGCCCGCAGATGTCGCTGCCCCTCTGGCTGTCCCGGCCTGACCGCCGCGCGCCGCCCTGCTGCTCACCTACTTCCGCGCCACGGTCACGCCCCTGCCGTCCCCAGGCTAACCCTCCCGGGGCTCGACCCAGAGCACTAAGGCGGCGCCACTGAGGGCTGCTCGGAGGAGGAGGCTTGAGTCGACGCCAGAGGCGGCAAGGGACGCGCCCTGAGCAGCGGTGCAGAGGCCAATCCCCTGGCCGGGCGTCCTGGGGCCCGCTACGCGCCCGCTGCCCCTCCGGGTCTGGGTCCCCGCCCGCCGCCGCCCCCCTTTCCCGCCTGGCGCGCTGGGTCCCCGCGCCGTGCCAGCAGCGCGCAACCCACCCGCCCCACATGCCTCGGCCGCCACCCCTCGGTCCCGCACGGCCCCTGCCGAGGCCAGGACCGGCAGCCCGGCGCTTCTGGAACAGCCGCAGCTGGCGGAAAAGAGCCAGAGCCGAGTGCAAATAGCTAGATTGAATGGGGCCGGAGGAGCGTGGAGGAGGTGACGCCGCCTCTCCCCGCTCCCCTGACTTTGGCCGGCGCCAGGTAGCTGGCCGCAGCTCCTGATCAGGGAGAAGAGTAGGGGGCGGGGCAAGCCGCCCCTTGCCTAGTCCGGAAAATATTCTCATTAGGGAAACTGCAGGAAAGTTGCCCTGGGATACAAAAAGAAGTGGAGATGAACAACCCCAGATGAACTGTGGAGAGTCTACGTCCAAGAACCCTAAAGAAGTAGAGCTTTTTCTTTTCTTATCTGTGAGAGAAGGGATAAAAAGTGAAATAATGGAATAATACATTATGAGCACTAGGGAATGTTGGGCTATCGTTTTTCTCCCTTACCTGATTGGATGGGGTTTGGAGGTCTACTTCAGACTCCAAGCCTAGTAGTATACTGAGTAGCAGGGGCATATTCATGTAATTGTTTTCAGGGCAGATCTGAAATCAGGAGGTGTCAGACCATAGCTAGCAAGTCAGCTATGCTCAATGAGCTGTGAAGAGAAATCCCCTTGGGCACCTCCACTTACATGCAGGCACATACCCCCCAGTCCAGCTTTTCACACCAGTGTTACGACGGGCATCACGTACACATCCGATAGTCTTACATAGGAGAGGATTTTGTGTAACGTCTGTTGTCGAAAATAGTCAAACTCTGTAAAATATTTGAAGAGATTTATTCTGAGCCAAATATGAGTGACCATGGCCTGTGACACAGCCCTCAGGAGGTCCTGAGCACGTGCCCAAGGTGGTTGGGGTCCAGCTTGGTTTTATACATTTTAGGGAGGCATGAGACATCAATCAAATACATTTAAGAAATACATTGGTTTGGTCCAAAAAGGCTGGACAACTCTAAGGAGCGGGTGGGCTTTCAGGCTATAGGTAAATTTAAACATTTTCTGGTTGACAATTGGTTGAGTTTGTCTAAAGACCTGAGATCAAAGAAAGGAACGTATGGGTTAAGATAAGAGCTTGTGGGGACCAAAGTTTTATTATGCAGATGAAGTCTCCAGGCAGCAGGTTCAGAGACAATAGGTTGTAAAATGTTTCTTATCAGACTTGAACTCCATGTTGATATATAACAGGGCTCATCCCACCCTCACTTCCCCTCATGGCCTGAACCAGTCTTTCAGGATAAATTTTACAGGAGCCTGGGTTGAGAAATTAGTCCGTTGGTTGATATATAATGAATGGGGCACGTCCCACCCTCACATCCCTTCATGGCCTGAACCAGTCTTTCAGGATAAATTTTACAAGAGCCCTGGTTGACAAATTAGTCCGTTCAGAGGGTTGCCTGGGAAGGCGGGGTGGGCAGGGGGTGGGGCGTGGGGGGTGCTTAGAATTTTATTTTTGGTTTACACCTCTCTCCATCCACACACCAACACACACGTCAATTCACCCTCCTGATAATAGCAGAGTGCTTAGGGCACACCATTTGGTTCTTAAATGTTTGAAGATCAACAGGTTATGGTCAGGAAACTTGGGTTCTGGGTAATTTCTATACAAATCAGAAAAGAACTTCCCAGAGGTTCTACCCTTGATCTATCTGGAGCTGGAAGGCTGAAAGCTTACCTTTCCCTAAACATAGACAATTATGGGAAAATTTTTCATTAACTCAGAGTTTGAGAGTTCTAAGTTCTGATTCTGACTCTATCTGTTATATCTGTTCATCCAGTCTCTGTCTTCATTTATCCATAGAATGGTAATACCCCAACTCAGAAGAAAAAGGGAACTCATTCAAGCGCTCAGGGGGGAAAAAAGATCCCCTGCTGATAAAAGGCATTCAGTGGAAAAAAAAATTAATTTACTTGCTTTAGGAAATAAGGTGCCTATCTTTAAAGGTATATATGATCTATAAATGATGAATTCATTTCTAATGCCTCAACATCTAAGCCCAAAGTATAGATTTATACAATTGCAGAAGAGTTCTTAACAGCTTTTCCCACAAGGCCCAAAATGGAAAAGTAATTTCAAGAAGAAATGTAACTCTTGTAATGAGATGATTGTTTTATTATAGTTTCAAAGTAGTAGATTATTATAATTTAGTTGACTAAGAATCTAAGCCATCCAGGCTGAAACATTGGGAAAGATGGCAAAATTCCTTATCATATATCAAGCCTGAAATGTGGAATAATTACCAGATTATGAATATAAGCAAAGTTGTAGTTATTTTTTAAGTTAGGCATCTCTAAGTTTATATTCAAGTCATAAGACTGGTGAAAAAAATCAGATTATAGATGGAATTTTTTTCCATTCACTACTCTTCAGAACATCTTTTGGACAAGAAGAAGTGATTTTATTCCTGTTTTTGAGCGATAAATGTGAAAATACTACACTGAAATATAATGCCCTGAGACTTAAATTCGTAATGCTAGTCAGCCAATGGCTACAAATCTGATCTGTATATCAATAACCAGCAGCAGAGCGTTAATGTTAGTTTCAGTCCCAAAGAAAGAGTGAAGCATCTTCATTCAGTCTGGATGTTGTAACATGATTGTATTGAGCATATCTTTGTTCCCACAAACATCATAAGAAAAATATTGACTGTTTCAGCTGAAGTACTATGTATTAAAGTCAAAAGATGACAATAACTTAGGCCAACATATAAGATATAATATGGATAGTATTTAGCAAATGTATTAATTAAATTACTTCTTTTTTGTGCACTTAAATGGTTAAGTGTGTGGGGTAATGGCAGAAGGTGGGGCCTTCAAAATAATCCTCAAGGTCAAGATAGATTTCTGGAGGTACTAGAATTAAGGCAGAGAATGGCTTGGAGAAAACTTAAAAATCATCCAGGATAAAGATGATATTATACCAGAAGGAGTGGGGAATAAGCTGAGGAATAGGAAAGTGGCATGGTAAGTGTTTGAGGTCATTGAGACCAGCCTGGCAAAACATCCAGCAACACTCTCCAGGCCTAGGGAAGGGCTGATAAGAAGTGTTCCCTGAAGGAAGGAGCTGCTATGGTTTGAATGTTCCCCCAAAATACATGTTGAAACTTAATCACCAGTGTGACACTATTAAGAGATGAGGCCTTTTGGAGGTGGTTAAGTCATGAGGGCAGAGGCCTCATGGAAGGGATTAGGGCCATTACAAAAGGGCTTCAGGGAGTGAGTTAGTTTTCTTCCATTCCCCTGTGGGGACACAGCAACAAGGTGCTATCTTGAAATCAGAGATTGGACCCTCACCAGGCAGTGAACCTGCAGATGGCACCTTGATCTTGGACTTCCCAGCCTCCAGAACTCATGTGAGCAATAAATTTCTGTTCCTTACAACTTCCCCAGTCTCAGGTATTTTGTTATAGCGGCACAACTGGACTAAGACAGTGGCTACTGTAATGATGGAAACAGAGGCAGGGCCATGTGCTTGTCCCACTATCTATGAGTTTGGACACAAGAGGCCTGCAGTTCTTTCCTACAAAATTCATGGGCAGGTGTGCTTGTGACTCAGGAAAAGGCTCTGAGCCATTTAAGGCTCTATATCTGTATTTTCCAGTGTGGTGGTCATTTGACACATGTGTCGGCCACTCGAAGTGTGGCTAGTCTGAATTAAGATGTGCCATAAGATTAAAATACACATTGGATCTTGAAAACTTTATATACAAAGGGTAAAAGACATCAGTGCAAGTGGGAGGCAATAGAAATGGGAGCAGGGGTGAACTGGTGGAGCCTCTGTGACCACAATCTTGTCCTCCACACCTTCACACTTGACAGATGCAGATATAGCTATGGATAGATATATGTCTTATTCATGGGCTTCCAAAGTAAAATTTCAGTTAAAGAAAGGATCCTGGTTGGGATTTTTTTGTTGTGGTGGTTCTGGTTTTTTTGTTTGTTTGTTTTTTGTTTTTTTGTTTTTGAGATGGAGTCTTACTCTGCCGCCCAGGCTGGAGTGCAGTGGCATGATCTTGGCTCACTGCAACCCACGCCTCCTGAGATCAAGCAATTCTGCCTTAGCCTCCTGAGTAGCTGGGACTAGAAGGCATGCACCATCACGCCTAGCTAACTTTTGTATTTTTAGTAGAGACGGGGTTTCACCATGTTGGTCAGGCTAGTCTTGAACTCCTGACCCCATGATCCACCCACCTCGGCCTCCCAAAGTGCTGGGATTACAGGCGTGAGCCACCACGCCCATCCTCTGTTTTGTTTTTTAATCCTGTTTCTCTCTCTTTTTTTTTTTTTTTTTTCCTGTAAAGCAATTTCACTGGATGGCATGGCCAAAGCATGATTGATCTCAGACCTCTTTTCAAGGTTCACTCTGGCCTCTACTGATCACACAGAGGTGACTGGCTGGTTAGGGGAATTAATATGCTCCCTGTCTTCATTTAGGCAAGCAGATCCCTTTCAGTTTTTTCTTCCCCTTCACTGCTCCCCTATTTGTAACCCCACAAACATCTGCTGCTCTTTCTCAGAAGAGGATTTTGCCTCAGCCCAAGTGTGTGGACCATGGATGTAAACTTATTTTCTTTATGAAAATAACACACACAAAACATTCACTGGCCTTGGGTCTCCAACAATGCCCTCCTCTGTGGCGGATGGCCTGTTATTATTATGTGTTGCTACATCAAAGACTGTTAACATTTTCCCCTTCACTAAACTGAGCAATCATGTTTTATCATTACGATATGCTGTCAGCGCCAGTTTCTCAACCCCAGGAGGCTGGGTCCAACTGTGTTACTGAAGGATGCAAAGTTATAAGGTAAACATGCACGCAAAGCATTCATAAACCCCCTCAAGACTTGTTTCAGGTCTAACACTAAAGAATTAATCTAACGTTCTCAGCATCTCCTAGTAGGTTCAGACTGTACCACTTCTACATATAAGAAGTTCCTTTAGACAACAAAGTGCATCATAACGTACTTTATCTTTACAATTGAATATTAACTGAACTGATTTTAAAGATCTAGAATTTGGGAAAAAATAATCATAGGTAACATATTACTAAGTGTTTTGTTCTGTGCTAAGCACTGCTGTAAGTGATTTACATGCATTAACTCACTTAAATCCTCACAGCCACATCGATCTATAAGTAAGTACTTTTTTATTAGCTTAATTTAAAGATGAGAAAACAGAAATACAGATGGGGTAAATAATTTGCCCAAGGTCACAAAACTAGAAAGCAGCAGAGTCAACACTTAAACCCAGACAATCTGGCACCAGAGCATCTGCTTTTAACCATTTTGTGTTATTTCATTCACTCTTGTTGTGATTTTATAAACTTCTATCATGTCCCCCTCAGTCTCCAGACTGCAGTATATTTTTAATTGCCTGTTCATAAGAATTTGCTGTTTTTTTCTTTTGTTTTCTTCTGAACTTTTCTAAGTCCATCATGACGTGAATCTCCATGTGGTCTCACTCTTACAACCGCAGCCTCCACATTGGGGAATGGATCCAGACCTCCACTTTATTTCCAGAACAGTCTCAAATATTGCCCTAAATTGTGTCAATGGCTTGGTTGCTACTGCGGATTGGACTGGTAAATTCAAGGAAGAGCCTATGACACTTCTATTAGAAAAACCATGTCTTGTTTGCCGTCCCATCCCTAGCCGGTGGCCCGGGAGCTAGCACGTAGTTTGAACTCATTAAGCTTCGGTTCAGTGAGTGAGTGACTGAATGAATGAATGAACTGAGAATGTTTTTTAAACATACTGTCTTTGTCCATTCAGACTGCTATAACAAAATATCATAAACTGAATGCCTTACGAACAACAGAAATTTATTTCTCACAGTTCTGGAGGCTGAAAGTCCAAGATCAAGGTGCCAGCATGATCAGGTTCTGATAAGGACTCTCTTGTGGGTTACAGACTACTAACTTCTGGCTGTGTCCTCACATGGTGGAAAGTGTGAGGGTTCTCTCTAGGGCCTCTTTTATAAGAGCACTAATCCCATTCATGAGGGTTCTGCCCCCATGATCACCTTGGGCCTTAGGATTTCAACATATGAATTTTGGGGGGACACAAATATTCAGGTTGTAGCAAGAACGTACCTTTGAATTATTCATTTTTCTAGAGGCATACCCTGGTCCATCTGATGATAGCTTTCTAGCTACTGGTTTGGCCTTCTGTAATAGCTGGAAACTTAGAAACCTCCAAAGTCCCTAAATTCACTACTCTTTTGAATTATTTATGCAGATATTAACCAAGTGTCTATCTCTGGGGAGCTACGTTGTTTACACACCACTTGTTTTGTTTTGTTGTGATCATATTTCCCTCTTTACAGTTTAACTCCATTTCTTTCCCATAGAATTTAGAAAACATCAGCATCTTTCTCATTATAATCCATCTCATTATACTCCATACCATACTTGATTTTTGTTTTGGTCAATGCTCTTTGCAATTATGATTGTCTTCAATGTTTAGAAAAAATTCCTCTTCTTGTTCACTGAGTTTCAGGAGGATGAAGGTATCTTCCTTTTCTCGTTCAACATCTTCCTTCTTGTAATTCTCAAAGGCATGCATTTCCTGGTGTTTATCTCCCTGACAGACGGATTGTCCAGTGTTTATTTTCTCTAGCATGTGACTGATGCCAATAAATAGCTTTCTTCAGAAAGGCATTTAATCAAGGACCTGAGCCTGGACATCAGTGAGTTCTTCGTCTTCCTGGTGGTTGTGCTCTGAAAGGAAATGCCACTACTGATTCTGGGTTAGGTGGGGAGCAGCACCCCGAGAAGTCCTGTTTCTAATGCTCTGTGAATGGGCCCAAGTCCACCTGGATTTCACACCCAGGGGGAGGGTTCAGTGTTTTCCCTGGTCTAGCTGGTAAATAAAGCAAACACTTTGTAATTATACTCATGACCAGCAAGGGCCAAGAATGTACAAACATGGTGGATGAAACCCTTTCTGGGTGAATTTAAGTGTCTATGCTATGCTAAATACTGAGCCCACAGTACCACTCAGGCATATAGTAGGGGTATTCAAATTAATCCAAATCAGGTCAGGTCTAGTCAATTCGAGTTATTCAACAGGTAAGAGAAAAATCCTTATTGGAACTGGCTAAAATTTTAGTTCAAGTAGAAATGTTAGAAAAGAAGCAAATGTTATTTTTGCCATTAACTTGCAGGTCACAAAAATTTAGAATGCAAGAAAGATAAATAGATTGGATCAGAAAGTAGCCAGAGAGCTGGCGCTGTGCTTCATTCATCTGCCAGTGCTCACCATCGCAGGTATGGTGACAGAAAAACTGTATCATTTTTCTACAGTAGTAAACTAAGATGTATAATTCACAAGGACTCTTAGCTCCTTCATGCTTCAGTTTGCAATTCCTATTCCCAGTAATTAGGAAAACTGAAGCAACTCTATGAACCGCCATTCTAAACCTTAAATTGGATTAATAATAGCAAACAGTCCAATGAAGTGTCTTTTCTATATTCTGCAGAATAGAAATGCCAATAGATTTGGACTCCCTTTTCAACACAGTCCTAATCTTCATGTAATACATGAGTCCCCCCGAATATGGATTAGAGGAGTTAAAGGCAGACATTTTAACTCATCAAACTTGCCCAGCATGTTAAAGAAGGACTGAAAGAAGTAAGGCAGGCAGGCAAAAAGAACAGTGGGCTGACTGGGTTTTTTGTTTTGTTTTGTTTGCTTTTGTTTTAAAATTTAGTTTGTATTTTGACTCCAGAGTTGGGAAGGGTAACTTTGGGCAGAAAGAAGGCAAAGAGCAGACAAGTAGAGGGTATTTTGCTATTTCCAGAAATTTACAATTTCACAAGCTATTAAATAGAATAGGATCTGGTTACAGAGGGGTTGTTGAATGTTTGCTGGCAAAAAAAAAAAATGTGATATTACTAAAACTCATTCTGATTGACTTCAGCAGACACTGGGCCCCACCACCTCCTGGGATAGAAAAGAAAGAATAGGGCTGTCTGTGTTGGTGCATGTTAAGGAAGGCTGCACTGGCTTAGACAGGCGCCAACTGCTTTTGTACAGTTGAGGGATGTCAAGCACACACCTGGGGCCCCTCTTTTTAAACCCAGGAGAACCTCAAAGACAAGTTCCGCTAGTCCCATGGTATAAGGAGTAGTTTGTGTCTCTCTCTGTGTGGATGCAGAACTTCCCCTTTGTATGTTTAAGCTAGTGCAATCTTCCTTTCTGATGGTTAATTCTGTGGCCAACGTGACTGGATCATGGGATATGTGGTCAAGTGTTATTCTGCTTGTTTCTGTGAAGGTGTTTGTTTGTACGAGGGTGTTTTTGAATGAGATTAACATGTAAAGGGGTGGACTTTAAGTAAAGCAGATTACCCCCCATAATTTGGGTGGGCCTCATCCAGTCAGTGGAAGGCCTGAATGGAACAAAAGACTGACTTCCCCTGAGCAATGGGAATTCTGCCAGTCAGCCTTCAGACTTTAACTGCAACATTGGATCTTTCCTGGCTCTCCAGCCCATTTGCCCACCCTGCAGATTTTGAACTTGCCAGCCTCCATATTGCATGAGCCAATTCCTTAGAATAAATCTCCATTTATACACATACACATCCTGTTGGTTCTGTTTCTCTAGAGAATCCTAATACACCCTTTTTCCCCTTTGGTGGACAGAGCAAAGCATAGCCTAAAAGATGAGAATTGTACCAAGTGTCCTGCAATCCTGTCCTGTATTACTAAAAATGTACTGAATTGGGTTCATCTTCATCTTTGAGTAACATAATTTCCATGAGTTTAAAACTACCCTAAAAAGGTGATGAGGATACACTTAATAGATCTAAGATAGAATTGTTGATGCCAAAGAAAAACAAATTTCCCCCCTATAATTTATTAGGGAAAAATAGAAAATCCCAGTTGAAGTTTCTGGCTTTGGGATTCTAAAGAAATCTGGAGATTGGAATGATAAAAATAAACCTAAGATACAGTTTCTGAGCCTCTGATTTGTGTCCATTCAGCCTGAAGGAAGAAATATATGAATATTTTTACTTTCCCCCAAATGCATATTTAATCTTTTTCTAAACATCCTGAATTTTGAGACTGTCAGGAGTTTCCATAGTAAGAACAGATTGATTTCCCAATTTTATAGCATTTATTAAGAAAGCCATTTTAAATCTCAGTATTAATGTTGACATCTTGTTGAGGTTATTTATTTGTTACTTCTGCTTTCCCAAGTTAATCGACATATGGTTGAATTATAAAATCTCAGCTAAGAGCCTAAGGAGTGGATTTCTCAAGAAGAGTTCACAGTTCACGAAAGCAAATCAGAGATAAAAATGCATGCCATTTTTGCAGCTGCCTTATGTTTTTTGTTTCCCTGGCTCTTTATCAGAGATATGTAGAGTGCTTGACTGTGAATATATAGTTCTCCATTTCATTCTCCCTCATTTCTAGTAGACTGGAAGCCCCCTGCCTGTTAGCCAGACCAGCATTGCTCCAACTCCAAAGGCACACAGATCCCTGGGGGGCTTGGTTCAGTAGGTTTGGGATGGGACTGGAAATTGTACACTTCCTTGCATGCTTTCCAGCAATTCTGAAGCAACTGGACTACATATCACACTATGCTTGTCTAAATCCACACCCTCCAATACAGTAGCCACTAGCCACATGTGGCTATTTGAGCCCTTGAATTGTGGCTTGTCTGAATTAAGATCTAATCTAAGTATAAAATGCATACCAGATTTCCAAGATTCAGTAGGAAAAAATGGACAAAATATTTCATTCATAATTTTTTATTGATTACATGTTAAAATAACATTTTAGATATATTAGGTTAAATAAAACAGTACTAAAATTAATTTCACCTGTTTCTTGTTATGTTTAAACATGCAGTTACTAGAAGATTTCAAATTACTTATGTTGTTTGCAATTGCCACTTACATTATATTTCTTTTGGATAGTGCTCCTCTAGATCAACAGAGCTGGACTTGGAGAGACTGTGAGGGAGAGTAACTTCTCTGTTCCTTTGGTCACTTTTCACCAGGTACTCGATCCATCTCTTAATCTATCTCCTCTGCTCTTTGGAGCTGCTGTGGAATGATTTATTTCTGCATTCCTCCTCTAGGCCCCTTCATGGTTGCTCCCAACACTACTTGGCCATCTAGGGTGCTATCTGTCAGGATATACACCTTCTAGCAAGATATAGCCAAAAATGACATGAAAGATCTCTCAAAAATTCATTAATGGGACTCTTCTTTGTTCCCAAAAAACTTTGTGACACAAACATTGCATTTATAAAGGACCAAGTCTCCTAGGAAACATGGCATGGGCTTTAGAATCAAGTGACCCTGGAGTTTAATTTGATCAACTGATTGATTAGATCATTCAGTAACCTACTCTGTACCTACCTCTTAAGTGCTAGGGATTCAGTAATGAACAAAATGAACATTTTCTCT
The DNA here is from genome assembly GCF_000001405.40 of Homo sapiens. Classification (NCBI taxonomy): domain Eukaryota; kingdom Metazoa; phylum Chordata; class Mammalia; order Primates; family Hominidae; genus Homo; species Homo sapiens. Next base: position 221,753,717 of record NC_000001.11, read on the forward strand.
GCTTTAAAGAGCCTACTGTTTAGAAGAGAAAATGGACATTAAACCAGAAGGCACATTAATAAATATATAATTAAAGAACACAACTCCAACTTCTCTTTTGTCTTGTATAAAAATTCCTTACTCTTTCTGAGCCTCAGTTTATTTTTTGGTAAAATGGGAATAATAACACTGCCTTCCTGAGTATTGTGAGGATTAGAAATAATGATTCTATTTGTGTACTTAGCATAATGTCTGACACAGAGACCAGGTGCTCAATGGATGGTTTTTGGATGGCTAAAACAACGAGCACCCTAATCATATTTACAGTAGCTGGTTAGGTTATTGTTGCATGGCAGATTGTAGGTGAATTTTGACTCCTGATGTAACTCACACTTCTTGAGTATATTTTCTAAATCTATTCATGGCACATATAAAACATGCAATAAATGTTTCTTGAATCAAACTCTACCTGGAATAGACTTTGGAAGTGTCACAACACAACCCTGCTCATTTTGTGGAAGAAAAAAGACAAAGTTGGAGTGACTTACCCAGAAACATACTTTCAATAGTAGTTTCAGGAAATAAACTATTTTCAAAAGAAACTATTCCAGGAACATACTTTCATTAATAGTTTCTATTTGCATAAGACACTTACGCAGGAACGTACTTTCAATAATAGTTTCAGAAAAGAAACTATTTTCAAACTACTTTCAAAAACTATTTCAGAAATTAGTCATATCTGCTAGGCATTTGTGGAAGGAGAAGAATTTGTGGCCAAGTGGTCAAAGAAGTGAGGGAAGAGGCCGGGCGCGGTGGCTCACACCTGTAATCCCAGCACTTTGGGAGGCCGAGGCGGGCGGATCACGAGGTCAGGAGATAGAGACCATCCTGGCTAACACGGTGAAACCCCGTCTCTAATAAAAAATACAAAAAATTAGCCGGGCGAGGTGGCAGGCGCCTGTAGTCCTAGCTACACAGGAGGCTGAGGCAGGAGAATGGTGTGAACCTGGGAGGCAGAGCTTGCAGTGAGCCAAGATCGTGCCACTGCACTCCAGCCTGGGTGACAGAGCGAGACTCCGTCTCAAAAACAAAACAAAACAAAACAAAAAAACAATAAGTGAGGGAAGAACTGGCAGAACGAGGACCTTAGAAATGAGGAAGTTTCAAGAAGAGTAACTGATGTTTGACTAAATGTCAAACATTGTGAAGAATTTTAGTAGGTGGAAGATGGAAAAAAGATGTGGCCATGACAACTGAGAATCTCACCGAAAGCAGGTTGCAGAAAGGGAGGGAGTTGTCCCCTGAGGGACAGTGGAGGTGAGGAAGTAGAGACAGACTGACAAAGACTTCTCTTTCAAAACGGTGTGTGATAAAGGAAAAGAGAGAGCTAAGGAGCTAGATGCAGTAGCCAGGGGTACCCAGGAGATTTCCTGTTTATTTTTTTCGGAATGGAGGATTTGAGTGTATTGGAGTCTGTGTTGAGGAGTTCATGGAAATGAACTCCTTTCAAGACGTGGAAAGTACAAGGGGGAGACAGTTGTCAGCACCATGTCCTGAATGAAGGAGAATGAATGAACGGGTCAGCAGGACCGGGGGCAATTATTCTATTCTTTATTTTTATTTTTTGAGATGGAGTCTTGCTCTGTCACCCAGGCTGGAGTGCAGTGGCTCAATCTCAGCTCACTGCAACCTTCGCCTCCCAGGTTCGAGTAATTCTCCTGCCCCAGTCTCCCGAGTAGTTGGGATTACAGGCGCATGCCACCACACCTGGCTAATTTTGTATTTTTAGTAGAGACAGATTTCACCATGTTGGCCAGGCTGGTCTCAAACTCCTGATCTCAAGTGATCCACCTGCTTTGGCTTCTCAAAGTGCTGGGATTACAGGCATGAGCCACCACACCCGGCCAGGGGCATTTATTAGCCTTCAAAATTGAGGAGGCACCTTTGCTTCTGACATGAAATGGAAATATGAATAAATATTTAGCTATATGTTGAGAGGAGAGAAGGTCAGTTGAAGAGGTGAAGAAAGAGACAAGACCAGCTATGGAGAGTGAAGATGGCATCATATGGGGATGGTCTACCTGAACATCTAGTCCCAACTTTCCTGAGCTCCTACCCTAGACCTGAGCTTCTCAAAGTTGGGGTCCCTTGGGCCAGTGCAGGATAACAGATTATTTGTTGCTGGCTCAAATTCAGAGAAGCAGCTTGTGTTGGAATGCAAGCAAACAACTGATTTTCTTCTTCTCTTTGAAAGAAGCACAGCATTAATTTACCTTCTGGCAGCACTCTGTTTCTCATTACAGTGTCCAGAGCAGGTACTTTCAGGAAACACTGATCCACACAATTTCCTACTGACATATCAATCTCAATACTCCAGAGACATGTCTAACCAACCTGAACTCATCACCTTACTTCCTATACTTTCTTCTGTTTGTTTACTCTTCCTCGGTGAGTTGGTGCCTTCCATCGCCAAGGCATCAAGCCAGAAGTATGGAGGAGTATTCTTCTTCACCTGCCTTGACTAATCATTCACCAGCCTAGTTGATATTCTCCCCTACATAGCTCTCAAATCCACCCTCTTCTCTCTATCCTCATTACCACCGATCTAGTCTAGGCCACCTTGAAATTTTGCCTGGATATTGCCAGGCAAATCCAAGCAAGCCTTTCTCTACTCTGCTGCTCCAGTGAGCTGTCAAAAGTCCAAATCTAAACACTTTACTCCACTGGTTGGCCCTTCACTTGTTCCTTATAGCCCACGTAAACACCAGGCATGGCACAGTTAACTCTCCATAAGCCTGGCATTTTGAACAACTGGAATGTGCCCTTTCCTTGGTCTCTGAGGTTTTATGCATGTTGTTTCCTTCATGTAAGATTTTTGGCCTACATTTCTGTTGCCTCTTAGTTCCTTACCACTAAGAATAGACATTTTGTCATTCCAATCACCCAGAACAGTGCCTGGAAAATAGTAGGCATCCAGTACATGTTAGTTGAATGAATACATGAAGCCAAGGGATAACTTAGTTGATCTCATACTGAGCAGAGCTGATGAAAGTGGTGTCATTAAATGCTGCCTAATTATGGTCAAGGTGGTCTCAGATCCCAGAGCCTATAGAGAAAGTCATAGAACCCCAACAATGGATGTGGAGTGCTGTGGAGGCTGAAAGGCAGGAGAGCCACTACTGAAATGCATCTATTGGTTGTGGCTTCCTTCACTGAATCTGGTACATTCATGAAAGCATTCCTGGATTACATCAAAATCAGCTGTGGCTGAGATCATCTTTCAAAATGAGAATCTTACCATCCACACACTTTGTCTGCTACTCTTCATTTCTAGGTTTCCCTGGCTTCTCTCTCTTCCATCCCTAATATTACCATCCCCCTCCCCCATCACCACAAACACCACCACCATTTTGGCTTCTGTCCTTGACTTACCATTTAATTTTTGTCTTTGCATTCCTATAAGATACAACTTGCAAACTTTGGCGACAGACACCAATGTAGCAAAGAGAGTAAAACAGGCCCAGTTCTGACATTCTATCCTGGTCTTTAGGACTTCACCTGCTAGGCTGTCACTTTATGCCAAAAGAATGGTAGGTAGGACAGAGAGGGAGTGGGTGTGGGGAAACTAGCACAACCATTTGGAGCTAAATAATAGATTATGGCTGGAAACTCCCGTCTTGATTTGGCGCAAGGGCCACAGCTATATTTGGCTGGCCCCTGATTGACATAATTATTATTGCCAGAAAGTAATTTTAGAAAGAACTTAAAAGGAGGACATGGGTGATTAAACTTCTAATAATAACATTTTTTAAAAGTCTGGGTTAATGAATCTGTAACTTAGGTAAAAGAAAAGAGGCTTCAAGTGCTAGTACCTGGAACTGAGTTGGGAAAAAAAATATTCTTTTGGGGAGTCAAGTAGGGCAAGAATAGATCACATGCCCCTAAGAAATCTTGGGGAAATAGAGAGCGATGTAGCTCATTTTATACTGGAAGTTCTTCTAAAAATGTTGTGAGCAAAATAAAGTTTCACAAAGCAGATAATGTTTTGAATTAATTCACTGAGCATCCCTTACATGCAAGGCACTGTACTAGTCCCTTTGGAATATTCCCATGGGCATGCACCAGGCTGTTGTGAGCATGGGCTTAGGCATTCTTGGTGTTCATAGCCAGTGTCTGCTTTGATTGATGCCCTACCAGTTGTTAAATATTTTGAATCTAATAATTTTGAATATCACCTGGTAAGGCAAACTTCCTGTTTTGAAATAGCTTATAGTTTAGATGATGAGGTATGCTTACAAATAACTGTAATTCAATGCTATGTCATAACAATCGTCTTTGCAAAGTGCTTTTATACATTTTACCTCATTTGAACTCCACAGCAACTCTGTGGTGCATGTTCCTATTCTCATTTTGCAGATTAAAAAAACATGAAGTTCAAGGAGAGAGGCAGTCTTTCACATTTCGTAGAGCAAGAACATGCCCTGATTTGTCAACATTTTATCTCCCCTTTAGTGCTCACCCCACAGTGCCCATGGCTTTCCCTATTTAAAACAGCACATTTATTAATGCAAATAATTATTTTTTGAATTAATTATTGATTTCTAAATACAGATTTTCATACCCAAATAACCCTATGAAGATTAGCCTTTTAGCCCCATCATCCTGATAGGAAGTTTAACAAGCCTCCTTCTGAGAAACAAAGAGTCACAGGGCTCAGTTGATGTACATTTGGGGAAGCATGGAGTTGCCTTTAAGCCCTCTTCTAGGCAGTGAGGTATAAAACAAAAAAATACACAACAAAACAAAAAGGCAAGGGCAATGAGAAAGCTGACTGCAGAGGAAAGAACAAAGACAAAAATAAGCAAGCAAACAAACAACAAACAAAACTTTAAAAATAAAAAGTGCTCCATTATCTGGGTTCAGATCTACACTCCTGAACAAGCTGTAGCAAGTCACAGTAGCTCAGCACAGAACAATGTTGGTGCTCCTCATACTGGCTCTGAGTAAAATAGGTTAGAAGCTGCTGAAAGGAGTGCTAATGTTTCCAGAAATAAGCCCAGATTTTCTGGGAATTTACTCATGTAGAGCACCATGTTCTCTAAGGGGCCACATACACATATGGCTGCTTTTAAAACACCTCAAGTCTTTGTGTACAGGGCCACATACAACATGCAGGTAGGGCACAGGGAAGAAAACAAAATATCTCCTGAGGGAATGATACCTAGTGTTTATATAATAATTTGTCCAGTGCTTCTGATACAGGAGGATACCCAGATCTAGGTTTTAAGAGCTGGGATCCCTGGTTAATTTGACAGCTTTTCCTCTGTATCTAGCATGCATTTAGCCACGTTCCATCCATTCTACTCCCCTAGAAAGATTTCCTCCATGGAAGCATACAGAAAGACTATGTTATAATGGAAAGAGAATTTACAAATTGTTTAATGCACCTTCTCCCTCTTTTTATAGGAAAGGCAAATGAAACTTACAAAAGTGAAATGACTTCTTCAAGGTGACAAGAGAGGTTGGTTACAAAATCAATACTAGCAACTCTAATTTATGGTTATTGTTGCTAGGCCTTTCTTATTTCATGTGATTTCCATGTTTGAAATAATCTTACTATGAAAAGACTTGTGGAACTAGTAACTCCACTAGGTATTATAGTGTCAGTCACAGAATTAGGCCACCTTATTAGTACCTGCTCACTAGAACATCCTGCCCTCTATATGAGGAGGATTTCTGAAAAGTTTGGCATAAATTCACTTTTGATTATTTAGATTCTGTTTTGCACGTATTCAGGGATCTCTGTGGTGCATCTCTGAAAAGACTCCAGAATAAACTTTTTTTGTGTATGAAGCAAAGAGCTTGTTACAGGAAATATTTGCTGCCTGATTAATTCTTTTGACAGCTCTAACTGTGCTTATCTTAAGGCTGGCATACCCATATCGCATCGTCATCTGGTTTGTTTTGGTTGCTGATTAATTCACTTTGCTGCAAGAAGTGTATAAATTAAACCTCCATAAGGGCAGGGATATTTGCCTGTTTTGTTCAACCCTGAATGTCTGATACTTAGACAAGGGCTTGGAACATAGGAGGTGCACAATAAGTATTTACTGACTGAATAAATAAATTGATGTTTAAGAAGAGAATTCCTGACCTTGTCTCACCTCACTTGTGTCCATCTTCACAGATGCTCCTCCTGCTTGGGGCTGCTTCCTGTGAAGGGTGTGGCTGCACAGCTGCAAACCATCCCATCCCTGCCTCACCCGCACAGGTGGTCGCTGCCACCTAGGACAGCCTGGACTTTGCCATCTCCTTCTTGCGGAGTATGAACAAGCAGGCCTCCAGCCCGATGCATCAGATCCTTCCTACCATGGCTCTCCATCTTCCACCATTCTTCATGGGACTATCTTCTAAGCTTCCTCAGAGTATGTTTTGTCCTCATGCTAGAAGCGGCCCCACTTAGGTCTACCCACTGTTGGAGTTTCCTCGATCGCTCATCTTGGAAAGTACATCCCCATCCAATACTGGGTGGAGACCACATTGGAGACCTTATGGCCCTGCTCCTGCTAACAACCCAGCACTCTGCTTCCCACTAGGTGACAACGCTGCTGCTGCTGCTGCCACTGTTGCTGCCCACTTTATAGACAGGTGCAGCTTAGTTTCCATACCGTTGTTGAGTTGTAAATGCCCTCTGTGTAAAGGTCATCCACAGTTGTGAGGTATATCAACATCATTTGGAGACAGGATGGCGTTACGGTTAATGGTGTGAGCTCTGGAATCAACTGACTGGAGGTTAAGTCTGGCAACTTCTACTTCTTGTATAACCTTGGGCAAGTAATTTAATTTTTCTACAACTCAGTTTTCTTATTTGTAAAATTGGGAAAATACCAGAACCTTTCTTGGAGGGTAAAAGTGAACATTAAATGTGAAAAGTTGCTCACAGCCTGGTAACTATTACAAATGCTCAATAAATCTTTTATATATATGACAGGAGAAAAACAAATGATTATTTTCAGTGGATGGCAAGTCAAATAAAAGTAAAGAGAAAGCCAGATATCAGAAGAAAACAGGTTCCAAGGGAGAGATTAGGGATGGGGTTGGACTAGAGGAAATGTAGGCAAAGGCAGGATAAATAATGTTGGAACAGGTTTGTAGGGAGGGAGAAGCAGAAATTGGAGATAAAGAAAGAGTAAAAGGAAGAAGGTATATTCTAAGCTTTTAAGGAAAGAGAATTTTAGGGAAAGACTTTGCCAACCGGTTCTCATCACCCCCACAATAGTGTGTGCTCGCTCCCTCTGACTACAAGAACCTACAGTCTTTCTTTTATTTTATAATTTTATAAATTCTTACCACTAGACTGTAATCTCTGAACAGTAACAACTCCTCCAGTTTTACTCACTCATGTATCCCAGCGTCTAGCTTAATCTTTTGGACCAGATATCTGACTGCATAGGAAGCAGCCCAGGTCTCTTCCTGTCTTTTCAGAAAGCATGGGCTTCAAATTCATTTGATTTTAAAATAATGATTGAAGATATACAAGTGGTTAGTCCCCTTCCTGCCTGCTCTTGCTATGAACACAACAACAAAGATAAATCAATAAAAGTTGTGTTTATTCTCCTTAACTTCAGTTCATTTTGAGATTTAGCCTCCTGTTTTGTATTCACTCAACAGTGTGCTTTGCTCAGTAAGAGAAAACAGTTGTGGATGATCAGGACCCTGATCTATTTTACAAGTTTCAGTTGCTTTTTATACTCATAGGTGGTCTAGGTCTCATCAGGGAGCCTCTCAGGGCAGACAAATGGCAGGTGGGTGGAGAGGCCCAGCTTTCTGTTCCACCCCAGCTCAGCTTCTGAGCTCTGCCCCTAGGTTCCAGCACAATTCTGACCATAGGTGAGAGAGACTGCATGCCAGTGCCCATGTCCCAGGTCCTCTGTGCTGCTTAGAATGTGGTTCCAGGTTTCATTCTCCAGCCCTTTCCCCACAGAGGTTACAATCTTCAAACTGGGCTTTGACCACTTATCTCTGAGTCCTTGCTCTAACTCTCCCTTCTCTCTTAAGACCACACGTTGCTTTGGTCCTAACAATAGTAACAACAGTAATAATAGCTAACATTGAGTGTTAGCGGTGTGCCAGATATGGTGGGAAGCATTTTATTTGCATAGCCTCATTCGACCTTCACAATCATCCTGTGAAGTATCAGAACTATTTATTTCATTTCACAGATGAGGACGCTAAAAGAGGTTATGTAACTTACTCAAGGCCACATAGCCTGGAAATGTCAAAGCTAGCCCTCAATCCAGATAATTGGTCTTTCTGCTTCTTTATTATGTCTCTCTAATCTGTTCCTCTTACAGAATAATTCTTTAAAAGACAAAAATCTGAATTGGTCAGCCTCCTGCTTGAAACACTACATTGTTATCTCTCCGCTTTTAGAATAAAATCACTTTGTATTGGGAGGCCCTGGAGGGTCTGGCCTCTACTTCTATCCCCAGTTTCATCTCATATCCTTTCTTCTTCCCTCACTAAATTCCAGCCTCGCTCAGTTCCTGGAGTAAATGGACTCCTTTCCAGCCTTAACATATATGAGTATGCCATTTCCCCTCCGGAAGGCTCTTATCTCAGCTCTTTGCATATCTGGCTCCATTTTTCCTTCAGTTCTGAGCTTAAATGCCACTTCCCTAAGAATTTTTCTAAATTGAGTCCTCTTCTTATTCTGTGTCATAGCACCCTGTTTATTTTCATCATAGCAGATAACATTTTGAAATTACTTGTTTACTGGCTGATAATCTGTATTTTTTTCTTTCTGTTAGAATGAGTTTTTGATGAGGGCCTGAAGGCAGAGACTTCATCTCACTTATCATTGAACACTTAGTCCTTTGCATATGTAGGTGCTCAGTACATATTTGTTGGGTGTGTGAAAGAATGATCTCTCTAACTCAGGGGTAGATTTGCCATGAAGCTAACAAACTTAAGCTTAAGAGTCTATTACTTGCTAATGGCCCTAGCATTGTGTCCACATGGTCACATATTTTTGAAAAATTGTCAAAACTGACATATTTAAATTGCAATTGGTTAAAATCATTGGGGGTTTTATGTACTTCTCAGACACTTCCATGTATAGTTAAGTTGCTACTGGCTATTCTCAAGCAAGACTGATTTTCAGGAATACTTCCACTGTTCATTGCATGACCTCACTTGCTGTTGTGACACAAAGATGCAGGGACATGGCATCAGAAGTATGTGGATTATATGTGGATTGTGGAGGAGAAACAAGGTTTGAAATGTTTGGCACCAGGTGCTAGTTTACAGAAAATTCTTCCAAATCTTATAGCTCATTTATGAAACTTCAACAGTTTTTCCAACTTTAATAACAATTCTGAAAATGTATTTGGCATTGGTAATAATGAATAACAAATCTGAAAGAAACTTCTCTAAATTATTGGGTTGGTGCAAAAGCAATTCCGGTTTTTGCTATTACTTCTGCACCAACTCAATATCGTTAGTTAAAAAAAAATGAAAACAAAAATTTCCTATAATTGTGGATTTATGACACTAGATGAACCTTAATATACACAAATTTTTAAAAATTTAGGAAGTCAGGAGATCCTAGGATGGAATGCAGAGTGTGATATAAAAATCTAACTGAATTAAAAATTTATGAAACAAGCTTACTGAAGTGGATGGGGGAGAAGGAGAAGAGCCTTTGGAAATGAGTGGAATCTGTAAGACTCAAGGCAACAGACACTGCATAAGCACTATACCCTATCTGATAAAGTTGTGTCCCACAGGCATAAGGGTTAATAATTCCAAAATCACTATCCAGGTGTCTTAGTTATTTTGTGCTGCTATAACGAAACACCTAAGACTGGGGAATTTATGAAGAACTGAAAGTTCTGGAGTCTGGGAAGTCCAAGGTCAAGGTGCCAGCAAATTCAGTTTCTGATGAGGGGCCCAGTCTCTCCTTCCAAGATGGCACCTTGTTGCTGTATCCTCCAGAGGGAGTGAACACTGTGTCCTCACATGGCAGAAGAGTGTAAGAGCAAACAAGGTCCTAAGCTAATTCTCTCCAGTAGAGCCCTCATGACTTAATTACTTCCCCAAAGGTCCCAACTCTTTTTTTTTTTCTTTTTTGAGATGGAATTTTGCTCTTTTTGCCCAGGCTGGAGTGGAATGGTGCAATCTCGGCTCACTGCAACCTCCACCTCCCGGGTTCTAGTGATTCTTCTGCCTCAGCCTCCCGTGTAGCTGGGATTACAGGTGCGCACCACCACACCTGGCTAATGTTGTATTTTTAGTAGAAATGGGGTTCCACCATGTTGGCTAGGCTGGTCTTGAACTGCTGACCTCAGGTGATCCACCCATGTCAGCCTCCCCAAGTGTTGGGATTACAGGCACAAGCCATCGTGCCTGGCCCGGTCCCATCTCTTAATGCCATCAAAATGGGGATTAATTTTTGACATGAATTTTGGAGGACATATTCAAACTATAGTAGCATGTATACTGAAATTAAATAATTAAGTAAATAGATGGTGGATGGTGAGAGCCAGGTTTCTCACTATTGGAGTAGGAGGTTACAGAAAAGCAAAAGAAAGAAGCTAGAATGAGCCATAAGATAATGGACTGGAGTTAGAGACATCAGTATGAACTGATGTTTAGCTTCATATAGATATGGATAGTTACATATGGAAATATTTACTGATATGTATGTATACACAAGTTAGTATATACACCTATTTTTCCTTGTTTTGTCAGTGGCAAGGGCCCACAAGCAATAACACTGTAGTAGTAATGAGCACACCTAATACTTACAACTTCGTTTTTAATATCATTCTCCAATAAAAGGAAACAGAGCACTTTGGAGAAATAATTGATTCTGAACTGGGAGAGGAAACATACAAGATGAATCTGGAGCATCCTATAGTGTCAGAAAGTAAGAAAGGATTTAAAAAAAAGTACAGGGGTATGTTAAAGGGGCACAAGAGCCAACTGAAAGAGCTCCCAATGGTTAAAGCAGGAATAATTTGAGCAAAAAATAAATAATATTTAATTACAACCCAACATATAACATAAATATCCACAAGTCCATAGTGATATACATAACTGTTTGAATACATAGGTAAGTGGGTGAGAAGAGACAAATTTCTCATGCTGAAGCATTCCAACTAATTTATGTAGAATTTCTTTCTCAAGGAGGTGGACTATAACTCACCACTCCTTGAGTATAGGTTGTGCAGAATGACTTCCTTTGAAGGAATACAGCATGCAAAGGAGTACAGCAGGGGAAACGTGCAGACTGTTCAGCAGAGAAACCTAAGAAGCACCACCTCAGCCAGGAGACCAAGGTCAACATCGATATTAATAATAAGTCATGTTGGCAACATAGACCCTTGATATGATGTGATGAAAATGGTATTTTACTTCTGTGTTTTCTTCCTCCCCAAGAGTGTAACTTCAGTCTAATCAGAAAAACATCAGACAAACACTGATTGAAAGACTTTCTACAGAATACCTGACCAATATTCCTCAAAACTGGTCCTCAAAAACAAGGAAAGTCTGAGAAACTACCACAGCCAAGAGGGGACTAAGAAGACACTACAACTGAGTGTAATGTGGTATCTTTTATGAATCCTGGAGTGGCAAAAAAAAAAAGATATTTGTTTACAACTAAGAAAATCTACCTAAAGTATGAACTTTCCTTAATAATAAAATATCAATATTGCTTTATTAATTATAATCAATGTATCATACTAATGTGAGAATCTACAGGAAACACTAGGTATGGGGTGTATGAGACCTGTTTATACTAACTTTACAAATTTTTTTTGGTAAATCTAAAGTTATTCTAAAAAATAAAGTTTATTTAAAAACTTTCAATAAGATTTGTTAGAGAAAAGACAATTTATCTTTATACTCTCTGTACAGAAAATGATATTCCAAAACCAGTGATATATGAAAAGGTGGTCAAAGAATATGTGGTGAATATATACAAGAAAAAAAAATACTTTAGAGGTGAGTCATGCAGTTGTGTTCTCGAGGCCATAAATTAAGTTGAGTAATTAAGTTGTGTTGTTACACTATTTTTCTGTATTTTGTAGAATTTGTGAACCACTAGCTTTGCCACATATGTAATTTTTTGTGACTTCTCATTCTAAATGAATATCACTTTTGGATCAGATTTGGTATACGTAATTTGGTACTGTTTTCCTTACATTGGATTCCCCCAAATTGTATAAGCTTCAAGCCCCACAAAACCCCCTCCAACTCCAGAGCTGACCTCAATGCTAGGTCAATGGCCATACCTTGAGCCCCAGACCAGATGCTTGGGGACCTTATGAAACCCCTCATTTGCCAACTGCAATATGCTTTATTTTATTTTTTTAACCAATAGTATTTCTCCCCAATCTTGGTAGGAGTGTGTGTCTGTGTTTGTGTGGGTGTCTGTGTATGTGTGTGTATACATATACACATATAGCACTTCTAGCATCCTTGTTGAAAAAGAAATGTCCACTTCCATTTTCTGCACTTCTCATGAGGATAAAAAATCAAATTGCACTGGGAGGATAGTGGAAATATTATTTAAGGTGTAAACTGGGAAATTGTTCTAGTTTTGGTTTTTTATTTCAGATGGAAGCATTTGTTGCAGACTCTGAACTTAGAACAGTGGTCAAACAGATGTTTTCATTTTAGGAAGGCAGGATGGGTATCCAATTACCAAACATCCTGTTAAAGTTCGTGTGTGTGTGTGTGTGTGTGTGTGTGTGAGTGTGTGTGTGTGTGTGTGTGTGTGTGAAATAATTGCTACCTTTGAGATTCTCAAGATATTACTGGTGCCAAAAGATCAACAAAAATTAGATGATTAATTAAACCTAACTATAGAAAAATTATTAGCTATAACTGAAAACAATAAGTCAAACCATTCGTTTTAGTCAGTTATTTACTCCAGAATGGTTGCAAATGAGATACTGTCTGTGAGATGCTCTGCACAGTGTCTGGCACAGTCTACAGTCCAGTTGTGGCTTCCTCATGCGCTGTACTCTAGTCTCTCTGTTCCATCTAGCCACGTTGGTCTTTCCATACATCAAATGGGCCTTTGCACATTCTTTGCTCTCTCTGGAGCCCTCTTCTTCCCAACCTGTGTCAGGTTCCCTTTTAGATGCTGTCATAGAATTATAACCTTTCCCTCACATCACTAATCTCACAGTGATTATCTGATTAATATATTTCCCCCACCAGGTGATAAACTTCATGAAAGCAGGGACAGTAGCTGTTTTTGTCACTAGTGTTTTTCTCCTGCAGAGAGCTTAGCATGTACTAAAGTTTCAACAGTATTTGTTGAATGAATGAATGTTTACTACCACTAACAAATGATTATATGTTGGATTTCACTGATTTTATGCTTATTTTGGGCCAGGTCTTCTCCCTCTGTCTCCGCGTTTCCTTCCCCTCCTGCCTCTCCTACTCCTGTTTCACCACACACAGCCCTCCTTTTCCTCCTCCCCTTTTATTTCTTCCTTCTCTTCCTCTTTTTCCATCATCATCATCATCATCACCACCATCATCATCATGCTATAATTATGGAATATTTACTAGACATTCTGCAAAGGGATTTTCATAAGTTAACTCAATGAATTCTCACAAAAATCTCAACACAACAACAATGGCAGTTTATTACCATTTCCATTTTTCACATGAGGAAAACTGAGTTATAGAACGTTATTGACTTGCCCGTGATCATACGTTAGGTACCAGTTAAGCCAAACTTTGGTCTTTTGGAATTTACTGAGATTTATTTTACGGCCCAGCATGTGGTCTGTCTTGTAAGTGCTCCATGTGCACTTAAAAATAATGTGTACTCTGGCCAGGCACGGTGGCTCACGCCGGTAATCCCAGCACTTTGGGAGGCTGAAGTGGGCGGATCACGAGGTCAAGAGATCGAGACCATCCTGGCCAACATAGTGAAACCCTGTCTCTATTAAAAATACCAAAATTAGCTAGGCGTGTGATGCATGCCTGTAGTCCCAGCTACTCGGGAGGCTGAGGCAGGAGAATCACTTGAACCTGGAAGACAGAGGTTGCAGTGAGCTGAGATCACGCCACTGCAATTCAGTCTGGTGACAGAACAAGACTCTGTCTCAAAATAGTAATAATAATAATAATAAATAATAATAATGTGTACTCTGAAGTTATTTGCTGTAGTTTCTACAGATGTCAATTAGGTCAAGTTGATTGATGGTGTCTTCACATCTTCTATATCTTCACTGAATGTCTATATATATATTCTATCAATTACTGAGAGTGGTTAGTTTTATGTGTCAACTTGCATAGACTTTAGCATCCAGTTTTTTGTTTGTTTGTTTTTAATTTTAGATTCGGGGGCACATGTGCAGATTTCTTACATGGGTATATTGTGTGATTCTGAAGTTTGGGCTTCTAATGAGTCTGTCACCAAATGGTGAATATAGTACCCATAGGTTTTCAGCCCTTGCCCCCTTTCTTCCCTCTTCACTTTTGGCATCCCCAGTGTCTACTGTTCCCATCTTTACATCTAGGTGTACCCACTGTTTAGCTCCCACTTGTAAGTGGGAACACACGGTATTTGATTTTCTGTTTCTGCATTAATTCACTTTGCATCTACGTTGCTCCAGGAAATAGGATTTTATTCCTTGTTACGGCTGCATAGTATTCCAAGGTGTATATATACCACATTTTCCTTATTCAATCTGCTTTTCATGGGCATCTAGATTGATTCCACGTCTTTGCTCTTGGGAATAGAGCTGTGATAGATATACGAGTACAGTTGTCTTTTTGGTAGAATTATTTATTTTCCTTTGGGCATTTACCTAGTAACGGGATTGCTGGGTTGAATGGTAGTTCTGTTTTCAGTTCTTTGGGAAATGTTCAAACTGCTTTCCAGACTGGTTGAACTAATTCACATTCCCACCACTAGTGTATAAGCATTCGCTTTTCTCCATAATCTCTCTAACATCTGATATATTCAGCTACTTAAACAAACACTAACCTAAGTGTTGCTGTGAAGGTATTTATTTTGTAAAAGTGGTTAACATCAACGATCAGTTGACTATTTGTGAAAGAAATTCACCTTAATTATGTGGGTGAGCCTCATTCAATTAGTTCAAAGACCAAAGAGAAAGATTGCAACATCAATTCCTGTCTGAGTTTTCCTTTTGTCACTTCCTTTCATGCTGGCCTGCCCTACAGATTTCAGACTTGACAGCCCCACAATAGCATGAGCCAATTTTTTGAAATAAATCTCCCTCTATGTGTATATCTGGATCTATTATGATTTTATATATATATATATCCTAGAGATTACATATATGATATGTAGTCATCTATAAATATATGCATATATAACATATTTAATATGTAATCTGTAGATTATATATAAAATATATATTCTATTTCTTTGGAGATCCCTCACAGACATGGGGTGTTAAAATCTCCTTTAGGATGGATTTGTCTATTTCCTTCAGTTCTGTCAGCTTCTGCCTCACATATCTTTAAGTTCTGTTATTAATTACATTCACATTCAGATTGCTTTATCTTCCTAATGATTTTCCCTTTTATTATTATGCAATGTTTCTCTTTGTTGTTAATACTTAAGTCTACTCTGATTAATATAAACACAGAATTTTTAAAGTGCATATTATTCATACTTTATACTTCTTTCCATCTTTTACTTTCTATTTATATTGTGCTTGTTTTAGACAGCATAATTGAGTATTGCTTTATTTATTCAGTCTGACAATTACTTCCTTTTAATTGTAGTGTTCAGTTCATTTACGTATAATGAAATTATTTATGTAGTTGAATTTTACCTACCATCTTGCTGTCTATTTTACATTTGTCCCTCATGTTTTTGTTCCTCTGCTGCTCTTTTTTAAAACCTATTTTGAGTTAATTGAATAATACTGGTATTGTGTTTTATTGCTTATATTGTCTTCTTAGTTGCATCTCTCAGCTTTTGTTCACTGAAAAGGTATTTATTTTATCTTCATTGTTGAAGGACATTTTTCCTTGGGATGTAGAAAGCTTGGTTGGCAGGTTTTTGTCCCATTTATCACTTTAAAGGCATTGCTTCAGTGTCTTCTGGCCTCCATTGTTTTCAGTGATAAGTAGTCAAAATCTCTTATCATTTCCTCTTGTATATATCCTTTTTAAAAATGATAGATAGATAATTGATAGATTATTCTTTAGAGCAGTTTTAGGTTTACAGAAAATTGAAGAGATAGTACAGAGAGCTTCCATATTCCCCATCTCACCCCCACTAAGTTTCCCCTAAACATCTCGCATTGGTGTGATACATTTATTATAATTGATGAATCAATATTGATACATTATTTTCAGCTAAGTCCACAGTGTACATTAGGATTCACTCTTTGTGTTGTTCAGCTCTAGAAATGCACAATCATGTCATGTATCCACCATTATAGTATCATAGAGAATCGTTTTACTGCCTTTAAAACCCCTGTGTTTTGCCTATTTATTTCTCTCCTTCTCCCCTCAAACCCCTTGCAACCACTCATCTTTTAGCTGTCTCTGTAGCTTTGTCTTTTCCTGTGCGCTGTCCCTGTAGCTTTGTCTTTTCCAGAATGTCATATAGTTTAAGTCATATAACTTGTATGTACCTTTTTCACAATGGCTACTTTCTCAAAGCAATATGCATTTAAGATTCCTCCATATGTTTTATGGCTTGATAGCTATTTATTTTATTTTATGTTATTCCCCTCTTCTTTTTAAAGCTTTTTCTGTTTAGTTCTGGCTTGCAACAGTTTGACTATGATATGGCTGGTGTGGTTTTCATTGTATTAATTTTGCTTAAGATTTCCCCAAATTCTTAGATTTGTAAGTGATGTTTTCCTTCAAATTTGGAAATTTTTCAGCCACTATTTCTTTGTGTTTTTTGTTTGTTTGTTTGTTTTTGTTTTTTTGAGACAGTCTCATTCTGTCACTCAGGTTGGAGGGCAGTGTGTAATCTCAGCTCACTGCAACCTCTGTCTCCTGAGCTCAAGCGATTCTCATGCCTCAGCCCTCTGAGTGGTTGGGATTACAGGCATGTGCCACCATGCCCGGCTAATTTCTGTTATTTTTTATGAAGATAGGGTTTCACCATGTTGCCCAGGCTGGCCTTGAACTCCTGGACTCAAGCCATTCTCCCACTTCAGCCTCTCAAAGTGTTTGGACTACAGGCATGAGCCACAATACCTGGCCCACCATTGTTTCTCAACACATTTTTTTTTTCTTCTCCATTCTCACCCTCCTCTCCTGAAAATCCAATTAAATGCATGTAATTACTCTACATGTTTCTGAAGCTCCCTATTTATTTTTCTTTCACCTTTTCCCCTTTGTTCTGCTAATTGGATAATTTATATCTATATTTCTTTAAGCCCCTTTAAAATCTCATTAAGTCCTTTTATTCTTCTAGCTCAAATTTTCCTTTAAGACCTCCTAGTAAATTTTTTACTTTAATTATTTTACTTTTTAGTTCTAAAACGTCCATTTGGTTCTATTTTACGGTTTTGTTCCCTCTGCTAAGATTTTCTATGTTAAAATATGTTGACCATTAAAATATGTTCATTAAGATCTTGTTTTCTTTAATTCTTGGATATATATTAGGTAGATGCCTTAAAGTATTTGTCAGCACAGTTCAACATCTGGGCCACCCTGAGGTCAAATTCTATTGACTTCTTTTGCTTGACCATAAATTATATTTTCATGAGTGTGTTTGTGTGTGTGTGATTAGTATTTTCTATTGTACACTGGACACTGTAAATTATACATTTTAGAGACACTGGACTTTGTTATCAGTCTCTTAAGTGCATTGGGCTATATTCTAGCAAACAGTTCAATTACTGGCCAATCACTTTGAACTTGTTTAGACTTTATGTTAGGTTTAGTCAGGGAAGATTTGCAAAAAGCCCAAGATATTGCCCAAGGCTTTTTATTTTGGTGGGTTTCAAATTCCTAACTCTGTTTTCCATGCAGATCTTGTCAAAGCTTGGTATGAGGGCTTGATAAGGTGATTATAGAATAGGTCTTACTCTAGGGCATGCCCCTTAGGTCTAGTATATGACTTTCCTCAGCTCTCAGGATTTGGGGGCCCTAACAAGACCCTACACTGGTTCTCCGACATCTCCAGCACTGCTCGACCTCAAGTATCTCTGTTCCACTTGTAATCCCATAGCAGCTGCTACTTGATAAGACTCCTTTTTTCTTCCTCTGCACACACAGACTATGTCCCATTCAAGAACTCTTGGAGAACCCCTAAATAGATTTGTGGCCCTCTCTTCACATCTCCCTTCTCTCCTATGTCCTACCCCACAGATTCCAGCCCCTTTATCAGCCTCAATGCTAATCCTTGGCTAAGGGACACCCCTGTGCTCTGCTTTGCTCCGTCCAATTCTCTCTGCTATAATGTGGATCTGTTTTCCATGAGAAGAGAGCTGGAGCAAATGTCAGTTTCATCTTGTGTGTTTTCCTTCTCTCAAGGATCATAGTCAGGGGCAATCTATTGTTCAATAACTAAAAAAGTGCCTCACGCATGTTGTAACAGTTTTATATTTGTTTATGGCAGGAAGGCTAGTCCAGTAATAGTTGCTTCATCAAGGCCAGAGATAGACGTCCTGATGAAGCCAGGATTTAAATCCTGTCCATCTGAAACCAGAATTAGTCATCTCAATCACTATGCTATCAGGCCTCTCAGTATAAAGAAAACAAAGTTGCAACCATAAATAAATTAGGAGCAAGGCAAAGTGCGTGGTTAAAATCTAGATTGGGGCTGTTGACCAAGGTATATCAATTTTCAGATTGGATGGGATGGATAGAAGCCGTTTATGTGAATAGCAGTAATAATAACATCATTCTAACCTTACAGAACTTTGAATATCTTCAAAGTGCCATTGTTCTCATTATTTTACTCTCACAACAAACAAACCTTTTTATACCCAATAGATGAGATGCTGTCATTCCAGTACGACAAATGAAGAATGCAGAGACCACAAATAGTGAATTTGTTTAACAAAAATCACACAGCTAGTTAGAAAGGGAGTGGGACCAGAACCTAGGCCTTCTCACTGCTGAACCTTTGTTATCTGCCTTCTCCCAACAAAACTAAGGACATCCTCATAGAAAAGAAGGGGCTGGGGGAGCAGTTACAGCTTTACGTCAAGAAAGAGGACTTTGATCACAACTACACAGTGAAAACTTAGCCTTCACCTGTTCTATCTGTTCCATGGATATTTGGCCAGAGACACAAAGGGAGAAGTGGCTGGACACAGTGGTCTGCTTCTTCAGAGGGAGAACCTGGGCTCCCCCAGGACATCTACCATAAAAGATGGCAAAGACATCTTTCTAGACCTTTATAGCAGCCCATTCTTCATTCCCCGCTCTTACTTACCCAGAAAGAACACTGTTCAATGTAAAATAACTATGTAACAAATAACTGCAAGTCACTTCGCAAGTATCAAACACTACAGAAGTAATTATTAATATCTCATTCTCCAGAGTTTGGATTTATGCCCTATATCCATCAAGTGAGCCTTGGAAAGAACTTACCTAACATGTGTATATATATATATCTATATATGTATATATAGATATAGATATATAGATATGTATACACACACACACACACACACACGCATGCATGCATATTGTATAATGCACTTTATCTTACCTTCCGGAGGTAAGAATTTATGTAGCAAATTTTGGATGGAATTAATTATGGTCGAGTTAAAAAAAAACCCTCTTCAACAGTAGTTCTGATAGAAATCTTCACTAGCCTTTATCAGTAAAGGTTCTGCTGGCTCAGCTATTATTTTATCAATCATATTTAAAAGTAGTATTCTTCCTATAAGAGTTTGTTCCATGTTTGGCTTATCACTTAGATGGAGATAACAGGAATTAGGAAATCTGCAGTTGATTAGCTTGCAAAGCTCCAAAGCTGGAGCTGATAAGTGGCTCCTGTTCTCCTTAGGAAGGGTGGGGAGGCCTGTAGGTGGTTCAGGCTCCCAAGCCTGGTGGGGATGAGGAGAAAGGGGTGGTGGCTAATTCAGCAGATTTATTGCGGTGTTTCCCTTCTTCCAGTTTCCCAGCTTGTGGAAAATAAGGGCTTAGACTCAAAAACCCAGGGAAGAAAAAGAATGAACTATAAGCTTTTTTCTTCATACGGGAGACAGATACAGTGCCCCAATATAAATCATGCCTGCTTATGGGGCAGGCATTTCTATAACGGAATTTCAAAATGTAGTCAATAACTTTATTTTACAGCTGAAGACACTGAGTCCCAGATAATTCACTGAGGACTTGGACTTAAGTTTCCTTCTGGTCACAATCACAATGCATTGTCTTTAGGAAGACCCCACATCCGCTTGGATCATCAAGCAGGGCCCTGAAACAGCACAGCAGCCATGGCTAGTTGATAGGTGGGGTTTGCCAGACCTGAGGGCAGGAGAGGGACAGCCGAGACCTGAAGTACATGGGCTAGGAAAAACAGTCATTACCTCTTATATATGTAGAGTGCTGGACAGTTCATGAAACTGTCTCCATACATTAGCTCATTTCCTGCTCATGTCATCCTTTGAAGAAATTAGTATAATCATCTTTATATCGCAGATGAAAAAATAAGCCCCAGCAGGTTTAAAAAGCAATGATCATCGTATATCTAAACTTGAGCACAACAGGAATTTGAACCTGAATTTTTTTGTACCATATCCAGAATTCTTCTGAGGTTCCGAACTCAGTTGTCTTGTGTTCAAAGCCTATAGGCCCTGTTACTGCAGGTACGAGCCTGAGAACAATGAAGGGGCGCTTTCCGGAACTGCTGTGTGAGCTTAATGCTATCTCTGCCATTTCCTTGTACTCCTTTAGCAAATCCTGTGTAAATAGAAGTTTTATTTGAACAAAGGAGAGTGTCCAGGATTCTTCAGCTTTGCCTTCAGCTTTGCAGCTGGAGAAAGTAAAATCTATGGAGATAAAATTTAAGCCAATCAAACAGCAAGAACAAGCAAAAAGCTCTCTCCTTCTCCCTTTTATTTCTTGCTTTTCTTGGTGAGCTTGTTTCTCTCCCTGACTAGGAATAAAGGCCTCTCTTTGGGCACAGACAGCATCTTATTCATCTTTACATATCTCTTCCTGAGATACAGGCATAGTGTTCTTTATGTTACAGATACACACCACATGCTTATTAAACAAAAATTAAGTTGTGTACATAACTCTTATCACAATCCACTGATGCTATAAAACTAAGTTAAGTTCACCATCCAGGCTGGGCGTGGTGGCTCACACCTGTAATCTCAGAACTTTGGGAGGCCAAGGTGGGAGGATTGCTTGAGGTCAGGAGTTCAAGACCAGCCTGGGCAACATAGTGAGACCCCCATCTCTACCATAAAATAAAATAAAATAAAATAAAATAAAATAAAATAAAACGAAATAAAAATAAAAACTTCATCATCTCTTGGCTTTTATCTCCTTCTAAGGAGGTCCTCTGAACCTGCCCACTCCTCAAAATGACAACATGTTTGGTGTTTGGAACACAGAAATTAATCTTGTGCTTTTAAAATGTATAGTTAATGATTAAGGAAGCTCAGACTTAGCACAACTCAGGGTTTTCCCTATGATGCAAACCAAAAACGGCCAATTCAGTCAGTTCAAAGAAAAAATACTCCACCAAGTTGTTAGGTGCTTTCCATAAACATTACTGTGTACCAAAGGATTTCACCAAGTTGGTAATCGTGTTTAACAATCTTCCATTATAAATGCACCTAATAATTGGATAGAGAGTGGGAAAAAGACATTCGATTGACTATGTTTTGAAAATCTTGATATTTGATTGAATTGTATTGGTGGCATTGAGGAGTCAAAGGCTGCATCTTCTGGGTCTGTGGTCGACACCTTGGCTTCCCAAAATGAGGACGGCAGCTACACTGACATTGCTTGGGAGCTTCTTAGAATGCAGAATCTCAGTCTGTGTCCCAGACCCAAAGGTTAAGAATCTGCATTTTAGCAAGATCTCCAGGGGATCAGAATGTACACTGACATTTGAGAAGCACACAACTTAACCTCTAGCGCTTTGTATTTGGAAATATAGAGGCACCAGATTTCACCCCACAAATTTGAGCAGGCAGAGTTGGAGGAATGTCTCCCTGTAAAACAAAGTTAGAGGAGACAGTTTTGGGCACTGCCTAGCTTTGGAGCCCTGGGGAAAGCCATGGCCAAAGAAGATTATGAAAGCCACAGCCGAGAGTCAGTCTTTAAAAAAAAATAACAGCTTTCTTGAGATATAGTTTACATATATGATTCACTCTTTTATATTATACAACCCAGTGAGATTTTGTATATTCACAGAGTTGTGCCACCATCAAAAATTTTAAAACATTATTATCACCCCTAAAAGAAATCCGTACCCATTAGCCATCAGTTTCCAATACCCTCATCAACTCCCCACGCTGGGCAACCACTAATCTACTTTGCATCTATATACATTTGCCTAATCTGGCTTTTCGTCTAAACGGAATAATACATAATGTGGGCTTTTGTGACTGGCTTCTTTCACTTAAAATAATGTTTTCAGGGTTTTGCCATGTTGCAGCATGTGTCAGCTCTTCATACCTTTTGACAGCCCGATAATATTCCATTGCACGGATTATACATTTTGCTTATCCACTCGTCTATTGATGGACATCTGGATTGTTTCCAGTGTTTAACCATCATGAATAAAGATGCTATGCACATTGGTTTACAAATTTTAGGTGTGAACATAAATTTTTACTGGAGAAAGTTTTTTTTTTTTTCTTAAGTGAAAGCAAGTTTGTTAAGAAAGTAAAGGAATAAACAATGGCTACTCCATAGGCAGAGTAGCCCTGAGGGCTTCTGGTTGCCCGTTTTTATGGTTGTTTCCTGATTATAGGCTAAACAAGGAATGGATTATTCACAAGTCTTCCAGGAAAGAGGTGGACAATTCCCAGAACTGAGGGTTCCTCCCCATTTTAGATCATACAGGGTAACTTCCTGATGTTGCCATGGCATCTGTAATTTGTCATGGCGCTAGTGGGTGTGTAGCAGTGAGAACAACCTGAGACAGTTTTGACCCTTAAACAAAGTGGGTGATATGGCTGTCAGCAAGAGAAAGGCAGGTAGGCAGGACTTCTGGGAGGAACAGCCACCTGCTCAGGAAGAAACCCTTCCACCCCAGCTCTTCCACTACCTGTGCAACCACCAGCAAATCACGAGATATCTCAGATCCACGTCTGCAAAACGGACATAAATCTTAGCCACATTGACCTCACACTTCCTTTTTTTTTGTGTTTCATATGGGATAATTAGCATAAAGCTGTTTTCAAAGGAAAAATACTACACAAAGACCCAACAGGATAGTTGTTCTTATCACATCACTGTCATTTTGGCAATTCTTGAAATTGCCAGTACCTAGTGAGCTAATGACCTTCTCACTCAGAACCAGGGAAGGAGAATCACACTCAGGCCTTTCTCTCTGGTGCCTGAAAAGATTTTCAGTACAGTAGAGATGTGATCTCATTGTGACTCTCAGAAGCTGTGCTTAGGCTTTCAGTCAATAGGCAACCTCTTTGGGGATAAAAGAACCATCTTATTCACAATGGCTTGCTGTACAAAAAAAATTAGAATAAAAGAATTATTTAATTCGTTGATTTATTCACTACTTTTTAGCATTTATGATGTGCTCAGCAGTGAGTTGTGTGCTTATAGAGGGTGGTGGAATGAGCGGCGGTAATATAAGAAAGTACTTGAAATTTGATGCTGCTTTTAGGGGAAGCCAATGTGGCCACTTCTGCTTTCTTATTGACTATTGGAAATGTAGTACAGTACTAGTAATTGTACTCTGGAATGGGCCAGTGGAAGCCAATTCGGAAAAAGCGGTCCAAGGAAGACTATAATGCTTGGAAGGAGAAGGGGAAAATGACAGAGGAAAAGAAGAGAAAAGATGGAGAGAGAGAAAGAGAAGAGAGAAAAAAGAAATTATAACTTCTTCCACCTTTAAGGAAGTGATGAGCCCACATATAGCCCAGGTGATTTTGAGCTAAATATAAAGCTTGTGAATTCCCCCCAGTGCCCAATTTGGCCCCTAGAGGTGGAGACAAGTTCAGTGGCCACAAAACCAGAGACTCTAAGTTCATAGAAGGGAGGAGAGAATGGTAGATGTGTGGGAGCAGGGAATTTACCTGCTTCCTGTTTCGGCCCCTTTTGCTAAAGTGAAATGCTGTGGTTTTGCTGGTTATACTTGTTAATACAATTCCCTCCCCTTGCAGGATATGTGTGTGGTAACGGCACCATCTGGGTTAGCGAAATAGATACTCCGAGGTATAACACACTAAACACAGCAGGATGTTTATAAAATTCTTAATCTGGGCCCTTTGGACCACCAAGAATAGACATAGAGATTATACAAGCAAATTACTAAATCAGGCTGAAACCAGACATATAAGCATTTTCATAAATACTTAAAAATTTACCTATACCACGAGAGGCCAACTCTCAGACCATTCTCTGAGAAATACTAGACCACCCTGAGATGCTGGTACCTTAAGCACACATTGTCTCTTCTTGTTATGTGGTCATCACCACCAGGATATCCGCCCCTCTCCTGCCCTGAACATCTAGAGCAATTTGGCTGGGCACAGTGTTCTTTCCAGAACATTTGATTGCTATACTTACATAAGGAGAAAACTCTATTTTCATTTGAAGACTTCAGACCTCCTTCACAAAGTGATACTGCAGTGAGGAAAAAATGCAAACTGAGGAGCCACGAAAGCTTGCAGCTGAAACAGTGGGGTCTTAGACAAATGATTTTGCCTCCTCATCTGTACCACAATAATAAGAAAGTTCATCCGACAGAAGTATTTGAAAAAAGCATCTGCTTTCATGTCTGGCACATAGTAGGCATTCCAAGAAGGCTAGTAGCTCTTACCCACGCCCCTTTTGAGGTGATTTTCGCTTACAACCAAGCCAGAAGGAAGTCATAAAGCTCACGGGCCTTACATAGAGAGGAAGCATCAGAGAGTTCTCACTCACAGCCCTCACTGCTCAGTGCAGGAGCCGCCCCAGTTGACAGGACTCACTTCCTCTGTCTACACTCCCAAACCTTCTGTGCCCAGCAGTGTGTGCACATCTGTCTACACTGAGCTCTAACCAGAGTGCCTGGTTGGGGTCATGACCTGGCTCATTCAGCAGCATGAGCTGGAAAGGACTTTGGCTAATAGGACACCTGGTATCCAATAAATTCCCCACCCTGTATTTGTGACTGCTAAAAAGCCGAGTACAGATGATAGGCAATTCATTTTGATGGTAAAGAGTGGCCCGTTCAGGGGAGAAAAAGGGAGTCCCCTAAAGAGACCCTGGGTGCTCAATGCCAGGAGCAGAGTGAGCTTGTGTACGGGATGTGTGCTAAGGATGTGTATAGCATGGTGAGTTACATTTTTAAAAAATCACAAAAAATGTACAGGTCTAGGGCTGAAAGTTCTTAGAGCTGCCTCACAAGAGTTGAGGTCCTTTCCCATTGTTTGCAATCTCAGATTGGTTCTTCTTCCCAGGGGCACATGGCACATAGCACTTTGGTGATGGGGACTGCTTTGCTGATGTCAGGGTCAAGGGGTGCATGGACCATGGGCAGAGTGCTGGGCTCAGCCAAATGGTTCTGGGTAGGTCTTGCCTCTTGTAGCTTCAGTTTTCTCTTTTGTCTGGTGAAGTTATTACGAAAACTCATCTCTAGCCTTGGCTTATGGGATAATATTCTTGATAGGACTTTGAAAATTTGAGATTTTGATAGAAGTGTAAGGGAGCAATTTTTTAGATTGGTTCTATGTGCCAAGGGGGAGAGGGCAAACAAAGGCACATTGGGGTGCTGGTTATGAGTTTGCTTGCACACTCGCAGTGTTCTCTTCCCTGGTCTGGGGCATTGTGTCTGTTCACACAGTTGAAAACCAATGGTGGCCGTGGGCAGCCCTGGACCTCCTAAGGACACAAGGCGAAACCAACCACCTAGCCACAAAACAGACGCAACCAGAGCCTAGCTAGCTCTCCAGCCTCTGGGCTCTCCCTGCATGGACGGCCACTCTACCTACCTCTAAGACCTATCTGGGCTTGGAAAAGGAAGCTCCTGAGCAGCCTCAGCCCTGATGGTGAACTCAGCATCAAGCCACAGCTTCTATCAGTCAGCCTGGAGAAAGCAGGCCCAGAGATGCACATTAGGATCCTGCCTGGCTCACAAATTCCTCTGCAGTGAAGTGACAGGAGTCAAGCTAGTATTGCAGCCTGAGTCATGTCACCTCCCTTGCAGGTTTCCTTAAGGTCATGAGTCTCCTGTGCATGGATTCATAATCCATGATCCAGTTTGAGTAAGTTGGCCCATGGTTTAGGCTTTGGTCCCCAAGCTTCTGTTTTGATATCTGTCTGCTATTCCCTGTCCTTCCCCTGCAACAATCCCATCCTCAAATCCAGTTTTCCTGCATTTCCAAATAGCACCTTCTCCGCTATGGTAGACAGCTTCAAGGTAGTCCCCACTCATCCTCACCTTGAAGCCATACCCTTGAGCAGTTTGCTCTCACATTCACTCGGGGTGACCTGTGTGACCACAGTAGCATGCAGCTGACGTGACAATGTACAACCTCTGAGGTGAGGTCATGGGAGATGTCGCGGCTTCTGTCTTGTGCCCTTGGACCCATCCCCCTGGGGAAACCAGCCACCTTGCCATCAGCCCCAGCAGCCTTGTGGGAGGTTCCCTGGGGAGGAACCAGAGCTGTCCACGAAGGGTCAGGAGCCACCTTGGAAGCAGATCCCAGGGTCCAGGCAAGCCTTCATAAGACTGTATCTGGCCGACATTTGATTGTGACCTCATGTGAGACTTTGGGCCAGAACCACCAACAAAGCTGCTCCTGAATTCCCAATTCACAGAAACCGTTAGAGAATAATTATTTTAAGTTACAAAATTTAGGGGCTACTTGTCAAACAGATAACAGAACCAGAGAATAGATAACCAATACACCTGCTTCTCTAGTTTCCTTAAGGCAGTGCTCCACCTACCCATTGAACACCCCATTATACTCAGGGAAGATGACCCCCAAACCCTATCACCTCTCACCCGATCATGTGCTAGTGATTACTGTGCTAGTACTTGCTAATTCTATTCCATTCCTATTACTCCGTCTTGCTGTGAGTACAAAAGCCAGGCTTTTCTATGAGTTCTGAAATAACAGTGTAATGAGGCAAATTCAAACTAGCACTAAGAAGATACTCAGAAGGGTAAAGTTCCCAGGACACAGACAACCCTATAGACTAGGCTTGCTCTAAGTGTTAATCCCTTTGCAGATACATTCTGTAGGTAAGAAGGCAAATGCCTTTTCCAAAAGGGCCTGTGTCCATTTCACAGATGAGGAAACTGGGACTTATGCAGAGCCTTGCTAGGCTTGGTGTATGTGAGGGCTCAGCACACTGGTTGACCAGCCTGCTGTGGGGTCTCTGTCTTACCCATGAGTCATGCTTTCTGCTTCCAGGGATGCAGTCTGGTATTGAGCCACTTATGGCCTTTTTCCCTCAATACACTTGACCCAGTTCACTTTGGGGAAACTGAAGTGAAACTGCATGATATCATCTGGCCGTTGCCCAACTGCAAACTGCCCTGTCCCTCCAGGTTGCACAGTTGCAGAGGGATTGTCACCTGATGCAGCTGGACCCTCTGGGAAAGGAGGAGAAGCCGGGGGTAAAGGCGAGCAAGGCAGAGGCATTGAAACCAGAGCCAAGCACCAGTGCGTGCAGCCCTGATACAGGCCCCACCATTAGCTGACAAATTGGAATAAATAAATATGATAAATCATCTCCCCAGCCATCTTGTGAAAGGGCTTCCGAAATGCAGTGTCATTATCGGTTCCCTTACTGGTGTTCTTACAGATACATTTTAAAATGTCAACCTGAAATGGAAGCTCCAAGCCTCAAACGTTACAGAAAAATGGATTTTGTAACAAGACACTTTCTCATTTGGGCTCCTTCTCTCTGCCTCCTGCAAAAATGCTCTCTTGAGCTGACTGAAATCTGTAGTTAAATAATAGTAAGGCAAGAGGTAAATTGAAGCAGAGAAAGGTCTAGAAACAGCTTGCTATTGCAAAAAGATGGCAAGTCACAGAAAGGAAGGAAGATGACCATTCAAGATGGACATGGGCAAGCCTAGGAGACCTGTGTGTGGCAGTGGCTGTCCTGAGGGGTGGAAGTCGGGGTAAGTGATGGGAGAACCATGAGTACTCACCAACCTGCCCCACCTCTAGCCTCTTCTCCAGAACCGGTTTTCCTTTCTCCCCCTGAATTTGAATGAGAAATGTGAGGTGTCAAGTATATCCATGAAACCTCAAGAATATATGACATACCATTTTTGAATTCAGAGTTGGAAGCTGCCCTGAGGACAACGTGGTCCTCAATATGGTGCTGGGCCTGAAGGCCATTCCACTTTGCAGGAAAAAAGCTTTGGGGACACCTTCTCTGGTGGGGGCCAGTATTTGTTGAGGTCCTGCAGCACTGTCCAGGTGTCAAACATACCTTGGCCACAACACTGATTCATTGGCGTTTTTGAAAGAAACATATCTTGTCTACAAGAACGGGCATCTGTGTTCTCTGACCACCTGAGAGCATGATAAACAATGTTAAGAGTAGCAGCTAATACTTAGATAGCACTAACGGTGCAAGCAATGTTCTAAGTAAAGTATGATTATTATCTCATTTAGTTCTCACAACAAATTGATGATGGAAGAATGACTGATATCCTCATTTACAAGCAAGGAAACTGAGGCTCCAAGAGTTTCAGTAACTGACCTAGATTCAGCTGGCTAGTAAGCAACAGAGTTGGTATTCAGCCCAGCTCTTCCTCTCCAGTGCCTATGTTCTCTCCGTTGCTCAGGATTTCCAGCAGCACAGGCTCACCAGAAATGTGGAGCTACATTCCAGGAAACCTCTGAGAGGCCACACAAGCCACTCCTCTTTGAAAAACAGTGTCATTATCCCTGCAAAAGGAAGGGAGCAAAGTCAGGTGGCTCCCGAACCATTAAGAACCCCATGGCATTGTCCTTTTGCTTGTGGCTTTTGTTTTGTTTTTTGTTTTTTTCTCAGCATGGATTTTTCCTTTCCTCATTTTTTTTTTCTTTTTGTCTCTGGCACCATGATAGGAAACTAGCCTGCTTTCTAGACCCATTATGGGTAAGTGACCCAGAAACCCAGGACGCTAACATGAAAATTGCAGGCTGGTGAGGAATCATGGGAAGACCCTGAGCTTGAGAAATCAATGGGCTTAGGTGTGGCTCCCGGCTCTGCCACTTACAAGCTACATATTCTTGGTGAAATACAGAAATGTACCTGGGCTTAAACTCCTCATCTGTAAAACAGGGATTAACAAAAGCCTACTGTGTTGGGTTGTTGTGCTGTCAGGGACACAGTGAAACCAAGTGTGTGGTTCTGGCTTTATGATGAGTATTTGATGAATAGCAGCAACTGTTAAGTGTTAAATGAAGAAGATTCTACTTCTGTGGGGAAGTGTACCTTTTTTTCCTTTCCATTTCATTTTTAGAAATGTGGATTTTGGTTGTGCACCACAATTTACTTTCCCTCTGCCTATTTTATGCAGAGGTATAGGGAGGTCACACTGATTGATTTAAGAGGGCTTTGCCTGCATTGATAACAGTGTGGAATCATTTTGCAACAGACAGAATGTGGAATGCTATTTTTTCCCTACCGTGTGCTAGAGCGCATTTTTTTTTAACAATCTACCAGGCCCCTAAGCAGAGCGATTGACCCCTGTAGTCAATTGCATGGGAGCTCTGGTGAGGAGAGGAGAGCTCTAGTTATGCTTTCCCCGCACCCGGGTCCTGCAGACCTCACATCTCTCTACACAGCTGGGGTGGGAAATTTTGACATTAGACTCCAAAGAGGCTTCTGTGCTTTTCATAGCCCACATCCTGCTTCTCTGTAATTGGGTCTCCGGAAATGATTTCTGCAGACAGAGGGATTCTCTAAAATGTGCAGAATGAATGAGTGAATGATGAATGAATTATCCAATCTAGGATGAAAAGTGGACTCAGGAGAGATAGATGCAAAAACTTTATAAGTTCACACAGCTGAATTGGCCATTGATCCCTGGACTGAATTAGAGCTACTATCCAACTTCACCTGCATAATCTGTGCAAAGCTATTCCAAAGGGAGAGTGGTGAACAGCATGGGGCAGGGATCAAGTCTAGGTAGGTAGCTTTCCAGGGTACCTAGAGAAGCCAGGGTCCAACCAGGGAAAGATAATTCACTCTAAATATTTAAAACAGAAGGAATTTAATTTGAGAACTTGGTCACCCAGGTTTGAAGGGGGAGAGGCAGAGGGAGGAGTCTGAGAGGGATGTGGTTTTATTCAACGTTTAAAACTGAGAACTGCCTGTATAGTCCCATGTGGGCCACGTAGAAAGGCCTGGGAAGCAAGAAACTTGGCCTTTATTATGGTAGCAGCTGTGGCAAAGCCAGGCTGGTTTTCCCTTGGACTGCGGTGACCTAAGCTGAATAGAGGCTTCCTTGTGGATGTGGTAGGGTTGCAATGATCACAAACCAGGGTCAGAAGTGCAGCGGCATCATCAACCATGCAGAAGCCCAGACCCAGAATCAACCCATAGCACCCTCACAAGTCCCCGTGTCCTCCAGCACGCAGTAATGACTAGGTATTCTAAAAGCCAGATATACATGGATTGCCCAAATCAACCAACTTGTAGGCTTTGCCAGCCCTGAATCCTGACAAAAATGGGTGAGCTGAAAAGCCCATTCAAACTTCACAACTGCCATCCTGCAAGCCAAATCATTAAGCAGAAATGAGTGGAGCTATTTTGATTAAATTGGCCAGAAAAAGTAGAAGCCAAGCTCTCGTTTGCAAGGAAGCTTTGATAATTCAGTGAACTGAGTATTCAGAATGTTCTTCTTTTTTGAGTATTCTCATTCAGCATCAGGGCAGCCTTCATGGTCAGGCACAGACGTATTGCTTGACAAGCAGGCTTATCTCAGAGAAAACTCCAGGGAAGAAAGCGACCCAGAACCCATTCTGTCCTCTCTTCCAGGCTACAGTTTGGGCAGGCTTTGCATGTGCACAGAGCGACCTGCCTCTCATTCCAGCCTCATCTCTGTGTGGTAATGACTCCTAATGAGCACACTAATAAAGCCTCAGGTGTTATCTAGATTCAAAGGGGAAAGCAATTTAAATGCAAATAAATATGAACATCTTTGTATCTTACAGATTAATGAATGTCGTGGGAAGAAAACATATGACAATTATGAGCAGAAACAGTCCCAGAGAGTGAAAAATGATGTGAGAAGGTCATAAAATACTTTCCCTCAACTTCTGCCAGGGCATCAACCAAGACAGCTTGTGTAGCTATTACTTAATGTATCCTTCAAGCTCTGACAAATGAGTCAAATAGCCCTTGGTCATCTGTCCCAAAGCTTAACAGCTGGAACAGTCTTCCTGGTATCTACCTGCATTCTCCTTTTCAATAACTGGGATAGATTTTCTTGCTGTATTTACGGTGCATGTGACAGCATAGTGATAGTGGATCATGGCTGTTGTTGATTTCTGAACACTTAGCCACATATCTACCTTTTTGTGATAGTTGGCAAGCCATCTGATATACAAAAAGGATGGGCTTGGGGGCCGTAATATTAGAATTCATTCTTTTACTCATATTGTCATTTTAAAATCCACAATGCTTTGTAAGTAAATGAGTAGCATTTGAGCGAGTGAGGCTTTTGCAGAGGGAAGCCTCAATACCTGTAACCAAGGTGTTCTTAATACCTTTAATCAGGATTTCTAAACTTCGATTTACACTAAGTCTTCAGGAAAATGCTAGGAAGCACCCTGTGTCTGTCCGCAGAAGCCAAAAGTGAGCTAGAGGCTAGGACTTACTATACTCTGAACATCTGGGGAGTAATTGAGGAAATCTGTCAAATGTCAGTATTCCCTGAGCTTTCCAATGTTGGGTACCAGGGCTTGTTGCCACATTTTCCTTTGGCAGAACAAAGTTTGGGGATGGTAAACTGTAGACCTAGCCCCAATATCAGAGAGCCTCCTTTTCATTTTCTGTGATATGAAAATTAGAGCAATATCAATCTCATTCAGAGATATCCACAGGCCAGGACTCTCATAAAAGAATACAATTGTGAATCTGAGCTCTGGAGTCTTTTCCTTTTCTTCCTTCCTTCCTGCCTTCCTTCCTTCCTTCTTTCCTTCCTTCCTGCTTTTTTCTTTTTTCTTTCTTTTTTTTTTTTGACAGAGTCTCACTCTGTCTCCCAGGCTGGAGTGCAGTGGTGCGACCTTGGCTCGCTGCAATCTCCACCTCCCGAGTTCAAGCAATTCTCCTGCCTCAGCCTTCCTAGTAGCTGGGACTACAGGCATGCACCACCATGCCCACTCACGCCTGTAATCTCGGCACTTTGGGAGGCCAAGGTGGGCGGATAGCGAGGTGAGGAAATCGAGACCATCCTGGCTAACACGATGAAACCCCGGCCCTGGCATCTTTTCTCTGAAGTTCTGCAAAGTTGGAGCAGTAGGTAGATGTGAACTGTTCTACTGAGCTAGTCTCTGGGTTATCTCCAGTGTTCGAGGATAGTCATCATGGTAGACCCTGAAAGATGCATCTCCCACCTCTGGCCACATTGCTCCTTTCATCAAAGCGTGAAATCGATTTCTGCTCCCTTTGAATCTGTGCTGGCCTTGTGACTTGTTTGGCTGATAAAATGGGATGCAAGCAATTCAATTGTTATCCTCTTGGAACCCGTCCTTGGTGCTCTTAGGAAGTCAGTCTAGACTACTGGGCATGTGAGGGGAATTGAAACATCTACGTTAATGGCCAGCATCAACTGTAGCCGCATGAATGAGGCCATCTTGGATGTTCCACCCCCAGCCAAGTTCCCAGCTAAGTACAGCCACGTGAGTGCCCCAGCTAGCACCATGCAGAGCAGCACTACCTAGCTGAGCCAAGAAACGCACAGAATCAATAGAAATAATACATTATTATCATGTGAGGCTATGGAGTTTAGGGGTGGTTAATTATGCAGCCATAAATAGTCACGTAGTCCGGATGCTTAGTGATGTAAAACATGCAGGATTTGCCTTATGCGCAAGTGACAGAGGAAGGGCCCATCCACTTCAATTGACAAATGATCAGGAGATAAGAATTTCCTCAGAGACTCTTAACCAGATTGTTACTGTGCTTAATATGGCAGCATCAGGGACTGATTCCATTGGGCACACCATTATCTCTTCCCTTTAGTCTTCTTTTAAAATGTAAATGTAACCCACATGGATGTAACGAAAAGAAAAAAATTCAAGGAGTCGAAATTCCTAAAGAGAGCATTTTTCCTAGAGTGGCAGTACTCTAAACATAGGCCACAGTTTTGGATATTAAGGATGATACTTGTCCTGATGTAAAGAGAGAGGGAGAAATATTTAAAAGGAAAAATTGGAAAAGAAAAAAGAGAATGGGACTGGGAGAAAGTTTTCCCCAAGTCTGTTATCTTTCCAACCCAAACCAGTGTGACAAAGAGCATCTCCCAGCATTCTGAGAGTGGCAGTTACAGGAATCCTGAGACCCCAGTGCCAAGCTATGATAACATGCACAGGGTGAAGCCAGGTCTATCATCTGACAGCCTGGGTGGGTTGTAAGGAAAGAAAGATGAGATGAGGGATTGACATGATCCAGTCACTGATTTTTAGCCAACAGCCAGGGTGTTATCTTTTGAAGATGGGAATATAACCAATCTGGCCATGTCTGAATAGTTCTAAAACTTTTTTTTTTTTTGAGATGGAGTCTTGCTCTGTCATTCAGGCTGGAGTGCAATGGTGCTATCTTGGCTCACTGCAACCTTTGCCTCCTGGGTTCAAGCGATTCTCCTTCCTCAGCCTCCCAAGTAGCTGGGATTACAGGCAACTGCCACCACGCCTGGCTAATTTTTGTATTTTTAGTAGAGATGGGGTTTCACCATGTTGGCCAGGCTGGTCTCGAACTCCTGACCTCGTGATCTGCCTGCCTTGGCCTCACAAAGCGCTGGGATTACAGACGTGAGCCACCGCATTTGGCCTAAAATGAATTTTTAAAGAATTGTGGCCAAGATAAAGAGTTGTAAAGACTCATGGAAAAAAATAGGTTGCTATGAAAACATCATTTCTCAAAGGATAGCCTGTAAAACACTAGTCCTACAAGTAGCTTCCTCTTAAAAACAGCCTACGGTCCAGTACATTTGGGAAAACCTCCCTAACGCACACTGTCACCCCCTTGCAGAATGATAGCACACATCGCATACAAGGGTTCCGAGCTGGTCTAGAGCAAGGAAGTCTTCTCAGCTTTGTTAAACACACGATTTCACAGATGTTTTGTTGATTATGAGAGTTACTCCCCACTTACCTGCCATCGACTGTCAAGCAGAAAGGAAAAATTGCTTTTGTATGGAAGGAAATATCATTTTAAAAGCCCCGGTCCTGAAAAGAATTAGTCTATGATAATTGTTCTCAGGTCTGTCTCTCTGCAAAACATCCAACAGTGGCCAGCCCATTTATCCACCTGCATAGGTTGTTTAGGCAGGACTAGGAGATTAATAAAGAAGACGGTGTAAATTCAGCCTCCTGGTCTACATAGAATCCCCCCATCGTCTCTATTAGAGACTCATATATAGCTAAATAAATGTCACACTTGGATTATTTCCTCTGTTCTGCTCAGTAGTCCTGAAGATAAGGAAACATTCTTTCCGACATAATAAGCCATCAAAATACATTTATAACAAATCCCAGGTACACCAAAGTTATCTGTGTTGCCGACAATGGGCTTTCTTCCCGCCTGTCTCTTTCATTATGTTCCCAACAAAGGAGGTTCACTATTACTCTTGTCCTGGCAAAAGACAGTACTTCGGCCCTTGGAGCTCTGACAATTGTACTCAACCCATTTAATTACTTCCAGTACAGGCACACGCTTTATTAACAGAGCCAGGATCAGCAGGGGCTTCTTTGGGTCACGGAAAGGAGAGTTAATTGAGACTTATTTATAAGGATCTATGCACACACCAAGGGGACAGCAGCAGTGGCTATATTTTCTTCCTTGTGTATGAGGTCTAGGAATCAAAACCCAAAGAGCCTCCAGAATAGTTGACAAGGCAAAAAACAAACAAACAACAACAACACAGAAATGAGAGTGAAATGAGCTGTTGCTCATTGTTTACATGTTGAGAAAATTAAAAATTCCTCCAGACCCAGATGCACAGCCAACTTGTGCCTTCCAACCCCACAACTGCCCTCTCCAGCTCCTGCCTTGCACCCCAAACCAGCCCTCAGGACTACTCTCAAAAAACAACAAATGAACAAACAAAAGCCCCAACTTTCCTCATGTTAAAATGTTAACTGGCTGGGCACGGTGGCTCATGCCTGCCTGTAATCCCAGCATTTTGTGAGGCGGAGGTGGGAGGATTACTTAAGCCCAGAAGTTAGAGATCAGCCTGGGCAACATAGTGAGACCTCATCTCTACAAAAAAAATTAAAAAATGGCCAGGCATGGTGATGCATGCCTGCAGTCCCAGCTAACCTATGGTCCCAGCTACTCAGGAGGCTGAAGCAGGAGGATCGCTTGAGCCTGGGAGGGTGAGGCTGCAGTGAGCAATGATTGTGCTACTGCTCTCCAGCCTGGGTGACAGAGTGAGACCCTGTCTCAAAAATAAAATATGTTAACTGTTGTAGTGAAAGTTGTCCTCATATCTGTGTTTTGCAGAAGAGTATCTTTGGGCTCTGTAGTTGATCCTCGACTTTCAACCTTCTTGTAAGAGGCCTCACCAGGAGCTCAGCTCTTCACACCCTAATGGTACCTTCACTGCTGCTTTGTGGTAGCCCCAACCTCCTAGACATACATATATAGAGGGAACCCCCAAGGCTCCTTGCACCTCTAAATATTGTAACTAAAGGAAGTCCTAGTTGTAAAGTCAGTATTTAAGGCCTCACCTTCAAAGTCTCTGAAAATACCCTGTGTATCTCCTATGTTGTAGAGAGGCTGTCACCACAGACTCAGATAAACTGTAAGGTGAATCATTGGAGATCCATTCATCTTTGATCTTTTGAGCTCTGTCCAGGACACTTGGATGGTAGCTGACCCAACATGACCAGAGGAAATGTGGGGAGGAGGGTAAGGGGGTTGAATCTGGACATGGTTTCCTTGCTATTCAAGCAAAGATAGTTTAAAATTAGAAGGATGAGCTCAGGGAGGTCACAGCTATTTAATTCAAATTTATTTTTTCAGTTAAAATACCTTTCTTATACATTCTTAT
Source organism: Homo sapiens (assembly GCF_000001405.40). Classification (NCBI taxonomy): domain Eukaryota; kingdom Metazoa; phylum Chordata; class Mammalia; order Primates; family Hominidae; genus Homo; species Homo sapiens. The sequence goes on from NC_000001.11 coordinate 221,790,051, forward strand.
ATTGCTTTTTTCATTGTAAGTTGCAATGAGAAAAGATCTAATAGTTCAGAGGTCTGGATAAACATACAAAAAAGTTCAGAGCTTGTCCAAATTGTATCTGACGGCCTAATTAGGACACCACGTGACTTGGTTGGGGGTTGTGTCATGAGGAACAGGGCGTCAGACACTCATTGCTACAAATACTATTTTTCTTCAGTGATAGCCATTCACCCACTTCATGTCAGGTCAGGGAATTAGAGCAAAAGGAATTCTGGCAATTCCAGAAAGCCTTTCTCCCAATTAGTAGAGTAAATTATGCTGGGTACTAGGACTTTGCTCCCCCAGCCTAGGGGAATGCAGGGGCAGAGACTGAGGCCTGGATGTGAGTCCTCACTCCTCTGCCTCCCCACCATGCAGGGGCCCCTCCCCCTACCTTTATGGACTCATGGAGGCTCTAGCTGCCATGCCTCAGCAGACCACGCTGTGGGCCCCTCAGGGATCCCCATAGCTGGGGGAATATCCTGTGTGGAGGGAGGAAGAGCCTAAGAAGAAATGGGTGCGATGCAAATTTATTCGTTCAAAAAATATAGGAATCTCCACCATGTGCAAGACACTGTATCAGCTATCATAAGAGATACAGAACGATGACAAGGTCGCTGCCCACGAGGAACTTACAATCTATTGGAAGCAGCTTAATACCAATAGGAGGTAGTGGTATTAAGCCATATACATAAGTAAGCACACCTGCATTATGTGGTAGGAAGAAAGAATGAACTTGTTCCGTGTCAACCCAGGTTTGGGTCCTAGGCTAGCTTTGATGAGCTGTGTCTCTGCCAGAGAGTTCCCCAAACTTTCTCAACCTTGGTTTCCCGTAAGTCAAAATTAAGAGGAAAAAAACTCATTTTTTTCCAGATTTTGTTGCATATTAAATGATACGGAAAGCACCTGGTCCCTGCACTGACCCAATCAGGTAGTTTCCTGATGTTGATATTGGGCCCTGTGAACTATGCAGTGTCTCTCTGAAATCATTTATGGTCCTTGAAAGGGAAAAAAGAAAAAAACCCATTCTATCTTCATGGCCCAAGGATCTCTTAAACGAGGTATGGAAGTAAAAAAAAAAAAAACAGGAATGCAAATTACTTACTTAACATTTATTAAACATTTAATATATGCAAGATTCTGTGTTAAATGCTTTTCGGATATGATCTCATTTAATCTGTACACCATGTAAGGAAGGCACTTTAAAAAATCCTCAATTTACAGATGAGGTACCTGAAGACCAGAGGGGTTAACTCTCATTAAGTCCACACTGGATCCAAACAAGCACCCTTTTGACCCAGGAGCCTGTGCTATCTACTTGCTGCCTACTTGTTTCTCTGAGGTCTCGACCACAGAAGGATCTAGCTGGACAGCAATAGGTCTCGGAAGTCTGTCCCCACCAGCAATGGGGCTGGCCTCACTCAGACAGCCCTGGGGATATCAACAGCCTTGAAAGTCCCAGGACTTGTATTGGCAAAGTGATGCTCTGGTGACCTGGGATTGCTGCTACAGTGAAAAGCTATGACTAGCTATAAGGCACACATAAGACATTGCCCTGCCTCCTGTTTCCTCTGCACTATGGGATGTGCTTTTCAGGCTGGGTGAGGTGGCTCATGCCTGTGATCCCATCACTTTGGGAGGCTGAAGAGGGTGGATTGCATGAGCCCAGGAGTTTGAGACCAACCTGGGCAACACGACAAAACCCCATCTCTATAATAAAGACAAAAAATAATTTAACAAAAAAGATGCTTTTCAGAAACCATGGCTGTATAGAAATATCATTCCGAATGCTTGCAAAAGACCCAGTCATTGAGTGGCAGCCTTAACTCTCTTCTTTAGAAACTCAGTTTTTCATCTGAGTTTGTTTCTTTCTGTGGGCAGACCATGTTGCTGGTCCCATTGCTTTGGCTGATGAGTTCAATTATTTCCTGAATCAACTCCAGCCCATTGTTTTCAGACTGCTTCATGGTCATGGAACTTTGATCATAACACTAGTAAATGTGTTCCTTTCGCCCTGGCAAGGCAGGCTTACATATGAAATGATAGCATAACCTCACATCCTAGTGCAGGGGAGAACTTCAATCACTGTACTGCCATCTTCACCAGCACAAGGAAACACCTATAAGTCTTTTTTTTTTTTTCTATTCTTACACATTCTTCTTACTCAGGAGTCAGCAAACTATGGTCTTTAAACCAAATCCAGCCTGCACTCTGCTTTCATAAATAAAATTTTATTGGAACACAACTATGCTCACTTTTTAAAAATGTCTTACTTCTGGCTGTCTTCATGCTACAATGGCAGAGATGAATAGTCATAACAGGGAACAAATGGTCTAAGAAGCCTAGAATATTTACTATCTGACTCTTTACAGAAAAAGATCACCAACTCATGCTCTAACTTACTTTATTTTCTATTTCCATTGCTTGGACTGTTGTGATTTCCAGATTTGAGATTTCTTATGTGATCATCTAATATTTCATAATTCTTCAGTGACACCCATTGTCTCCAGTACAAATCCCAAATGAATTCGGCATACAAGGCCTTTCATAACTTGGTTCCTATCTAGATTTCTATCCTCTTCTCCATCAACCACACACATTTTCCATCAACCACACACATACCCTTGTGATAGAACCACAATAAGTTTGTCCTTCACGTGTAAATAGCCCAGGCTCTTGTATCTTCTGGTATGTTATAGGTTATGTTCTCTGCCTGGAGTCCACTTTCTTCATGCTAGGCAATAAGCCACTCTTTCTCTAAGAGCTAACCTATCATCTAGCCTTCATAATTCATCACTTTTCTTCTCCACTGTGTTTTAATAATTTGTTTTCACATCTGCCTATCCTATAAAACTGTGTTATTTCTTGAAGGCGGGGAACTCTGTCAATTGATTTTTATATTCAGTGTGTCCGACACATATTTTGGTGCATGGTAGATACTCAGTAGATGTTTATTTGACAAATGAATGGGCCAATAGAGAAATGCATGCCATGCGTATATTGGTGCTTCCATTAGTAAAGCACATGCTCTCCTTGGGATGAACCTCCCTATCTCCCACTCCCATTAACATTATCTGACAAGAGTCCGTTTTATGTGGGACAAACATGGGCTTAGCAATGAACATGAAATTGATGAACATGCTCTGTCTGCAAGTCTGCTGCTCACTAGCCCAGGCATCACTGGCTGAGGCACGTAACTTCTGCCCACTGGCCTGATCCATGAAGGTGGCAGAACAATTTATTTTTCCTGAAAGACTGTGAGCATTAGTCCCTATATCAGAAGAAGGTATAGAAATAAGGGAGACTATATTGGAATGTCTAAGGGAAAAGCCATGCCTAGGGCTGCCTGGACGTCAGAGACAGGTGAGAGTGCACATGTGTACACTTGGTAAGGCCAAGGCAGCTCTGCTGACAGGAAGGTTACCTCTGAGCCACGTGACTCAAGCTGCACAGAGCAGAGTCAGCCTTTGGAGAAGGTCAATGTGGTGAGGAGGGAGGGAGACTAGGACTTGGAGGTTTCTTTGGGCTCAGTCATTGGCTCAGTATTCAGCAGCAATTTTAGCCCAAACCTCAAGTCATAGACCAAGCAGAAAGAGCCTGGATTTTCTAGGACTAAATCATGGGTAAGGAGGAAGATAAGACAAGAAAAATGCATGGGGAAAGAGGGAGAAATAAGAAGAGATCAAAGCAGTCAGGGTGAAGAAATAAAAATAAAAGCAAGGGGGTGAGATCACATGAGCAGAGGTGGTAGACTGTGACCACTTGTCATTCATAAGGTCTCAGGCATTTCCTGGGCAGCTTCTCTCCACTTCAAGCCTGTATCAGTTCCTCTACCGATCAAGCCGGCATTTTCTGCCTTTCCCACCTCTGTGCTCTCTCCCTCTTCTCTTTTTCCTTTCATCTCTTCCTCTCTAGTTCTCTATCCCTCCTCCTGCCTGCCTTAGCCTCTATTCTCCTCCTTTTTTCCTCTCTCTCACTACTCTTCTTGCCCTATTTCCAAAGCCTCCTTTCCAGTGTTAACTTGATCCAGAAAGGATCTTGCCTCTTGGGGAGAGAGCTCAAAAGCAGTGAAAAGAGGCTGCTTTCTATTGGAATTGTCATGGAACCATGTCTGAAAGTACCAGGCTGGAGCACTGGCTCTATCCTGCCCCTGAGAAAAGTGACTGAACTTTCCTTTACACATACACACACACACACACACACACACATACACACCCCCCAACAACATGCCTACCAATTCAAACGCTCTCCTACACAGGAGACTGTAGTCTCCTGGCTCAAGGGAACAATGCCATTGTTCAGAATGTTTAACCTGATTCCTTTGTGGGGAGTTCCAAACTATCATAACCAAATTCTGATGTCATGCTGGTGGCAGGGAAATAACCCATCTGCTCTGGGCTAACCACGTTACATCAAGTTTTAATTACATGCAATTATATTGGTGGAGAGAGAAGAGGATGACTTGAATTGAGGCCCTGTCAGTAATCACAGGCTAGGCTAAAGGGACTTTTGCTGGGGAAGTTAATGGGTGCCCTTACACAGATGATACAAATACATGCTCTACAAAATGAATCAGTTGCCAAGTTCTGTTGGTTCATCCTGAGTGATGTCTGGGATTCTCCATCCCTCTGTTTCCTTTCCATTTCACCCTAGTGCCCCAGTTCAGCTCCTGTTGCTGTAATCCCAGACTATTAGCGTAGTCTTCCAAATACTTTCCACCCCTCCTGGAGCTTCCCTTTTCAACCCAAATTGCCTGCTAAGGGTAAATTGATTGTTGTAAAGAAAAATCTCATCATATAAGCTTTCCACTCACCTATAGAAAACAGCTCATTCTCTTGCCACATTTGTGGCTCCTAGCACATCTCCCACTATCCTCGTATATGGATCCTAGATTCTGGCCATGGTGGACCTTGAATATTCTCTAAACATGTCTCATGTTAATTATCATTGAAACTTTAAAAAAATTCAGCTGCAATATCTGATACTCCTGTTTACCTAATCTTCCAGACCCACTCATCTATGGTCTGGACTCTGAAGCCTCTTTATGATTAATGGTTCAGAAATGATGTCTCCCTCCCCTGAATCTTTAGAGCATTCAGATAGGTTTTATCCCTGTAAAGTGGCCCAATGAGGACACAATGGTCTGTACTAATAGCTCATTGAAGGCAGAGTTAGTTTATATTTAATCCATCTTTTATCTCCCACAGTGTCTTACACAGAGTAAAAACTGAATAAATAAATGATTTTTATCTATTGAACAAGTTTAAATACAATGGGGCTTGTAAGTTGAAATGGATGTCAAGGAAATAAAACACAAGGACAGAAAAAAATGTACAAATTACATATACAACCAATCTGACAGTCCATTGTGAGACTAAACCAATGCCAAGAAGTTGTTAGAAGCTTATGGATGGAAGCAAAAGGGTATAGAGACAGTGTGGGCGAAGTCTTTGAGACCAGAGGAAGATTGTGACTAAGTGGGAAGTTTTCTGTGCTAAGTGGTGTGCTGGCTGCCTTACCACACATCTCTCATTCAATCCTCACAACCACCCCGTGTTACATGTGAGGAACCTGCCTAGGGCCACACAGCTGGAAAGGCAGAGTCAGGACCCAAACCCAAGCTCCCAGACCCCAAGCCCATATTCTCTGCATGGCACAGTACTATCCTTCCCCTAACATATTGTCCCTGATGTAAGATGTCTGTCGTATCAAAACTACTGTCATTGTTATAGAAGTTAAAGTAGAAAGAAATTCATTTTTAGAATAAAGTTATACAAACTGTATTTTGGTTCTTTGTACTTCCCGGAAAAAAAAATTATGTTTTATTAAGTCACCTTTGCCTTGTCAAAATATTAAGACACTTTAAACACCCCTCTCTCCCCCTTGCTCCCTTCCCTGCCACTAACTCTATGACCCCAACCCTGTTCCCAAAAGCCTTGACAACTGCACTCTGTTCACCTGATTGTTATGACTTTATTCTTATATGTATGGCTTTTTGCTTGTGTTTTAATACAATAGTTATACATACATACATATATATAAAGTTATATATATGTGTAGTCACATATACACATGTATATATATATATGAGAGAACTTGAAAAAGTTCATGGAAAATGGAATTAAAAGATAAATATAAAGTATACGATCTTTATTTCTCAACATAAATTCTATCAAATTCAAGACATAATTGTAAGTGATGATACCAGCCATTTAGTCCACCCCTAGAGAACTGAGGGCCCTGGGAATTTAATCACATCAATGCAGTATTTTTTACATTATTAACTGGAGAAAAATGGGTGCCCTTTAAAGATTTTCTAAGGTTAGGAAACAAAAAGAAGTCAGAAGGAACCAAATCAGAACTGAAAGTGGGATGCCTAATGATTTTCCGTTGAAACTTTCACAAAATTGTCCTTGTTTGATGAGAGAAACAAGCAGGAATATTGTTGTGGTGAAGAAGGACTCTCTAGTAAACTTTCCTGGGCATTTTTCTGCTAAAGCTTTGGCTGGCTTCTCAAAGCACTCTCATAATAAGCAGATGTTGTCATTCTTTGTCCCACCAGAAAGTCAACAAGCAAAATGCCTCGAGCATCCCCCAAAACTTTTGCTATAAGCTTTGCTCTTGACTGGTCAGCTTTTGACTGGATCACTTCCACCGCTTGGTAGCCATTGCTTTCATTGTGCTTTCTCATCTGGCTCGTACTGATAAAGCCATGTTCTATCTCCAGTTACAATTCTTCAAAGAAATGCTTCAGGATCTTGATCCCACTTGTTTAAAATTTGCATCCAAAGCTCTACTCTTGTCTGCAGCTGATCTTGGTGCAACAGCTTTGGCACCCATCAAGTAAAATGATTGCTCAGCTTTAATTTTTAAGTCAAAATTCTGTGAGCTGAACCAATTGAGATATCTATGGTGTTGACTATTTGTGCTATTAATCATTGGTCCTTTTCAATTAGGGCACAAATAAGATTAATGTTTTTCTCACAAATCAATGTGGATGGTCTGCTGCTATGGGCTTTATCTTCAACATTGTCTCATCCTTTATTAAAACAAGTTATTTATTTGTAAACTACTTATGCCTCTGTAAGCTTTTTGTAAAGCATCAGTGATTTTACTATTTTTCCACCCAAGTTTTAACATCAATTTGATCTTTTTTTCTTGCTTAAATTTTAGCAGAATTCATGCTGCTCTGTTAGGGGCTGTTTTCAAATTGAGGTTTTATTCTTGTTAGTGCCTCAAATTGGATTCTATTCAGACATGTTATAACAAGTTCGTACAGGTTCACTTTGGTACAAAAAATCTTAAAATCCATGCATAGTTTCTTCATAATACACATTTCCCATGAACATTTTGAAGATCCCTTGTGCATATAGAGATACATATATATTTAAAAAGCAGGAAACCATTATCACAATTTACCATTGTTGTGCACCAACTATTGGTAGGCATGAACTAAAGAAATGTAGGTACCTTGAGAACAAGGGAGTCATCCTCCTGCATACACAGTGTTTGCTTTGTTGTTGCCAAAATCCATCACTGTGTCTGGCATAGCAGACATTAACTAAATGGCTGTTTACTAATGAATGAAGACAGGGAGGATGGAGTGGGAGAAAGAGGAAGGGCCATGCAGTTTTTGGTGTGTGCTTTTCAGGAACCAATGCATTTATCTTTTAATGTGATGTTACTCTGTCACCATTAAGGAAACTCTTGCTTCTTCTACTTCCACACCAGTCCAAATCTTTGAGTAGGACTCCCAGAGATCAAACTAATGGATTGAAATCAAGAAAATTCATTTATGTGGCACTTTGTTCATGAATTCTCCCAACCATTGGTTGGATCAAATGTCATTTTATCAGTCACCAGTTTTAACATTCTTTTCCAAACCCAAGCCAGTTTCCAAACCTAAAAACCTGATTGTGTTCCACCAAAATAACAGGTTACATAGAAAACACCTCAGTATAAATTTTGCTTAAATGTAGTTATCTAAACAGAATAAAGCAAAACAAAATTAAAACTGGCTTAGTTGAATTTGATTTTTCAAAGAAGCATGAGATGTACATATAAAGAGAACCTTGGTCAACTGTATTTGCTGAGGACCATCTGCTTGCAGAGGCTTGCAGTGGTTGTTTGGGAAAGATGTTAACCAAAGAGAAGATATATTTCTGCAAAACATAGGTATACAATAAGGCAAATATGCACACCTTAGATGATATCTTATGTTTTTATTTTATAATATTCTGTAGAGAGGCCATAAGAGAAAGAATAAAAAGAACTAGGGTAGAAACAAGAGAAGAAACAGACCTGAGGAACTGGGGTTTATGTAAATCCATCCCAGACCTTTAAATTATGTTGAGCACTTTATGGAGTTCAGACACATCATAAGAGTGGGAAAAACATGGCACTGGTCACAAAGCTATTAAGAGACTGGCATTCCAACCATGCCTCTTCCTCTTAATAGCTTTATGACCTTAGGCCAGCTATCTAAACTCTTCAAGGTTCAATTTTCTCATCTGTGGAGAATTGCCTTGGAATTGGTCATCTTGGTGTTTCCTTCAAGTACTAATATTCCAAGATGGTGGTTAATCTTGACTTAAAATATTTTGTGTGACTTCCCCAGGTAGTCAGTTTCACAATTTAATAACACACTTGTATACATGTACTTAATTGGAATCTCCCCTCCTGCACTTTAAACTAATTTCTTTAGTTTGGTCCTTGGCAGAATTATAGAAGAAGAGGCATTTTCTTGATGATGAAACACCATGTGCTTAAAACAAATAGTTAACTCTTTTTCTTTCATAAAAGTAATATATATTTACTGTGTAAAAACTTAGAAATATAGAAAAGTATAGAAAATAAAATAATAACCACTTATAATTCCATCCCAAGAGCTAATAACAGCTTATATATGCATTTCTTTCTAGTTTTTTTAGCATAGGATTACGTGCCAAATATATTTTGTACCCCAATTTTTAAAAATTTATATTCTCATGAGGATTTTTTGTCATTAAAAATGATTTAAACACTGATTTTTTAAAAGATGATTTAATATCCTATTGTATTCAAAGAGATAAAGTTCATTGTTAGACATCTTTGTTTGTTTGTAATTCTAGTTGATTTTAAACATTTATTTTTACCAAACTAATGCTAGTACATATTTTAAAAGTTAAAAGATAGCTACAAAACTCTTGAGATAAGACAGGAAATACTTGCCCTTCCTTCTTTTCTTCAGGGCCCAACTTCTAATGACAGATATTTTTTAACTCTTTGTTTATCTCTTTGCTTCCATATTTCAAAATTATGTGCTTATATACTTACTCTCATTTTTGTCAGTTTTGTCACCAAAGTTAGTGACTTCATATGATGGGGGATGAGGATTTAGCATGCCTATCCCAACAACTTCCATATACCCTCTCACAATTCTCTCACCAGAATAAAATTATAATTTTTGGTAAAATCAACACTGGCACCATGATTATAAAAATATTCTTTACTGCTGAGACAAGTAGCATGCTATGATTAAATTTAATTTTTTGCATATGCAACATTTTACTTTAATAAAGACATCCTTCTTGGAGCCCTTTTATTATCCTGTTCTAGTTTCACCAGTTGCTTTCTGGACCAGGTTACGTCTATTGTCCAGATACTTATGATTGCAATAATCTTGGATAGTCTCCTCACCTCTCTTGTGTTCTGTGTCCCCTATTTTTCCAGTTGTCATGCCCTGCTCTCTTTTGGTTCACTCTTTCATTAAATGAAGCACATTCTTCAAAAGCTTCATGAAGAAAGGAGAATGAGAAGTAGAATTTTGAGGCTTGGCACGTCTTAAAAATGTCTTTATTTTTCCATCACCATCACAGTTGATGTATACTTTGGCTGGGTATAATATTTTAGGTTGAAATCCTTTAGAACTTTGAAGATATTGCTGCACTGTCTTTTAACTTCTAGTGTTGCTTTAAGTAGTTCAATGCCATTTTAATTCCAGGTTTCACATGTGTTATCCTTTTCTTTTTCTCTCTCTGAAAGCTTTAGAATTTTCCCTTTATTGGTGGTGTTAATTTGAAATTTCATTATAATCTGCCTTCAAGCATTTTATTTATTTATTTATTTGTTTATTCATTCAAGCTAGGTGCTTGGAAATTTTTATTATAAAATCTCACATCCAGTTATGGACTTTTTAAACAAAATTGTTTCTTTTATAATATAGTTCCTTCTGTTTGCAAATATTTTGCCAATTTTCACAATAAAACAGCACCTATTTTAATTAGATTTTTGAAAACTAATCACAGTACGACTTAATTCACTGCTATTTTATTTTACAAATAATACACTTATTGATCTTGTGCATGACTCAAACATACAGAAATATAGTGAAAAGGTTGTATTTCTTTTCTCTCCCTGTATTTCTACTCCCTTCCTAAGGTAACCATACCTAAAAATGTGCTGTGCATCTTTCCAGTCACCTTTTTTAACATATTTGTAGACTCACATTCGTAAAGTATGATAACAAAATCATACTACACTTTTAATTTTGCAATTAGATTTTTTCCACTTGTCAATAAATCCTGAATAATTTTTGGTGTCTGCACATATGCATTTCATAGTATATAGCACCACACTGATTTATCCAATCATATATCTATTAAGATGGTTTCATTTTTCTTAATGATACTTAAAAGCTGCTTTTAGATTAAAAATATTAAACTTTTAAAATAATATTTTACCATAAACTATCATATACTTTGATGGCACTCAGCCCTCAAGCTGATGAATTACTCTAGACTATGAATCAAATTCACTGGCCCTCCTGTAACTAAGAGACAGAAGAGAAAATCAAAGATGCAAGAGATAAAGATAAGTATTGTGGTTTACATCGGGGTTCCCAACCACCAGGCTAGTGGACTAGTACCTGTCTGTGGTCTGTTAGGAACCCAGCTGCACACCAGGAGGTGAACTGCGGGCTAGCAAGAGCATTACTGCCTGAGCTCTGCCTCTTGTCAGATCAGTGGAGGCATTAGATTCTCATAGGAGCATGGACCCTATTATGAACTGCACACGTGAGGGATCTAGGTTGCACACTCCTTAAGAGAGTCTAACTAGTGACTGATGATCTGAGGTGAAAACAGTTTCATCCAAAACCATCCCTCACCAGCCCCACCAGGGAAAAATTGTCTGCCACAAAACTGGTTCCTGGTGCAAAAAAGGTTGAGGACCGCTGATTTACACAAAGCTCACACTTACCTTCAAGAAATTGTACTGTGCACTGTGGAGTGTATCTCTGTTCTGCTGAGAGGTGGCTCACCACAACCTTAACTGTGCGTCACTGGGGACTGGTGATTCAGAATAGTCATCTATTCTATAATGTGTGCAGTCTCACCCCCAGCAAAGAAGGTAATAAATATAACCATAATAATGGTAATAACATTTGTAGAGTACTTTATAGTTACACAGCCCTTTCAAATGCATTACCTCATTTATTGTGCACAGTGCATAATAATAGCCACGCAATTTGTCCTCATGGCTCTCATCAGCCACATGTTTGTTAAAGCTCAGAGTCTGGGATTGTGTGGGCCAGCTTTTCAGGCAGGCAGACCTGGATTCACAATTTCCTTCTCACTCACAAGTGGGCTTTGTGACTTTGGGCCACAGCTCAACCTACCTTAGTCTCAGTTTTCCGGGCTAGCATTCGTGCTATGAAGTATGGTTGTTTTAATTAAATATATTGTAAAAGTAAAGCATCCAGCACAGAGTTCAAATATTTTAAGTTTATAATAACTTAAGAACTTTGCTTCCCTTTTACTCAATCCAAATGTTTAAAGAAAATAGACATACCCCTTTATTTCTTCTTGTTTTCAGGATTTGCTTCTTAAAGGAATGCTAACAATGTATACAGACCTATGCTCCCTTCACTAGGCCAAATAGAGGGCAGGAAGAGAAGACAGAAGTCATCAGGAGGTAGCAGTAGGGTGGGGCTGGGGAAAAGGTGTTGGCATGGGGAAAGTAAATGGGGTCCATTTGAATTCAGAATATAATGTGTTTAGGTGGTAGGGCTGCCTGGTATCAAACCTGACTCAGCTATTACAGAACTTAGACTCATAACATCTTCCAAATTGGTGAGCTCCAAATTTTAACCACAGACACCTGTAATTAGGAGATTGGGTGACACAGGTTCCAACATAGCCTCAGTTAGTATTTGCCTGGCTGTAAATCCTCTCTGGGTTCTGGAGCCAGGTACTCACAGAGCCTCATCCCAGAAGGGAGAAGTGATTCAGGAGAGATGACTCACTTGGGTGATTTGTTTTAACAGACACAAGCTGCTTGTATTCTTTTCCCCTCACCCTGTAATCTCCTTTCTACTGACTCTTTTCTGTGTTCTCTGCACTTCTTTCAAAGCATTATCGGGTCTGGCTCCATGGGGGACAAAAGCAAAGAATAGTTGATATAACATCTCTGAGATAACCAGCCCTCAAATTCCCAAGGAGCTGGATGGTGACTGGCAGGGACTGGTTTTCCTAGCTCTGTTGGTGTGAGCTATTCTTTAACATTATTTGATGAATCTGATTTATGATTATTTTCACCTGAGAGTCAGGTGACAAGCCCAATTACAGTCTGGCTAAAAAGGTCAAAAAAAAGAAGAAAGAAAGCCATTTCAGCGGTTTTATTGATCTTCAATGATAAAGGCCAAATGTGCATACCAGCAGTTTTTTAATGATCTATTGATATACTCAAACAATACAGTGGTGATTCCATTTAGTGCTTTAGATTTAAAGAAATGTGTCTGCAATATTAGCTAAGTCTTATTGTTTATTAGACATGTAAAGTGTCATTAAGTGACTATTTCTTTTGGGTTTTTTTTTTTTTTTTGACAGGTTGGAATACAGTGGCACAATCTCAGCTCACTGCAGCCTCCGCCTCCCGTGTTCAAGTGATTTTCCTACCTCAGCCTCCAGAGTAGCTGAGATTACAGGCACGTGCCACCACATCTGGCTAATTTTTGTATTTTTAGTAGAGACGGGGTTTCACCATGTCAGCCAGGCTGTTCACGAACTCCTGGCCTCAAGTGATCCTCCTGCCTCAGTCTCCCAAAGTGCTGGGATTACAGGTGTGAGACACCGTGCCCCGCCGATTTTTTCTATTTTTTGATCTAGAAAAATTGCCATAATTACATCAAGTTTCTTTCAAATCAGTTTGTCTATTATTAGGTGATACACAATGATTGAATGAGTTAATAAGCTTCAGCAGATATGGGTTTTTCTAAGGAAAATGGCATAGCATGGTTGATATGTCCTCACTAAATAAAACCATTATCAATCTGCCATTCCACAGACTTAAAAAAAAAAGCTTTATTGGCAGTAGATTTCTCAAAGCAGTTCTAATTGTTGTTTGCTATTTTTGTATTCAACTAATGTTTGCTTAATCTTACAAATTATACTATAAACATTTCAGTTTACAATAGTTTGTAGATACTATTTAGTGTACCAGCATTCCATTTATCTTGAAAAATGTACACAAACCTACTCCCCTTGGCTAATCACTCGCTTCTCTTATTTTACACTTTTTTATATCCCTAGGGTAAAAAGAATGCACATTATTTGCTCGTAACATTAAAATATAGTTTATATATATATATATATATATATATATGTTTTTTTTGAGACAAAGTCCTGCTTTGTCACCCAGGCTGCACTCTGTGAGATCATGGTTCATTGAAGCCTCAACCTCCTAGGCTCAGGTGATCCTCCCACCTCAACCTCCCAAGTAGCTGGGACTACTGGTGCGTGCCACCATGCCCAGCTAATTTTTTGTAGACACTGAGTTTCGCCATGTTGCTCAGGCTGGTCTCGAACTCTTAGGCTCAAGCGATCTGCCTGCCTTGGCCTCTCAAAGTGTTGGGATTATAGGCATAAACCATGGTGCCCAGCCTTGCTTTCTATATTAATAGTAATCTATGAAAACAAAACAAAGAGGAAGAAAAAGAAATTCATCATTTTTTCCAATCACATGTTGTCTTTGTTTTAAACTTGTGGAGCATTGTTTTTTATCACGACTGGTAAGAAACATAGTTCTTCAGATACAATGATTGGATTAGTTAGGATGAAGGTGGGGCTCAATGTGAGAAGAAAGAGAGAATAGGAAATGTTTGATATAGATGAAGGCAATGAATGAAGAACATTGTCCTATCTTCTGAGCCCCTAACTCCACAGCTTCCAGACACAGAGTTTCATAATCTAGTTAAGAAAAACCAAGTGATTTATTTTTATTTATTTAGAGATAGGGTCTTACTGTGTCACCCAGCTAGAGTGCAGTGGCACTTTCATGGCTAACTGTAGCCTCGAACTCCTGGACTCAAGCAATCGTCTTGTCTCAGCCTCTGGAGTAGTGTAGTTGGTTCAACAGGCGTTAGCCTAAAGTGATATTTTTTCCATTGCAAAGCAATTACTTATCTACTGACTGTTGTCTTAAAGCTGATAATATGTACTTAATCAAAAAACAGGTGTGCTTCTTATGTCAGAGTTCTTGGCAAAGCCTTTCAATCTCATGAAATTTCTGTGTGTGTGTGTTTCTTTGATAATTAACTCCCCTCTGCCTTCTCTGTTCTCTCTTTCTGGAACTCCTATTAGTTAAATTTTCTGCTTTTTCTCTTCTATTTTTCTTTTTCTTCCGCTTTCTGGTATGCTTTTATTAGCATAATCTTTCAACTGCTCTCTTGAATGTACGGTATAGAATTTTTCATGTTCTTATCTTCTCTATATCATATTCTCTGTTTTTTATAGCATCTCTTTCTTCATTAATACACTATCTTTTAACTCTGAGACCCATAATTTCATAATTTCATGAGATTTTATTCCTGTCTTTCATCTTCTTAGTTTCTTTCTGTCTTTGTTCAGGCTGCTATAGCAAAGTAGCATACACTAAGTGGCTTACAAACAACAGAAATTAATTTCTCATAGTTCTGGAGGTGAAAGTCCTAGATCAATCTGTCAGCATGGCCAGGTTCTGGCAAGAACCCTCTTCTGGGTTGGAGAATGCCATCTTCTTGTATCCTCACATAGCAGAAAAAGGAGGAGAGAGCTCTCTGGGGTTTCTTTTATAAGGGCACTAATTCCACTTATGAAGGATCTACCCTCATGATCTAATTACTTCCCAAAGGCCCCGCCTCCTAACACCATCATATTGGGGTTAGGATTTTGACATATGAATTTGGGGAGAGATAAACATTCAGTCCATTGCATTTCTCAATTTCTTCCTTTTTTTGTTTCTTTGTTTTGATATTACTTTTCATGTTACATCATTTCTCCACATGTCTGATGATTCTTGGTTCTCTCTTTATATTCAAGAGTGAGTCACTAAAAATAAGACTAGAACCAGAAACAAAGTTAAAAAGAAAAATTACCAAACAGAGAAAATATTTCTTATATATGATACAATAATGGTCCATGTTTACATATCTAAAAGTCATGAAGACATCAATAAGAAAGGACAACTGTCCCAATAAAAATAAATAAATGCTATAGATAACCAATTTTCAAAATATCAGTAGTTAGCAACATTTCAAAATGTTACAATAGTGATAAAGTATACATGTAAACAATAGGATGTCATATTTAGCATCAAATTGTTAAGGATTTTTGTTTGTCTGTTTTTTGGGGGTGTTCTTTAGTGATGATTCCAAATATTGGCAAGGATGGGAAAAGGATACTCTCATACATTGCTGATAGAACTATAAATTGAGAAAGATGTTCAGGAGAACAATTAAGCTAAATTCAGTGAAGCTTTGAAAAATAGTGTGCCCTTGGAGCCAGCAATTCTACTTCTAATAATCTTAAAGAAATAATCATGTTTGCAGAGATCTATGTTTATTTCAGTGTTGTTTAGGATACTGAAGAATGGACACAATACAAATGTCTAACATCAAGGGACTAACAAGATAAATTATAGTTATACCCACCTAAGAAATACGCTTCAGCTATAGGGAAAAATGTTATTGCAATATATTTAGTGACAAGTAAAGATGTTAATGATACATTATTAAGTCAAAAAATGTGATAGAAGATTGTATCAAAATAGAGATCTATTGAAAATATTTATGAAATATACATATATAGAAAACACCTAGATGATATATGTAACCATTATTGTTTATAAAAGATGGAAATACAGTTGATATTTTCTTCTTCATGATTTTATATAATTTTCAGATTACTTAAAATAAACATAATACTGTGTGTATAATAAAACAAATTCTGAGGAGAGACAGAGAGTAAAAATGGATTTAAGATCTCTAAGAATGTTTATAGGGTGGGAGTTGGGGATTTTTGGTTCAGCTGGCTTTATCATAGAGTGACAAGATAGATACAGTCATTTTATGAGAGAACCACACATACCAGTATCTGCAAGCATGCTGGGCCCATGTATCTCTTTCTACAAGGAGCAATCTTCTAATCATTTTCTGGGGGAGTATAAGATTGGCAGTGAGTATTCTGGGAACCAGGGGGCTCACCATAATTGTCACTTAATTGTCCCTATTTCCAGCCTGGCATTTCCCCCACTATCTTCCGTGACTAGGTGCTCAAGTAGAGCCTTCCAGGTTAAATTTCCCCGAAGAAGAGCCTCCATTCTCCTGCCTAGGTGAAGAAGGGTTAATTGACTGGTGGTCAGAGATAGAAAGAGGATTGGAAATCTAACTCTTCTTTACACAGATTTTTTAACGAATCCTATTTTAAGCCCCATACTTCCTCTAACTTCAGAGTACCTACTGCCTCCAAATTTCTAAATGTTTACAGGGTTCTGAAATTGACATTAACTCATTTCTTGTGCCTCCCTCCTCAATATTCTTTCTGGGCTCTGATAAATAATTACCAGTCATTCGTCTATTTCCAGATTCCAAAATTTTGTTGGCATTTCTTATTTGGTGGGATCATCTTTCTTGTTCTCTTCCTCCTTGTTGATTTGTATCCTTCTATTTTTTCTACTCTCATTTTAATAAAGTTTCAGAAGCAGCAGAGATAAATATTTGCATTCAATGTGGTACATTTAACAGGAAGTCCCATGGATATTTATACATTTTGCTCCTATTCATAAATAACATTGGGCACAGATGTCTCACATAAGAAGCTTCAAGGGTTTGGCAAGGCAACTTAATGCTAACTTGGTGAAGAGGATACACATGATGTCACTTGTATTCACCTGACCTAGCTAGGAGCTGGGACATGAAGATATTTCTTCCCTGATTAGTCTAGCCATGGGGAGGAATATGTAAAAAGCACATGGCAAAAACAATATGCCAATTTCTCTATAATAAAATGTTGTGCTTGGATAGGAAGGAAATTGCAGCTGTTCTGTACAGATGGCAAATAGCTGACTGCTTTTTAGCAGGATTCAGTGAAATATCTAAAGTGAATAGGCACATCGAGAGAGAGATGTGTGAGCTAAGTTCCTACTTCCCATTTGTTTCAAAAAAAATCCCTGGATAGTTAATATTTATTTAGATTTTTTTTAATGAAAATTTTCCAGGCATGATGGTTCATGCCTGTAATCCCAGTGCTTTGGGAGGCTGAGGTGGGAGGATTGCTTGAGGCCAGGAGTTTAAGACCAACTTGGATAATACAGCGAGACCACTAACCTCCTACAAAATAAGTGAAAGGTTTCCCCCAAACCACTGACCCAAGTAAAGAATTCCCAAAAGCCAATTTGCTAAGTATTGTGTCCCAAGATGCTCTTGGACTTACCCAAGATAGATTAGATTTTTTAGAATTATCTCTGTATCGCCTGTACAGAGATAATTCTGTATCATCATCATGACCACATAAAAGTAATGAGGTCAGATGTCTACATGTGAATAGGTGTGTGTTTGTCTGCATACATGTGCATATATGCTGTTTACTACTATTTTATTGCATTCACTTTGCCTCCACATCTACAAAATTAGAATTTTCTTAAGGGGAGGGATAATGACTATTCTTCAAAATTCTTATTTTTTTATGGCTAAACATATAGTAGGAATTCAATAAATACTTGATTATTTACTGATGTACTACATTGTTGAAAAGGGATGTTTGGACCCTCAGTAACACCAAGAGTATATCTGGATCTATGTGACATAAAAACAAGTTGACTGAGGAAAATGTTATAATAGTTAAGAATTATCAGTGAAATCAACCAGTCACAAAAGGACAAATTCTATATGATTCCATTTCTGTGAGGTACCCAGAGTAGTCAAACTGATAGAGACAGAAAGCAGGATGGTGGGCAGGGGCTGAGAGGTGAGAAGGAAATGGAGAATTAGAGGGAAGATAGAAAAGTTCTGGAAATGAATGACAGTGATGGTCACACAATAGTGTGAAATTACTTAATGCCACAGAACTGTATATTTAAAAATAGTTAAATTGTTGAGTTGTATGTTGTGTGTATTTTACCCACAATTAAAAAAAAATTGTCAATAGCTTAGGAGGATTTTTAGTACCAGGAATGCCTGGAATCCTAGAAAGATCATGTTGTTCACCAAGGTAATTTCAGCCTCATGAATCTCTAGGTCATTGGATCAGATCCACTGGGGGCTGGTGAAATGAAAACTCATATCTGAATAAAACAGAAAGAGAGCTTACTTCTTGCACATTTCCTAGAGTCTGTTCTCTGTCCGTGTTACTCTATCATTTAACCTTTTTGAGGTAAAGTTAAAATGGGTATTCTTAAGCTTTCAGAAACTGTTCACTGCTTGAGATTTCTAGCAAGTTCCACCCAAGGAGTGAGCCCACATCACATTTGTACAAATGTGTTCTTGCTGGATTGGCAGCTGAGGATAGGGCATTGGGTTGGGAGTTGAAGGAAGCAGATTTCAGCTATAGAGCTCCTGATGTGAAGAGACTTGTTTCTATGGCATTTTGTTCTCCAAGTCTCCAGACTTTTTCTTTTTCTCTTGTGATTTTTTTATCCTATGGAACATCCAAGAGCAGTGTAATCCATTCAAGGGCACAGCCCTGAGGCCACTGAGATATTTGCTAAGTGGGTTGTGGCATGACTTACATGTTTACAATTGGAAGAGCCAGCAGTAGGGGGTCTGCCTATGTCATGAGGTTCTAGAAATGTCCCCGACTTGGATTTGGGAAATCATCCATGGCATGGTGAGACATGCTCAAGTGTCATCTGGGAGACCACAGGAAACTCTGCTCATTGAACAGCACATCATGAGTTGTGGTCTTAGTGTGACCTACAGCAAAATCCCAATTGTGGGCAAGGTTGAAAGCAAGAATTTAAAGCAGGAAGAAAGCATAAGGCTGGCTAGAGGGAGGGGCTAGAGTCTCAAGCTACGAACAATATGAAGGTGTCAGAGGCCCACAGTTGGTTTTGGTTGGGAGCAGACATAGCTGATGAGGTAGACATGATGTCTTAAAGTTGCTGGTCCAGATCAAATAACACGGAGCAAAGCAAATTATAGAGATGGAAGTGAGCTAGTAAATACCATGTGGCCACATAATATACAAGTGTCATAACACGGATGAAAAGGAGAAAGTTCACTTGATTAACCAGATGTCTTATCTACAGGAAACCAAACCTCTGCCTACATGAAAATGTTCGAGTCATTAATTAAATTTTTCATGTTCCTCCGGCGATACAGAGAGAGCCTGAGAAATTATATGATAAGAAGAGAGAACAAAGAACTAGAATTTCCCTTTTCAGAATGATTTTTATCACTTTTTTTTTGTCTGAGTCTTATGTCTGCCCTCTCATCTTCGGTACTTGATTAACTAAAGGTCACTTCCTGGTTTCACATTGCCAGAGCTCTCACTGGACTTCCTCCCGGGTCGAACTCCTCGGTGCTTCTTGCCTAACTGAATTTTCTCCAACACGGTCTCCTTGCACCATTATTTTGTCCATTTATCTGCCCTCAGAACACCCTCCAAAGCCTTCTTAACTTTCTGAGAGCCTGGGCCTAAGGCCCATCCAAGGAGGCCCTTCATTCCCAAGGGGAAAGGGGGTGGAATAAAAGAACATATATTTGCAAATAATAAAGAAACAGGGAGTCATTTCTGACATGTTTGCTTGGGGAACAAAAATTAGCTATCTCATAGCTAAAGGTTAAAGGACTCAAAGACCCCATTCTTTATAACCCTTTGAAGACAGTTTGGAGCTAGGAAAAGAAAAAAAAAGGACACACACACACACACACACACACACACACACACACACACCACACACACATGAAGAATATCTAATTTTGTGAATGTCATTTTCAAATTCAAGTCTCAAATGTTCCCTGAGGCTAGTGGATTGCAAAGGCAGCACAGTGATGAAAACTTAATAAAATACCCAGAAAGATCATAGATCACACTGGCTCATCAGCTGTCATAGGTAAGGAAAAAATAATGACATTAGTCTAATATTTAGGAAGTTCTTGGCCATGTTTCATTCTCTGCAATGACAGCTACCCTGGCTTCAAACTTCATCACTGTCCACCATGAGCTCATCTGCGGTCTCTGGTCATTTCTGCCATACACTTTCTTCTTTCTGCCTCTGTTTAAAAAATGTGTTTAACCACAAAATCTATGCATGTCGATGTCTTTATGTCATGACTTTAGTCATTTCCCATTCCAGGCTCTCATCTTTTCCAGCCCATTTCCTCTGCCACCAGTTATACCAGAAATATGGGTTTATATAAATGGCATCTATTAAGACATTCCCTGGCTTCCTCATTCCTGTAGGACAGGCTGAAGCCCTTTGAATGGAATACAAAGACTTTGCAATAGAAACTGACTTATTTTACAGCCTCACTTCTTGTCACTGTGCCTCTGACCTTTTTTGTCCTCTTGCCCCCACCTTTACCATGATCTATGTTGCCACAATCACAAACATGTGGGACTCATTGACTTCTCCATGCTTTAGCATGTGCTTTTCTGGAATGCCCTCTCTCTTTTTCTCCTTGTGATCAAAGATGATTTGGCCTCCACTGCTTTCAAGTGTCCTCATCTCAGAAGTCTTTCCTAAATTTATGCTGGGATAATTGCTTTGATCTCCAGAGATACGGTATCATACTGGAACTGTTGTTAGCACATCTGGGATCTACTCCTAGTCCCGTCTTTACTCAAAGACACACTGAACTGAGAACTCCTCACTTTTGCACCCCCTTTTGTTTTACAGTGCTTGACACCATGTGCTCAATTAATGTTAAATGAAGAAAAGAATAATGAAGAAATGGGACACAATCAACCCAAAAGGAGTGGAAAGGCTGTGTGTTGTCTTCATCTGAGCAAAGCTTGTCTTGGCATCAGGTGCTGGATACACACCCCTTATGCCTTCTCTCAGAGCTCCCAGAACAACTTACTTTGAGAGATTAGTCCATCATTGACTTATTTCCTGCTTGATTTCCTACTTGAAGTTCATTTCCTCATTGTACTTTCTATGTGTATGTATATCTAGTGTGACCTCAATTTTTCATTTGAAGGTAATGACCTCCCTAAAGGAGGCTGGAAAACCTTCCCATCTTATCCCATAAACACCCATTCTCAGAAGTCCAGGATCAGCAGGTATTACTTCTCCAAAGTCCACATCCTGAGAAAGTCACAAGAACAAATTTATCAGTCTTCTTCTGCCTTGCTCTTGGGAGCGTTTGTTAACACAATTTTCTAGAAAGGAACTTAGAAAACTGTATCCAGAGTCTTCAAAACCTTCCATCGTTTGATTCAGCAATCTCACTTCAGTGATGGGAGAAAATATATATTCATAGGTGCTCATCTCAGAATTATTTATATTAGAAAACAATTTAAGGTAATGGTTTAAGTAATGGCACAAGCATTAGTCAGTAAAAATTATATCTTAGAAAAATATTTAATGACATTCCCACAATGGTCAGGTTAACCTGTTAATGAAAAAACAAACACCATCACTACTATTTTTTCCATCCTCATAGCTGCCAATGTAAAATAGTTGGAGGCTTTTTCTTTTTGACCCCAGGCATAGCCTCATCCTGAACAGTGGAAGAGAAGACCCTGCTCAGTCAGCTGATTTAAGCCTAAAGCTCACAAGATTACTCTAAGCTACTCCAATGACCCCTTTCTACCTTTCTGCCTCCACACTGGGACACTATGGCTCCCTGGGGTGTGAGGTGACACCCCTCTGCTGGTTCTGCAAAGTACCCTGTCACCTGCTGCTATACTCCTGATATTCCTGAAAGATGAAACAGGTGTTTGCTCCCAGCCTGAATCAAGTTTGCATTCCTGCTTCCAAGAGCCAGAAGAGTACTGCCAGACCACTGCTTTCCCAAAGCCTTGAAACTGACCCTGCCCACTCTGGCCCCGCTTTGCCTCCAGACAAAGGAGCCTGTACCATCTACTTCCAGGACACAGGGTGCACCTGACACCCTAACATGCACCTCTGAATCTTACTACCCAAATGTTCTCTAGGGAGAAATTTAAAAGCTGAGATGACGGAAGAAAGATTAAAAGTAGTCTCATTCCTGCCATAGGAATCTCTACCCTCTGTCCCAGGTACTGTTTTTCTGGTGGCATTTTCCATATCTTTGAGCCTGCTGGGTTCCTTCCCAGAAGGGGTGAAGTAAGGGATGAATGTGGGTCCACATGATTCTGATGGTATTTTCTTCTCATTCCTGCACATTCTCCTCCTCCAGGAAAAACATCCAAAGTTAATGACAGTTGGTCACCTAAACAGAGAAGAGGGTGGACACAATTAAATACAGATGCCCTGACCCAGCCTGTTCTCTGAAAGAAAAAGCGGGGATTTTGTTTTGAATATTTGAAAGAGGTCAATGTCGCAGTATAATCCATCGCCTCTCCAGTTTCTGGTTCCCAAAGCAGAGAGAGTTGGAAAATCACAGGGCTTTATGGCCCAGGGTCAGAGAATAATGACTCTATTCTTTTTTCATTATCACTTGTCCCATATTTTGGGAATCATTTCAGGTGCTTTGTATGTCACACTTTTCCAATATTCTCTCCTCTTATGGCGGTATTTCTTAGGAAAGTCTCCCCCTGGAGAAAAATTGCTATGTGCCCCCCTCCACGTGCTTCCTTATCTGGTGTAGCTGTCCCTCTATACCCATTTTCTCCAGCTTGACAGACATGGTGTCACGAGTTTCTTTTATCTGTAACAGGCCTGCTATGACACTGATGGCCTGAGCCACCAGATAGGCAGTATATTTGTGTCTTCAGGCTTTTGAAACTTAAACTAATGACATGATTACCTACTTGTCACCAGCTCCTGAGGTCCCAGCACACCTCCCTGGCTTCTGTGCGCTGCAGGTGAATAACAGTTGTAATAATATTATGGAGTCAAACCCTCTCTTCATTGTGAGGTTCCCAGGGAGCTGGAGCTGTCCAGCCAACATGCATCTTACGAGGTGGTCCCTTTCATCAATATCAGGGTAGAAGCAGAGACAAAGGACAGAGAAAGCCTACTCAAAGAGCATTCGGGGAACATTTAGGGGGTAAAAAATGTCCGGGGGAAAGGTGTATGAGGTGGTTAAATCTTGACGAGGTCTCTGTGTAGATTCCAGGAAAGGTGTTCATGAGGTGATGGGGGTGAGGGTGGGGGTGGGAGCAGGAGCAGGAACAGGAGCACTGGATGTGTGTCTTGTCTTTCCAGAATGGATCTCAAGTGACTGTCATTAGAATGTAGCAATATATTTAGGCTGAAGATAGTCTCCAGAGAGAGCTATTATAATTCATTGTATTATTTCTTATTAAACAGTAGAGTTACAAGAAGTAATAAAGCTGGAATGAAGTCACCTTTCAAAAACAAGGACACTTTTCCCCACCTGCCCCCATACAGTAAGTAGTGGTGTCTGCTTCTTCAGTTTGTGATTTGCAAAGTATGTTTTTGGGAATTGCAACTTGAGTTCTACTATCCCCTTCTTCACTCTTTCTAGGTCCCAGATAAGAGAGGCTTTACCAACAGATTCTGGAAACACAGGTAGCACAGTGCATCTGTTGGTAGAGCCTCTCTTATCTGTTTGAAGAAGTAACATGATTCCCTTTGTATTTCCCTGTCTGAGTGAATCATTTTTGAGCCCAGGATTCTTTAGAAATTCTCCCACTTCAATGATTTCAATTTCTAAACATTTGTCAAGCTAGTACCACGGGTCATTCTTATGTAATTCACATGAAAAACATAAAGATGAATAACATGGTTCTCAGACTCAAGTAGTTTTGGAAAACCTGCCAAATGCAAAACAATAAACAACCTGATCCCAATTTTTCTCACAATTGTACCCATGGAGAAGTTCAAGAGAGCTTTAAAATACCTGGCAGCTAGAAGTTTCCCATGGAGATATTGACAGTATGGTGATCATGGTTGCAGCTAACTTAAATAATAACTTATCATTGTATATCACTTATTTGATTTTGATTTTATAAAATATTCTTTCATATTTTATGAACCTCAGCCCTATAAGCCTCCTTCTAAATGTAGTACCTTGTTTGTGCTTTGGTTCATTGTGCTTTGCTTTATTGTGCTTTGTAGATATTGCTTTTTTTTTTTTTTTTTTTTTTTTTTTTTTTTTTTTTACAGATTGAAGGCTAGTAGCAATCCTGAGTTACGCACATCTATTCGTGCCATTTTTCCAACAGTATATGCTCACTTTGTGTCTATGTGTTACATGTTGGTAATTCTTACAATATTTCAAGCTTTTTCATTATTATATCTGTTGTTATAGTGATCTGTAATCAGTGATCTTTCATGTTACTATTGACTGTTTCAGGACACCATGAAGTGAGTCCATATAAGATGGCAAACTTAATCCATAAATGTTGTATGTATACTTGCTTATCCACTGACTGGTCATTCCTTCTCCTCTGGCCTCTCCATTCCCACAGACAACAATATTGAAATTAGGGTAATTAATAACCCTACAATGGTCTCTAGGTGAAAGGAAGAGTGAAAGGAAGCAAAGGGAAAGAAGTGGAAGGAAGAGTGGCATGTCCCTCACTTTAAATGAAAAGCTACAAATGATGAAGCTTAGTGAGAAAGGCATGTCAAAAGCTGAGAGAGTCCTGAAGGTAGGCCCTTGCCAGTTAGCCAAGTTGTGAATGCAAATAAAAGTTCTTGAAGGAAATGAAAAGTGTTATTTCAGTGAACACACAAAGAAAATAAGAAAGCAAAACAGCTTATTGCTGTTATGGAGAAAGTTTAAGCAATCTGAATAGAGCAAACCAGCTACTACATTTCCTTAAGCCAAAGCCTATTCCAGAGCAAAGTCCTAACTCCCTTCAATTCTATGAGCCCTAACTATCTTTAATTCTATGAGAAAGGTGAGGAAGGTTGGAAAAGAGAAGTTGGAAGCTAGCAGAGTTTGCTTCCTGAGGTTTAAGGAAAGAAGCCATCTCCATAACATAAAGTGCAAGGTGTCATGCCATCACACGCCAGCCTGGGAGACTGAGCAAGATTCCATCTCAAAAACAAAACAAAACAAAAAAAGTGCAAGGTGAAGCAGCAAATGCTGATGGAGAAGCTGCAGCAAGTTATCCAGATCCAGCTAAGATCATTGATGAAGGTGGCTACACCAAAGAATAGATTTTCAGTGTGGACAAAACAGCCTTATTTTGGAAGAAGATGACATCAGGGACTTTCATAGCTAGAGAGGAAAAGTCAATGCCTGGCTTCAAAGGACAGGCTGGCTCTCTTATTAGAGGCTAATGCAGCTGATGATTTTAATTTGAAACCAATGCTCACTTACCACTCCAAAAATTGTAGGGCCCTAAGAATTATGGTAGTCTACTCTGCCTGTGCTCTATAAGTGGAACAACAAAGGCTGGATGACAGCATATGTATTTATAGCATGGCTTACTCAATATTTAAGCCTATTGTGAGACCTACTGCTCAGAACAAAAAAAGATTCCTTTCAAAATATTACTGTTCACTAACAAAGCACCTAGTCATGCAAGAGTTCTGATGGAAATATACAAGGAGATTAATGTTTTCGTGCCTGCTAACACAACATCTATCTGCAGCCAATGGATCAAGGGGTAATTTTGACTTTCAAGTCTTATTATTTAAGAAATACATTTTTGTAAGGCTATAGCTGCCATAGATAGTGATTTCTCTGATGGCTCTGGTAATGTAAGTTGAAAATCTTCTGGAAAGAATTCACCATTCTACATGCCATCAAGAACATTCATAATTCATGGGAAGAGGTAAAAATACATAGATTAACAGGAGTTTGGAAAAATTTGATTCCAATCTTCATGAACGACTTTAAGGAGTCCAAGATTTTAATGGAAAAAGTGACTATAGGTATGGTAGAAATACCAAGAGAACTAGAGTTAGAAGAACTAGAGCCTGAAGAGGAGATTGAATTGCTGCAATCTCAACTCAAACTTGAACAGACGAAGAGTTGCTTCTTATGGATGAGCAAAAGAAAGTGGTCTCCTGATATGGAATCTACTTCTAGAGAAGACATTGTGAACATTGTTAAAATGACAATAAAGGATTTAGAATATTAAATTAACTTGGTTATTAAAGCAGCAGCAGCAGGGTGTGAGAGGATTGACTTCAATTTTGAATGAAGTTCCACTGTAAGTGAAATGCTATCAAACAGCATCACCTGCTACAGAAAGTTTTTTCCTGAAAGGAAGAGTCAATGAATGTACCAAACTTCATTGTTGCTTTATTTTAATAATTTGCCGCAGCCACTTCAACTTTTAGTAACTACCATTTTGATCTGTCACTATCCATCAACATTGAGGCAATACTCTCCACCAGCAAAAAGGTTATGACTGGCTGAAGGCTGAGATAATTGTTAGTATTGTTCAGCAATAAGTATTTTTAGTTATATCATGTGAGTTGTTTTTAGACATAATGCTTTTGCACACTTAACAGACTACACTATAGCTTAAACATAACTTTTATATGCACTGGGAAACCAAATCTCTGTGATTCAGTTTATTGCTGTGTCCTGGAACTGAGCCTGCAATATCTCCCAGGTATGCCTGTGCTCTGTTCTCTGTTTGAGGTCTTCTTGTTATTCATTTCACGTGTTAATGCATTCACTCATTCACTCATGACCTACAAGAATGTGTTTCTTTACAAACTGCATTTTCTACTAGTGACTCGTCACCACTGAGCTTGAAGATGAGCTAACCATCCAGTATAAAGCACACGGATTTTATTTACATAATGGCAAATGCCCATTGGCTTAGCAGAAAATGCAAAAATGTCTTTTGCTACAGAGAGAGAGTCCATGGCTTGAAAGGATTGAGGACTACTGTAATGGAAGGCACAAAAAGCCTGATTCTGTTCTTACTCAGAAACAACCATATTAACTCACATGATCAACATATATTTTAAAATATCAAAAATAAAACATGGTAACCATAGATAATCATCACTATTTTAAATTGCTGTGAACATTGTGGCCAATGTAATGAGGCTTGAAATAAAAATAAGAGGAATGACTGTGTATGTAAAAGGAGAGGATATATTATTTGTAGAGGGTCAAAATTCTACTTAGAAACCCCAAGAAATGACTTCTAGTGAAGATTGTGCTGTAATTGAAAAACCAAGCCAAAGGATGGAAGAGATATTGACAATACATATAACTGAGAAAAGACTCATATTCAGAATTTGCAAAGACCTCCCACAAATCCATAAGAAAAGACATATCACCCAATACAAAAATGGGCAAAATTTGTGTTTCAATTAAAAAGAGGAAAATGGTCAATAATCCTCTGAAAAAATGCTCAACTTCACTGGTTTTCACAAAGAAAGGGGTGTGCAAACTATGGCCTGCAGGCCAAATCTAACCCACAAGTTGTTTTGGCAGAGCCAGAGAGCAAGGAACGTGTTTTTACATTCTTGAATGGTTGGTTGAAAAACACACAACAACAAACCCAAAGAAACTCAAAGAACAAACCTGGCCCTTAACAAAAAAAGCCTGTTGTAAAAGCATATTAAAACAAAATAAGAGATCACTCCACACCCTTCAGATTGACAAATAAAAGTCTTATTGTACCTCATGCAGGGTTTGATATGGAAGGAGAGCTTGCTCAGATAGCTATCTGGAGGGTGCTTGCATTGGTACAAAGACTGCAGAGAGCAAGTTGGCAATATTTAATAATGTGGAAGGTGAGCATACCCACATACGTCTTAAAGAAACTCTTGCACATTTGCATAAGGCCACACATGTGGGAATGGAAGCACTGTCAATAGCAAAGGCCTATCAGAAGAAAAATGGATAAACACATTGTTGCATATTCACACAATCAAATGCAATACAACTATGAAAATCACTAAAAGAGAACCACTATATCAACATGAATAAATATTACAGTATTTTATTGAGAAAAACTGCAAATAATATATATGCAATAATATAATTTCATAATATTTTAAAACATAATAATCAGATAGTTTTTACTAACATGTAAGTAATATGTATAAACCCATAAAAGGGAGGGCTATGAGCCTAGAAAGTAACTTTGGGCTCATAGACATCTCTGAGAAAAAAGGAGAAGGGACTACTGTTAGGGAGGGGTATGCAGACTTTTCAAATATGTCAATAACGTTTCATCTATGGTTTTATTTAAAAAAAGCATTAGAGGCAAATACGGAAAAAAGTTAAGACTTGCTAAAGTTTGCTGGCAAGCATAATGGTGTTAATTATATCATTTTTTTCTATGTTTGCAAAGAAAATGCAAGAAAATCACTGGATAAAAGTGTAATTAAGAAAGAACTTCAGTGGAGTCACTGAATACCAAGTAAATACATTAATATTAATATGGTTTTTTTTGGTATGCCATTGAAAATCAACTAAATGGTTACAAGGAGAAAAGATGCTATTCTCAATAAGGATAAAAATATAAGGCAACAAGGGATACATATTTCCTGAAATAGATAAGATATATATTAAAAAGCTGTGAAACTTTACTGAGAAATATAAAAGAAGTTCTAAATAAATGGATGGATTTATTGTATACCCCAGTATGAAATGTGAATATTTAAAACATATTTTAATGCAATTCTATTGAAATTTTTGAGGTAAAACAACTAAATCAGTCTGAAAATAGCTGAGAAAACATGAATAGATAAGCATAGCCAAGAATACTTTAGAAAGTGACATAATGAGGGTGTTTGCTTTAGTTATTAAAACATACTGTAAAGCTATAATAATTAAAACTGTAATGCAATTGCAGAAGGTGATAAATAATTCAGTGAAAAGGGACAACATCGTACTAGAAGTATGTGTGTGTGTATAAATATATACACATATGTATGTACGTATGTGTGTATATATACATACGTTGTGTACAGATGTACAATTATATGAATATATGCATGTATATATGTACACATATTCACACATATTTATATATATATCTGTATATAAATTACATACATATATACACTTAATATATATTAATCATAAATGGAGAAGTGTGGTTTGTTTTATTTAGTCTCTTTGGGAAAGCAAAGTTTTTACTTCTTATGCCAAATATTTTCTTAGAAAAATTAAAATGCTAATTTTAACATGTAAACCAATTTAGAAATCTTTATTTAAAAATAGAGTTTCATTATCTAGTCTATGGCTGAGGAAATACATTCTAGGTTTAAAAGCTATGGGAAAAACATATAGAACAAAATTTATTTATATATTTAAAAAATCATTAATAACGTTAAAAGTCAATTGACAGAATAGGAGACGATATATGATGGGTTGATATCTTTAATGTATAAAGAGCATATGCAAGTGAACAATAAATATTCTAAGATGCTATTGAAAAATGGACAAAGAACATGAACAGACATTTCACATAAAAAGGAAGTACTAACGGTTAGTGAAACTTGCCATGTTTAATCTAACTAGCAAAGGATTAAATGATAATTAAAAGCATACCATGTAACATCTCTAAAGGTGATATGTGAGAAAGAGTTCAGCAAAGTGGATGTTCTCACATGGTGTTGATAATCTTGTAGGCAGGTACAACCTTTCTGAAAAACAATTTGGCAATAGGTATCAAGAGCTTTAAAAATATTTCTATCTTTTCATCCAATGATTTTATTTTAAGAAATTCTAATCATAAAATATTTTTCTAGAAACATATTTATCTAGGCACATAGAAATAATATTAGATATACCCTAATATCCAGTAATAGTAGAAGTATTAAATTGAGAATATTCATTCACTGGAATATTACATGACCATCAAAATGATGTTTTCAGTGAATTGCTAATGATTTCAGGAAATTTTCATTATCAAAGTAAATTAACAAGGCTGGGCATGGTGGCTCACGCCTGTAATCCCAGCACTTTGGGAGGCCGAGGTGGGTGGATCGCCTGAGGTCAAGAGTTTGAGACCAGCCTGGTCATCATGGTGAAGCCCCATCTCTACTAAAAATACAAAAATTAGCTGGGCATGGTAGTGGGCACCTGTAATCCCAGCTACTTGGGAGGCTGAGGCAGGAGAATTGCTTGAACCCAGGAGGCAAAGGTTGCAGTGACCCAAGATTGTGCCATTGCACTCCAGTCTGGGCAACAATAGCAAATCTCTGCCTCAAAAAAAAAAAAAAAAAAAAAAAGTAAATTAACAAAATGTGACTTAAAAATTTTTTCCATTTTTATTGTAGATTAAAGGATATCCATGCAGGTTTGTTACATGGATAAATAGCATGATGGTGAGGCTTGGGGTCTCGACTATCCCATTACCCCGGTAGTAAGCATAGTAACCATAGGTGGTTCTCCAGTCTATGACCCCCTTCCTCCCTCCCCCAACTAACGGTCCCATTCCCAGTGTCTGTTGTTCCCTTCTTTATGTTCATGTGCACTCAATGTTTAGCTTTCACTTATAAGTGAGAACATGCAGTATTTGGTTTTCTGTTCTTGTATTAAGTCTCTTAGAGTAATGGCCTCCAGCTCCATCTATGTTGCTACAAATTTCTAGTATAAAAGTAAATTTCACAAAATGTCACATTTTATATACAATATGGTAATAATTATATATACCTACATACACACATAGGCATATGTGATGGGAAAAATGTTTCAAAAATTAATAGTAGTTAGCTTCAGGTTGTGAGATTATGGATGACTATTTTATTTCTTTTTATTTTTCTGTATTTTCTAATTTTTAAAGCACTTACATTAATTTCATAATCATATATTAAGTCAACAACTTTCATTAATTTATTCATTCAACAATTAATTATCTATTAATGTTTAATTGACAAACACTTATAAAGTTCTTACCATATGCCAAGCAAAGAAACACATTGTGAAAATAAAGGTCTATTGAGCTGATGTGTTGGCTCTCAATAAAAGTTGTTTAAAATTCTCACACTCAAAAAGAAATGGAATGAAATCAAGTGTATTTAATATTGCACCAACTGAACCATCAATGGAATTGAAACATAAACGTATCTGTTTTCAGGAATGAGAAGATTTGTCTTTCTGGGTGTGGAAGTGATTCGAAAGGTCAGAAAGTCTGTAGAAATAGCTGACCCTTATAAGAGATTAGATCTAAGACTTCATCAATTTTTATATTCAATGAGGTGTCTCAAAATTTAGTTCGCATTTTCCATCTCCAGAGACTTGTTTGTCTCTTATGTAGTGAAGGTACCTGGTAATGAGCTTGTAGTTTAGAGCTGATTTGAAATGGAATTTTTATAGAACCAATTTTTTGGTTGCTTAAAGTTAATTGCTTTGTACCTAATTTAGGTCCCACAGGGAGTAATTTTGATCTCCCCCAGCAAACTTTATCTTAAACGAGGCTGATCTATAATCCTATTACATATGTCTGGGTGTCTATCAGTAAATACCATGGGTTACATTAAGTTTCTAAAAGATACTGTGTGGCTTTAACACCCTCCAAGGACTTTACTTTTAGCAAAGAAGTAAGTTGTTTTCCTGGAGCCAGGTCACTCCACTGTACCAAATAAAAGTTATGGGAAAATGGTGAGGTTTGTATTACCTTTTCTTGCCCAAGCAATAGATCACAGTTGCCTGGCAACCTGCAAGAAATACGATGCTCTAAAGGGAATGAATGAAACAGAGGAAGACATGAAACACTGCAATAAGAACGGAAGGGCATCAGGACTGCAATAATCAGAAAGAATGCAGGTATTGCCGTGTGCCAGTGTACAGCAGGGGTTCTCAAATTGTGGTCCTTGGACCAGCAGCATTAGCCTGACCTGTGAACTTTTTAGAAATGCAAATTCTTGGGCCCATCTAACATCTACTGAATTAGAAACTCTGGGAGTGGAGCCCAGCAATCTGTGTAGTAGCAAGGCCTCCAGTTGATTCAGATATACACTGAAGTTTGAGAAAGCTAAGCCAGAATAATCAAATTTGGCTGAAATAGAATCATGAGGTGAGTATGGTATCAGATTTTATCTGAGATTTGGAGGCAGAGAGAGAGAGACAACCCTGGGAAGTGGGCTGCTAACAGAAATTCATGCAAAAGGGCTTTAATAACCAGTTTTCATTTGGAAAAGGAGTGCAATTCCAAGTCAAGCCAAGTCAGGAACCAGAAGGTATAGGTAGGAAGATACACAAAAGTGTGGGACAAGTCACAGTTTTCCCCTTCCTGCCAGGTTTTTCCTGACATCTTTTGCCTGAAGACACATTAAAGTTACTTGAGGTCTCTAACACAGGAAGAAACTCATTGATGATGGAGCCTAAAGGAAACAACCCTTTCATTCATCTAATATCACTTGTGAGACAACGCATTGAAAGCTAATCAAACTGAGCTCATAGGGTATAAATAGGTAAGCCCTGGGTGGCACGTAAGGGGAACAAAAAAACCTTTCAGGAAAACTTGATGACTCTTTGACACCATTCCAATTTTGGTGGACAATGGAGGTTTCATTAGTGTGAATGGAATAGATCGTTAACAAAGCATTTGATGCCTCTCTCAGTAGATCTTATTATAGCAGCAGAGAGTTATTTGACAAAGAAAACTATGCCAAGGATACCAAATTACTTTATAGAATCTAGAGTACATGAAGAAGATAAAATGTAACTGTGAGGGCTTGTGACAAATAAGTTTTCAGACAACTTGGCTTTAGCCATGGATTCCAGTGATCAGAGCAGCCTCCAAAAATAACTTAAATATTAATTGTTTATTGATTAAATATTTAACAGAATTGGATCATCATTTGGTCTCTGGCCCAGCATATCAGTGGTAGGAGTTAATCAAAAGGATCATTTGCCCCAGAAGAGTGGCTTTCAAATTTAGCATGCATTGGAATCCCCCTGGAGGGCTTGTTAACACAGATTATTGAACTCTACCCCGAGAGTTTCTGATTCAGTAGGTCTTGGGTTGGCTTGAGAATTTGCATTTCTAGCAAACTTTCAGGTGATGCTGATGCTGCTGGTCCAGGGACCACGCTTTGAGTGAGAACCACGGGACGAGAGAAACCACTGAAGAGCAGAGATTCATTTTGAAGACTACACCATAGGAAGGAGGCAGAAAGTAGAAAGAAGCACTCCACTGCATAAAGCTGAAACTGGCATCCAGGAATGAGAGATACCAGGCAAGCTTTGGATGATTACAGGAAATAACTTCTCAAAGGTAAAAAATGAAGTCAGATCTCCTTACACCTATAGTAGCTTTTTTAAAGTTCCCATTTCATCAAGAATCAAGACAAGGATCATAAAGGAAATTGTCTTTGAGGCTGCATGCCCTACCTGATTGCTCTTGAACTGGAACTCAGCCAGCCTAGTTGCTTATTTCCAAGGTTAGCCATAAACTGTGCAGATGTGTGAGAAATTGCCCACTACTGAAGATGACTCTTGTGAATAGTCTCTGGTGTGTGGCTGCAAGGGAAGGGTTTTCTTTTCCCAAGATGTTTGTCTTTTCCCAAGTTCTCCACCACTTATCCACAGATGCTACTTGTGACACATACAGTTAGCCTCTGAACTGAGATACAGAGCATCGATGTCACCTTCTCCTCAAAAACTTTGGCACATCTTAGTTATCTCTGTGGTCTCAGGATGGAGCATTAGGTGCCACCTGAATGCTGGAGAAAGCTTCCTCACTGAAAAGGATTTGAGAGCAGAGAAAAGCGCTCATTTGTCAGGCTTCTGTGGAACTTGATTTTCTGTGCCTGATTGTCACTACGTCACTCTGCTCTGAGTCAGTCATCAGGAGTCCCCTGACTGCCCAGTGCCCAGTGATGGGCAGCTTTGACTTGCACTGAGTAGAGGATGGAAGGGAGGTGACCCACAGAGGTTGACTGTTTACCCAGTCTCCATCATGGGGATTTTCTTGGCCACACTCTGCTAAAACTGACTCATGAAGAAGACAGCAAGCCAACAGTTCATGGGAGGTAGAACTGTTTCTATTGTTCACATGTCATTTGGCTCAGCTGAATCATCTCCTCCACAACTCAGAAAGGAAGGTGCTTCCATCAACACCTTCTTCATTTGGGGGAAGGGATGGAGTGGGAATTTTCAGGACCTACCTCATTCCTATACCTTTCCCACTCCAAAGAGAGAAGAATGACTTTGGTTATCAGACACACTGGCTATTCCTCTACTGGGCAGGGTAAAAACTCAAGGTCACTCACTTCTCCTACATGCTCCCCCATTTCCTGATTCTTCTTGAACTAGCCTTTATTTCAGAGCAATGGGTCAGTCTCTGTGGGTCAACCCCTTGGTGGGACCACCTCAGAGCAGGGAGGACTGATCTCCAGCTTCTCAGCCTGGGACTGGGTGGATAAGTCCACCTTGTAGGGAAGACTTGGCTCTCTATAATTCTGAGTGGGAGGTCAGAAACCCAGCTATATTCTCTAGTCTTCTAATTGTTACAGAAAGTCAAACAGAACTAATGTTGCAATCCTCATTTAACAATATGTGTATCTTTTATCAACCAGAATCCTCAAGGAGAAGCAAGGTGGGCATTAGGATCTGGGACCAGCCCTCCTCCCCAGCAACTCCCTCACTCTCAATTCCCAAGAAGTTCTGAGGCTGACACTTTCCCATACATTCTTCTCTTGTGCCAGGATTTATCAGGAGGTGTGGAGGTTTGTTGGGAGCAGGACAGTGTAGGCAGGAAAGGGACTGAGACTTGGCACTAGACATGCCCTTCAGAGTGGGACAGGCCAAGCTAACAGGAGAGGTTGGAGAAGGCACAGGTGCAAGGAGTTCAGCCTTCCACATAGCGATTCAGCTAAGTAGCTGGCACCAGGTGCTCCAAGTGGAATTGCAAATTATGCCAAAACATGAGCAGGGCCCACTGAAAATTGGGGGCAGGTAATTTTTGGAATTCAGGGCAGGGTGCCAGCCTCTGGCAGATTTGTTCCCCAGAAATCCAGACCCCAACACTAAACTAAGATACAGAGCTAAAGACTCCCCTGATCTTAACCTCAGATAAGGAGAGAGGTACTGATATGGACAAGAGACAGGGAAATACTGGGTAGAAGAAGGCAGTTCCCTGGCAAAGGCCCCACCCTCAAGCCTGGAAACCCATGGCCCTAAATAGAAACAGGCATTTCTCTTTTTGCACCCAAATGTTGCCTTCTGGCCCACCATGCCCCACTATCTCATACCCATATAAACCCCAAATCCCATGCTCCACAAGTAGATGAGCAGAGGCAGAAAAGTGGGCCTGGCAGAGAAGGAGAGAAAAGAAGGAATATCTGAACATCAAGAGGAGTTCATCTGGGGATGGTTGGAGAGGAGACTGGCTGCAGGACAGCCAAACTCCAGGTGAAGATCATTCTTCCTACTTCATCCCCTCTTCAGCTCCCCATCCCTCCAGCTGAGAGCCATCTCCATCTGACAACAAAGTCCCCTGCATTTGCCAACCTTCAATTCGTCCATGTGACCTAATTCGTCCTGGATACTGAACAAGGACTCAGGTACCAAGAGGGCACTGAGCTGGTTAACACTTAAGCCATCTGCAGACAGCAGAGCTAAAAGAGCACTGTAACACACCCACCTGGGCTTTGGGAGTTGCAGGCACCCACCCCTAGATGCTACCATGGAGCCTGAGCCCAAAAGTGCTTGTCCTGGCTCTTGCACCTGCCCGTCTGCATGCTCCCACTCCTATAAGGGAGGTAAGGCAGCTGAACAGACAAGCCACACCCCTGTTGCATGTTCTGTGAGGGGGGTCAGGGAACTCTCCCATTTCAGGAAAATCAAGAGCAAGACAAGATGGTTGAACCAAGGATGAGATGAGAACCAAGGTCGAAAAGTGCAACTCATGGCTGGGCGCGGTGGCTCATGCCTGTAATCCCAGCACTTTGGGAGGCCGAGGTGGGTGGATCACGAGGTCAAGAGTTCGAGACCAGACTGACCAACATGGTGAAACCCTGTCTCTACTAAAAATACAAAAATTAGCTGAGCATGGTGGTGCACGTCTGTAATCCCAGCTACTCAGGAGGCTGAGGCAGGAGAATCGCTTCAACCTGGGAGGCAGAGGTTGCAGTGAGCCGAGATGGCGCCATTGCACTCAAGCCTGGGTGACAGAGTGAAACTCCATTTTGAAGGAAAGAAAGAAAGAAGAAAGAAAGAGAAAGAAAGAAAAGAAAGAAAGAAAGAAAGAAAGGAAGAAAGAAAGAAAGAAGGAAGGAAGGAAGGAAAAAGGAAAAGAAAGAAAGAGAGAGAGAGAAAGAAAGAGAAAGAAAGAAAGAAGGAAAGAAAGAAAGAAAGAAAGAAAGAAAGAAAGAAAGAAAGAAAGAAAGAAAGAAAGAAAGAAAGAAAGAAAAGAGAGGGAGGGAGGGAGGAAGGAAGAAAGAGAGAAAGAAAGAAGGAAAAGTGCAACACTCTTCAGTGTTTCCCAGGAAGAAGTTTGGGTATAGGAGTTT
This sequence comes from Homo sapiens, assembly GCF_000001405.40. Classification (NCBI taxonomy): domain Eukaryota; kingdom Metazoa; phylum Chordata; class Mammalia; order Primates; family Hominidae; genus Homo; species Homo sapiens. The sequence continues at coordinate 221,826,813 of NC_000001.11, forward strand.
TGTAATTACAGTGGGAATGTTATTCGACTAGAGAGTTGCAACCCAGGGGTGGGGGCGGAAGCCCACTGAGGACCCCTAGGCCAAATCAAGAGTGAGGGTGACTCAGGTGACACACAGGGAGCCCAGTGGTCAGCTGGTTCAACCTAATCTGGAGAATGACTCAACACCAGGATGCCACTGCTGTTGGGGGAGGAGGAGGAAGTGCTAAACCCGCTTCAATATTTCCTGTCTTAAGCCCACATTGTTCTGGGGATTGAGATCTGAAGTTGAGGGGTTGGGGGTCAGTGAATCTGGCTATAGACATTGTAGATCTGCAGATGGAGGGCATGAAACAGGCTGAAACTGCTGCAATATGTACTCACCCTGAGGGCCTGAGGACCTAGATGATCATCTTAATTTAGATTGCTCCTTGGCCCACACAGACATGATAGTGCCTGCAGACAGTGGCTCTGGCACTGGCACCCATGGTAGCAGTTGGCCTCATTGTGATGGGAAAGCCTCCAGCTCCCTCCAAGATGCAGTTAGGGTTTCTGGTCTCATTCTTGGAAGAGTTTTGTTGGATGAATTAAACTGGAATCATCTTCCTTTCCCAGGAAACTGTTGTCTCTTTTGTCTGCTCTGCCTCTGGGTGAAATCTGTAGTCCTTACTTGCTGCTATTTTCTACCATCCTAATAATAGCTCATTGTTAGGCAGACATGACGCAAATACATTTCTCACTATCTTGGGAGATTTGGGGGGGGGGTCTTACCTTCTTATTTAAGTTCTTTGTTTAATTATTTAATTCTTTTCTTTTCTTTTTTTTTTTTTTTTAGTTTGTTCTCTTTGTTTGCCCTTAGTTGGTAAAGAAGACAAGTTGTTGATGAAGGAAACTGGCAAAATATCAGTACATCTTGAGTTCTTTGGTGATCTGCCTTTTCCAGAATCTTCTGATCTGTCCCTACACCTGCACAAAAAGTGCTTCATGCAATGAAACAGTCCTTACTGGGTGTCATAAGTGAGCTTACTAAATTTGGTGTGTGCCATCAATAACCCCTCACCTTTCCATTTGGGGTAGCATCTACCATCACCTCTTTTTTTTTTTTTTTAACTATCTTGTCTTGCCCTAGAACAGGTAGGAACATCTTATATTCAACAGTTTATCTTCATAGGTGCAGAACAAAGACAGAGATAGAAGTCATCCCTCTGCTCACCTGAGACAAATGCATATTTGACTTGCATTCAGAATCAGGCACATCCACCCCTGACCCTCTGCTGGGAGCATTTTTTATTTAAGATGTTTTTGGTTCATCTCTTGAACCTCCTCTCTACCTCCATTTATCCCTGAGTCCCACTCATACCCCTCTTCTTTATTACTCCCTAGAAAGGAAGTAGAAAGGCAAAAGACTTTTGTCACTGAGTCACTGAAAGAAAGAAACTTGATAATCTGGGAATTGAGGGAAGCCAAGGAAACACATCCTCAACCCTTAAGGTGAAGCTCCCAGTAGTCACCATTCCAAGAATGTGGGACCTCAAACTCAAGCACCTTTCTTGAGATAGAGTTAATAATGAAATCTGTGATTGGGAATGCATGTGTTTCTTTGTCTATCTCAACATTTTTTCAAGACCATTTTTGTAGCCATCCACAGCTGTTTTGCAGGTACAAAGAAAGGGGTCCTACTTCCCAGGCTATGGCTGTGAAAAGAAGATAAAATTTCAGGACCCCAAACTCACTATGCCAAAGGGGAAAAAAAAAGCTTGAGTCACCCAAAACTGCCTTTCATTTTGTTCCTAAATAGATAGCTACAAAGGTAGAAGGTTACAGGCCTCCCCAGGGGCCCTCCCTCACAATTCACTCACAAGAAAATTCTCTGTGCACCCCAAGATCTTTACCCTAAAACAGAGTTCTGTTGAATTTCACCCTGATAATGTAAATCAACAGCTTATCTTCATAGGTACAGAACAAAGACAGGATTAGAAGTCATCCCTCTGCTCACCTGAGACAAATACATATTTGAATGCTTCCTTTACTCTATGTTTACTTTATTTTACCTAAAAATGCAGATTCATTGAGCTGGAGCCAATGCATAGTTGACTATTCCTCTGTCCCCTCTTTTCACATTTAAAATGTGGATTCAGTGAACACGGATCTAGCTTCAAAAGAATGCCATTGCTTGCCTCTTTTATGTATTCTTCCCTTTTTATTTTTTCTTTCCTCTTTCCCCAACTGCTTACTCTTTCCCCTTTAAACGTTGAAGACCCCAAACCCTCTTTGGAAAAAGCACAAATCACAGGTGTTCCTTTTTCCTGGGTGCGTCCTCAACCTTGGCAGAATAAATCTCTAGATTGATTGAGTCACCTCAGCCATTTTCTTTGGTTTCACATGGCCAAAGCCTACCTTCCCTCTGTGGCCTTCCTTTGGTCATTAAGGATATTCTTTCTGCCATCAGGTAGGCAGGTGGTGCTACCTCAACCAGTGCCCATCTTCACATGGGCACCTCTGCACCTTACTCTGAGATGTGGTTGCCACTAAGCAAATAGGTATCCATTTGACTTTCAACTCTTTTTTTTAAATTAACATTGGCATTTTTAATTTGCTTTTTTCATTGACAAATAAAAAACAATATACATGTATGGGGTACAACATATATACATTATAGAACGGGGAAATGAAGCTAATTAACATACATTTTACCTCACACACATCATTTCCTGTGGCAAAAACACTTAAAACCTACTCAGTAATTTTCAAGTACACAATACATTGTGGTTAGCCACCATGTTGTACAATAGATCTCTTAAACTTATTCCTCCTATCTGGAATTCAGTATCCTTTAAACAATAGCTCCCTAATTCTCCCTAATTTTCAACCTCCTTTGTTCACAATGTCTTCAATTCTTCCTCCCAACCAGAAGGCTCTCCCCTCTCCATCCCTACAATCCAAATTCTCTGTATGATTCAGGGTTCAAAAGAGGTTCCAATCGTGCCGTGAGACTCCTCCCCCCACTCTGGTTCTTGCTGGTAGCTGTTTTAATTCTGTTCTCTAGCACTTGTTACAGTGATTCATATCCTGGATACGCATGTGAATCGCCTGTGGACTGTTTAAAAATGTAGACTCTGACTAGACAGACCTAATCAGAATCTCTGTGTGTGAACTGCAGGCATCTGTAGTTTTTACAAAGCTTCTAATGCACAGTGAGGGTATGAGAAAAACAGATAATATGTAAATGACTAATTTTAGTGTTTAACCATACCATGCCTGTTGCTACTTACCTGTCTTTTGAATATGTGCTTTTAACTTCTAGAAGACAGAAACCATATATTACTTTTTTTTTTTTGGTACACTACCCTTTCTTCCTACACCTAACCCACTCTTAGATCCAGGGCTGAGATGTTTCAATGAATATTTTGATATACATTTCTGCACATAGTAAAATCACCGAAGGGTTCAACAAACATTTTTGAATTATTTCACTGTGCCAGGCACTGGATCTAGGAAGATGAAAGCAACATGAGTCCTTTTAGACTAGAATCCATAGCTAACAGGTAAATGTTGTTGAGACTGTCATTTGGTTGTTGGGACACATATGGGGTCAAGAAAGCTTTGCTATGATTAAAATAATTGACTTTTGAAAGAGAATAGTGGAGGATGGAAGGAGCCTCTGGGTTTGCAAAGGATGAAGGTTTCAGAGTATTTTGAGGAGGTTCTACTATTTGTGCCATCATACATTCCACACCTTCCTATGCTGTGCAACAAGCAGGGAGAGGTTGTAAACCGAATACCTGCACATCTCCCTCCAAATGGCCACTCACTGGAAAAATAATCTATGGCTTTCCTGCTAAAGGAACATAGCGGGTGCATGAGGCTTATAAGAGAGAGCACATGCTATGGCATAAACATGGGCTGCATTCAGGTGTCCGTGGATGGTGTGTGTGCAAGTTCAGCTCTGCAGCTTTCTGCAGGCTGCTGGTATCTCCTTGTCCCATCCCTCAGCTCCTAGGGCTGCCCAGGCAATATTGGGAAAATCATGTGGGGCTTCTCTTAGGTGTCCCACTCTGTCCTTCCCATATCCATCTCCCCTGGAGTATTTTCTCCTTTTATTGCCAGATATCCCCAAAATCTCTCTTCTGTTTAGCAAAAACTTTGTTGTGTGTGTGTGAGTTGGAGTCTTGTTCTGTCACTCAGGCTGCAGTGCAGTTTTGCAATTATAACTCACTGCAGCCTCAAGCTCTTGGGCTCAAGGGATCCTCCCATCTCAGCCTCCCTAGTAGCTAGGACTATGGGCACCCACCACCACGCCCAGCTACTTTTTAAACATTTTTAGAGATGAGGTCTCACTATGTTGCCCAGGCTGGTCCCAAACTCCTAGCCTTGGCTTCCCAAAATGCTGTTATTAGAGGCATGAGCCACCGTGCCCAGCCCTAAAATCAATTCTTGAGAATGGACAGTATAACTAAATTTACAGAAAGGTGTACTTCACGGATAAAGCACTTGGATCTTACCCAATAAATAAGAAAAGTAACATTTATTGAGTTCCTAATGTGTGCCAGGGTCTACTATGTTGACGCATTATTAGCAAATTAAATAGGGAAGATGATTGGAGGGTTGGGGTCTCCTACACCTCAGCACCTGTGACACATAGATGATGGCTTCCTCTTCTTCCTCCTAAGATGAGCCTTGCCTGCTGCTTCGTGAAGGACTACACACTTAGTCTTGATTTCAGATCCCCTTCTGGGCAGATCTCAGAACCTCTCTGTGTTTGCTTTTTTCCTACGAGCAACTAGTTCCTTTTGTTCCCAACTCCTTTTCCAAGAGGCACAAAGTTACTTTCTAAACTAGGCCACTGGTTTAAATAGTAACCCCTAGGAAAGAAGAGTTTCCAATGAGTGCTGCCATCTTGACAAACGGCCTTGATTCCAATGCATCCTTCTACCTATGATCTGCATACATGCAATATCAATCTTAATTTACATGTGATTTCAATCTGTATGCAATATTACTTTGTATATGTAACATCACCCTTTTACATGCAATGTGGCAGCAATCCATTTACTCTAAGGGATCATAATGGTTCCTACCTGATAGTGTTGTAGTGAAGATTTAGTGAAATAATACAGGTAATGAACCTACAACAGGGCCCAGCATAGAGCAAGCACTCCACAAAGGTCCTCACTGTTGTCATCACTTTCCCTTCTGAACAGACTGTTGATAGTGTGATGTTCCTCAGACTACCTTCATTAGCTCCAACCTGCCCAATATCCTCCATCCCTCCCTCTACCCACAGACTCTCCCTTCTTCCTCTTTCCATAGAGTTTCTATCAATGGTAGTGGTGGTGGTAGTAAGAGCAGAAACAGAATTAAGAATAAATGGAAAGGTATTTCATGTTGCCTAGTTAGCCATAACTAATTATAATTGTTTCCTTAGCATCAATAAACATGAAAGACTTCTGGCTGTAAAGGCATGTCAGGCACTGCTCCAGCTGGAGTTTCCAGCCCTCTCCTTGCTTCCTGTCACATATAACTGCAGGCTGCCGCTAGACACTGTGGCTTCTTGTTAGACCTGCTTTGTGTGAACTTTGCTGTCATTGGGAATTTAATCATCTTTCTGAGGCAGGGACCACTGCTTTGTTAATCTGAACCAAGTTGTGATGTCAGAAAGGAAAACTACCAAAGTTTGGTCCCAATGTTATGAATAACTACTTAAGGTGCTCTGTCTCTGTCTAAAGAAAGAAAAACACAGTGATCCTAAATGTAAGTAATTCATCATGACATAAAGAGAATTAAAGGAAAATTAACTTTGTAGCATAAAACAGCAGTGACATATAAACCTACAAAACGAGTAGAAAAGATACTCAGGTTAAAATTATGGGTTTAGAGGAGGTCCATGGAGTGAACTTAAAATAAATGTATAGTTACAGAAAGGGTTGAGAATCTCTCAGGCACTTTAGCCTCTGGCTGTCCTAGACTATGGGATGCTGTTTATGTTCTATGCTAGGACAAAACCAAACAGGCCCACTGGAAGCAAGCCAGGTCACTGGTGATATTCCTAGGCCTGGCTGCAGGAACCTTTGGCGGATACATGCCCTTCCTTTGTTTGGAGAAAAATGTTATCCTCTCTTACCCTCTGCTCTTGACTAAACAGATTCTATACCATCATCCCCTTAGGAAAAATGGGCAGGATCCAATCCCAGTTTTCTGTCTGTGTAATGCAGGCATTAGGAGCCACTGGGCAGCACAGCCTAGCGTTCTCATTTTCTTTTTAATATAATAGCTTTTTTGCAAAGAACGTAAAAGCAGTTGTGCAGCTACATTTGGCTTTAGCAAAAGGAGAAATCTGTGAAAATTTAAAAATCAACACAGAACAAGGGGGACTTTATTTGATTTTTAAAGGATTGTTGTCAAGGTACCTTGTATCTGGGTGGGAAGAAAGAGACTATCAGGTTTAGGCTGAGAGTTACATTTGACTCTGCTTAGTGGGGCTTCTGTCCAATTTCTTAATACCCTGGTGTCAGAGAGACAGGGGCTCCCCTGAGACAATTTCAGGTTTGTTTGGTGCTTTGAGAGGCCAGGCTGGGGAGAGGTTCAAGGAGGTGCCTGTTACCACCAATAAGAACAAGGGATGCATTTCCAGGGGCTTGGTTTGGAGTTGGATGGAGTCTACCTTCCACAGGGACACTGGCTATTTGGGGACAGATATAGGCTACCAAGGTCAAGTGCTTAATCCTCAATCCAACACTTCAATGCTTCTTTCAATAGACCAAATTTCCTCATACTCACCCAAGTACTTCCAGATTTAAGAGGGCACTAACATGTAGTGTTAGTGAACCCAATAATATGTATATTACTATGGATGGATGGAGGAATGTCAATGCCAATAGCTAGTCACAGGACACAAGTTCTTTGCTAGTAGAGTTAGGTGAAAAATAATCTAGGCTCATGAGTGTCAAATGGGCCCAGCTAGTGATTTAGGGTAGGTCATTGGTGAAATGGCAGGTTTGAGGGATTAAGTTCAGTAGATTCAGGATGTTTTCATATTCATGCAGGAAATACATAAGAGGAGAGCACCAGGGATGATTCTAAGTGTTACACATGGCACAACACCCAAGTAAATAGATTGAATTAGTGATTTTAAAACTTCTCACCAAAAAAATTCATGCAGGGGAGTTTCATCTTCTCACAGGCTGCCTGGATTCACCTGAGACAGGGGGCAGGCTGGGAGAGGGCCATTGAGTTTTAGTGGATGGAGTCTATAGCTTCTGATCTGACTCTCCACTGAGGTAGTAGAAGTCTTTGGTGCCCAGGAAATTAGAATGAATGGGAGATGACAAGGTCATTGTTGAGACTGTTTCCTGTGCAGGGATCAAGTTACTTTAGAACCTGGATCTCTCAGAATGAATTGCTCAGGTCTCTGAACCTCAAACCAAATAGATGAGCTTTATATTTAGGCTGCACATTTCAAGATTGAAATCAAAATTGTCATTTTGACTACAGTGTCTCTTACCTGGAGCTATGGCAAACAGGAAGGAAAAAGGTGATATGGGGCTTCACTGGAGCATCTAGAAGAGTAAGAAGAATGACCACTCTCATTTGACACCTTTATAACAGCTGCTGTGTTATGATTAGATACATCAATACGATGAAATATTTCATCTTCTTATGAGGTTCCCAGACTTTTTCAGTTTTGTTAAGAAACAAATAATCAGAATAGTTAAATAACCCTTCCAAAGCAGGTGACAGAGCCAAGATTTGAATCCAGGGTTTAGATACTACAGCCCATCTTCTTCTTCTAGAGCTACCAAGGGATTAATAGCATATCACACCTAGGCGTGCTATGGTGGGAAGCAGAATGCCAGGGGAACGTGTACTTCATTCAAGTCATTGCAAATTAGTTTATTTGGGTAATCTCTTCTGGCACATCATTTAGCAATAGCAGAGGATTTAAATTAGATTTTCTTTAAGGGGATGTCTATGACCAGATTCTTGCTTGAAGACCTTCAAGGCAGGCACTAGTGGTGGGGCCTGACATCTACAGCATGTCCTTGTGAAGGAGAATCTGAGCTGGCCCCTCTACCTTCTGAGTTACTATGCTAAGAAGGGAAACAGACAAACAGCAGGAGGTTGCAGTTCCCAGAAGAGGCATTGTTCTTCTTCAACCACCTCTGCTGTCTGCCCTGTTACCTAAACAAGTATTACTCCAAATACCTGAAATAGTCATCTTCCAGGAATACACCTGATACTTGCAAAACAGGACAGGCTTCTGTCCATAGGACTTCAAGATGCAAGTAGGTTTTGGGTTTTCTCTGCATGCCTGATTGGTGCTTGTTGTTTCCCTAACACCAGTTCATTTTCTGATTCTTTTCTCTTTGGCCAAGTGCCTCCTTTTCACACTGTGTTAGTAACAACCATTGGGGAGACCAGTGGCATGCATGGCTGGCTTGCATAGATCCCACTCTTCAACTTCATGTTCGAGCATATGCCATCTATTACATCTCCCCATTCTGTGAGTGATGTTGCAATCAATACAAATAAACTTCAGGGGCCCTCGGCTATAGGTAAACTGTGCCAGCATAAATCGATGAGGTGTTGAGAAACTCTATGTCACATACTCTGATGCTCTGTAATTCTACTTTTCTGGCTACCAGAGCCCTCCCACAGATTCCAGGGCTTGGTTCAGAAATCTCCCTGCCTTTCCCAACTTGGCTCACAATGATCCCACCCAGAAATGTGGACTTCTCAGGAGAGACAATGGAACAATGGGAACTATGAGGGCTGCGTTATTCTCACTATTTGACTCAATCTGAACTGTGTCCACTGTAACAGTTAAGGTGTAGGCAAATCTCTCTCAAAATCATCCCTGGACCACCAGCATCAGAATTAGGCACCTGCTAAAAATGTAGATCCCCTCAGGACCTCCTATTTATTCAGAATTTCTGCAGTCAATACCCAGGAATCTGAAGTTTAGACAAGCTCCCTGTTGTGTCAGTGCCCCTGAAGGAAACTGATGACACACTCAAATTAGGATAATTTTAGGAGGGTTTAATAAAGGGACCATTTCAGAGAGGTAGTCGGGGTAAGGAGAAGTCACAAGTGCTGTGCGCTGTTAACAGCCTAGGTGCAGCTATGCAGGGGCACGCGCGGCAAATGGGTTACTGGAATCTGGAGCAGAGGGACTGTGGGAAGGGCCATAAGATAGGATGTGCTTGGAATTTTGCCATGGAGGGACTCAGCCAGTGCTTGATGGCCCAATAGGGGTATAAGGACACCAACCTCACTTTGCCAATCTTCTGCAAACCAGAAGCCAGAGGCAAGAGAGCCTGTAGTTTTGCTACACAGGAGGCAGCCCCCTAGGGCATGGGGCATGGTGAGAAGGACCGTGAGTGGCTCTGCAGGACAAATGGAGACTGCCCAGCCTCTGACTCCCCCACAGCAAACCTTGAGAACCACTGGGCTAAACATCTTTCTTGTCTCCAGCCGATGAAGGCCAGTTTCAGTTCATAAGTAAATGAGACAGAGGGTGAAGGGGAGTAAAAGAAGAGGTGAAAATGGAAGATCCTATTACGGGAAATCCAGGGAAAGCCAGAGATCCAGGAAAAGAGGGTGAGGGAGTTGCAGGAGTGTGAGCAAGTCTGTACTTCACTTCCCTGGTGTGCTCCAAATTCCCCTCATGCTGCCCTGCACTTTTGGTCACCTTCCCGTGTGTGTGTGTTTGTGTGTGTGTGTGTGTGTGTGTGTGTGTGTGTGTGTGTTTTTCTGCCTCATTTTGCTTAGCACGTTTTCCCTAACTCCCCAACCTAGCGTGAGACTCTTCTTTTCAGTGCTCTGGGAACTGGAGGCAGCATTTTGTGTGTTTTAACTTTCTGTGGTCTCCATGATCTGCTACAAGTGGTTCCCATGTTCATGGGCACTTTTTCAAGACTTCATCTGACTGTTTCTGGAAGAGTCTGTGACTACAGTAGTCCTTCCTTATCCACAGTTTTGATTTCTGCAGTTTTAACTACCCTGCAGAACAGTACAACAAGATATTTTGAAAGAGAGAGAAAGACCACATTTCCATAGCTTTTATTGCAGTATATTGTTACAACTATTCTAGTTTATTGTTGTTAATCTCTTAGTACACCTAATTTATAAACTAAACTTTATCATATATATACATGTATAGGAAAACACATAGCACATAAAGAGTTTGGTACTATCAGCAGTTTTAGGCATCCACTGGGGTGTCTTAGAATATATTCCCCATGGATAAGGGGGCACCACTATACTTTCTAGCAAAGTTGTGACATTGAACAGAGAGGTGAGACACCAGTGAGAGCTACCAGACCAAAGGTGAGTGTTGGGGGAATCCTTAGAGAAAGCTCATTTGACACTTTTTAAAGAGTTTATTGAGGAGCTTGTTCAAATTCAAGATTAACTAAATTGTCTCAAATTACATGTTTTCAGACCAGGGATTGCTGCCAGCTCCCTAAAAGTAACCATTTATCTTATGGGTTTTTAGCAGTTCATATTGTGGAACTGGTCCCAAATCCTACCTTCATGATTTTTTTAAAATATGGAACACTTCACTAATTTGCATGTCATCCTTGCACAGGGGCCAATGCTAATCTTCTCTGTATCATTCCCATTTTAGCATATGTACTGCTGAAGCAAACAACGAAAAAACTATGCATTTTTTTTCAGTAAGAAAAATGCATACTTTTTTCCTTCTTTGATGACAAATTTTGCCCTCCAACTATATTTTCTTTGTTACACACAGCTACACTTTGCTATGCCCCTTCATCCTTCTTGTTGCATTAGATTCCATGTAAAGCAAAGAGAATACAAATTAGATGTATCTCCCATCTACCTGGGGAAGTCTGACGGCAAAGCATAAAATCCATTGACTTTTCCCCTCTGTTTTTAACTGAAAATGGAACTCAAATCACACCCTAAATCCATCCATTTGTTCATCTAAGTGCATACGCATTTCACCATAAAGACTCAAATCCACTGGGGAAGAACAAACAGTAATAGTTTACATTTACTGAGCATTTACTACATACCTGTCATTATTCTGAATGCTTACTATAGATTATTTTATTTAATCCACACGAGCACACTATGAGGCAGGTACTTATTATTGCCGCTTTTCAAATGTGGAAGGTGAGGCACACGGCAGTTAAATAACTTGCCTAGGCTCATACTCCTGCTAAATCTTACAGCCAGGATTAAAACCAAGGCGGTCTGACTTCAGAGCCTGTGCCCTGAACCACAAAACCATGCTGCCTCTCTGAGTATGAAGAGTTTCTATACTTAAGTTTGCGCCTCTGTTTCCTTTCGTTATTCATTTTTTATCAACAGACATTCAGAGTGTCAAGCGCTGGTGGCGAGAAGCTGAATAAGACTGCTTCTCCTTTCGAGCAGGAACATGGGAGGTCTACAGAACAGGGGAGTGACAGATCCCTGCAATATATGTGAGAGGCAGAATAGGAGGTAGGAATAAAGTGCCCTGGAAAGACAGAGCAGGAAGAGACATTTCAGGAAGTTTTTGGAAAACTTCCTGGATGAGGTCACAGTTAAGCCTGTCAAATAGCAGGTACTTAATAGGTCTTTTGAATGAATGGCAATAGAAATTCATCAAGAAGAGAAAATGATGATAAATAAAAGAAACACCAAGGGCAGATAGTGGCTCTTGACTTTGTTCCCCATTTTGAGACCCCATTTGTGTATAGCAGGTGGGCAGCAGAATGGGAGTTCTTGAGATTTAACTCTCGTGAGGTTCCCTGGGTCCCTGTGTGCCTGAGTCAGGACCTAAATGTGGCTGAGAGTCCAGCTCACCGGTGGAGGGGAGGAAAGGTTCCTTTTCTTTGCACATCCATCGCTAGGTTCATGGGTAAGGTGCCCCTTACGAAAGACAGATTTACAAGAGAAAGGTATACAAATGTATTAATGTAAGTTTTATGTGGATGGAAGCCTTTGGAAACGAAGACCCAAAGAAAGAGAGAAGCTTGTTTATTTTTATGCTTGGGTTGATGAAGAGTGGATAGTCATGGAGAAATATGATTGGAGGACAAAAAGGTGTGATCTGATGGTAACAACCTTGGGGGAACTTAGCAAGACCTCCTTGTTCAGATTCTTCCTGGCCTCTGTGTCTTTGAGGATAAGGATGTTCCTTTCCTCTAGGTATAGAGATGGCACCTTTTTTTTTTTTTGAGACTGAGTCTCTTTCTGTCACCCAGGCTGGAGTGCAGTGGTGTGATCTCAGCTCACTTCAACCTCTGCCTCCCGGGTTCAAGTGATTCTCCTGCCTCAGCCTCCCAAGTAGCTGGGACTACAGGTGTGTGCCACCACGCCTGGCTAATTTTTTGTGTTTTTAGTAGAGACAGGGGTTTCACCTTGTTAGCCAGGATGGTCTCGATCTCCTGACCTCATGATCTGCCCACCTCGGCCTCCCAAAGCGCTGGGATTACAGGCATGAGCCACTGCACCCGGCCTGAAGGCACCTCTTGAATGAGGATCTTGTGGTCTCTTTCAGGTGGTCAGAAAATTCTGTCTAGGTTTGATAGTCTGCTTTAGGGGAGAAGGGCAAGAGGAGGTCAGAGAGTGTCCTTACTGCTTCTGCTGTTTTCTAAAATGCCAAGGGGCCATATTTTGGAGCAGCCTGTCCTGAACTCCAACAGCAAAGGTAGAACAGGGCAGAGTGATAGCCTGGTCAGGAAGTGAATGAATGGGACTCACAGCCACACTGATTGTCTCTAGTGACACCAAGAGCTCAGGTGAGGCTAAATCAGCCAGGAACCCCCAGGGGCCCAAAGAGGATGGTCAGGAGTAGGAGGAAGACATCACAAGTCATAGAAAAGAGATAGGAGGGCCGTTTTCTCTGCATATGCCAGTTATAACAGTTGAATTTGCACTCCCCAGTACTCCTAGAGACTCTAACATTGTGAGAAAGCCAATTCTTTCAGAATGTGGAAGACTCGTCAGTTGGACCTGCCAAATCCACCTGTATACTTTGCTATAGTATCAGAAATGATTCTTTTTTATTTTCTCTCTCCCCAAGGACCAAGATGGATTTCCAGCCTGGATGTTTTGGCGGGGATTCTACCCAGCGGTGGGGGGAAGAACCACGTGCCCTTCCAACCTTGCGTCAGCAATCCCATGAGGCCCGCCATGAGTCACTGCCAGTGGCCCAGACTCAGTTGTGTGGAGTCTCACACCCTGGGGCGAAACTAGCTAAGTTCATGGGTCTTTCCTGTCTGTGTTCTCAGTGACTCACCCGAAACAGATAATAACAGTGAGGTTGGGCACACCATGTGACTGGTGCCAGCCAGAACAGGTCATGCTGTTAACCCTTGGATCCCAGGCCACCAACTGCTGACTCCCAGGCCCTGGGACAGGCCCATGACACACTTGAGTGGTATCTCCTTCCTATCTCTCTGGGATACTTGGTCAAGGTTTCAGTTTTGGAAATATGACCTTCCCTTGTAAAGGATCTCAAACTTGGGGTGGTTACTGATAGAGACTGCATCAATAACTATTACCCAGGAGGGGCCCATTGTCCTAAAACACCACCAGAGCACAAGTGAGGAGTTTTCATTCATCAAATTGGGTGTTCTTCAAAGTTTGCCAAGGTGCAGATCCTGACCCCTTTCCTGGTTCTTTCCATCAGTTGGGTGATTCCCAAAGTCTGGGGAAAGAAAGAGAAAGGAGGAATTTAAGAATGGAACAGATGATTTCTCCCACCTCAGACAAGCAGACTGTGAGCTCACCGTGTATCTTAAGTATTTGTGGGCAGGGTCCCAGGCAGGACTGTAACATGTCAGCATATGACTTAAAGGCTTGGTGACAGAACAAGGATCCACCCAGCTCAGCTGCCCTGCCAGGGTGTTCTCATTGCCTCGCCAGCTTCAGATCACTCCCCAGGGATGCTGCATTCATTATGAAAACCTCTGGTCAAGGTTGAAAGCCTGCAGGATATGTACTATGACCTCATAATTCACATGGGATAGTCCAGAGGTCTCTAAGACTCTCCAAAATATTATTATGATGCAACCTTTACCCCATAATATGTGACAGAGCATAACTCAAAATTTAAGTGATCCTTTGCTGACCCTTAATGAGGTTAAAGTGAAAAAACAAAACAAACAAACAAACAAAAGACAAGATGAGCTGAGATGCTGAGGCTGGGCAGTGATCTGAGTGCTGAGGGTTGCTGATTCTTCAAGATACACATTGCTCCAGGTCATGGGGCAGGGTGTATATGTACATATGTGTGTGAGTGTGAGAGAGTGGGGGACTGGGTAGGAGACTGGAGTAGGGAGAGGGATGGGACATGTTGCTATGGAGAGAGAGCAGTGAAACAGGCAGTACGAAAGAATACGATCATGTCAGACAGTCGAGGATCTGGGTCTCAGCCCTGACATTCACTACCCAGGTGGCTTTGACAATTCATGAGTCTTCTCTCTTTCACCTGTAAAGTGGGGTAACAAAGGTAGATTTGTTAAGTGAGGAGATAATATGTGTAATTGCCTAGGAGAGTTCTAGTCACATAGCAGATCATCAGTGGAGGTCCACTCCAATGATGACTGACAACTAGCTGAGAAGTGAATGAGCAAGCCAGGCCAGAAAATTTTATGAACAGTGAAAACTGCAGCCCAAAGTTCTGTGTATTTCTCAACAGGAAAACAGCTGTATCCTATTTTATGGTGTACAAATACTTTCACTTATGTCACCTCATTCTTCCTCTCAGAAACCCTCTAAGGAATTTATTGTAGTGATGAGGAAACTGAGGCCCAAGACCACACAGTCGGCAAGGCTGGAACTGGACCCTAAGTCCTATGCATCTTTATGCTACCCCATGAGGGAGCAGCTGCAAGTCATGAACACACGTCCATCATGCAGCATCATGGGTGTGGCACCCAAAGGATGAGCTGGAAAATGAAACATTATAAAGATTTTGTGTTAACTGCAGAAACTCTAGAAACCAGGCATTGATTCCTCCACTCCAGAAATATTTATTGAGGATCTACAATGTGCTGGGCACTGATCCCAATGCTGAGGATATGTCAATGAACCAACTAAACAAAGCCCGGATTCCTAAGAGACAACAGTAAACAATAAGCATAGTAAGTGAGTAAAGTGTGTCGTATTTTAGAGGGTGTTAAGTGCTTTGGGAAGAGGAAGGAGTAGAGCAGAGTAAGAAGGATCTGGATTGCAGGCCACAGGATGGTTGCAATTTAAAGTAAGTTAATCCAAGTCAACCAGACTAGGGAAAAGATTTAAGTTGGGGGTCAAGGGAGTGAGGAGTGAATACCCAGAAGCAGAGTGTTCCAGGCAGAAAGGAAAGTCAGAGTCAAGTCCTAAGGCAGGCAGATGCCTGGCATATTTGGGGAAACTTCAACACCCAGAGCACAGTGCTGGCACCATGAAGATTGATGGATTGATTATGATGGTGGATCACCAGCCCACAAGCTCAGTTTTATGGTTTCTAGAAAGTCTATTCAAGACTACAAGGCCCTTCCACTGATACACTCACAAATCTGAGCCTCTTGGGCCAGTACATTGAATGAGATAGTATCGTTTTAGTAAGGATTCTTTTCTCTATCAAGGGAATCTTTTCAATAGTGAATTGTGTTCTTGTACTTAAAATATTTCATCTCTAAAGGTTCCATTGATGTCTGACTCTGCAGAAATGACTTGGTGGTATAGACAGGACCCTGATATAGGGATCTCTATTGATGACACTTGACCTGCTGCTGTTTAGTTATATGTTCCATAAAGGCAGCCCGTAGGTCCCATCTCTTTACTCAGGCACTGAAGTGTTCCCTGCATCTGGCGCCTCTTGTCCCTACATCCTTACCTCCTCTGCTGTCTTTTACACATCCCTCACTATAAGTCAAGCTAGAAACCTGTGCTCTCCAAATCCTGCCAGAACTAATTCAGAAGAAAAACATTTTATCGCATAAAAGTTTGTATATAACAATTAAGCATGCATTGAAATCTATATTTGCATTTAATTTTCTGATAGCTTGAAAACTAATGTAAAACATTTTTAAATCTTTTTAGCAAATAAAGTTTGCCCCAGCCCCCTCCAGACAGTGTGCCTTTCCTGGTGTTACCTGTCTCTCCTTTCTTTGCCGTAGATTACCCATACTTGGTATCAGTTACCAGTGTGTCTGCATAAGAAAAAATTTAAATAAAAAGTGTGTGCAAACATTGCAAAACAGTTTTCATAGAAAATAAAATATTTTTAGAGACAAGTTAATGCTTCCCAGGATTAACAGCAGGTAAAATTCTAGGAGACCCCTGTCTCTTTCCCCCAAGCAGAGAAGGTCACTGCTAAATATCACTGGCAGGAAGCTCCTGGGCTACAGCACACTTTGCAAACTGCAAAATCACAACAGCAGAATTCCTGGTGTTTGTACTATAATTCTGGATATATTTACTTGCCATATTTTTTAGACTTCATCTAGTCTTTTTCTCTTTCTCTGTCTTACACTGGCATTTTTCCTCTTAACACCATTTGAGGTGAGAAAAGTTGTAAAAAAATAATTAAAGTTTGAGTCTTGGTTCTTCTCATCTTTAAATGGATAATAATAACAATAGTAATAATAGCAACACTAATAACAATAGCAACACCAATACCCATAGCAACACCAATACCCATAGCAACACCAACAATCTATAAAAGACTCTAGGCAATGACTGAAGTGATAGTATTGGAGAGACAAGCTGACATGCACAATCCAACTATAAGAAGAAAAAAACTGAGGAGCGTAAAAGACAAACCAATCCATAAAGTAAATTAGACACTGATTTTTAGAATACTCTTTACTTTCAAGTCTTAGTTTCATGCCTCTGTTAATTTTACTCTATGTTAGATAAAAAGTAAGGAGTTTCTGCAGTCATAAGAGTGTACACGGCCAGGTGCAGTGGCTCACGCCTGTAATCCCAGCACTTTGGGAGGCAGAGGCAGGCAGATCACGAGGTCAGGAAATTAAGACCATGCTGGCTAACATGGTGAAACTCCATCTCTACTAAAAATACAAAAAAAATTAGCTGTGTGTGGTGGCAGGCACCTGTAGTCCTAGCTACTCGGGAGGCTGAGGCAGGAGAATGGTGTGAACCTGGGAGGTGGAGCTTGCAGTGAGCCGAGATCACACCACTGCACTCCAGCCTGGGTGACAGAGCAAGACTCTGTCTCAAAAAAAAAAAAAAAAAAAAAGAGTATGCTCTTTGGGGGGTTCCACATATCATTACTTCCTTGCAATGTCAATGATTCTGGAAAAAGTGAGAAAGAGATAGTGAACAGGGTAATGAGAATAAAGGAAGCTGGACCTAAGAATTAAGTTCATCACCCAATAAAATACTTTACTTTTAGACTGATATATAAAAAAAATTCCCTGAATTCTCAATAGGCAGTGGCATTCACTGTATTAAAACATCTGAAAAAGTGTGTGTGTGTGTGTGTGTGTGTGTGTGTGTGTGTGCTCCTAGTTACAAATTATGCAGGAAAAGCAATTTTCCCTACTTTCCCCTACTTTGGGGATGGGATTAAGTCTAGAGTAAGAGACAACTATTTAAGGCAAATAGTTTTATTGTAAAATTAGGATTATATGGTTCAGTAAGGGCAAGAAATAATTCTGGATTTGAGATGAGGGAGAAAAGGAAATGGAGATTTACACACACACACACACACACACACACACACACACACAAAGCATGGTCCTTGATTCTGCCCATCTCCATCCCTAACCACATCTACCTCATAAGACAGTGGGTCTCAATTCTTTTTCTTTTTTTCCGCGTAAGTACAAAGACTGTGCATAGATCCTGGGCTGTAGAGCACTCCAGGAACCCCCAGCCATGCAGCTTGGAGGGGCCTGGGGCCTGAAAGGCAGGGCGATCAGAGACACTGGAAGAAAAGCCAGCCAATGAAGAAAGGAAGGTAGTTCAGATGATTTTTTAAATTGCACACTAACTCCTCCAGAGGAAGAGAGAGTAGAGAGAGAAGCCTGGGGCTCAGGAAGAAGGAGAAGAAAGAGAAAAACCTCCCAACCAGCAGATGTATATATTTTCCCCCTGTTTATTTTTTTCTAAGTCCGGTTGCAGGAAAAAAAAGCCCAAGCTATAGTTACTAATATGTAAGACATGACCCAAATGCAGAAATCTTCCCTTCATCATAAACCAGGTAAGTATAATAATAAAAACAAAGCACTTAGAGGTTATGGGAAGAAAGTATTTCTGCTTTCAAAACTTTGATTGGAGAACTTTATTTGAAAAACAGAGCTTTTAAATTATACTTTGTTTATGACATTTGGTTTATTATACTTTCTTCCACTTATGCTAGATTGTAGCCGGTCAGAGCCAGTGTCCCCAGCAATCCTAAGTAGCTAACCATGTTCACACTGAAAGCATTACACACCATGCATACACAGACAGACACACACGTACACACATGTACATATGTACACACACATACATCCAGCCATTCTTTGAAATCCAGCTCTTATCCCTCCACATCCTTTTTGAACACTTCCTGGGTTTTCAGCCTGTGTGATAATGAGAACCGTACCATGTTACTTGGTTGTTTATGAGCTAGTTACTTCTCTGGAACTATTATAGATTCTGAGCACCTTGAAGGCAAAAATCCCTTTGTACTCCCTGTCTCGCCTTTCTGTCTACTGCCCTCTACTCATCATAACACAGGTTGAGCACCTAGTGTGTAATGTAATCGCTTTGTAATTGTACAGACAATAATAGAGACATCACCACTAAGCTTTATCTTCCTCTGGTAGTAGGCAAACTCCATGACAAGATCTTTTACTACCTCTTTATTTATTTATTTATTTAGTTTTACCACATGCATCTTTTTAAAGGCAGTCCTTTAGGATACTTCAAAGAAATCCCTGAGTACATTTTACAAAAGTTTGCTCCCTGCCCACCCTCACCCACCAATGCAACACAACTTAGCAAATGCAATTTCTCTCCAAGTATAAACACTCAGAGGGGACAAGGAGGGGATTCAGTTCTCCCTGCAGTCATCCTGCCTGGGGTGGAGATCTGGCCCTTGTGGCTTTCATGATGACCACCACCTGCAGCCTAACCATTTGGGGCACACAGGAGAGGGTGGCTCTTTCTTGGGGAGATCATTGTTCAAAAGCCCCTCTATACCGTTTGTCTCTGCCGTGTTGCCTGCCAGAAGCAATGTCTGATGCCTCCACTTGGCAGCCACAGGCTGTGAGGTCATCTTTTCACCACTCGCTGTTCCTTCAGCATTTAAGCTCTCTGGCAGTGACTCAATGTTTACAATCGCATTAACCTGTGAGGAACGCCGTGGCTGTGTCGAAGAACAAGGCCCCTGCTGGCACCAAGGTAACTGTGGACATGTTCTTGGGAAGAGGTGAGGGGAGGGGGCAGGGAGCCAGGCACAGTGTGGTGGGATACCTGTGTGTGGGGAGCTCTCTTCCGCTCTTGGCAGGACATCCAGTTCCCAAAGAAGGAGAATGACCCGTCATGCTCAGTCTAGTTTGTGCTGTTGCTTGGAGGAGAATGACCCATTGCTGTCTTGTTCACAGGCCAGAGTGAGCAAATCCCCCATGCAGCCAATACACATGCGTAAGGGAGGCACAACGACATCCATGCAAAAGGAGCCTCTCGGGTAATGTTACCCTTTAGGGGCCCAAATAAAACATACATGCTGAAAATCAATCTCACTCCTAGAGTGGGAAAAAGCAAGAGAAAGTGCTTTCTGCTATGGAGGTGAAGACACACAGGAAGCATAGGCCTGAACAACTCAAAGGAGTCCTTCAAACTCCAGAGAATAGATGGTCGTCAGCAAAATGCTCTAACAGTTTCTAAATACAGTGAGCTCACAAATTTAATTCTCAACATGACTCAAATGTGCACACACAGGAGACACACTCTTTGTTTTGTCTGTAAAAATGATGGGTTCTTTCCTGAGGGTTCACTGACTGATTGGAGTGGGGGAATAATTTAGAGCCCCACCAATTTCAAGCCTAGTTGCATCTAATCATTTATACAGCCTCTTTAATGAATGTTTAGCCGTGGGCAAATGCTGGGCTTTCAGATAGCTCTGCCTTCTTCCTCCCTTCCAGGGAGGGAGGTGGTATCGTTAGAACTGGTATCTAAGTAAATGATGCTACCTTCTGGGAGAGGGGAGGGCTATGGGTCCTCCAGCTTCTTTGGTTCCTAGACAACTCAGTGGTTGCCCACTCTGCTGCCATTTGTGCACATGCATTAGGCTGAAGTTACTCAGCCCCTGAGGACTGTTTTTAGGTCCTGACCATGATATATAGGAACCAAGGGTAGCAACCAGAAAGCTAAGCTTCAAGGCTTCCAGCGACCAGACCATCCAGTATGCCCAAGCTGACCTTGATGGAGCTGCACCCAGGGAAGGATGAATCTGCCTTCTCTCAGGGTGCATATAGGGAGCAAACCAAGAGTCTCACAATCTTAAACATTCTAGAGTGAAAGTTTAGTTCTGAAGAAGGTGAGAACTCAGAGTGACAATGTGATCATCTAGTCCAGTGGTACTTCAATACAACTTAGCAGATACTTTACAAAAAATGAATTTGAAAGCCAGTATGCCAGACAGATAAAAGTAGGTCCCTTTCTACTTATTGAGACCCATAGGGAGGGACCAGAACTTTGCCCAATGTGAGCTCCAGGGCTTCACAGATATTTTTCTATGGAAATCACCAATCTTTTCCAAACTCATCATTTCCTAGATGAAGAAGCTAGGACATAATTAATTGAAGTAAATTGTCACAGAAATTGCAAATGGGAGAGCCTAGACTCAAAATATTTCTCCAAACTTTCTACTACATTATACATTTCACATCCCCAAAAGTTTAACTTGATCATAAGGACTAGGTGCTGTTAATGTTCAATTTCAAACACACATTTTGATGCCCCCAACGTCAATGGCTTCTACTGGCGAAAAACAATTTATTATCAGAAATAAGTCATTCTAACAACCATACTTAAGTGCATAAAGAGTGAAAAATTCTGACATGTTTCATTCTGACTAGTCTTTACTTAACAACTTTCTTATGTCTAGCCCTAATGATACATCCCAACAATGTCTCTAACATATAGTCATGTTAAAGTCACAGAAACACAAGCAGGCATTGCCTACTCAGCACTGTCTACTCTTCTTTCTGTTTAGCTTTGGTCTATTCTAATGAATACACTATTAAGAAATAGATGAATAAACCTCAGTATGTTAGCGAACTGTTTTACATACTTGCTGAAGTAAAGCTTACTTGGGATTTATAGAACAGAGAAGCAAGTAAATGACTTTAGGCCATGATTAGAATGCCCACAGAAAGAAAACAAGAAGAAACATATTTCAAGAAGGCACTGAAGATAAATGTATCAAGCACTTTGAGCCCCGTATCAAGGCAAGTGGCATTCAAACCTTCAAAACCCTGGCCAGTGTGAATGAGTGGGACATTTATTGCATGGCTGATAACTTATAAACACACTTTGTTGCTACACAAGTTCAGGCAATTACTGGGCAATTATACCAGCAAGCCACCTAGTAATTAAAAAGATGGAGTCTTGGGTGGGCTGCCATTTGGGCAGCAGTGGCTTCTTTCTTACTTCATTGACATGATCACATTCTCTTGAGAAGATCAAATGCCTTCAGAAGCCAGTAGATAGATGACCCACTTGTAAAGCAACTGAATTACAAGAAGGAAGACGGCTCTTATTCTGAAGTGGTTCAAAGCAGTTCTTCCTTAGTTAAGAGAAAGGCCATAAGTGACCAAGAAACCATGTCTGCAGATGCCTAAGCCCAGGGTGCACATGTGGGGTGAACATTTATGTGCCAAGTGTCTACCAAGTGCAAGGTATATGAGTAGTCTTGCAACAAACAAATGACCCTTACACGAGATCTGTAAGGCTCTGGGCATGAGATTGAGTGTTTTACATACACCATCTCATTTAATCTTTACAACTAGGCTGTAAGGGAGGAATATATTATTATTATTTTAAAGACAAGGCTCTTTAAAGAAAAGCTAAATAACAAGAGCCCACCTTCTCTCTGCTAGTGAATGGTCAACTTGGGACTTTAACCCACATTTTCTAACTGCAGATTCTGCTTATCCGTTTTCAGTATTTCCTTTTTCTGGGAGGAGGGAAGATTGAAAAAAATTTAAAGATGTGATTCTAGCCTTCCAAGAGATGACTGAGAGTGAAATAACTCTGGAACAATTGGAAGTAGATCATGAGCCAGGGCAAAGGAATATAATGTGGATTAAAGCACCAATCAAGAGTAGAGGGCTAAACACATGTGTTCTGAATGTACACAGTTAATCCAGAAGGATGTCATAAATGGGTGTGAATTTTGAGTCAGGGTCTAAAAATTATGAATGACTATTTTTAACCTCATCTACCGCAAGTGTTTAATTATGTTGCTATACTTCCATCAGCCTACCTCTGTGACTATTGGACTGAGAGTTGAAAATATATTTTTCTTACCTTTGAAAATATGAAGTGTTGAAAATTGCTGACAGGTGTGATCATGTTTTGACTGAAAAACCAGCTGGTTTGGTTTGGGGCCTGATTTCAGGTGCTTGATAACTAAAGCCTTACTACATTTCTTTTCCTTATTATTTCAGAGAGTACTGCCAAGCTGGGAGACAGTGCTGTTAACAGTTATCAAGTTCTGTATGAGCCTTACTAGTATGGAGACAAGTAAACCAGGCATAAATGGTAGACATTTGGACCAACTTTAACAACTAAAATATGTACTCATTTCTGGTCCTAGAAACAATTGCAAATAACAGGAATCCAGTTTCTATGAGTGTGAAGAATCCTCAGGTTGGTTGAATGAGAAATTTCTTAACGTCAAGTACTAGAGTGGGTGATGAGATACAGAAGGAGGGCTACAGAAAGAGACCTGGTTTTACCTGTTACCAACAGGTTGGCTTTATCACTCTATCCTTTACTATTTGTCTTTACACAATTAAAATAATACAATGTATTTGAATGTGAAATGTATGCAAAAGCACTTTGTCATTTGAAAAAATTCTACAGTCATAAGATACTGTTATATTAATGCCCTAGGTCCTTGGTATACAATTCCAGGTCAGTGAAATTCACATACACTTGTAAAAGTTCAAATATGTTCTTACATATTTATAATTACTGTCTTAGTCCATTTGGGCTGCTATAACAAAATACCATAAATTGGGTGGCTTATAAACAACAGAAAATTATTTCACTCAGTGCTAAAGGCTGGAAGTCCAAATTCAAGATGCTGGCAGAGTCAATGCCTGGTGAGCCCTGATTCCTCAGAGATGACGTCATCTTGCTATGTCTGCACATGGTGGAAGTAACAAGGGTCTCTCTGGGGTCTTTTTTTGGTAAGAGCACAATCCCATTCACAAGGGCTCTCCCCTCATGAGCTAATTACTTCCTAAGGCTCCACTTCCTGATATCATCACCTTAGAAGTTAGTATTTTAACATATGAATCTGGAGGCGGGGCACAAACATTCAAACAACAGCAATTTACTAATAACCATAATCCAGAAATAACATATTATTTAAAATAATGGATTAATATTGACAGTAAAAATATTTTTAAATCTCTATATAAATTTCTAATTGGTTATCATTGCTCTAGAAAATAATTGTTATTCACAACCGAAGAATCCAATTCAATGACCCTAAAAGCATGGTACTCAAAGAATCTAAGTCATGGAAATGTAAAAGTCTCACAATATTCTTTGTTTATATTTTCCCTCAGTGGAACTACTAACTTGGCTATGTGACATTGGTGAGTGGCTCGGTTGTTCTGCACGACTGGCAACACACCTATAAAATACCCTAATCAGACAGTTCTTTGCCTCCCTCGGGACAGAATGAGAAAACATGAGATCTTATCTGTTGTTATGACCCTAGGGTGTCGCAGACAAAAGAGCTAGATAAGCCCACATTTCTGACATCTTTAAGGATAATGATAATGCTCAAAAATAAACATTTTTTCCCTCTATTTTTTTTTAAACAAAGTTATGTTCAATTTTCAGTTGGTAAGCCAGGTGCAGAATGCCAACTAACCCTTCCACCTCAAGTTGTTGTTGAAGGCTGCAGATCCAGGAAGTAGTACTGATGAAACCTATTTTGTTTGGAAGCAGCAGTGTTAATACATCAATTTTGACTGACCTCCCTTGCTCTTCTTGGATTTCAGCCCCCATACCTGCTGTTTTATGAATTCCGTTCAACCCTAATTAACCAGAATATGAAAGCTGTGTCCTCAGTAGCCAGGCAGTGAGGGCAGTAATTTGACGTGGAACATGAGGCCCAACCTTCCAGGGTGGTAGCACAGAGTGATGACTGGATCTCAGACGTCCTGCCTACAATCAACCAGGTTTAGGAGCGGCATGCAGGCCATGTGGAATTGAGAGCCCCAGCAGACTGGGGCAGGGGGGAGTTGCCCAAACACACTTGTCAGGGTTTTCTGCCTTAGAAAGAAAAGCAAAGACCTATAGGAATGAAAGAGTAACCAACTGAAGGAGAGGTTACCCACAGCTGGTGAGGAGACCTGGGGGTGTGGCATCATGGAAGCTACTGAAGAGAAGGTTATTAACAATTTTCCTTACCTAAGATTTAGGAGAATTCTAAACAGAAAAAGTGGACCAATTTGATTTTGCCATGTTTTTAGTCTGCATTTCTTATTGTTTTCATCACCAGTTTATTTTTATAGCATAACTCATATAAGAAATATCCAAGCCAAGTACAGAACTGAAAGTCCCAAGAGGAGAACACTGGGAGAGGAAGAGCTGAGAAAGCCAAATGCCAAGATTTTTATCTAGGGGGGTTCATGGCTCTGAGGACCCACATCCCCAGACAGAAGCCTCCAAGCTAAAGGGATGTGGAAGCTTTAGGAAAGTCTGGGGTGGAAGAAACTGCCAACCCTGTCCTGTAAACAGGTTTGCTGTACAGGTAAAAAAAAATCACAGCTGTGACAGGGACATACTAGTAGAGAAATGCTACTGTACTAAGAATCCACCTCACTTTCTCTCCCCAGCCAGTCCAGCCAAGCATGCAGCAGGCATACAACCAAGATAGCTGCTTCTTCCTGTCCTACCTCATCCCCTCTGACAGTTCCATAATAACCTGTGTACACTTTCTGGCACCCTTGCTTCTCCAGGTCACGCCTTCCAATGGAAGGGGAAGCAGTGACAAAGGTGAAAATCATGGCGGTAACAGAAGTCATTTACAGTGCGGAGTCTCCAACCCACAATCACTGGGCATCCCATGGCTTTAAGGTATGATCCATTCTTGTGCCCACCTGCTTCCAGGTATCTCACAACTTTTTACTGAGGATTTGTCTTGAGTTTCTTCCACTCGCTGCAGAAGGAGATGCTGAGACAAAGATTAGGGTACAAGTAGTTTAGTTGGGAGACAATCACAGGAAATGCTGGTGTGGGGGGCACGGAATGTGAGACAGGGAAACTAAGGCAGTCAGTAAAGATATATTACCAAGAAGCAAATTACCATTGTGTGCAACTGAAGTTTAGTCCTTCTGGGGAAATCTAGGAGAACTCCATGAAACGTGCATTTCAGAGGACACAACCAGAGAGGTGGGAAAGGAGGGTATTGACACCCTAACCCCATCAGTATGGGTTGAGAGCTCTTGTGAAATAGAAATTAATTCCCTGGCATTTCTGGCCTGCTGCACCAGTGGACAAACCAGTCAAAAGCTCTCAAACAGGCTGGGCATGGTGGCTTATGCCTGTAACCCCAGAACTTTGGGAGGCTGAGGCAGGCAGATCACCTGAGGTCAGGAATTCATGACCAGCCTGGCCAACGTGGTGAAATCCTGTCTCTACTGAAAATACAAAAATTAGCTGGGTGTGGTGGCACATGCCTGTAATCCCAGCCACTCTGGAGGCTGAGGCACAAGAATTGCTTGAACCTGGGAGGCGTAGGTTGCAGTGAGCTGAGACTGTATCACTGCATTCTAGCCTGGGTGACAGAACGAGACTCTGTCTCAAAACAAACAAACAAACAAACAAACAAACAAAGCTCTCAGGCAAGGGTTGATGGTTGGAAAGTGTCCCTTATTCACTAAAGTGGGAAAGTGGGAAGGGTAAGGGATGTAGCCTGGGGCACTGGAGTTTCTGCCACACCATGGGAAGTTTTCACTGGTGAAACCCATTTCTGCTCCACTGCCTATCTCAGTGATCATGAGCTGCATTAATGACTTCTGCTTGAGTTCCACTCCTGCAAAATTATAGCTGATGCAGGAGAGGGCTATTTCCCAACTAGGTTATAATTCAGGTAAAAGATTCACCAGAGTGTGGCCACACTCTCATCTTCTTAGAAATCTGTCTTCGGGATCTCAGGACAAGCTTTCTAGACTGGGTTAAATGGGTTAAATTCATAATTCATATGGCACCAACCAGGGTCCCAACCAAAACCAGTCTTTCAGTCTGTTTGCTGAAAGCCATGTCAGGTCCTACACAGAGACAGCTTCAAGGTGAGTTGTCTTACATAGTGATTATCTGAGATTAGTGTCATCTTCTATCTTCTTCTTTCAAGGATCTGAGTCCCATTTTCATAGGCCTGATTTTTGGTCTCAAACTCTATGTTGTGGTCTCCCACAGAGTCTGTCAAACATGATGCCAGTTCTCCAGAGGTGAGTGTCCGGTGTAGACCTCCATGTACCCCACATTTTCACATTGCCTTGTCTCACTCTGTAACCATGTTGTGGGTTTCTGTAAGATAGATTTGCTTCTCATATATTCCTGTGCTTGCCAAGTATAACTTACGACATTTGAGGATCGTCATTAAATGTTAGTTGAATTTCTGCTTAGGAAAGGCAGAAACAAGACCCAAGGTCTCATCCAGGTGCTTGTGGTTCAGGATCATAGCTAGTCCTGCCATTCCACCAGGACACAGAAGCCTCTCCTGCATCACCTCCTTGGACACTACATGTTCCCGAGGAGACAAGATGGGGTAAGGGCTGTTCAGCTTTGAAGCTTATGTTTATGACACAGGAGGAGCAGAGGTCAACAAGCAATGTGTGAACACAGAGAATGGGCACTATCATCTTCTATCTGCAGGAAGAAGGAGGGAAAAAGGGGGAAGCGGCAGCCAAGAACACCTAGGCAGCTCCAGGGTGTGCTGCTCCACTCTGCCCTTGGACATCAGAGTGGAACTTGGGCGATGCTGCCAACATGACATGTGCATTTTGCTAAATTTCTGAAGAAGGGTGGAGACAACAGTAGCAACAACCTAGTACTCAGGACCCAAATTTAGAAGGAAACATGGAGTCAGTCGGTCCACTTTTTAAACTTTCAGATGAGAACTTGTCTCTTCATAGATGAAGAGACAGAAATGTGCTCAAGGTCACATAATAGTTGGTGACCAACCACAGGGATGCTTTTGCTTTGAGAGATGCTGTAGGGTTGTCAGGCCTCTCTTTACAAAAAGACTCATAAGGAGTCTACATCCCCTAAATATAGACATAATGTGCCAGATAATCACAGATCATTTTTCTAAGCATGTACCTTACGCAAAGACACCCCTAAGACTAACCTCAAACATGCACACACACACACACAGACAAACAAACGTGCGCATACACATACACACACACAGACACACGCACATACATTACGAGCCTCTTCCAAGGAACTTGAACACAGCTCCAAACCCCTCCATTTCGGTGTGTTAGGAACAGTTCCAGAGAGGGTGGATTTGGCAGCAGGTGTGTGAATAGTGAAGTTATTCCTGCTTTCTTTTTTTTTTAATTTGTTGAGCAATTCTACCTTCATGTATTTAGGGTTTATCTATCTGTGACCATCATTGTAAAAAGTGCTGAGATACGTAATGGAATAACTCTAATATAATATGGACATACTCTCCATCTTTGGGAGTTTGATAGTTTAATAGTCAACATCAGACCCAACATTCATGAAGCAGGGACAATGCAGAGTATGATTAAATGCTGGGCATCTGTGCTAGAGGAGCTCAGAGGTAGGTGAGGTTCCCAGTGGCTGAATGGGGATGGAGAAGAAGTCATGGAAGGGGTAAGGATGACAGGCCAGGAAGCTTCTACCCTCACAGAGGCAGAGGCAGAAATGGGTTCTACCCATACCACAGCCACAGGAATGGAAGAAGGCAAAAATGGAATGTCAGGGAGCTATTGCTCCTGCCTTCAGGCCAAAGTCAGGGATCCCAGGCAAGACTTGGGATGAGGAGACCTTGCTTGTCCCAACTAAGTTCCTCAGTGGGGAGAATTAGTCTGTGTGCATTGTAAGTTAAAAAAGTGGAAACATACCTGCTCATTCCCTCAGGCAGAGGCTTAATTAACACAGAACTATAAAATGTAATGCTCAGTTCTTCAGAAGATAATGTTAGGTAGTAATTCTCAATTTGCATGGCACTGGGTTTAGAAACTTCATGAAGATTTATAGAAAGGGTGAAGCGCTGTTACAACTGCTAAATGAGAAAATGTAAATCTTGAGAATGAGTGGCAGGGGAGAATGGAGAAATTATAAATCTGCCAAATGTTTGAGTCAACATCATATTGGAAGATAAATTGAAAACATCTGACTGTGAAAAAGCATGGTTGCAGACTGCACTGACAAGCTCTTGGTTAAGATGGTAGAGTATAAGAAGTTGAGAATCACTGCATTCAATGGTTCTGTCTTTGTGTCAAATTCCCGCTAGTCCAGAAAGGATTGCTTTTCTTAGTAGACTATATGAGTTGGTGAAAAAAGATCTCTATATAAAATAAACATAAAATGGAGATCAAATAATAAAATGTAGAAACCATACATAAACATCTGGACCAAAAGTTTTAAAAAAAACAAACACGGAATCTCCTACAGACATTTCCAAATATGTAGTCACTTGATTGATTGACAGAATTCTCATTTCTTTCTTTCTAAGCACTGAGTATTTTATAGAAGTCACTTCCATTATAACACTTTTATTCATGTATATTTGCCCTGCATAATTTTCATCGTGGTAACATTTCTCCATCTTGAAAAAGCAATCAAAGGCGTCCTTGAAGGCTTCTTTTAGAAAATGCGCATTGCCCTTTAACAGTACAGCCATGATTAAATCAAATTGTAGGCAGAGGCTTATCCAAGCAAGTAATGGACAAAAAAACAAGTTATCTCACTCTTCTACTTTTGACCAGGTGTCCCTCATGCCACACCTCTCCACTTTCCAAAGCTACTAGTTATTCTTAAGAACAGTTTCCCAGCACATAGAAGTATGTAGACTCTAAAGTTTAGAGAGTATAAATTATAGAGACATGATGGCAGTAGATCATTGTCTTCTCTTTTTCCTTGATAAAATATTTAAGTGACAAATTTTAAGATGGAATGAGAGGAAATCTGACAGGTAAATGCTCTGTAGCCATCTCAAGAAAGACAGATTGTTTTTGAATGTGGCCAAAAAAAAAAATAAATAACCCTAAATATCCTGTTTAAATCAGTTTGCAAATTTTGAGATAAAAATACCAAAGAAGGAAATGATGGATGTAGTTATGATACATGATCATTCAAATCACCTTAGTAATAGAGTAACCCACACACCTCCCTCTCCTAAACAGATGAGAACATTAAGGATCAGTGACGTAAAGTGACTCATCCTGACGCAAAATGAATTAGTAGCAAAGCTAGGGGTAGACCTCAGACCTCTTAATTTTTTTTTTTTTTTTTGCATTTCTTCACCATACATTACTCTTTAATAAGCTGGAATTGAATCCATCTGCTATGGTTTGAATGTTTGTCTCCTCCAAAACTCATGTGGAAATTTAGTTGCTATTGCACCAGTATTAAGAGGTGGGACCTT
Source organism: Homo sapiens (assembly GCF_000001405.40). Lineage (NCBI taxonomy): Eukaryota > Metazoa > Chordata > Mammalia > Primates > Hominidae > Homo > Homo sapiens. The sequence continues at coordinate 221,856,612 of NC_000001.11, forward strand.
TAAGAGGTGATTAAGCCCTGAGAGCTGCACTCTCAGAGGTGGGACTGGTGCTGTATGAAAGGGCAAGTTTCACCCCATCCTGCTCCCTCTTGCCCATTTGCCTTCCATCATGGGATGACAATTTCAATCATGGGATGACACAGCAAGAAGATGACCCCTTAAACTTGGACTTCCCAGCCTCCAGAATTGTGAGACCATATATTTCTTGTCATTATAAGTTACCTAGTATCAGGTATCAAGTAGCAAAAAATGAACTAAGACACCATATAAACATCAAAGTAATTTATTTGATTTGTTTGAAATCGAGTCATTTCTTCCCCCACCACATCCCCTGTACCTGTTCTGCCCCATCTAAAGTGTCCTAAGGCACAGATGTGATCATCCTGTTCTTTTGACAAAAACCAGTAACAGCTCCTTATTTGTGACTAGGAGAGACAGCCAAACTCCATAGGCTGGTTTCTCAGTAGCTCTTCCATTCTTCACAATGCCTTTTCACTTGGAGTGTTTTCCAACCAAACAAAGCCACCTGCTGCTATACAGCCTCCTGTACTCTTCCTATTCATTCCTCCTGAAAAGCCCCCGCCACAGTCTTCTCCGGTGAAAATTCCGTTTGTCCTTAAGGCCAGACCACATACTGCCCCCTACAGGCAGCCTTCCAGGACTCAGCTTTACGCAATTGCTCATTCTGCTTTGCTTGTTTCTCTGTATCAGCTTTTATTACTGTCTGCCACCTGCTAGTTTGCAAGTTCTTTGAGGGAAAATTCCTCTGCTACTTATGCTACAATTCCTGTGCTTTGTACAGCACATAGTAGGTTTTCAGTTAAAAACAATTGTTGAAAAAGTAAATGTGTAGTTTAATTAAAACTATAACAATCTCACCTTCCCCTACCCAAGAATCAGTGAATTCCCATGAAAATAATCCAAAATTGGGTCTTGGTAAACAGGTAATTATCTTTTTTATATAGTAAACTTGTTTTGCACAATCTCTGCATAACCCTAGTCTCTCAGCAAAACTCTCAGTAACTGGAAATTTAAAGTCAATTTTAGATTCAAAAGCGACACATTCCTCTGGGGAAAAAAATAGACAATTCTACACTGAATTACCCAGTTATACACAGAGTCACGGTTTGTCACCATTCATTCATTTCAATGATGCCACAATGCCAAAGAAATGTTCTATTCCAGAACTTATTAAATGTCATTAAATACACTATATGCTTCTGAAAGTACTTATTTACATTTAATATCAAGACATGTCCTTTGGATATTACCGAATAATAGTTTTTGGAAGAAAATACCAGATAAAGAAGGGAGTTGGGGTGGGGGCAGAGGGTGTGCACTATACTGCCTGTTTAATATGAGGCTACGATGCTACCAAATTCAGCAGTTAAATTTCTGGGGACACAAAATTATCCTCATGGCACATCTCTTTTGCAGTTAATAAATATAGATTGTAGACAACAACGGTGCATAGTTAGTCTAATAGAGAAAGCACTTAGTACCTCCAAATCAGGGGTTGGCCCTCTGTTTTATCCAAGAAAAAAAGACAAGACCTATAAAATGTGGCCTGGCTGGTCATTTTCCTCTTTTTTCCTTTTTCTCCTTTATGATGATCTTATTAGTCCCTATTTTCAGGTGCCTGGCCTGAGAAACATTCTTTTTTTTTTAACTGGATGTTTGTACTTACAAATTAGCAATACTGTTGTAAGGTATAAAATAAATTTAAGTGCAGTACATCTAATCCCTCCTCCTGAAACATTTTGAATTTTACATACTTCTTAAAATGGGAAAGAAAGAAAGAGAGAAGGGAGAAAAGGAAGGAAGGAAGGAAGGGAGGAAGGGAGGGAGGTAGGCAGCGAAAAGAGAGGGAGGAAGAAGAAGGAAAGAAAGAAGGGGCTGGGCATGGTGGTGCATGCCTGTTAGCTCAGCACTTTGGGAAGCTGAGGCAGGCAGATTGCTTGAGCCCAGGAGTTTGAGAGTAGCCTGGGCAACATGGCAAGACCCTGTCTCTATAAAAAATAAATACATAAATCAATAAAATTTTACAAATTTTAAAAAGGAAGGAAGGAAAGAAAGAAGAGAAGAAAAGAAAAAAGAAATCATGGCCCAGCAGGACAAAGCTAGAATGGTGTAGGTGTACCATCAGCTGTCTGGAGTTAGTGTGTTAAATCAGTGGTTATTCAGTCCACCTTTCTATAAGGCATATTTTGAACATGGAAAATAGGGCTGAGAAAAGCCACTTCCTAATGGGCAGTGCTTGTGGGCAAAGTTCTACCACTATCCATTGCCCCATTCTGTAAGGATGTAAGGAGGGAGTAAATGAAGACATGGTGTGTCACTTCTGAAAGGTTGCCAAGGGCTGTGTCATCCCTGGAGCTCTAGATTTGTGTTCTGCCTCATCCAAATGAATGCTCTCTTAGTGGGACTTGTAAAGCTAGAGCTTTCATACACACTTTCCTCCCAGATCTGGCAGGCCAGCTATACCGCATCCAATCAATTGTGATCCAAGCTGATTCTACTTAGAAACACCTCCCAATTAGCATGCATCAACATGGTACAAGAAAGAATTCCAAACAGATCAATTAGAGAGCTGCATTGTGAAGAATTCATTTCCCAAGGGTCTCATTTTTTTGTCCTTTGTGAGTTGGAAAACAATTTATATTGTTTTTCTGTAAAAGATGACCCCTCTAAAAATATGAAATGATCTAATTATTGATTTTGAATGCTACATTTTTTTCTCTGTCTGACAGTCATTATCTACCAGACTGTGAATTGTATAACTCATCTCGTTACCCTGCACTCTTCCCCCAGGATAATGCATACATCACAGACTATTATGACCTACGTGTGTCTACATGTAGCCCAGGCATTAAAAACACAAATAACCTCAGTCCAATATTTAGGAACTTGAAAGTAATCACAGAATAGGAAAACATTAGCATCAAGGTTATATGTATGTATATATATATATATGTACACACACACACACATACACACACACACACATACATACACACACACTTATAGATACATATACGTATATATACATACACACACACACACACACACACATATATGTATGTAGGCCCGCCGCAGTGGCTCACGCCTATAATCCCAGCACTTCGGGAAGCTGAGGGGGTGTGGCTCACCTGAGGTCAGGAGTTCATAGACGAGCCAGGGCAACATGGCAAAACCCCATCTCTACAAAAAATACAAAAATTAGCCAGGTGCAGTGGCACGTGCCTGTAGTCCCAGCTATTCAGGAGGCTGAGGAAGGAGAGTCACTTGAACCCGGGAGGTGGAGGCTGCAGTGAGCCGAGATTGTGCCACTGCACTACAGCTTGGGTGACAAAGCTAGACTCTATCTCAAAATTTATATATAGATGTGTGTATGTACAAAAATAATAATGCCTTGAATATATTGTATCTTTCTTCGAAATACTTCAAAATATTTCTATAGGCCAGTTGCAGTGGCTCACTCCTGTAATCCCTGCACTTTGGAAGGCCGAGGTAGCTGGATCACCTGAGGTCAGGAGTTTGAGACCAGCCTGACTGATACAGTGAAAACCTGTCTCTACTAAAAATACAAAAATTATCTGGGCGTGGTGGCGGGTACCTGTAGTCCCAGCTACTCGGGAGGCTGAGACAGGAGAATTGCTTGCACCTGGGAGGCGGAGGTTGCAGTGAGCCAAGATCATGCCAGGGGACTCCAGCCTGGGCGACAGGGCAAGACTCTGTCTCAAAAATGAATGAATGAATAAATAAATAAATAAATAAACAAATAAATAATTGTATAATCATTTTCTTATTATCCAAACTAAATGCTAACACATTTTGAGGATTTAAATAAAAGTTCCTGCTTTACAATTATTAGCACTCTGATTTTAATCAGTCATTGATTTACCTGTTTTTAAGCATTGTATTTTAGAATACCTACATGGAAAAGAATAGCTGTATGTGGATTTTTTCAGTCTATGCTTCTTCTTTCAATTCTTCTTGATAAATGAGATCTACTTTCTTCGGGACAAATAACCACTTCTTTAAAATTCGAGTCTTTTCTAAAAATATGTTCACGTTTTTCTCAGACTTAATTCCACCTGAGCTATGGTTCTTCCTTCTTATATGGAGAAGGTGAATAGTTTATCATTCCCAGCTGAAAGAAACTCATGTGGGGCTACTGGTAGATGATTAAAAGTAGAAAAAGCGGCCGGGCGCGGTGGCTCACGCCTGTAATCCCAGCACTCTGGGAGGCCGAGGCGGGCGGATCACGAGGTCAGGAGATCGAGACCATCCCGGCTAAAACGGTGAAACCCCGTCTCTACTAAAAATACAAAAAATTAGCCGGGCGTAGTGGCGGGCGCCTGTAGTCCCAGCTGCTTGGGAGGCTGAGGCAGGAGAATGGCGTGAACCCGGGAGGCGGAGCTTGCAGTGAGCCGAGATCCCGCCACTGCACTCCAGCCTGGGCGACAGAGCGAGACTCCGTCTCAAAAAAAAAAAAAAAAAAAAAAAAAAAAAAAAAAAAAAAAGTAGAAAAAGCAGGAAAAGTCCAGTGCCTGAGCAAGGAGTCCGTGAGTCTGGCCCCTACCCTCCCATGAACTCTTTTCTCTCCTTGGTGAGTTTGCTACTCTATGCCAAATTCCTTATTTGCGGTGATTCCAGCCCTCCTCAAAGGATTTGACTGTAAAATTGCTGTGTAGATGAATAAAGATATTAATCTTCGCCAGTCTGCCTTGCTGCAGTTTTTTTCTGAAGAAGTTGGAGAAACCCTTTTCATTTGGGTTATGTTTTAGTGGAGATTTTAAGCACACAGTAATTTTCAATGTTAAAGGACTCAAATCTGTGATTGACCAGATTGCTTTGAGACTCCTTTCATTGCTTCTATTCTGAAAAAGTTCTTACCTCTCGAGGTTTTAGATGACTTATTTCTACTATTGTCTTCTCATTTTTCTGTGGTTTTCTTTTTAATAGTTAATTCACTTTTTTCCAGTTCTAATTTACTTTTTGTATGTCTGTACTATTTTTTTTCCAAAATGCTTATAGTTTTTATGCTACTGTATATGGAGAGTGGAGAATCTCACATTTTTCCATTGAACTGTAATGCTTTTTTTTTTAACCATACATTGAGTTATTATATATAAGAATCAGACTTCTGCAAGAATATTACTTCTTCCTCTTTTGAAACCTTGCCGCATCACATACTTTGTTTTATTTCTCTAAAAAATTGTCTTATGCCCTGAGATTGTAACCTTTTCCAGGGCTTAGGGACTATATCCTTTTGAATCCTCTTATTTTTATCTTGATATTTAGGCCTCAACTCACAGTATGTTGTTTGAGTTGTATTCGGACAACATACATCAAAACATACAAGGATAGAGGAAGGGAAAGACAGGTGTTGTAAAAAATGCTTTTCCTGAAAGCAGAGTCAAGGCTGCTAGTTGAGTTCCTTGGCTGCTGATCTGCAGAACAGCTTGGAGTACCATCTTTGGGCTTCTAGAGAGACCTGCCTTTATCAGATTGTCCTGAACAAACAGGGACCCAGGAGAACCTGTGACCCTGAGCCCTTCCTAGCCCTCCCGTCACACTTAACTTGATCCTCCTACTCCAGCCTTTCCATTTGAATCTAAATGGCAGTACCAGTTAGGATACCAGGCAGAGTCCTGAGGGAGCTCAGCGCAACACTGATACCCTCAAAGTCACCTCAATTGCTTCCCCAACCCCCATACTTTATGTAACTAGACTAAGATAATTCCACATCCATTAAACTTCGTTTTTGGGCAATGGAAGTGCAGTGACAAACTGCGGCCCGAGTCCTGGAATAACAATCAGCTCTACCATTTCTTGTGCAGTTTTTGTGAGCCATCAACTATTCAGTCTTTTGGTAGAGGCTTTTCTTTCTATAGACTTACATGCTTTGGCCATGTGTTATCTTAGGAAAGATATTTCTATATTTGTCATCCTTTCTGGCCAGAGGTACCTCGAGCCGTTAATATTAGAACCAAATTCCTTCAAACTTCATAAACCTTGGTATAGAATGATACTAGACAGCCTCAATTCCCCTTATAAGAAATATGCTTAATATTCTAAGTCCCAAAAAGGATAATCCTCACTGGGGAAGCTCAGGTAACATTGTGCTCCATCTCAATTTCGTAAGGGATGACTGCAAATTGAGTCCTGCTCGCTAAGGTTGTGTAGAGTGAGCCTGGGTTGAGTAAGTGTAGCACATCCTTGATCTGCCTCCTCTGCCCTTGGAACATGGAAAGTTATCAAATTGTCTTTAAAATGCTTGCAAACAGTACACTGGAATTTGGAAAAAGTGAAATGGCTTAGGAAAATTAGATTCTAGTGGGTTTGTGTTTGAATCCATATTCTACCTTGTTGAGCGACAGACTTGGGCTAGTTACTTCATCTCTCTGAGCCTTGGTCTCTGAATCTGTTAAAAAGAATAATGGCTACCTTAATGGGTTGTTGTGAAAAATTAGTCATATGTGTTGGAAATGCCTGGCCCATAGTAAGCTCTCAATGTGATGTGGCTATTATTAGGATTGGAGTAAGTAGGGTTTATTAGACGTTCTTGGATGGTGTCGGCAGAGATCAGTGAGGATGAGTATCAAGTTCTTCCTGGTGTTCCCTAGGCCACTGCCAGAGTGAGGACACAGGATAGTATGGGCCATTAGGTTGCTCCAGCATTTTTTGGTGTTAGGAAGGGTTAGTGTGACATTTGATGGTAAAGACCAGAAATTGTAGCCAACAGCTATGCTAGATAGCTGGGGTCTAGCCAAGTTTGTGGTGTTCCTACTCATCCCACCTTGCTCAGTACATCTTTCAAGGATTCTTCTCTCCAGGTGCAGTGCTGAGGGTCAAGGCTGGTTGCAATACAAGAAGAAGAAGAAGCAGGCATGTGTGGTCTTAGATGGCTAGGGCCACCTGACAGAGTCTCGTGGGCCATTCCCAGAGAAAAGTAAAGGGGCAGCTCACATCTACCCACATTGAGGCCTGGTGCCTCCTTTGGTAGAGAGGTAGAGAGCCTTGTTCAGCCACTTGGCCTTATCTTTATTAATAGAAACTTTGGTAATATCATCTGGGAGAAAAATAAAAATGCTGGCTAAAGAGGATATGTATTTTAAGATGATACAGTTTATATTTAGCAAGTGGGATTACACTCCTTGAGAGACATGAAAGAAGAGGAAGCGAGATTAGACCTGAGCATCTGGCCTGGGCAAATGTCATCTCCCAAAGTGGCCGTGCCCATGACAGGTTCACACCAGTGCTGAGGAGAGCTCTGAGGACTGTGCGACACTCACAGCTAATCCAACACCCAGTTTCTCTACTGCCCAAAGAGCTGAGGGGTGATAACCAAAGTCAGGGCTGCACCTAGGAGGGAGAGTGAGTCAGGCCATGGTACACATTCATGGGGCAAAATACCTGTGCACTTACCTAGGAGTGATTTTGGACAATGTGAAATAACCCGATGGATGTCAGGGCCTTGAGATATAGCATACCTCACCTCTGAGGTACAGATTATTATTCTATATTAAAGTGCTCTAAGAACTGACATCATTGTTTGAAGAAGAGCTGGGTGATGTGCAAACTTGGCATGCAACTATCACCCATCAATGAAGAAAGTGTAATCTGTTGTTGGATAACTTTTCAATTAAAACTTCCTTACTGTTTTCCCTAAAGTTGAATTGCCACAAAAACAACAATGCTCACCCACATATTTTGAGCTGCTTTCCATTTATCTCATTTTATTCCCATAATATCCATGTAAAACTTGTTGAATAGCCTTTGACACTTTAATATCAGTTACTAATACAGTCATTATAGAATTTTTTAATCTAAAAAATTATATTAAAATATAAAAAAACCCTTCCACTCACAGAAAACCACTGTTAATATTTTAGTGAGTCTATTTTCAATATATTTTCATGCATATTTTAAGTAGTTTAGATATGATGCATAAAATGTTGTACACCATTTTTCAGCTAATATTCTACTATAGATGTTTACCATGCAAAGAGCTTATGTATGCAAAATTTACAAATATAATTTTAAAGCTGCAAAGTATTGCATTGAGGGATGTGCCATAATATTCTTAATAAATTCTCAATTTCTGGAACTTACTGATCACCAATATTTTCTCTTACACTGTTTCAGTAAAAACTTCTGTGGATACATCATGGTCTGAGGTGAGCTCTAGGAGCTTGCTTTTACAAATGAGAAAGCACAAGTGCAGACACTTGGTCACCTCCTCTATGCATGCTTAGCCTGCAAAAGTGCAACAGCAATGAAAGCACAACTTTTTCTCATGCCTGAATCATTACAAAGAGGCAAACGGAAAGAAGAATGTCAACCCAGCCAAGGGAATAAAGCAATCAGAGAATTATAGACCCGAGTTTGTACCTGCAATCATATTCATAAGCTTACAACTAGATCAAAACTAAGAAAAACATTTCAGACCATTTTAGACCAGTGGTTACTAATCTGTTTATTAAAACTAAATAGTTAAGAATTTATTAAAACTAAATCAGTAGGGCAAAGACAGAGCCTGAAAATCTGTATTAAACAAAAGGAAGGAAGAAAAGAAAAGAAAAAGCAGATTTCCCTTTCCCTTTGCAGCAAACTTGCTAGCATTGCTTTGAACTTACTCAGTAACCTCAAATTGCCAACTTTGAAAAGATGATTGCCAGGTTCTATTTGTCCCTCAACCCTGGGATGGTCAATACAGCAAGATCAATGTCACCAAGGCAGATGGGCCAGTGGGCCTCCCATGGAGAGTGCTGAGGCTCCAGTGAGTCTCCTGCCAAAAGGAAGAGCCAGCAGATGGATGGAACATGCAGCAGTCTGAACTCAGGTGTGGGCACATGCTTGGTAGCTCCTGCCCACACATAGAGGGGACCTGCTGACCACATCCCAGAGGCCTCTCTTGATGCCCATAGTTAGCATCCATTTTGTGTCAAGGATGTAGAAAAGAGCTGGCCCTGTAACCCCAGCTTACATAGAAATAAGCTGGTAAAGGTTACCTGGAGGCTACAACAAACAGCTGGATATGGCTGGAGTTGAGCTTAGCAGCATCTCATTAGTGTGTTTTGGCGCCACACAGACGATTCCAAATACGGCCATGGTGAAAAGATTAGTGCATAGGCTGGAAAATTTGGGTCAACCAGAAGCGTATAGTTTGGGAGAGTTGTGTTAGGGTCAGCTTTTCGCACTTTTAAAGATGACATCAGAGTTTTCTGGGCTTATGTTCTCCTAATGACTTCCAGACCGAGCGTGCTCCATGTGCAGCCCAGAGGATGAAGCCTCCAGATGCTGCTAAGGAGCCCACCTGGGACTGACTCACCCAGCTGGATTTCCCTTCTAACATCATGGTTTGTCATGAAAACAGGTCAGGTCTGCCTCTGAGGTTGTGCAGACAGCTGAAGGATGATTCAGGGAGCAGATCCCAGCTCATTCTCAATTCTCCTATCAGCTGGCCAGCTTGGGCCCTGAGATGGAATGATTGCCTGGCTTTGTGTGGCCATGAAAAGAAACAGATGCAATTCCCTCTTGCATAGTGAGGCTCTGCTGAGTGCTCGATGCATGGAAAGATCAGATGCCTCCAGGCAAAGTGGGATATGCTTGTCTTGCCTGGAAATGTATTGCCATGGCATTTGGAGTCACCCAACACCAATGGCATCCATCTAGAATAAGCAATGGAGATAATGCTAAGAGGCACAGTTCAGGAGGAAAGGGTGGCTTTCCCATTTTTGGTAGACAATGAAGATGTCTATGATGTGACATCCCCACGAGGAGCATCTCTTCTTGGGTGACAGGGAAGAGAACAATGAGAGCCACAGAAAAAGGAAAATGGGAAGATGCATGCACCCGGGGGTAAAGGCCATATTGGAGTGGAATCATTGGGACACATGTTTACTACTGTTCTACCTTGCCTGAAAAAACCCATCATGTCACCTGGCAGGCACTTGCTTGATACCATGTGAAAACTTCTTTCCCCACTAGTTTAAATAGCAGGCGTTCACCTAAAACCAATAGAGATAATAGGCTGGAATCCTGGGCTTACCATTCTACTGGCAGGGGAGTCACCTCTGCATCCTCTTTCAGCCACGTTGCATGTTTGCCATCATCTGTAGTTTTTATCTAACCCACCCCATGATCATGCCATATGCCTTGTGGGCACTGGAGTTTTGCTGTGTGTTTAGGACCCTGACATTTTGTGTTTTTAGGACCTGGGTTTTATTTAACCACCCTTTTCTATGGTTCTAGGATTGTCCAATTTTGTCTCCTTCTCTTCTCTCTCTCCATACTCCTCCTACCCTTAACTTCATTTTCTTAATCACCTCCAAAACTCTCCTTGCTCACTTTTTATTCCAAGGACTTGTCTTTAGAATTCTAGTCTCCCTCTTTCTCCCTGTACTATCATGTTATGAGGTCAGAATTGTGCCAACCTACAGGAATGTTTTCACCTTAAAAGCCTATCATTGTGGGTGAAATAGACACTGTAACTACAAAGGCCAGACTTTTATACACACATGCACACACATATATACATACTGTTTCCAGGATATTGAATGTCTTGCAGCAACAAAATGCCACTGTTGCTATCGTGAAACAGACTTGAGGAAGCCTAGAGGCAAAGGCAAACATTTCATACCCACATTACAATACTGTTCCTGGCTGACAGCTTGTTCCCCACTGACCTAGGGCTCATTCTCTAGCTGAACCATGGCCCATCACTGGGGCAGATTCTGATCAGCCAGGATGGTGGAAATTGACTAGTGGCTCATGAGTGGTTGGTCTCATCTGAGTCTGAGGAGGTGCTTCATTCTTGCTATGCACAACTTAAAATCCAAGAATTGTGAGATATTCATAAAGCAAGATGTCGCTTTGACACAGAAGGCAAAGTTTAAGAGCCTATTAAAGACCATACTCTATTAGTTCCTTAAATATGTCCTTATTCAAGTCACTATGGTAATTCTCTGGTATTATCCCTTATGAATAGCTATTCATTGTGGTCATATGGGGTAGAATATCGGATCAAATCATAACTTCTCCATGCCCTGTTTCTTCATCAGAACAGAAATAAAAATAGTATCTAATTCGTATATTTGTTGTGATAATTAGGTAAATTCAAACATAAATCATAGAGTAGTGACTGGTAGGTAATAAGCCATAATATACACTATTTTTATTAAATATGATAATGTGTTTATGGGTCTTGGTAATTCAACTATGGGGTAAGTAGGGAAAGAAATGTTATCTATAAAAATGACCCTTTTGCCCTCCATTTTATAGCTGGGGAATGGTCTGTTTAATGCTAACTAGGGCTACTTTCTGGTTGTTTGCACAACGAGAGCCAAGTGTCCATCACTCAGATAATAGCAGAGTGATGATCTCTCCAAACTAGATAGATTTGAAATGGTTTCAAGAATTGGGGTTTCTTAGTCTAGAATAAAGAAGACTAGAGAGGAGATACAACCACCGTCTTCAAATATAGAAGGGCTGACATAGAGAGAAACAGTTACATCTATTTTGTTTGTATCTAGAGGACAGAACCATGACCAGCTGGGTAGAAGTTAAAGGGAAACTTGAACTCAACATAGGAAGAATTCTCTAATAATCAGCATTGTATAACAAGATATGGGCAGTTCATAAAGCTATCTCCACCAATGGAAGTGCTGTGTGACCTTAAACATATAACTTAAACTATCTGTACCTTGGTTTCTTCATCTGCAAAATGAGAATAACAATAGCTACTTTCGAGGGATGTTGTGAAGACTAAATACATTTATATGTATATAGTCTTTCAAACAGTGCTGGAACACATTTGGCATTCTATGGGTGTTAGCCATTGTATAACTGACTTATAAAGGTGAAAAGGGGCAAGTGTTGTTATCTCTTACATGATGGAAATAAGATCAATTATCAAGCAACCTGGTTTACTCTTAGGCAACTGATCATTATGGCAATGGGAATTACCTAAGCTGTCTCTGGCATCATTGGTATATCCCTCAGCAAGGGTACTCTCTTCAGTCTCAATTCTTATTGGCATCAACTGTGTCGTATATATTTTTAGAGATTTCCACAATGCCCAGGCAGTGAGCCTTCAATAAATACATGTTGTCTAGACATACATAGTGGTACCTTCTCATGGAAAGAGTATTGATTTATGCCCTATAATTACAAGTATCTCTACATCCTTCTCTAATCAGTATCGGTGAAGTCACCGTCTAACTGCTTCCAGACAGTCATTTTAAATTTATTTCTAACTCAACAGTCTCTGCAATTTAACTTGATTAAATACAACACAGGTTTAATTGGAACTTAGCTGCAAATTAAGAGCAAAGAATCCATAGAATTGACTGCTCTTTAAATATAGTTTAGCTCAGTAAGCTAATAGTTCTTTTATGGAGATGCCACACTGAGTAGACATTAAATTGTGGTTCAAACAGCAAAACAAACAAATAGTGTGTGGGCCTCTGAGTATTTATTGTGATTATGCTATATGAGTAATAAGTAATATTTGAGGACATTAGTCATTATTGGCTTTGCATACTTCCTTTGCATGTGGGAGCCAGGATAAACAAGCCCTGGGATGCCCTCCTTTTTCTTGTGTGGGCTCATAATTAAGGGCTAGGGGAGAGTTATTCCCTCTGTAGAAATTTGGTACTGCTGATTTACATATATTTGCTGTTTTTGTAATCCAAAAATCTGGGGTGTTTATGGGTCTGCAATTCTGTGTGGCTCTGTGCCTGTAGAAGAGCTAGTAGAAAATGACACATTTGTCCGAGTTTCAGACTTACCATTATGAGACAGTTTGTCTTTTTCTGGGCAAGGACATAAAGATCTGCAGGGATTATAGTCACACTGCACTTGTGACAGATACATGGGTTGAAAAGAAGAGCGGCATTTTCTCCCCCTCCCCTATTTTCTTTGGAGTATGCTTTTTAATTGTTTTCTGTATATACTTTTGTGTAAGTTACGAGGACTTGCAGAAGGTTCTTCAGAAAACAGGAGATATGATAAGATTTATCTTTCTGGAAAGTTAATGCTGGTAGCACAGGGAAGGCATGGCTAAAAAGAATAAACTGGAGAAGAGAAATAAGTTAGGATCCTACTGAAAAAATTCAGGTATAAAATGAAGATCTTTAATAATAACTGGGAATGGGAGAAACACCAAATTCCAGATACAGACCTAAAGTAGAAATGGTAGGGTTTATTGGTCCATGAGCTGTGTGAGATGAAGAGGAGCTCAGGTTAATCATAATGTTTAGAGGACTGAGGGAATGATGACACTGCTAACTGGGATTTGGAAATGGGGAAAGAGAATAGGACCGGGGAATGATGCATTCGGTTTTGGACCTGCTGTGTTTGAGATTTATTTGCAGCTCTTTAAACATAGTTTGGATTCGTAAGCTCATAGTCAGATGAAGACATTTGGAAATATGGGTCTGGCACTTAAGCCATATGTCACATCTGGCCTGTAGACTTGGGAGACATTTGAGCACAATGTTACAATGTCCTCACTGGTTCCCAGCTTTCATTAAAATGTATCTAAACAACTATATAAAATATAAAAATATTTCACTTCTTAATATAAGGTACCTGAGATCTGGAAAAAGTGACATTATTTTGTCCTGCATTTTTTTTTCAATCTTAAGAATTAAATAAAGCCCAGGAAAAGTCTTCTGTGGTAGGCAGAATAACAGCCTCCCAAAGATGTCCATATCCTTATCTCTGGAACCAGTGAATACATTTCCTTACATAGGAAAAGGGACTTTAGAATTGTGATTGAGTTAAAGACCTGGAGATGAGGAGATTATACTTGATTACCTGGGTCGGCACGATCTAATCACACTGGTCCTTAAAAGAAGAGAAACGGCCAGGTGCAGTGGCTCACGCCTGTATTCCCAGCACTTACGGAGGCCGAGGTGGGTGGATCACGAGGTCAGGAGATCGAGACCATCCTGGCCAACATGGTGAAACCCCGTCTCTACTACAAATACAAAAATTAGCTGGGCATGGTGGTGCGTGCCTATAGTCCCAGCTACTTGGGAGGCTGAGGCAGGAGAAACGCTTGAACCTGGGAGGTGGAGGTTGCAGTAAGCCCAGATCTCGCCACTGCACTCCAGCCTGGCAACAGAGTGAGACTCTGTCTCAAAAAAAAAAGAATCTTTCCCAGCTGTGGTCACAGGCAGATATGACTACAGAGGAATGCTCAAAGAATAGTGACAATGCTGGCCTTGAAGATGAAGGAAGAAAGTCATGAGCCAAGGAATATAGGTGGCCTCTAGGAGCCAGAAAAGGTAAGGAGACAGATTCTTCACTAGAGCCTCCAGAAAGGGGCACAGCCCTGTGACGACTTGATGTTTGCCACCTAGACCTGTGTCGGGCCTCTAACCTAACAACTGTAAGATAAATTTGTGTTGTTTGTCAGGCCAGATCCCTATTAACTTTAATAGAGATGGCAACAGTTTCAAGAGGCTGAGGAAGAGACCTGGAGCCAGCAAACGAGACATAGGGTTTTATTTAGGGGAACCTACATACAGGGACAGTCCAGTGGTGGCAAACTGAATGGTAGAACCAAAGCTGCTTACAAAAAAGAATGCGGTTTATATAGCACTTTCAGTTAGCACCCTCCCCTGGCCACCTCCACGTGGCAACCCTCATTTCTTAAGTTATTGCTATCAGGTGTGTCTGTCATCCAACAGGTGTGCCTGCCATACAGGGGATGCCTAAGTTAACTGATTGCTGTCAGGTGTATCTACCATACATGTTTTAAACCACCGCGTCTGCACTAATATATATATATATATTTTTTTTTGAGCTGGAGTTTCGCTCTTGTTGCCCAGGCTGGAGCGCAGTGGTGTGAACTCGGCTCACTGCAACCTCCACCTCCAGGGTTCAAGCAATTCTCCTGCCTCAGCCTCTGGAGTAGCTGGGACTACAGGCACACATCACCATTCCTGGCCAATTTTTTGTATTTTTAGTGGAGATGGGGTTTCACCATGTTGGCCAGGCTGGTCTTGATCTCCTGACCTCACGTGATCCACCCACCTCAGCCTCCTAAAGTGCTGGGATTACAGGCGTGAGCCACCACACCCAGTCCAATAATTTTTTTATAGCAGCAATAGAAAAGGAATACATCTTCTCAGTTACAAAGTTTTAGTACTTGCTGCTGAGAAATAATTTTTCTTTATCATCATCAATATTTATTAACCTCTTGTCATTCAATGGTATATATCCTATCTGAACTTGGTTTCCTCCAGTGCAAAGTGAGATGATGTTATCTGACCTAACGGATATGTTTTAAGAATTTAAATGAGAGTCCACATGTAAAATGCACATCATATATTACAACACGCTGGTGAAGCATCAACTGCTGGCAGTGACATTTTCTTGTCCTAGTCATTGCAGGTGTAAAGATAAGTGCTTTTATCTCAAAGCCTTTCCACATTTTTGGGAGGAAGAACTACCATTGCTAGTAAAGATCCTGGCAGTTCTTTGCCTAATGGCAATTTCTGAAAAGAGTCACTGAAGATCTGATGGGGAGACGTTTCAGTCATGGGTGACTTCAAGAAAGATAATTTTTGAGTGGACTTTGAAAGAAGACTGGGATTTCATCAGAAGAGAGGAGGGTGAGTAAGGACCCCAAGAGTCAGGCACCATTGTGAAAAACAGCCTAAGAAAAAACTGAAGAATACTTTTGGGCAATATAATCGGTATCAATCATAATTGACCTTGACTGATGTTCTAAGTGTTCTAAGAACTTTGAAAATGATAAGAGCAGAGGGTGTAAAAAAATCTGCCTTCATTTTCCATGATTTCTCAGTTTTGTGACTTTTTTTGATCATTTCATCAATTATTATTAAAACTCACTGTTTGCTTGCATGCCAGAGTTCATTCTGGGTTTTCCTCCCAGTCTTATTTGCAGATTTCTCTTTCTCTACTGCCTCTTTAAAGGGTGGCATTCCTTAGGTTTTCTTTGGCCCTTTTCACCTTTTCTTTATGCTCTTCATTGGGGATCTCAATCACTCTCCTTGTTTCAACACAACTTTTGAACCAGGATTCTCAATCTATGGCTAGAGGTCAGAGCTCACCAGAGTATCTTTTCTGTTTTGCTAATTGCCTGCTGGACATGTCTGCCTCAGTGTCTGCTGAGGCCCTCGGGTTCTATCCATCCATGACTCTCTTTCCTTCAATCTGTTTTTCCTCTCTTGTTTGTTTACCTCCCATGGCTGAGTGGATGCTGGTGGCATTTATTAAACCAGAAACCTTGAAGTTGACCTCAGTTCCTCTCTTTTCTTTGTTTTATGTATTAATGCCAATCACAGCCTGGGTTCTGTTGATTCTGGTGTTTTGTTTTGTTTTGTTTTGTTTTGTTTTTTTGGAGACAGAGTCTTGCTCTGTCACCCAGGCAGGAGTGCAGTGGCGTGATCTTGGCTCACTGCGACCTCTGCCTCCTGGGGTCAAGCAATTTTCCTGCCTCAGCCTCCCGAGTAGCTGGGACTACAGGCTTGCACCACCATGCCTGGCTAATTTTTGTATTTTTAGTAGAGACGGGGTTTCCCCATGTTGACCAGGCTGGTCTTGAACTCCTGACCTCAGGTGATCCGCCCACCTCGACCTCCCAAAATGCTGGGATTATAGGCATGAGCCACCACGCCTGGCCTGATTCTGCTTTTCTTCACCTCCCTTATCCAGTCCCTTCTCTCGAAATCCACAGCTACCTTCTTAACTCAGGACTTGGTCATTTCTCACATGGACCACTGGGGTACAGGACTAATAGTCTTAAATCCACTGTCCGCCTTATTCTTTTCAGGTACCTTCCAACCTACAGGTGTAGTAATCTATCAAAATAAAAACTGACATATACTTTCCCCTCATAAAATCCTTTTCTGGCACCTGAGGCCTAAGCCTAAAGGCCTTTAGTATGTCATATAAGATCCTACATCATCTAGCCCTGTTCTGACTCTCTGGTCCTATCTCTCACCATCTTATCCTCAAGTCCTGTTAGGTGAAAAGTCCCTATAAATCTCAGGCCCTCCTCCGCATGGAATGTCCTTTTCTGTCTTCTCTCTTACCCATATAGCTTTGTAAAGACTCAACTCAAATACTACCTCCACCATAAAGTCTCTCATGACCATCTGCCCTAAATATAACTAGCCACTCTCTTCTTTGAGTTTGCCACCTTAACCTTGTATACATTTCTGGCATATAGCAGAATTTTCAGCGTTTACATCACACTTAGTGGTTTACATGTCCTTCTTCCCCTTTTCTCTGTAAGCCTTTTGGACGCAGAAACTCACTCTTCTTCATTTTGAAAACCCCCACAGAATAACTGGCACAGAGTTTGGGGCATCCATCAGGAAGAAAGAAAAATAAAAACAAGAAACAGGAAGGCAGAATGGAAGGACATAGACAGGGTAGGAAGGCAGGCAGGGAGGAGCTGTGTGGCAGCAGTTCTTGGAGTGACAGTGAAATGGAGAGCAGGGAATCTCGTTAGGAGGTTAACCTGAGGGTGCAGGTACACGAGGACAAGGCCTGGACCAGTTTCGTGGTAGGAAGAGTGGACAGAAAGCATAGGACATGAGGAGGACTGCAAAAAAAAAAAAGAAAAAGAAAAAGAAAAAAAAAAAGGACAGAATGTAGGGCAGAGTGTCGCCTTGCTAAGCCCCTGAGTGGTGGTCTCCAAGGGCAGGAGAGCTCTGTCTGAAAAATCATACCATGAACTGAGATTCCAATGTTCCACTGTGGGCTTCCCACTAGAACAACTCATGGATTTTTCAAACCATCAAAAGGTAATTTAAAACAGCAGAACCCATGCATTATTGCTTTGTGAGTCACAAGGCCCTTCATTAAAATAAGTTTGTCACACATCTGGTCAGTATTTAGACAAAATGACTTTTGCATTTAGTATTAGGATTGAGATAACCATTTGCATGTAGGTTTTGGTAGTAGTTTGGATTTGTTTCTGGAAAAATCAACCAAGTCAGAGCGTCAGAGGGACACAGAGAGCAATGCTTTCTGTTTCATTTATTGACCAAGGGCACCCCATCCTAAGCCACAGCCTCTGGGGCACTCACACAGCTTAATTCTGAGAGACAGCCCTGCCACTGCCACTTACCATCCACACCGAAGACTGCACAAGCCCAGGCCAGGCTCCTGGGCCATGTGCTCCTCTGCCACAAAGATGGTGAACTCCATTTCCTCTCTGCCCCAAACCTGCAGTCAGCAGGACTTCAAAGACCAGACTCCTGTGGCGCCTCCTCCCCCTTGAGGAAGCAGCAGTCCTCAAGTTCTATGGAAGTGTATCTCACAGAAAATCCACCCTTGTGTTAGGAATTCAAGCTCATCAGTGTTGTCACTGAAATGCCAGATAATTCTGAAATGAGCCTTTGATAAGCCATGTTGAATCTGACCCAGATAATCTACTAGAAGCACAAACAAGTAAGGGGCTTGAGGTGCAGGACACAGAACTGGCCACTGCTGCCCTCTGGGCCACAGAGAGAGGGTCAAGCCTTCAACAATGACCCTGCCCATGGGCCGAGGCCACAGGAAGCTGAAGGTGACAATGGGAGCAGAGAACGGGCTTTTCTCTCTCCCATCTGGAAGCACCATCTCGCTCCTGAAACTCTCCCTGCCCTTGCCCCTCTCCTCTGCTGTCCCCCTCCCTGCCCCCGGCTTTTTTTTTTTTCTTTTTTTTCTGGAAATGCTCTGCCATCATTTCCAGCTCTTATTACAGTTTGCTAGCTCGGTGACTCTGAGTAAGTTGCTTATATTGTTTGATAAGAAGATGAGGATAAAAGTATTAACCTACTGGATTATTATAAGGAATAAATAGCTACTGTTTTACAGATGAGCCTAGCTAGGTCAGTACCTGGTGCACAGAGGATTTAATAAATACCATTTCTTTCTTGACTAGTGTGTAGCACTTGGTTAGGAGTGTGGACTCTGGAGTGAGACAGTCTAGGTTAAAATCCAGCTCTGCTAAACTACTATAGCTATGTGACCTTACATTCATTTCTTAACTTCTGTTCACCTCAGCCTTCTCCTCTATAAAATGGGGATAGGAATCACACCTACTTCAATAGGGTATTATAAGGATTAACTAAATTACTGTATGCAACCTGCTTGGAATAGTACTGGGTTATGCAAAATAAGCATCGCAAAGCTTAGCTCTTATTATTATTCTCCTCTTTACATAGGTATGATTCATTTAAGCAGTTTCATGGAGCCAACAGAACATTACTACATCCATATAGGGTACTCAGTACCTCCCTGTGATTTAAATGAAGGAATGGATGAACCTCTTTTCAACATTGGGGGTACTTTATAATGTATTTTATAAAATTGTCATTCAGACAGGAAGTATTTTCTGAGGGTCTTTTATATACCACACACTGTGCTGGGTTCCAGGGACACTGTACCTCACAAAGTAGGCAAAGCCTCTGCTCCAAGACTTGCTATCTGGTTCTAAAAGTCTTTGCCATTCTATAGTCCTGCTGCCTTGCTTAGCAAATGAGGACGCCAAGGCCCAACCAAAACAAGGCATTTCTGGGAGGCAGTTACTTGTGGACATGTCGCTTATTTTTAGGACTCGTGTGTCAAGACCTCATTTGGTTTGTTGAGTGTCTTGTTCCAATGCCCTCCTTTTTTTTTTTTTTTTTTTTGAGACTGAGTCTCCCTCTGTCACCAGGCTTGAGTGCAGTGGCGTGACATCGACTCGCTGCAACCTCCGACTCCCTGGTTCAAGGGATTCTCTTGCCTCAGCCTACTGAGTACCTGGGATTACAGGCACGCACTAGCATGCCCAGCTAATTTTTGTATTTGTAGTACAGATGGGGGTTCACCATGTTGGCCAGGATGGTCTCGATCTCCTAACCTTGCAATCCACCCACCTCGACCTCCCAAAGTGCTGGGATTACAGGTGTGAGCCACCGCGCCCGGCCTCTGATGCCCTTCTTTGTGAGGGAATCAATACAACCTGGTGGAAAGAGCTGGGATCTCCAGTGAGACAAAACCTGGTTCTGCCACGTACCAATTGTGCCAGTGGGCAACACACTTAAACTCTTGTGGCTTTAGTTCCTCATCTGTACAATGGAATAGCAGCCTCTGTTGTGTCAGTAAGAGTCTCTGTATTGCAGAGGCTACAGACTGAGAGCTGGGAGACTCACACGTCTCACATGGTGCATTTATTGTGTTTAATTGAATTCATGACAGACATTTAACATTTGGGAAATTTTCTATGAAACCTAGATTTCTGGCTGCTTTTGACAAGTCAGAAGGTCTGGCAGAAACACCTAGCTGGAGTGAACAGCTGCCTCTGGGATGGGACATGAATCTTTCAATGTGGCACAGTCCCCACCTTCCTCCATCCATTGCTTACACCTGGACTGCTCCATTCATTAACCCACTCTGTCGGCATGGAAGCTTGCAGGGCCTGCTGTATGGATGATAGCTTTATAGGGGGATGTTATTGTAAACAATCAGGGTATTTCCCTGACTGGTGAATGCTCACTGAAATGTTTGCCTCTGCTGTGGATATGCAGAGCATGCTTTCTCCAGACATCTTTCTCCTTTTAGCTTCATAGGAGATTTAGGCGGCATGAGAAAGATGTGGTAGTATAGATGCATCAGTGTAAATACAAAAGTAATAGAAATGCATCCATATAAATATAAAAGTACCTGACTGCAGCACCCATTAGGAAAGAAGAGAGGAGGGCAAGGGAAAGAAGAGCTCTACCCTGAGAAACCAGGGGCTGTTAAGATGCGGTGTGCTGGCTGGGGTCTCGTGAGGAATGGCAGTTTGGCAGACCACTTTATCTCCTTCCTTCCTTCCTTCCTGGGGCCAACATGAGTCTTATTTATAACTTAGCTCTGAGTCCCTTCATGTTAAATCAGTAACTGAGTAGGCTGCAGGGCTAAGAGTGGAAAGTAGCTTTCTAGACATCTAGATTACAAAGCTGTGTGGTGCAACAGAAAGAGCCCTAAACAAGGGGCCAGAAACTGGGAGCCAGTCCTCATTCAGGCTCCTGATCTGTCATGGATTGGTTGTGTCTCCATTGTAAGTCATGTAGCATGAGTTAGGGTGTTTACATCCACCTACCTTAGGAGAGGCTGTAATAAGATAACTCTAATAAGATATATTATAATATATAATAAGTATATATATAGTTATCTTATTAGAGTTATCCATATATATATATATATAGAGAGAGAGAGAGAGACAGAGAGATGTTGGGCTATATATATATATATATATATATAGAGAGAGAGAGAGAGAGAGATATCAATTATACACTGATATATCTATCTATATCTTATTAGCATCTAATACATATAAATACACATACCTACATATAAATGCACCATGGAGAGTATACAAAGTATATGAGAGTTATTAGAGATGTAATTGTCTATGAGAATCCATGCTGACCAGACAGAACTCTGGGTCCAGGGCCATGAGGTGAAGGAGGGCATTGGGGCTCATTACTACAGCATCTGCAGAGAAGCCAGGCATTTGTGCTGGAGGTAATCAGGGCAGAACTTTATTACCCCAGTAAAAGATGCAATATTAATAGCCAAAAAATACTTTTAAGGAAATTGATTTATTGAGTCCATATAAGGTATTTGGAGGATGAAGGTACCTGAAACCATTCATATGAGGAACATATGAACAATGATGTGTAGCCTGAAAAAGGGAAGAAGGGAAAGATAACCAGAGGCTGTCTTTAAACATGACTCATGTCATATAGAAGAAGAATTTGACTCAGCTAGCCACAAAGAGAAACTAAAGATCAATGGCAGAAATTACAAGTGTGCTGATTTTTCTCATTTATTAATTTATTTTTTTCATCTATCTAAAATAGCAATTAAGCAGGCAAGCTCAAAGCTACACACTTGCATTAAATCCCTACATTGTCATTAGCTAGCATGTGATCTTAGGCAATTCGTTTAGTCTCTGAGTCTCTTTTCGTTCAATTCTGTTAAAATAGAGATTAAAAATAATACTTATCACAAAGGGCTATTTTGAGAATTAAATGAGTCAATGCAGGGATGGCTATTGGTATAGGGTTTGGCATATACTAAGCACACAATAACTGTTAGCTATTATCATTCAATAAGCACTTACTATGTGCCAGATTCTATACTAGATGTTGGGCTGACAAAGGTAAATAGGGCACAGTCACTCTCCAAGAACTTTCTAATCTGAAAGTGAATCAATATCTACAAGAATAATCCTGAGATAGAAATGTCTGCCTCTGGAGAAGCATCTGTTTCCCATGAGCAGCTGTTCTCACACAAAGGCTGATCAACTGCTTGGGAAGATGGAACAGAAGGAACTCAAGCTTCAGAAAGTTTCTTGGATTGGATCATCTTTAAGATGTCTCCTAACCCAAAAGTCTCTAACTCTAAATTTCTTCCCAGAGACAGTGAATATCTATGTTCCAATTCATAGTCAGATAATAGGGTAGGGGGATGGAGAGCAGCTTAGCCCTCCACTGAAGTCCAAGTCGAAGCCTGATAGGGGAGCAGAGCTTGTGTGCCTGACCATGCTGCAATCACTAAGTCTTGTCCTGAACTTTGGTCCCGTGTCTCAAGGCAGTGACCTCCCTGTCAGGCAGGGGCCAGCCACAACTCCTTTTATTGTGGTGAGTACATGAGGGGCTGCGAGAGCCTCTGAAATGGTCTTGACCCTGTCTACAATATTTCATACCTGCCACTCATTGAGGTTTTGTTTACTCTAAAATTATGGGGAGGGTGACATTGTGCTTGGAGCATTTGATGAATATGTTCCCTGAATCCTCACCCAACAAAAATTCACTTTGAAAAGAGAGCCTGAATTTAGGAATGTGTCTTGATTACGGGTTGCAGGCTGGCTTGCACTTTTGCCTCTTCTCTGTGATCCTTCCTTGGAAGCTATGACCAACAGCGTAACACTGACTTAGACCAGCAAGAAAACTGTTCAAAAAAGCAACTTTTTAGTCCATCAACCTGCCAATGCCCTCAGCACTAACCAACACGTAACCTCAAAATATGCAGTGAGCTTTCACCAGTCAGGGAAACACCCTGATTGTTTACAATAACATCCCCCTATAAAGCTATCATGCTTTTGTTAGCTGTCCAAGAATTCAGAAATACACAAACTAGAATAAAAAATACATGAAAGCTTTTTGTATTTAATTTGTAGTTTATAATAAGTTTATTTTTAATTAATGTAATTAGCCTAATTGTGTATTTCATGTCCACAAAAATCTTCAGTATTGGTATGCTTGAGTCCCCAATCCTATTAACAAACCTTTTAATCCATACAGACCAAATTAAATAACTTAGCATTTGTTTCAGTATTATCCTTTAGTGTTCTTCATGCTTTGTGAATGTTGGTCTCAACTCCTGAATGAGATAAGAATAGTGTTTTCAAAGTGGGAATCATACATCATCCCTTGAAATTCATTTCATCCTTATCATAGTAATAACAATTATTGACTAAATCTTAGTGGAACCAGGAACTGGGCTAAGAGGTTTACATACATTTTCTTATTTTAATTCTTACCTCAATTGGTAAAATTATTATTATTGTATCCATTTTACAAAGAAAGAGGCTGGAGCTCATAGAAACTAAGTATCTTGGCCAACTTTAAAAATACTAGTAAATTGCAAAACTGGAACACAAACCCAGATCTGTGGGATTCAAATGCCCATCCACCTACTCCATTATGCTGCCTCCAGCCCGTGCTGGACACAAAGTAAATTTTTCATAAATAATAAAATGATAATGACTCAGGCAGTTTTCTGGCAAGAAAGGCTACTATGATCCACTCCACTGGATATCTGTATATTGAGCAGGTTAAAATAGGCAAGAGGAGTCTTTGTGATTCTATTTCTTGGAAGTCCAAGATTTAGACAGAAAAAAATATGAGATCATTATGTGTAAAGAATCTTCATTTAGGAAAGGTTATATGTTGGATAAAATAAAAAGAAATATGTTTACCCAATTAAAACTGGTCTTGGTTTAGAAAGGCTGAGATTTGAATGCAATGTGTTGGAATATATTAGGGGTTTGGGTGTGGTGAGATGGTGATGGTGGGGAGATATATTTACAAAATAAACTTCTTAAGTTAATATGGATTCTATTATCTGTTGTCCTTTCTTCTTTTTTTTCAAAAAAAAATTTAAAAAATGAAAATAGACCCACAGACTGTTCTATTCTGCCTTGAAATTTAGGGGCGAATTGTAAGCATACTTTGAATATATTTTAGTCAGGGCCTATGAAATAGGGCCAAGTTCATGATACTCTGAGACTAAAAGTATATTGCCTTATCTCCCCCTCATGCCAAATGAACAGAAAATAAACTTGTTCTTTTTTTTAGCTTTTTATTTTGGATTTGTTGAATTGGCTTATTTTCAAATCTTGCAAGCAATACTTTTTACATTATTTTTGAAACCTCTTCTTAAAGAGATCTCACCACTTAAAAATGAAATTTTAGAAGGGACAGGAAAATGCAAAAGCATTGTTCTTGACTTTTAGGTTTTCAGAGTTTCTGGTGCTGGTGTCTTGCCTGCTCTGAAGGGTCGTGGGGATCCTCCGGATTATAGTCACTTTGGGAGCAGTGGCCACGACAAGCACAAAGCTGTAAATCCCTAGAGTAAGGGGCAATCAATGGGTGCTTCACTGAAAAATAAAAAATATTTACATTATAGGAAACAGGAAAAACAGGAAACAGGAAACAGGAAAAAGGAATGTTAGAAAACAGTCAAAGTTTTAAAAAGCCAAAGTCAAAAAAAATAAAAAATGGGGTGGGGAGAAGGGAAGTATCAAAACCCTTGCCATCACCTGCCCACTGAAGTGAGGATAAAATGTGGGGGAGATAGGGTCGTGGGGAACTATGCTTGAAATTGGGGTCTGAATTTTATGCAGACTTATCACATTCCAGGCATGTGAAAAGGTGGCTGAGACTAAATCTTCCCGACCTAATGCTATGCAAAGATATAGTATCTCTCCTACCAACTGTAAAATGCCTGGGAGAAGACTTCAACATAACACTGCAGTAAAGCCTGGAGATTTTATATGTAATATTCAGTTCTGGTTGAAAAGCAAAGGTAGCATAATAGGTAGAAGACATTTTACTGAGGAAGGAATCTTAATTGGAGGTTGGAAGTTGGCAGACAAAAATTTATTCATTCACTCATTCATTCATTTGAAAATCATTTGTTGACTATCCAGTAGCTCTCAGGTCATAGGCCAGGCACTGAGATTATATCTACGAGTAATATGTAGTCTAGGTAGTCAAGAAACTCCCCTTCTGGATAAGGGGAAGCATCAATATGTGGGCACTGATTATGCAAAGTGCTAAGATGTAGGATAAAAGTATAAAGTTCCAAGAACACACTTGGGAGGGTAATAAATACAGCTGTGAGGGTCCCCTAGGGACTGAGGTGGCATGTTTGATGTCAGCAACACATCTCAATGAAACTTTGTTGTTCTCTAAGGTTAATCGGTATGCAATGAAGTAATTTTAAAAATTGTATATGTGTGTATGTGTTTGTGCATGTAAAATGACCTCGAACAGAAAGACAGCTAGTGAGATTGTGGTATTTAAATATTTGGTGATTTTATAATTCTCTTTATATATCTTTATAAATTTCACATGTTTACTATGAAACTATGAGGAAAGAATTAACATAGAAGAGCTGGGTGCTCAGTCATTGCATGTCCCTAGAGGGCCTAGAATCATGATTCACACTTGGCTAGCCCCTGGCGTTTTCATATTGTGTATGCCTGGAGAAGGGGGCATGCTGTACGTGTCAAGATTTGTCATTGTTGTTTACCAAGATTTATGATGGACCTGGTTTCACATTGGGTCCTGAGTTTTGATTACTATGACTGGTCACATACAAGTATGTGCCTACATGACCAGCCCCCACTAAAAGCCTCAGTCCCTGAAACTAGAATGGACTTCCCTAGACAGAGACACTCTGCACATGCACCTGTAATTTATTTCTAGAGAAAAAGCATGTTTTGTGTAGCCCCACATGGTCAAGGATTCAGAAGCCTATGTCTGACCTCTGTAGACTCTACCCAATGCATATCCTTCTCCTGCTCCTATAATAAACCTTAGCTGTGAATATAATGAGTCCTTCTAGTGAATCATGGAACTCAAGTTGGTCTTGGGATCCCTGAAACAGTAACCCAAAAGATATATTAAGCAGCCATTATGAACCAGAGAGTCAGTATGGTGGTCAAGGTAGGATAAGGGAAGATGAGGGTGTTAGATATGACACTGTACTTTATTACTCTCATCTAAGGTAGAGTAAAACTCTTATTTGTTTTAAGAAAAATTCAATCTGCTTTTAAACTCTCACTGGTCAAGGTAACTGCAAAAGCATAATGTTTACCATGACATGTTTAGGAAGGCTGTTTTTTCTTTTAGAGCCATGTAAGAATCTTGGAGGCCTTACCTAGTCCAGGTTTCTAGAAAGGGCCTTTGGCCTTTAGTCCACACTGGTTATTGATGACCTGCTTATTGTCCTTTGAAGGTGAATAGCTCTGCTGTCATCTGCCAAATTAGGGAACAGGAATGTCTGCTCAGATAGTGACCAACCTCCCAAAGTGACCAAGAAACCATTTCCATCTGAGAGCCTGACCTCCCTTCAGGATCTCTTATGGAAGCCAGGTGCTAGGTCCCACTACTTAACAGAAACTATAGAACCCTACCTCTTCTCAAGAAAAGCACTTCCCTTCTCATGCAAGAATATTCTATTCATTTCAAATGTTAGATCCCCTGTGCTCTGAAAAATTTTCCTCTAATTTGTACAGATGAGATTTGCTGTCAGAAAACTCCTTAGAGGTCATCTTCTGGGAGTCTGGCAACATCTGCTTTGGGCCCTCTACCACAAAAGCCACTAATAACTACTCAGTCAAGACAATGCATACAAAGGTTTGGGTCTCTTCTTAGAATGTAAAGCGGGGAAAACATACATCAGCAAGAACAACACAGACCATTAATCTTGCTGCAAATTACCTTGTTACATTAGGAAGACTCATTCTCTACCTAATAATGGCAATTAGTCTAGTAGATAAATTACTATATGTATTAGGATTCTCCAGAGGAACAGAACCAAGAGGACACACACACACACACACACACACACACACACACACACACGCACGTAGGGAATTGGCTTACATGATTCTGCAGGCTAAGAAGTCCCACAGTGTGCCATCTGCAAGCTGGAGACCCAGGAAAGCTGGTGATGTAATTCAGTCTTAGAAGGCCTGAGGACCAGGAGAGCCAATGATGTAAATCACAGTCTCACGGTGAAAGAAGAGGATATGAAATGTCCCAGCTCAAACACAGAGGCAGGAATAAAAGGGGTGAATTCCTCTTCCATCTACCTTTTGTTCTACTTAAGTCCATAACAAATTGCACGATGCCCAGCCACATTGGGAAATCCATCTACTTTACTAAATGTTTTCATTGAAATACAAATCTCATCTAGACACATCCTCACAGACGCACCAAGAGACAATGCTTAATCTGAGTACTTCATGGCCCACTTAAATTGACACAAAATAAATCATCACATATGGTACAAAGTAAAGTATTGCAAGCCTTATAATAAATATGTACGAAACAGCATGTGAGACAGAAGAGATTGGGGAGACAATGTAGAGGCGCTGGTGAGCCTCCATGGGTGGGCTGGACTTTCACCAAGAGAGACCACTCACTGTCATTGTCCAGATTCACCCAAGAACCCACAGTTCAACAACAGCACCAGAAACATAATTACCATCAATTAAAGCCAAAGGTCTATGTCCACAAAACGAGGACCTAGAAGAATATCTTTTTGAAGTGGAATCACAGAAAGAATGCTAATCAGTTGGGCTTTATCTTTACTGTGGACGTAATTTAAAAAAAGGAATAACTTGTGTGGGGTAGGAGGAGCTTTCAATCTAGTGCGAGTTTCTTCCTTGATATCAGTATTACTGGCTGTCTGAAGAGTCAGTGGGAAACATTACCACCATTCCTTGGAAGTCTGTAAGGCTAATATGGCTACCCATGGGCTTCTGGCAGAGCAGAAAAGACACCAACTTCAAGGTCTGAGAAACCTTCACCCCTGCTGAGTGGCTTTGGGAAAGTATCGCCCCCTGATCCTGTGGTTCTCACATAAAACAAATACATTATACCTATTTTTCAGGATACTTGTGAGGTTTAGAAATAATATCTGGCACATAGCAGACATTCAATAAGTGACAGATAACATAATTTTCTCTTCTAGATGACACAGGCAACTTCTTGTCTAGGACAAGAGCACTGAGCTAAGAAATTTCCAAGAATCTCCTCCAGGCCCAAGATTTTAGCCACTACTGAAACTGATCTGCTTGGACACAATCCAAACTCCTGCAGGCAGCATGAGTGCAGTGAAGCCTTTCTTCTGGCCCACATTATCTTTAGCCACCCCACTCCACGGAGCTTGCCGGAGTCTCTTTACACACCCCCCTCTAGCCTTTTTCCTCTTCACTCCACTATTTGAGTCCAATTTCCTCTGAAAAAGTATTCACTTAAATAGGTGGCGTTGCACCAATTTCATTAATTGATCTGTGTCAATGTTCTAATGAGTGCTAACGAGTGACCTGCTCAGGTAGGTGAACATCAAGTCATGGAACACTAGTAACTCAACATCCCAGGTAGTAAAAACATCAAGCACAATGCCAAAAGACCTCTTCACTCTAGAAGATCTTCTGTAGGCCAGGGAAGAGGTTTTGTGGGAAATTTGGGGACCCATGGACATGCTCAATTTAGGACACTTCAGGATGTTTCTGTTGTATCTACCTGGAGAGATCAACCTGGAAAAATAGTCCTGCTACTTTACCAGGACTATCAGCCAGAAGCTATGCAGGAGAGTGCTCCAAGTCATACCACAGTCAGGCCAGATGGAGAGGCCCAGAACCTTCATTCTGAAACCACTTTCTTAGTTCTAGGAATTTTAACTTTTGAAAAGATGGAGTTTAGAGACACTCTGGGAATTATCTAAGTTGATCACTTTATTTTTTGCGAAGCTGATGCTCACATAAATGAGATGATTGTTAGGCCCTAGAATTAGTTAGGGCTGAGTTGAATTTGAAACCCAGGTTTTCTAGCACCTAAACCAGAATTCCCTGTGCTAGTTTATATACATATATATACATATATCTTCATATATATGCATATGTATATATATATGCACCTTGTTATATATAAACTTTTGTATATCTTACCTGTTCTAGAAGAGTCTCTGGTGGTGATGGACCAAAAGATCAAATCTGTAAATTATATTCCATTACCAAGAATCTAGGTAATTAACTGCCTAGAGCTCAGTCTGCCCAACTGTAAAATGAGCAGAGTATTCCCTGCATTGGTCTATGTTGCTAGGCTGTTACAAGAATAGATAGGAGTGTCTTGCACACAAAAAATGCTGAAAAAAATTGGCTAAAGAAAGGAGAGAGTTCAGAAAGTCAAAGTTCACACATACACAAGTTATTAGAATTGATCACCATTCTCAGATTCAGAAGCTACTGGTAGTGTTCTCCCTACCCCCAAGATTGGGAGAGCATTAGCCTTTATAGCTAACATTAGGCAACAGAATGGCTTACTATTGGAGCTGGCAACCTGCATGCTTCTACACACAGACCACTGAGACAGGCAACCTCCACACCTTCTACCAACTGCTGATGGGCTGTTGCTTAGACAACCCCACATCCTGGACCCAAGCTCCTAAACAGACCAAGAAGAATAGCAGTGCACTGAAGGTGGAGTAGACAGAGGGAGAAAGAACAAGCAGACCACCTAAAATGATGACCCTAAAGAAATGGAGTGCCTGAACGAATGGGACTGATGTCAATTTGGAAAAGGGGTAGGGAAAGAGAGGGGGAGAGAAAAAGGGGGAGAAGGGGGTGTGAAAGAGAGGGAAGGAGGGAGGAATAAAAAGAATATGAGAATTTAGGAGATTCACATACATATTTGAGACTCAAAGTAGTGACATGGAAGATCAAGTTGAAGGAATATTCTAAAGCCTACGACAAATATCCATATCTCACCATTGTTAGTACAAGGGGCCTGAAATAAAATTCCCTTGGGGTAAGATTGCACACAGGAGGCTACATCTGCTGTGCAGCTCCCCAAAACTTTAGCCACTCTGACTCATCCCAAGGGGAAGAATTTTGGCCACCTGAGTTCCTGACTTGGATTCTGACTGTGGCTTTTAGCCTTTGCATCATCCTGCATCTTAAGGATTGCTCTGTCTGTCTCTCCTTCTCTGTCCTGGGTGAGCAAGCTGCTGGCATCTCCTGTCGGCCACAGGAGGTGTGTTGACAAGGGCCAGGAAATATGTGGGAAGGGGTGGGTTGGGGGGAGTTTCCTAGGCAGCGTTCCTCTAGGAACTTTCTTCTCTAGGAATTCTCTTAGATCAGCATCCATTGCCTGTCCACTGGGTCATAAGCTTTCCTTATGCACGTTCAGTTGTTAAATCTACAACACCTCTCGCCCCCACACAGACTTTCACTCCCGCTCAAGAGAGGGGTCAGGGTGTGTGTGTGTGTTGTGAGCAAACTCCTTCATTGCCATGGACCTGGCAGAGGCACAAGCCAGCCCCATTCCAGGACCATGTGACACTGGCTGGGTTACTCACTTGTTTGCCCTCCAGCAGGGGCAGCCGGGGACACCTCCCTAGAGTGACTACAGCGTTTATCCCTGGGATGACTCAGCCCAAGCCTCCCTCTGCCCAAAAAGGGAATCTGAGGCTGGGGCTGGAGATGGGGCCTGTTGATTAGCCGCATCTATGGTTGGGAGAGCATAGAAACTACCTCTCACCTGGGAAACATGAGGGACAGAGTGAGTAATGCTCAGATCAGTGGCTCAGGAACTCAGCGTGAAACATAAGTTTATTTGAGAAGCTCAAGTGACAGGTGGAGCTTTGCTTCCAGAACCCCAAGGAAGATCCTACTCAGCCACCTAATGATAACATTTTCATTTCAGATTTCCATTCATTTCATCTCACTGACTTCACTCTCACCTTTATTTTGTTTTCGTCATTTCTGGAGTGGGTCAATTACTTAACCCTGAATAGAGATGTGATATAGCAGAGTCTTAGGGTGGGTTCTGGCTGATTCCTCATCAAGAATAAGATTCTATTTCCTTTGTCCTGAACAGGATAATCTCTTCAGATTACAAAGCTGTACCTACCTAGTATTGTTTGTTGATGTTTCTGTTGTTTATAAACACTGGTCTCATCTCTCCAAGAGCATAATACATTCCTCAAAAGCACTCGCTTCCCTTATAGTTCTAATTCCTCATGGCACTCTCTGAGAAGCACATGTGGATACTTAACACTTGTTACTTGATTGTTCTCAATCTTAAATACCTGGAAGAAAAGGCATTTCCACAACCTCACCAGTCACCAAATCCAAGAACTAAATTCAGCAAGATCGAGTTTTTGATAGCAAAATTAAAGTTACCATATTTTACACCATTTCACCAACAACATCTGTAGTTTAATTGGTTAATTTCCATCTGCTGGCCTTCTAGCTAACTCTGAGGCATTCCCCTGATGTTACTATTATAATTGTTCCTAGAGGTCTACGATAAAAACAACGGTTATTTGTAGAGGCTTAATCACACACAAAGTGATTTCACAGGTATTTCTACTTAGAGCATCACCCTCTGTGGCGGCTATAATTGCACTTCTCAGATCTCCGACATCGGGGAGCAACATCAGGGACCATAATTAACTCAGCGCAGACGGGGCTCTAAAATCCATCATGCGTTTGTGATGTGGTCTGATGGCCCTTTCAGCCTCTCCACGCTCCTGGGCTATTTTATCTCACAGGTGTTTCCCCTAACAAAATGTTCTTGCACACATTCTGTCTTCACATCTGTTTTTCTGAGAACCCACTCCCTCGAACCTAGCTTGACGAGCCCCTTCTCTGGGTCTCCAGAGCACCCTGGATCTGTCTCCATCAGAGAATTCCGCATGCCGCGTTACACTGTCTGTCTCCATGTTAGACCTGGATCCACAACCGTGCTGTAATGAGGTGAATGTAACCCATGCTGGGAGAGGGTGATTCACCTCACTGGCGAGTTGAAGAGTGAATGTGGAGGTCAAAGAGGGTTTCACCAACAAGGTACCTTCACCTGTGCCTGGAAGGATGGGTAGGATCCAGGTAAGGAGGATGGGAGCCAGCATTTAACGCAGAGGGAACAGTGTGAGAAGGAGGATGGGAGCCAGCATTTAACGCAGAGGGAACAGTGTGAGAAGGAGGATGGGCTTAGGAGCCTGATGAATATGTTGGTATGGCTGGAACCGGTCTAGAAATGTGGCATCTTGGTGATTGCCACACTGAATAGTTTTAACTTTATGTTGCACATAGTGCTTCTCAACCAACGTTTAAAAAATCTGCCTTCACACAGTGTGATCAAATAACTCTTCCCTGTTATGTAATGATTCTCGGGTTGCTGGGGTGTCTCCTAAGAATCACTCTGCCCTGTACTACCCAGAACCATCCCAATAGCCCTATGTGGCTAAATAAACTTTAAATTCATTCAAATGAAAATCAAATTAAACTTTCAGATTTTCAGTCATCCTGGACACATTTCAAGGGTTCAGGAACCACCTGTGGCTCCAGCTCCCCCATATAGAACAGCACAGAGGGAAGTGGAGGAGGTAGGGATGAGGAAGGTGAAGAATGGTGGTTTCCAGAGAGGCAAAGAGATTGTGGCATGTCACACAGCTGACAGTGAAAGAGCAGAGCTTGAAGCCCAAATCTTATTCTTCTTAACCAAGAGTTATTTCCACGGGATTTTTCTATTTTTTCCCAACTTCCTGGAGCTGGTTGGTAGGAAGTCTCATTCATGTCCAGATCCTACCCCATGGGTGCTGGAAGTGAAATAAAGTGCAAAGCATCCAGGACCTAAATTGAGATTATTTAGATTTGAATCCGGTGCTGTCATTTAGGAGGTGCAGGGCTTGGGCAAGCCAAGCACACACACACATGTGCTTGGAACTTTTATTAAGCAGCCTCATGGACATCTTTCCATGTCAAGGCATCAGATTTTTCTCATTTTTCAAGATGTATAGCATTTTATAGTTCTAGTACATAATGAATTATTTGGATATTCCCACTTCATAGATAGTAAGTTTTCTCCCTACCTTTTTAAATTTCAAATACTGCAAATGAACTCATGTTGGGCTTTTGATTTAGTGCAAACATAGTTCAAGGATAAATCCTAGAAGTGTGATTGCTAGGTTAAAAAGTAGGCATTGCCAAAATGTTCTCCAAAAAGGGGGCAGCAATTCTCCTAATAATGCATTATTCTCCTAATAATGCAAAAAACTACCAGTTTCCCATGCCCTTCTCAATACTGGTCTCTCTTTTTTTTTTAATTAACTCACTTAATGGATACTTAAAAATGCTTTGCAATCTTTCAAATACCATGCAAATGTAAGGTATTATGGCCAATAACCTTTTCTAGAAGGCCCCATATCAAAAAGTGGACATCCAAGCCCTTGGGGAGCTTGTACCATCCAGAAGTTTTTACTATATGTCCTGTCATTTTCTGGAAATAATGTTTTTGGCCTTGGATCCTAATTTTTTAGGCCAAAATATCAGTTTTCCAGGATGATGGGGTTGTAAATAATGAATAAGAGAAACCCTCCAGCAAAAGCAGCTATCACCATTCTTAGAGCTTTGCTGGCAAAATAATTGAATTTGATAGCAGATAGGGCCACTTGTGCCACCCAAAATTTTACTGAGCCAGCCTGGCAGGGAATGATTTGCGAGGCCTTTCTCTTACTGTTTCCAAAGACTTTATTTTATCTACTTTCTTTTTCAAGCCTTTTTATTCTTACTATTCATTTGGAAACTGTAAAATTGAGGCTTCAGCATCTACTCACTTTTACTTTTTTTTAAGAAGCACAGGCCTAGTGCAGTGGACTGCAGGGGCCTCCCATGTTGACTTTGAAAACAAAGGAAGTCTGACCCTAAGCTCCTTTTTCCTTCTTATGGAATCCATCCACCCCAACATCACCATCTGGTAAACTCCTAGTCCTCCTTCCAGAACCTAAGGACCATCTTTCAAGTCAGTTCTTTTGTAGAGCCTTACCTACTCTGTCTTCCCACACATTTCATTTTTACCTCTAAGCAATTATGAATTTCCCAATAATTTCCTTGTTTGCATCTTTCCCCATGCCCATCTCCCAGCTATGAATTATTTGGGCTGGACCTGGGTCTCATTTATCTTTATATCTCTAGTTGGTAGTACTTGGTAAGTTTGTTGAATAAATGTTTCTTCATTTTGAATCCTTGCCTGGGTTGGACATAAAACAATAATAACACTCCTAGAATATGTAGCACAAACACCAGCACTCCCCAAATATTCCACAAGCTCCCTCATGCTTCTCAGCCTCCCTTGTATTTATGATGGGGTTATGTGACTAACTCTGGTTCACAGGCAGGTGTGTGAGTAAAGTAATGCTTGGCACTTTCTGTCTGAGGTAGGAAAGAAGGGTGGTGAGTTCCATACATGCCCTCTCTCTTGCCACTATGCCTGGAAACAAAGAACTCTGAAACAGCAAAGGTGCAAGATAGAAACAGCCTAAATGTCTCATCACTGTTGAAGGGTAGCCACCAAGGAGAGCAGCCTGACCTGCATCAGACTGTTCGGAAAGTGAGGAATAGCCTTTGGGATTTGGGAGTTTATTGCCACAGCAAAACTTAGCTTACCCTAACACAGCATATGAATTTCATGATTTGAAAATGTACGTAGAAAAGAAGCTCTTAAAATATGACAGTGTCATTTGATCACGAAACCTTTTCACCTTCATCCCCTAGAACAAGTGAGGGTTGGTACTTTGGATTTTATGACTTCAAAGCAGATTATTTTTTCAAGAGAGCACAGCCATTCCTGTTTCATTGACAGAGATTCCAAGGCATGGAGAAGTGAAAGCACTGGTTTCTGGAATTATGGGTGAAATTAGCAGGAGAACACAGACCCAAATTTCTGACCCCCCTGCTTAGATAGAACTGCTCATCCCCCAACATCAGTGTCCTCTGGGGTTAGTATTCTAGGAATAATATTGACCTACTTAGAAATGGGACAGATTTTACATCTCTAAAGCTAACTCCACTGAAGAATATCTGTTTTGAAGCAACATGGTGGTAAAAAGGTTAACACTAAATTTGAAGTTTATTTCTAGGCAGACATCCTGAGCCCTGGGGGAAAGATTGCAGCTGCCCTGTGGCCCAGATAATGCAATATCAGGGTGAACAAGGACATCTTAGAACATTCTGTTCTCCTCCCCCGAGGCCAATTAAAATCTGTAGGCATCTTTCTGTTGACCAGGCTGACTGACTAATTGAATCAGAATTATGATATTTTCATCAGCTTTCTCTTATCCCTCTCTGCCTTGCCAGCAGACAGAAAGTTTGACAATCATACAACTTCAAGTATATGAGGCCCAGTGAATGGATCTGCTCTCACCTTAAACCACTGAACATTGTACATTAAATAAGATCCCAAAAAGGATGGAACAAGATTGTGGGCAAGGTAGTGTCCCCAGATATTAGTCTCTGTTTATCCACATAAGAAGAAGCTAAATACCAAGACACCACCTTCAGGATGCTTGATGAACAAGAAATCTGTCATTTAGCAGCTGCTATTCCAATAAGTCAGCTCCGTAATTACCTCTGCCTTCCTAATTAACCATCACACTGCCCAACTGAGAAAGCTCCTCATGTTGAAGGACCAAATTCCTGCTGAAGTCTAACAAGGTTCTGTCCATTCTATTAAGCTAGGAGGTATTTTATCCTGCACATCCAAATGGTCTGGTTAGCCTTAGAGACTGCCCCAAACAGTATCAAAGCCTCTGGGAATCAGCTACACATTTCCAGTTGTGTGAGACTTCTCAGCTTGAGTGTGACAACCTCCACATTAGTAACTTCTGTGAAATTATTTCTTTATATCTAAACTGCCTCAGAAGTTAGGCATTTATAGCAGCATTAGTTCCAGCTGTGAGGAAGCTTTGGGTCACAAGATATTAGGAAGGGGTGGGGTGGGGGGAACCTCTGGGACAAAGATTTCAGCCTCAGGACCTGTTTCTGAGTTTTCTAAAAGGAAATCCCCTCAACAAACTAGGCATTGAAGGAGCATACCTCAAAATAATCAGAGCTGTCTATGGCAAACCTACAGCCAACATTATACTGAATGGGAAAAGCTGAAAGTATTTCTCTTGAGAACTGAAGCAAGACACAGATGTCCACTCTCACCACTCCTATTCAACATAGTATTTAGAAGTGCTAGCCAGGCCAATCAGGCAAGAGAAAGAAATAAAAGGCATCCAAATAGGGATGCCTCTTCAGGGAGTCAAACTCTCTCTCTTCACAGCTGATATGATTCTATACCTAGAAAACCCCAAAGACACCACCAAAAGGCTCCTAGAACTGATAAACTTTAGGAAGGTTTCAGGATACACATCAATGTACAAAAATCAGTAGCATTTCTATACACCAATAATGTCCAAGTTGAGAGCCAAGTCAAGGACACAATCCCATTTACAATACCCACAAAAAATTAAAATACCTAGGAATACATCTAACCAAGGAGGTGAAAGATCTCCACAAGGAGAACTACAAAACACTGATGAAAGAAATCATACGTGACATGAACAAATGGAAAAATATTCCATGCTCATGGATTGGAAGAATCAGTATCATTAAATGGCTATACTGTCTAA
Source organism: Homo sapiens (assembly GCF_000001405.40). NCBI lineage: Eukaryota > Metazoa > Chordata > Mammalia > Primates > Hominidae > Homo > Homo sapiens. Next base: position 221,893,380 of record NC_000001.11, read on the forward strand.
AGCAATCTACAGATTCAATGCTATTCCTGTCAAACTACCAATGGCATTTTCCACAGAATTAGAAAAAAAAAAAACTATTCTAAAATTCATATGGAACCGAAAAAGAGCCCAAATAGCCAAAGCAATCCTATACAAACACAAAGCCGGAGGCATCACATTATCTGATTTCAACCTATAAGACTATAATAACCCAAACAGCATGGTACTGGTACAAAAACAAACTTATAGGCTGGGTGCGGTGGCTCACACCTTTAATCCCAGCACTTTGGGAGGCCAAGGTGGGCAGATCGCTTGAGGTCAGGAGTTCGAGACCAGCCCCGCCAATGTGATGAAACCCCATCTCCACTAAAAACACAAAAATTAGCCAGGCGTTATGGTGGGCACTTGTAATCCCAGCTACTGGGGAGGCTGAGGCAGGAGAATCGCTTGAACCCAGGGGATGGAGCTTACAGTGAGCCGAGATGGTGCCGCTGCACTCCAGCCTGGGCAACAGAGTGAGACTCCATCTCAAAAAAGCAAAAACAACAAAACAAACAAACAAAAAACACATAGACCAATGGAACAGAATAGAGAACCCAGAAATAAAGTTGCATACCTGCAGCACACCTTTGCCTGATCTTTGATGACATCAGCAAAAATAAGCAATGAGGAAAGGACTCCCCTATTCAATAAATGGTTCTATGACAGCTGGCTAGCCATAGGCAGAAGAATAAAACTCGACCCCTACCTTTCATCATATATAAAAATTAACTCCAGATGGATTAAAGACTTAAATATAAGACCTCAAACTATAAGCATCCTAGAAGAAAACCTAGAAAACACCATTCTGGGCATTAATCTTGGGAAATAATGTATGGCTAAGTCCTCAAAAGCAATTGTAGCAAAAACAAAAATTGACAACTGAGAACTAATTACATTAAGGAGATTCTGCACAGCAAAAGGAAGTAACAGAGTAAACAGACAACCTACGGAATGGGAGAAAGTATTCACAAACTATGCATCCAACAAAGACCTAATATTCAGAATCTATAAAGAACAAAAAAAAAAATTTAAAAGTGGGCAAAAGACATGAACAGACATTTTTCAAAAGAAAACACACAAGTGGCCAAGAAGCATATGAAAACATGTTCAACATCACTTACCAGAGAAATACAAATTAAATCCACAATGAGATTTCATCTCATATCAGTCAGAATGGCTATGATTAAAAAGTCAAAAACAACAGATGCTGGCAGGACTAAGAAGAAAAGAGAATGCTTGTACACTGTTGGTAGAATATAAACTAGTTTAGCTACCGTGGAAAGCAACTTGGAGATTTCTGAAAGAACTTAAAACAGAGCTACCATTCAACCCAGCAATCACATTACTGGCTATATATCCAAGAGAAAAAAAAATCATTCTACCAAAAACACATATGCACTTATGTGTACATTGCAAGCACTATTCACCATAGCAAAGACATGGAATCAATCTAGGTGTCCATCAGTGGTGGACTGCATAAAGAAAATGTGGTACATATACACCATGGAATACTGTGCAGCCATAAAAAGAAGCAAATCATGTCCTTTGCAGCAGCATGGGTACAGGTGGAGGCCATTATCCTAAGCAAATGAATGCAGGAACAGAAAACCAAATACCACATGTTCTCGTTTATAAGCGGGAGCCGAACAATGGAAACTCATGGACATAAAGATGTCAACAACAGACTCTGGGGACTATTAGAGAGAGAAGGGAGGGAATGGAGCAGGGCCTGAATTACTATTGGGTACTATGCTCACTACCTGGGTGATGTGATCAATGGTACCCCAAACCTCTGCATCATGCAATTTACTCATGTAATAAACCTGCACATGTAGACTCTGAATCTAAAATGAAAGTTGAAATTATTTAAAGAAAAATATAAAGTAAAAGGAAAACCAAGGCTGAGGCATGTTTGGGAAAAGCTATTTTAGCTTTGAAGCTACCTCTCACCACATTGGCAGGAAGGGCTATGGACTAGTTGTGTTTCCCCAAAATTCATATGTTGAAATGCTAATCTCAAATATGATGGTATTAGAAGATGGGGGCCTTTGCGAGGTGATTAGGCCATGAGGAAGTAGCCCTCATGATGGGATTAGCACACTTATAAGAAAAGACATGAGTGACTATGGTTAAGAATAATGTATTGCGCTCTCGAAATTTTCTGAGAGAGTAGATCTCAAGTGTTCTACACACACACACACAAAGTATCTAGATAAGGTAATTAATATGTTAGTTAGCTTCACTGTAGTGATTGTTTTACAACAAATTCATTCTTTGTTAAGAAGGTTTCCCCCTTACATTTAGGAATAAGCCAAGAACGTCTGATGTCAACAAAATGCAACTTTGTATTGGAAGTCCTGGCCAGTTTAATATGGCAAGAAAAATAAATAAAAACATAAAGATTATAAAGAAGAAAATGTATCTCTATTGTAGACAACATAATTATTTATGCAATCAAAACAAATTCAACACATATAATTATTGATTTTCAACAGGGGTGCAAATGGATATTCTTTATAACAAATGATGCTGGAACAATTAAAATATCCACACATGGAAGTGATGAACCTTAACCCTTACCTCAAAAATATACAAAAATTAACTCAAAATGGATCACAACCTAAATATAAAGTTGAAACTATATAAACTCTAGAAGAAAATAGAGGAGAAAATTTTCATGTACTTAGGTTGGTCAAAGACTTCATAAATAAAATACATAAAGTGTACACTATAAAACATTCATAGATTGAACTGTGTCAAAATCAAAATCTTTTGCTTTTTAAAAGACACAAAATGAAATGAAAAGGCAAGGTACAGATTGAGAAAACATTTGCAAAACATGTATCTAATTAAAAGCTTATACCCAGAATGTAAAAGGATTCCTACAATTCAATAATAATATGGCAAACAACCCAATTTAAAAATTGGCAAAAGATTTGAAGACATACTACACCAAGGAAGATATACAAACGGCAAGCATGTAAAAAGATCCCCATCACCATTATTTATTAAAGAAAGGCAAATTAAATCCACAAGGAGATACCATTTTATTCCCACTAGAAAGGCAAATATTAAGTATTGTTGAGGATGTAGAAGAACTGGAACACACTTTGTTTGCCAGTGGTAACATAAAATGGTACAGCCACTTTAGAAAATAATTTTTTTGTGACGTTAATGTACACATATGATCCACAGCTCTACTTCTAGACATTTACCCAAGAGTAATTAAAACATATGTCCACAAAAAGATTCTAATGTGAATTTATATAGTAGCTTTATTTTTAATTCCAAGAACTATAAAGATTCCAAATATGCATCAACTGGTGAATGTTTATATAAACTGGTATCTCCATAGAATGGAATACTTCTTAGCAATAAAAATGAAAATAAACTACTGATAGATACAACAACATGGATGAGTCTCGAAAAAATTATGCCAAGTGAAAGAAGAGAGCCACAAAATGTTCCATACTATATGATTCCATTTATATGGGATTCTTTGCAAAAGTCAAACCTTAGTGATAGAAGGAAGATGTTTCAATGGTTGCCAGGGTATGGGGAATTGTATGATTCCAAAGTTCATAACAGATCTCTTTGGGGTGATGGAAATGTTTTGCACCATGATACTCATGGCACTGACATAACTGTATGTAGTTGTCAAATCTCATTGAATTGTACACTGAAAATTGGTGAATTTTATGTAAATTATGCTCAGAGGTGATTTTACACACACATACATACATACACAAACACATGCATAGATACACACATTATTTAAAATGAAAGCATTCAATGTGGAAAAGATTACAGATTACACACAACTTGGTCCTTTCCATCACTGACAGAAGATAAAAAACTTTCGGCAAGAAATTTTGAATTTCAGTTTTTTCCTGTGTCCCTGATGTTATTCCTACTGCCTCTCTGGAATAAGAGAGCAAAAGACATAGTCTGTCTAAGGACCAAAATAGATCCTGTGTAAACACACACTGTGGTTTTGATTGCACATATCTGCAGATGGATCTAAACCCTGTAGCCTTAAGCAACGACTCTGGAATCACTGGTGCCAACTCAAATCATTTATCAAAATATATTTCCCTTGCAAAAATCAAGCAGCAAATCTTCAGGACTCTTGGCCAAGGAGGGAATCATTTTGGCTAAAGCACTCTCATGCCTCTGCTAACGCAAAAGCCCATGGGCATACTAATAAATATGATGCAACAACACTTGTATTGCAGGGCAGAAGGGCAAGGAGAGGGAGCACCTCTGTCATGGATCTGTTTACTGTGTGTTTATCAATTCATATAATTATTGAGAATGTACGTGTGCCTGTTACCATGACAGGCACTGCAGAAGATGCTAAGGAGAAAAGGGTCAGGGAACAGACGTTTGGTGTAACATGCTATGCATTCAAAGTGAGGATGTTCTTATCCTTAAATTGTGTAAAATGTAATGTATACCCTTAAATTATAAAATGTTACCTTTAAATATATAAGAAAGCAAGCAAGAATGAAAATAAATGTCATCTTCAACGTAAGAAGTTAGAAAAAGAACAAACAAATACCCTGAAGGGAAACAGAAGGGAGGAATTAATAAAGATAAAAGCAGAAATTAATGAGATAGCAGAACCAAGAAATAAATCCAAAAGCTGGATCTTAGAAAAAAATAAACATACCAAAAAAAGCAAAAATCAAAAACTAGTTATCAATAGATTGCTTAATCAAGAAAAAAATTAGCTCATAAAAACAGAATACAAAATTAGTATGTGGGAAATAATTGCAGAAACTGATGAAAATGAAGGAATCACAAAAGAGTTACCTGTTCAATTCTATGTAAATAAATTTGACATAAATTTTAAACTTTCCAAATTCGTTAAAAGAATTGAGCATAACATTGACAACAAAAACCAACAGTACACAAAAAGTGATAACTATTAATTTGATACAAAAATCATCAATATTAACAATACCACCAACTGAAATAAGTACCACATTAAAGGATCATATACTATGACCAAGTGGAATTTGTTCCAGGATAGTTTAAAATTAGGAAATATTTTAATAAAAGTTACCATAAGCATAGATTTAAAGAGAACAGCCAAATGATCATCTCAGATGCAGAAAAGATATTCAACACTACACAAAAAATTGAATTGGTAAAAGTCATCAAGATAGGAACAGAAAAAGACATATACATATACACGTGTGTCAGAAAAATGTGTGTGTGTATACATGTATGTACATGAGTGTGTGTGTGTGTGTGTGTGTGTGTGTATTTATATAGAGCAGGAGGCAGAGCGGGAGCCCAATGGCCAGCATCATGCTTAATGGAAAATACTAGAATATTTCCTTTAATGCAGGAATAAAAACAAATTACTAGTCAATGAAAGTACACAAGACAAGGGTAAAACATAGAAAGATGAAAGTAAAATTATCACTATTTTCAGGCGTAACTCTATATCTAAAAATTCTAAGAGATTCAACTGAAAAAGCATTATACACATGAGAGAAGTCAGTGAGGTTACAGAGGACAAAATTAATATGTAGAAATCAATGGCTTTCGTATATGCAAACACCAACAAATTAGAGAAAATAATGGAAGATTCCATTTACATTAGCAACAAAAAGTCGTAAAGTTTCTAGGAATAAATATAAGGAACATGTAAGCACTTTGTATATGTAAAGCATACGTAAAGTATATGTAAGGCATTTAAAACATTCCCTAGTGACAGAAAAACAGATGACAATGAGTATTCAACCTTGTTTTTAAGAAAACTCACCATTCAAGATACGTTTTCCTAATTTAATTTAAAATTCTAATATACGTAATTGTCCCTGCGTTGATGAAGCTGTGGGGAACAGCCACTCTTGTACTTCTATTCATTGTGGGCAGGAGTATAAATTAATATAATCTTATAGAAGGCAATTTGGTTAATGGTTTCTAACAAAATTAGAAGTAAACACAGCCATTGAATAAAATGACACTTAATTTGTCTTACAGATACACTCATGCAACATGACACATGCAAATTCATTAATTACATCACAGTATGTTATAGTAAAAGATTTGGCATAGCGTAACTGTCCATCAGGAAGGCACTGGTTAAATTATACTCCATTCATACAATGGAACACAATGTAGTTGTAAAATTAAACTTAAAAGAATGAGAAAGTTCTACATATATGGCTATGTAAACAACTTCAAGATTAGTATTAAGAAAGAAAATAAAGACAAAAAACCACATGTAGAGTATGCTACAGTTCATGTAAAAGTCTGTGGGTCCGGAGAATAAGAATTCATATTTCCCTGCGTATATACAAAGAAAATCCCTGGGTGGACACACAAAAAGAAATTAGTAACAGTCGCTGCTGCTTTGAGGCTAGGAGGATAGAAAACAGGAGTAAAAGAGGAAATTTGCAGAGTATACATTTTGGTAATTTGGATTTTCAATCCATATGAATCCATTACAATTTAGAAAATCAAAATCAAAACTTTAATAGATATAAATGAAATAAAATAAAAAATTTAATTTAAAAGTAAAGACATTTAAATGGGAGAAAAGATTGAGAAAACATTGAAATACTAATAATTGCTACATGCTTTAAATGTGTTCTATCCTGTTTTAGGCATTTTACATGTTGTGTCCTGTTTTAGACTATTATTATCCTCACATACAGGTGAGGAAACTGAGGCAGAGAGATTGATTACATGCCCTAAGTCACAACTAGGCCATCTCCAGATTCCTGCAGTTGTAACTTCTTAGCTATGCCACCTCCTGATATCATGTGGTGCAGTCAAAATACACACTGCAAAGGCCACAATGACCACCACCAAACCGTAACACCTGAAGTTCAATCCCCCACTTTGCTTACTAGCTGTGTAACTTGGAAAAGTTCATTCGACACTTAGAGACTCAGTTCCCTCATGTGTCCAGTGGTTATGACTATACCTGTCCTGTCTCTAAAACTTGCCATGAGATCATACATGTTTGTGTGTGACAGGAAAGCAGAGGGAGAGATTTAGGTTTTAAATATGTGCCACAGGACAGAGATTAGAAAAGACGCAAGAATCCATCTTCGGGGCATTTGGACGGTACAGAAACAAATCTTGTTTATCCACTGATTTCCTTTGTGACTCTCAGGGAGAGGTTACCCTGGGGAAAGTTCTGGACCCTGACTGTAATTAAATGGCACTTATTTAAGGAAAGAAATTATGCCACCAAACTCTTTCACCTGAAACATTCAGATAATTGCATTATTAGCATTATTACTTGATAGTGGAGTGAGGAAAGGGGAGGTGGTTTTGTGGACAGTATGTACCCCTACTGTGAGTACTGTATTTCCTTATTTAAGGAAAGAAAAAAAAAATGGTAACTTTTCTAAGAAAATATCAACAGTCTTATCCAAAATAGCAACAACTTTAAAAATAGTGTGACACAGGAGGAGTGGGGAACTCCAGCTCATAGCCACAGCAGAACAGCTGGGAGCAGAGACATGCCCAACCTCTTGTGTGAGGAGGGTGAGTTGGTGATCATTCATAAATTGATCACTGTGGGCCTCTATTAAGTGGATTTCTATTAAGCGGGAGCTCCATGGTCGCTTGGGAGTCTCGCTGCACAGTAAGGAGAAAAGCTCTCTCTGGGGAATCTACCAGAGTAACTTCAGGGTGTAAGTTTTGCTTTAAAAAATAAAGTGTTGGGCCGGGCACGGTGGTTCACACCTGTAATCCCAGCACTTTGGGAGGCCGAGGCAGGTGGATCACTTGAGGTGAGGAGTTTGAGACCAGCCTGACCAACAGGGAGAAACCCCGTCTCTACTAAAAATACAAAATTAGGGTGTGGTGGTGTACGCCTGTAATCCCAGCTACTCGGGAGGCTGAGGCAGGAGAATCGCTTGAACCGAGGAGGTGGAGGTTGTGGTGAGCCTAGATCAAGCCATTGCACTCCAGCCTGGGCAACAAGAGTGAAACTCCATCTCAAATAAATAAATAAATAAATAATAAAGTGCTGGGCCAAGCACAGTGGCTCATACCCAATCCCAGCACTTTGGGAGGCTGAGGCAGGAAGATGAGTTGAGACCAGAAGTTTGAGACCCACCTGGGCAACACAGTGAGACCTCATCGCTACAAAAAAGTTAAAAACTAGCCAGGTGTGGTGGCACTCATTGGTAGGTCAAGGCAGGCCAGGAGGCCAAGAGAGGAGGATGGCTTGAGCCTGGGAGGCTGAGGCTGCAGTGAGCCATGATTGTACCACGGTACTCCAGCCTGGCTGACACAGCAAGACCCTGTCTCAAAACTAAAAATAAAGTCATAAAGTGCCTTTAATAGTAAATAGAAATAACAATTACTGATATTGTGAAGGTGACAGTCACTGTTATTCTAACTTTAAGAGATGGCCAGGAACAATTCCCCGACCTCCCTCAGGAATCCATGACACTGCCTCAGAATACAGTACTCACACTGGGGCTACATACAGTCCACGAAACCGCCTCCCCCTTCCTCACCCCACTACCAAGTAATAATGCTAATAATGCAATTATCTGAATGTTTCAGGTGAAAGAGTTTGGGGGTTTACTTCATCTACATCACATGCATACATAGTCCCAATACTAAAGCCAGAAAAATATTGATTTAAATACATTTGCTGCTGATTAATTCAACTTGGGATGTATAAGTATTGATAATCCTTCACAATCCCATAAGAATTCCACAGGAGTTGTCCTCTCTGATCCTCACAACAAACTGTAAGAGAAACTAGTTATCCCCACTCTAAAGACAACAAAATGGAGGACTGGCAAGTTTAGCTGATCTCTCCCAGGGTAGATTAGGAATAAGAGTCAGGACAGGGTCTAGGTCCAGGGTTCCTGCAACCACCCTCCTCTTAAGTGTCTGCTAAGGTCTTTTTGAGTCTTAAGATTTTGGAACGTAGAAAATTAATTAGCTTAGCCCCAAAGCTGTCCCTATGAGTACCCTTCGCCCACTCTTAAACAGGAGACAGACAAAATGGAACTGGGTACGTCACATTCATCTCCTGGTCTATTTAAGAAGCAGATTATCCAGAGTGGAAATCCACCAGGCTGTAGTTACATCTCTCCCTTCTCCCTCCTGGTTATTGACGTTAAGCTACCATGTTACTCACTGATAGAAAACTGGAAGCAAACTAAAATGAAAACTTTTTGGCCCTAAATTACTCCTTTGACCTCTAACCTGAATTTTGGCTGCTTTTGCTTAGCAGTTACTGATTCAAAGGCCTGTCTGTAAGCCACAGTGACCATGCATCAACCCTCCGTCTGGCCAATGATACTGATTTAATGAAGGGTAACGCCATGGCTGAAAATGTTGTGTGAATGACCCCAACATGGCGTGCCAGCCACTGAGGGACCCCACACCACAGAGGCCCATGGTTCTTCATGAAAACACTCAGACACCCCCCTGCCACATACCACACACCCATGCCCATCTCCCAGGACAATCTGGATTCAGTTATTCAACAAATATTTATAGAGGACCTCCTAGGTGCCAGGCACATTCCATGTATTGGTATTATGGGATCTTTGGGGTGCTGCTTTTCTGGCCGGAAACCTGTGGTCAATGGTACCTTTGCCCACGTTTTGCTCGGGCCCACTGGGCTCATTCCACCTACTTGGCCTGGCAGGCTGTGCTTAGCTCATGCTACCAGCTTGGATCCCATGCCTCCAAGGGAGACTGCAAGTCAGGCATGGAGCAGCGAGGGGTGTATGAGCAACTGTGGGGTCTGGCCACTGCACAGTCAGACATGCTGGCTGCTGCTGGGGGCAGGCAGCTCCAGGTGCCGGCATGAGCACCGGCTCTCTGTGAGGCTGTGGCTAGACCAGGTGCACTGCAAGCAGCTTCCTTGGCTGACTCTGGGGAATGCAGTGACACCTGGAAGCTTGGAGATGCCAGGAACCACAGGGCCCCAATGAGGGAGTCACAGCCCTGGCTCGGGGAGCTCCCAGGTCTGGGCTTCCTGAAGGGCCACAGCTCATCTCCCCTTCTCCTCACCTTCAATGTGGTGAGCAAGGAGCATGTTTCAGCCCTGTTTGGGTTACAGCTCTTTTAGCCTCACCATTCTGCAGGTCCCAGATTCTTGTCTTATGACCAGGAAGAATGAGGTACGCAGACAGAGGAGGGTGAGCACGATGAAAAGGAGCTTTATTGAGTGATAGAACAGCTCAGAGAAGACCCACATGGGGCAGCTCCTTTCTGCAGCCAGGATGTCCCATCAGGTGTTCAGCTCCTAGCAGAGAAGGTGGCTCCTCTCTGCAGCTGGTCTTCCTGTCCTCTGTCGAGTTCTGGCTCAACCGGGGCTTTTATGGGCCTCAGTGGGGAGGAAGTGAGTGCCGATTGGTCAATAGGCAGCCATGGGTGGGCCCAGAAAAGGCACCACAAGTTCCCACTCTGGTCCGTGGGACTGGCAGCCCAGCCCCCAACCTTCAGGCCCTCCGTGGCCTGAAGGTGGGGACTCACTGAGGACCCTCCCCCTTCTGCCCAGGAGCCTCTCTGCCTCCTGCCACCACCCATGGTGCCCAGGCTGTTTGTACCAAGGGGCACCTGCAGCCCAGTGATGAGCTGCCGTCAGCACCCCCTCAGCTTCCCCACTGAGCTTGTTAGCACCCAAAGTCTGGAGGGGACCAAGGCGACTGGGGGCTGGTGTGTCAGTGCTGCCCCACGTGTGTGCATATCTGGCCAGGCTGTGACAGCACCCAGGCTCAACTCCAACCCTGCTCCAAGATCAGAGCAGGTGCTGGGAGCTGGGAGAGGCCAAGAAGTGGAGGCAGACACCCCTGAGTCTGTTGGGCAAGTGAGGGGGCCTTCCTCAGTCCCCGAGGGTGCAGAGTGCAGTGAACGCCTGGGTCCTGCACCTGAGAGGGCAGGGGTCCCACCTGCTCTGTGGAGTGTGCACTCTGGCCACACTTCCTCATAGCCTGAAGGGGGGCTCTAGGTCCTTGCTGGGCCCTTTTCTGCCCACCCCTTCATGCCCAATCACACTGCTCCCCTGCTAGCAGGTGGCACAGTTGGCTGCCTCAGGGATGCAGGGCACAGTGGACCTACTGCTGTCATTTCTGCCCCTGCAGTCACTCCTGCCACCACCACCCACACCTCCCTGCTGCAGCTGGTGCAATGGCAGTGGCCACTCCAAACGGCCCACCACCACCGTCACTGGGAATATAGCAATTAACAACACACAAAAAAACCCTGCCTTTGTGGCACTTATATTCTAGTGGGGAGATTTAGATGATAAACACAATAATAATAATACTAAAATATTTAAATAAACTCACCTACTATATTTCTTCAAATCACACCTTCAAGCCTCTCTGGGGCTCTAGTTTCTAGACTATATTTCTGCCTGGGTCTTGATTTCTAATATTCACCACTCACCTCCAAACACTGAGCCTGCCTTGGTGTTTTGGCCACCATCACCCTCAGCCACTTCTGACAGCTGGAGCCCTACCCTGAATCTCGTTACGTGAAATCCCTCACTCATGCACTCAATGAGACATGTTGGGAATTGTGCTGGGATGTCCATCATCCTCTCCCATTAGCTGTTCCCTGCACTGTGAGTAGAGACAGCTACTATCAAGTCCAGGGGGCCTGACTAGCTCTAATCACAGCTCCCTGCTCCACTCCCTCTTTGGTCTGGTTCTAGATCCTATCAGGCTTTAGGGATCTGAGACGGGAGCATCTCCAATACAATAGTCATTCAGAAGGAGATTCATAACCCAAGGGAAGGATGTACAATTCCATGGTAGGACCAACAATTCCATTTTGAAATCTACTACACATATTGGGCAGTGTTCTTTCATCACTCAGCATTGCTTGGCTTCAGTTTCCACCCTCGTCAGAGTCCACCCTCATTCTTCTTGTCTCCTGTGTCTCCCCTAGCCCCACTCTCTGTGCTTGCCGATGTGCTCCCTCTCACCCCCCAAGCTTCCACTTCCCTGCTTAGCACACTCTGAAGGTATTCTTTCTCCCTAAACCAGCTTTTCCCTGTTACTACCCAGCACATCCATATATAACAACAACAAAAATCCTCTCTTTATTCCCATGGACAGGTAAAAAAGAGGTAAAGGAAAATCCTGACAGTTAAATGCATTGAAAACAGAAAAGGACTAAAATTCAAATCTCCAGGCTCTGAGCTCTTTCTAGTAGTCTACATGGCTTATGGCTTGTAAGAATTTACCAGTGACCTAACCTCCTTGTTTTGGAGCTCTCAAGCAAAAACGTCATTCACTCTCTTTGTCTTTACGATCTCTCTCTCAATACACACCCACACAGAGTGAGAGAGAGAGAGAGAGAGAGAGACAGAGAGAGAGAGATACACAGAGTTTCTTGACTTGGTTTAGGATGGGGAGGGCTGGGCGTATGGAAGTTGATGCATCAAAGGCCTCCATAACTTGGTGAGGCTGCTGGAGGGAGGAGCAAGTGCACTTTCGCTTAACAGAAAGATATTTGGCTTTTTTGCCCCTCTCCAATATCTAGGTGAGCATCAATCTACGTAACATCTATAAAGACTGCTGAGCTATTCAAAGACCAGCATTACACTGCACAGTGTTACTTAACAAGGAGACTAGCAACAGCTTACACCCTTACAGCCAAGGAATTTCTAGTCTTGGCCTTTAGTCAGGAAAGGAAGAGAGTGGAAATTGAAAATCATTCTGATATCTGCCTCACTGTAAGGATCCATATTAATGTCAAATGAATAAGATTGGTTTCAATAGCAGTGTATGTGAGTTAAATTTGTGAAAACTGCATCCATGGAGATTTGCAAGCATCAAAGAGCAGGCTGCGGGGAACTACCCTGAATCCAGCTGTCTTAGTCCATTTATGTTACTATAAGAGATTACTTGAGGATGGGTAATTTATCAAAAAAAGAGGTTTAGCTGGGCGTGGTCGCTTGCACCTGTAATCCCAGTGCTTTTAGGGACCAAGGTGGGAGGGTTGCTTGAGCCCAGGAGCTCAAGACCATCCTGGGCAACATAGTGAGACCCTGTCTCCACAAAAAATTTTTTTTTTTAATTAGCCAGGTGTGATGGCACAAACCTGTGGTCCCACCTACTCAGTTGGCTGGGGTGGGAGGATAACTTGAGGCTGGAAGGTTGAGGCTGCAGTGAGCCATGATCACACCACTACACTCCAACCTGGGTTACCGGGCAAGACATTGTCTCAAAAAAAAAAAAAAAAAAAAAGAAAAGAAAAGAGATTTGTTTTGCAGGCTTGCAGGCTGTACAAGAACCATGGTGCTAGCATCTGCTTCTGGTAAGGGCCTCAGGCTGCTTCCATTCATGGCAGAAGGCAAAGAGAAGCTGGTGTGTATAGATCACATGACAAGAGAGGAAGCAAGAGAGAGGAAAGGAGCCAGGCTCATTTTAACAGCCAGCAACTGAGGGAACACTCTCATGGGAATAGACTGAGAACTCACTCACTACCTTGAGGATAGCACCAAGCCCGTCATGAGGGATCTACCCCCATGATCCAAACACCTCCCACCAGGCCCCATCGCCAACACTGGGGATAAATTTCAACATGAGGCTTGGTGGGACCATACAAACTCTATCCAAACCATAGCACCAACTAAATTATTGATGCTAAGTTTTCAAGAACAATTCACCTTGGGGGCACAAGGTAATTACACAAAGCTCCGATGCAACAGCTGGAGAAAATAACCTAAACAAATAAACAGGGCCCATCTAGGGGAAAAAACGTCCTCCAAAAGGGCAGCTTAATAAAGTACATGTGTTCAGTTGATTGTGGGGAGAAATTATATTATTTTGCTCTGGCATATTATATTTGTATGTAAACATCATATTTTCAAATAGGATTGTGTTCTCAGCCCAGCATCACCGGGAAAGGCAGAAGTGTCCTGAATGTTCAACAATATACCATACAGCTTCTTTTTATTAAAATCTCATTTCACTGGGATAGCTCCTTTGAGAGAGATGTGCAGAATAATGCTAGGAAATCAGTGAACCAACACCACTTAATTATATCACGCATATTAAAAATTCCTGCTTATGCATTCGCTATGCACTTTGCTGCACTTAGTGCACAGGGAGAGCAAGGACGTCATTGGCTCGGGAGCTTGGGATAATTATTTTTTTTCCTTTTTTCCTGTTCCCTCCTTTCCAGCTTTTTTAATCAAATAAGAGACGGGGCAAATCAAAGTTATTCAGTCTTCACCCCCTCTTTGCAATGCTACCACTTCAAAAGTGTTTTATTTGGCTCCTTTCATCAACAGAGCTCTGAATGATCAATGGGAAATAACTGCTAAGTCACCCAGCACAGATTTTCGTCATGACCTGTTCCTGCTCTGGACTCAGCCCCAGCCCTGGGGAGCTTCTAAACCATGTGTTCAGCTCCTTCGGGACCCACTTGATTACCCTGGAAACAGCAAGACAGCTCCAGCTCAAAAATCAGATGATGCTAGGATTTTTTCATTTTTTATTATAAGATTAAAGGGAAAATGGTTACCCCTATGGCTTGACAAACACATATAGTTTATTTCAAAGATGGGTAGCTGTGGGAAAGAAAGGAATATCTGAGCACATGATTTTATCCAATTATGGCAAGATTTAGTATAAATCAAAAACACCAATCCTGAATTCTTGTAGCTGATTAGATCTTCATTCTTTCATTCATTGTAATAGAAATAGTGGCAGGAGCCCATAGTGCCAGCTACCTTGGAGGCTGAGGCCGGAGGGTCCCCAGAGCCCCGGAGTTTGAGTCTAGTGTGGGCAATATAGTGAGACCCTGTCTCCTAAAAAAAATACATAATTTAATGGACAGCTACTTTGTGCTGTGTTCTGTGCAAGGCACTAGTATTGGAGAGTCCATTGACAATCAGAAAGAGATCTTGTTCACAGAGGAGAGTAATGAATTAACAGAGGAAATGAATGTGTGTGGATTGTTCTAATACCAGATAGAGGGCGGCAGCAATGATGGCAGAGGTTGACCTAGAATGCTATTGTTTCAAGAGAGGGAGAGTTTCCCTTGGCTTGATGATCCAAGGAAGACTTGTTAAAGAAAATGTTATTTTATCTGGGTCTTGAAGCATTAGCAGAATTGCACACAGGGAACATGCTAAGAGGAAGAAAAGAAATTTTCAGGCAGAAGGAATAGCAAGCATACACAAAGGCCAAGTTAGAGAACGTGGGGACTGTGTTAGGAACCCAGTGAATAGTTTCAGGGAAGGAAAGGAGCCTGAAATAAAGTAGCAGATGAAGTGGATGTCAGGGAGTTCCCAAGTGCCTGACAATTTCATCAATTCTCTTTGATGGTAAACAAAACAAGACAAAACCCTAGAGGCAGTTCTTTGTACGGAAGTCCTTCAGTTTTGGGTCACGTGGCCCTGTTACCCTGCCTGAAGGCGGCCTCTTTGTTTGTGCACCATCTCTTGTCTACATAATCTGCTCTTCTGCTTACCCGTGCTTTCTGTTCAGCTTGCATATGGCATTGTCTGGCCCTGGTGTGACTGCAGCCTTGAAAGACTTAACACAGTTTTCACCTTGCATCTCCTTACCTAAGTGTCTTTGTACCTCAAATCTGAATTCTCAAAAAAAAAAAAAAAATTTGTCGGATTGGACTGATTCAGGTACACATTTCTAGTTCCACCAGTTGTGACTGGAGAGAATGGCACCCCAGGGCAAATACGGCAGCCCATGTCCACCCCTGAAGCAGCTGCTATACGTAAAAGTGATATCAGTAGGCATTTACCCCAAACAATAATCATAAGTTTCTAAAATGTCACAAATGTCTGCAAACACTTAAGAAGATAAGGAGGTCTGCAATGCATACCTTTAGAAATTATTTCAGAAAGGTAAGAAATTTGAAAGTTTTGGCATTCACAGAAACGACCTTCAGTTACGTGAACAATCGCGATATCGAGATGTTTGTAACTCCGCACTGCTGAATAAATGAGATGATTCACTCCCTTGAGTCCCCATGACCTCTCTGAGATTCATGGATGTAATAATTTGCTTCATTGCTCTCCACTCCAAGATTCCCAATAGTATGTTAAGTAGGAAAACAAAGCCTTTCTTTACCTCATCCCGTATGCATTCAAATCACTTGTAGTGTGCAGAACATAGTTTATGCATCCACTTATGTAAACTTACCAGGATTATGAACAGAATATATTCTCACCAGGCAAGGGCAGTGTTTTACTTTTATAGGATACATAATCTGATAAACAGTGTCGGCAGAAAAAGGGATTTTACCAGGTAATGGTTAAGAAAGTGGAGGGGGACTGCAAATAGATACTTTAAAAACCTTTTTAGCGCTGGTTGCCTTTCCTTTATAAGGTTACCACAAAGCCAACTAATGTTACAGTGTCTGATGATTTTAATGCACCAATATTGGCTGTAAATTCCTTTCCTTGGGCGAGGATGCACAGATCAAAATGCAGCTGCCACTACTGCTGCTTCCAGCATACCACTAAATTTGACTAGCTTGCCCCAATAGTTAATTGATTAAGTGATAACTGATTATGTGGGTGTGAGCATGTTGTGCACCTATAACACACACACACACTACCAACAGCAGAAAATTAAGCTCATCATTCCTATGAACATATATGACTGTTAAACCCATAGATCTACCACTATAGTTGACTCCTCTGACAGCCCCAAACTTAAATATGATCCGTGTTTTCCCATCAATAAGGTGGTGTACTATTAACTTGGTTTTTGTGATTCTTGAGGTAATCTAGAAATGTTCTCTATGTTTATAATCTTAGCATACCAATTTTACTAAAAATGTCCTACTTACATCCTGCAGGCATCCAGGGCTCAGCTAAGATTTTCTGCTTCCAATTAAAGAGAAGAATTGAAACATTTAGGGAAAATATTAGGCTATCCAATGAGTGTCAGTAGCTGAAATTTTCTACTAGTACAGATAATAAGAATTATTTTGCTATGTGAGCCTGATCTGTTTCCACAGTACTTGAAACGTCACAATGTATGTAAATCCGAGGAGTTAGTTGTAAGTTAGAGCTGAAACCGAAAGGAAACAGAAGCAAAGAAAGCCCCTGTAACTGAGAGGGGCTGATTTCCGCCAATGGTCACTGAATTTGATTCTGAGTTTCTCAGTGGCCAAAGCCAAAGGGGCTCATGCTTTGTTACTGAGGCAGTGTTTTAAGGCTGCAAACCAATGATTTTTAAAACATATTGGTCCAAAAGTCAATTGCTTGAGGCTAAGAACCAAGAGAATATGTCCACTATTTAGAATATATGGACTGATAGCCTTGAAATTTGTAATAAGAGAAGCAAACTGTTACATATGTTTTCCTTTGGTATTAAGTGCTATAGATTATGGAATGTGAGCAATTCCACCTTCTGTTGGCCACAAAAGCATGTACCTCACCCTATAATAAATGAATCAACCTGGAAAGGGATGCAATGTGCATCTGTACCAACTTGCCAAGTGTTATCCACCCATGACGGAAAATGAGGGCGCTTTTCCAGGGCTACTCAAGTTATTCTCAGAGGCCCCCAGGGGCCTCAGGATTCTTCTGCAGTGGCCCCTTCATCAAGGTCAAGCACCACATTACCCCTCCATCACCAAGGTCCCTGTGGGACTGCCACTGGTCTGGTCTCCATCTCTGCTCATTTGGAGGCTCTTGTCTCCCTGCAAGTGCTTTCCTTAATGCTCTCCACAGCAAACCTGGGACAAGGTCCACTTTTTAAAAAAGATTTTGTTTTGAATGTCAAAGATAAAGAAATGAAAATAGACTGGCAAATTGAGACTTACAAATATTCGCACTCTTTACTTTTCCTAAAGCCCACAGACACGGGTCCTAAGGAGTCTTAACCTTCCTCCTGATCCATCCACACATAGAATTCCTCGAGGTTCTGAGTCGTGTGCTCTTTTAGGTCTCTGGCTTGCTCCTGCAGAAACCTAGAAGGCTCTTGCTTCTTCCCCTTCCCCTGGTTCACGCGACACCAATCTTGGCCTTGTCTCAAGTGTCATTTCCTCCAGGAATGTACCCCAATAAGCCTCTCACTGCCTAATCAGGTCAAGGCACCCTGTGTTACCGTCACTGCTCAGTGATCTTTCATTTCACATTTCATAGTTGTGCTTTTATTTTTCATGTTTAAAAAGCGATTTGTCACCCAAAAGAAGTAGAATCAGGGACTCAAACACCTTTGAACACCTGTATGTTCATAGCAGCATGATTCACAATAGCCAGAAGGTGGAAGCAACCCAAGTGTCCATCAACAAATAAATGAATAAATAACATGTGGTGGATTCATACAACAGAATATTACTTAGCCTTAGAAAGGAAGGGGATTTTGACACATGCACAACCTGGATTAACTTTGAAGACATTATGCTAAGTGAAATAAGCTCATGACAAAAGGACAAATAGAAGATTCTACTTGTATGAGATATGTAGAGTAGTCAAATTCATAGAGATAGGAAGTAGAATGCTGGCTGTCAGGTGCTGTGAAGACAGGAAGATGGGGGTTCTTGTTTGACAGGTATGGAGTTTCAGTTCAGCAAGCTGAAAAGAGCTCTGGAGATGGATGGTGGTGATGATTGCACAACCATGTGAATGTACTTAATGCCACTATGGACGTGTAAAAATGGTTAAGATGGTAAAAACTTATGTGTATTTGACCACAATTAGAAATAATAAATAGACAAATAAAATTGATTTTTAAAAAGCCATTTAATACTTATCTCCCTCTCCTAGACAATAAGCTTTCCAAGGATAGAAGCTGTGTCTACTTTTTCAGTGTTGTTTTCCTGTACCTGGCATGTAGTAATCACTCCATATGTACCTCTTGAAAATAAGATAAATGAGTGCATGGCAGGACTAGATCATCCTCTTTTTACAGGGCCACTAAATATATCTGTGTCTCACCTTCACATTACCTCTTGAGACCCCCCTACACCAGGCAGGAAAAATGTCCACTTCACTGTGTAATTTTCATCATTCAAGTTCTTATTTCCTTCATATCTGCCTCCACCCAGGATGAGTGATGATGAGTCTCCCACCCCCACACACCCTTCTAGGGAATCCCCCAAGAAGCATGGCCTCATTCTTTGGCCTCAGAAGAACAATCTTATCAGAATATGATATCACAACATCAGTACACTTTCCAAAAGCTTGGTCATTCTATCTGATATAACCCTACCATTAGGACAAAAACCATTCCATTGGGAATAGCTGTGATGAACTCAGGACAGTTCTCTACACCAGTGAATGGAGAACAGCATGTTGGTGAGTCCTTTCTAAAGTCTTCTGTGTCAATACTCAGTTCCTATAAGTAACTACTCTAGCCAAAATACCTGTAAGAACTGACTCTGTAAGGACACACCATAGTTTTCAGCACAGGGTACTCTAAACTCACATAGAGTCCCCCAAAACTGTATGCTCCCCATTTCCTTTCCTCTTAAAAATTCTAGAGCATGAAAGAAAATCAATACAGTTTTGACCCAGCCATGCACAACAATTTACACTACCTATGTTACCAAGCAGGACATTTATTTTTCAATCTTAAATATTTTGATTTAGATTAATGACACTTGAACTTTGCCTCAAAACTTGAGGAACAATTGGTAACCAATTGGTGTATTTCAACTGGTCCTAGAACAAAGGGACTATCTTCCCTAAATAAATATTAACATTTTTAATTTTAATTATATATCAAATAGATTTTAAGTTTAAATGGTAGGTTTTATAGTTCTTACCCATCACGGTTACAGAAATCTCTGGCTTTGATTTTTAACCAAGACACACATTATTTCTACACATGCCCAGTACTTAGGTGCTCACCTTCTTGTTAAATCTGTGCTTTTAAAAAATATCTCTTCAATTCTTGCAGAAAGTATCAACCGTGTATAGGTTTCTTTATTAAAGATATTTCTTTAATATCTCTCTCCAATATTTAGTAATACCTTTTCCAATCCTGAATTTTTATCACAGAAGAAGCCAGCAACAGAGAATAGGAAATTGTCAACCTCATGTCAGAGCTTACAGTGAATTTTTGAAAACCCACAGCTTTAATCTACAAATCCGGAAGTTTTCTTGTTTTATTTCTCTCCCCAACAAAATATACTTATTGCCTCATTGTAGCCATAAAACCTGGGGAGACAAATCCATCTCCTACTCTAAGATCCTTCCCAGATTCCAATCACCTCTGAATCATACTGAGGCCACTTTCTACAAGGGTGACCTAAGCAAACCTTGCCACATATACCATCTTCCCATATCACACACTGAGATAAGACGACCACTGCAGACATTTAATCTTGTGCAAACAATGATCTCTGTTAGAAGCCACTGAAATAGAAAACTAAATATTCTGCTGCTTTTGAAAAAATTCAGGTAGATGGTATTACCTATCTTGTGACCTGAAGATGCTTCTTGCTGTGTGTTTCCCCCATGATGGTTTGTACCAGGAAAAGACGTAGTCAGCATACCTGTGTGATTCAGGGACTGCAATGAAAATTGAGCCATCAGGAACTGTTCTTTTTTGGCAGGCATCCCCAAAACATAGCAAACCATTCAGCAAAGAGGTACTACACAGAGGTGAGGTACAGGAGCCCTGGAACCAGCTAGGTTCCTCCCCAGCTGCTCTGCTTGCTAAGCACATGACTGTGTGCAAGTTGTTTAATCTCTTGCTGTCTCCATTTCTTCATCTATAAACTGGGGGTAACAGTTGTCTTTACTTCAGAGAATTGTGATGGGGGAAATTGAATAGTGCATGCACAGTGTTCACAGTATCCTGTGAATGGGTCACGGTTTACGTGCTCTATTTTACATTTAAAATGTAGTATCCTTACTGCATACCCAGCATGCACTAAGGACCCAATGAATATTGGCTAATGTCACTATTTGCTTCTTTCTTTAATTGATTTCTAGCTCCCACTGTTTTCAAGGACCTTAGCTTAAACCCGATTCTTTACATTGCACATCACCTCTTCTCCTCTCCTCTCCTCAGTTACAACAGGAAAATGAAATGTCCCCTCCCTCCTCAGCTGAACAATCATTTATATTCACCTGCTCTATCGAGGCCTAAGAGGAAACCAGCTATGGAGAGAATTCAAAAGTAGAAAGCCCGGTGAAAGGTCTCTCAGGAGTGCGAAGGCCATTTTTTCACTGGTTTGCTCTGCAGAGGAAAATAAAATGGACCTGAAACAATTACTCTGAAAAATGATTTGGGGGTGGGCAAAAGAATCTCATTCAATATTTGTGTGTGTGTGTGTGTGTGTGTGTGTGTGTGTGTGTGTGGTTTTTTTTTTACCTATGGGAGACCAAGATGCCTTAAGTCTGTAGCTTCTCTTCAATGCAGGTAAATTGTGTGCCCCAAGCCCACTAGTGGCTAAACTAATAAATTGATCTAGTATTAGTTTAGTCAAAGAGTTGTCAAAATGAATGAAAGACTCCGGGCTGTTTCTTTCTACCTAACATGGCTCTATCTTGCTCAGTTTTATTTGGGGTTCTTAGTGTGGGGGCACACAGAGGAAGCAGATGGGGAACCTGTCAAAGCTTAACTCTCTGCCATTGAACTACTGAGGAATTAAAAAGTAACTATAACTAGTAGCCTCACCAAATGAAAGGCTGTGCTAAGATCACCGTGAACATTATGAATGGCACTGAAGCTCCATATAGGTTAATGAGAAGGAGTAGTGAAAACAGTCAATGATAAGAAGTTCCATTCACTTTACCATCCTTCTCTGAAAAACTCCTCAGGGGTGGGACATGGTCTGAAAGGTAAGTATGAGGACACATGAGTCACTTAGTGATTTTCCTGAAGTAGACAGCACCACGAGTAGGTGGGCTTAGCTGAGAAGGGTTGAGGGGACAGACAGCCCACCATACCCATTTGCCCCATGAAGCACGTTGCAAATCTTCTCTGCAGTCTTCTGTGTCAATATTTATCTCCTATAAACAACTGCTCAAATGTTCTGAATGGTGGGGGAGAATGTTTACAAGAAGGGGTTGTTCTGTGTGAAGGCACCTCCTTCCCCTGGTCCCAGCAGGCTGTGACGTGAGTTTGGGCTACTCCTGGTTACCAGTCATTCTCCTCTCTGTGCAAGACAAGGAACAAAGAAAGAGCAGGTGTGCAGTGGAGTTGGGGATGTTGAAGAGTGTTGAGCATAACCGCTGGACTTTTCTGTCATTCTGAGAGCTTTCCTGAGAAAAAGAATGTCCATGTATATCATAAGCTTGAAATAATAGACTGACGGGGGAGAGATGTATGGCATGAGTAGCAGGGCATATGGTTGGGGACTCTATACGACTAGTGGGGTAGATTTCCAAGTAGTGCTCATTTCCTTCAGGTCTCTGCTCAAAGGTCACCTTATCTGTTTCACATGAAATAGCCTCCATCCACTTCTCCATTGACACTCCCCACCCACTTTACCTTGGGTATAGTACTCTGACATTCTCATCACCACCTGACATAACCATGCATTCACTTGTCCATCTGCTTCCTCCAGCCAGGGCATAAGCCTCAAGAGAATCAAGACTGCTGTGTTCATTGCTTCATAATCAGCACCCAAGACAATGCCTGGAACATAGTGGTGTTCAGTAAATATTGCTGACGGAGGAGTAAATCTGTTGTATCTGTTTAGTTTTTACACAAGACTCCTGGGAAGAGAAAAGCATGCCAAGCATCAACTTTAGAATAGTTTAATCTTCTCATTTTACAGACAAGAAAACTGAGGCTGAAACAGGTCATGGCTTATGCCAAGTCTGGCTGATGCAGAGAATGAGGCTGAGGCTCCATGGTCCACGAGCAGCCTGTCCTCAAGAGCATAGACAATTTTGCTGAGCACATCTGACATATGACAGGGTGATGGAGAGGAGCTGGAAGGACATTTCCTGGGCACGCCTGAGACATTCCCCAAATGAAAAGGAGAAAATTGAATCCAGAGACACTGAACAAATGGGAAAAGAAGGAACGACCATGCCCCTGTCTGACAGGCTGCCCGCCTGGGGATGGCAACGGGAGAAAGCAGATGGCTGCGCTGGCACACAGCAGCTGGCTGGAGCAGTACAAATTGAGCACCCTTGGTGAATATCATTAGGGTAAGTGGTGCACTAAAACACCTAGAGGAAGAACAAGCAAGCAGAACACACACACACACACACACACACAGACACACACACACACACACACACATGCATTTTTAAATTTTCAGTTTATTCTTTCAATTTCCCTTCACTACAAGGTAGGCTCCATGAAGACAGGGCCTTTGTCTGTCTTAATAATTATTAGTTGGATACATGAAAAGATGAATGAATTAATTATTAAGCATCTCCCATAACAGACATAGTGCTAAGCATAGAGGATGGTTTCTGCATCAGGAGGAATCACAAGGGGAAATAAATAAGACCTTCAACTACCAAGTGGTGTGTTTAGTGTTATGAAGGAGCTGAAAGGGTCCCAGAAGAAGCTAGGCTTTGGGGGTCAGGAGGTCTCAAGAAACGCACCAGGTGGTGGTTGAAGATTAGCTCAGGTATTACAAGAAAAGCCTAAATGGATCAGAAGTAGAAGACGGAGAACTGAGAGAATAGCATGTGCTAAAGCCAGAAACAAGAGGGGGCTAGAGGAACTCCAAGCAGCACCATGTCATGTGGAAGGGACATAGCCTTTTGAATTAGACAGACCCAAGTTCAAATTCTAACGCTGCTCCTTACTACCTGAGTATTTTTGAACAATTTACTCTGCTAGACTGATCTTTGGTTTTAAAAATCGGTAACATAGGAAAAATATTGCCAGCATTTCAGGTTCTTCCAAGGATTACATGAGATCGTGTTTTCTATAGAGGATGACATGGTTGAGATCAGGAATTGCTGGCTGCTACTCTAGTGTGGAATCGGGGAAAGGTGGCCTGAACCAGCAGGCAGGGGTCAATTCATCTGTGGCTTGAGGGTCCCAGGAGAATTTTGTACTTTGACCAGGAGGCATGAGGAGTAGTTGCAGGGTTTTAAATAAAGGGATTATGAGAGTGCAGGCAATGAGAGTTTTTAGTAGTCACTCACAATAATCCTGGAAGGAAATAAAGGTCTCTCCAAGGAAGATGCAATGGGAATGAAGAGGAGAGGATGCACATAGGATACACAGGAGGAAGAACTGATAGGACTTTATTACTTATGGGTCCTATGAAAGGAAGAGACATCTAGAACTATTTCTACTCATACTTCTTAGTAAGCTCTTCAGATGAGAGTCAGAACCAAACTCTTTTTTAACAGCGGGCAATAAAATAAGTACAGGATCCAGAGTAAAGGTTTACAATGTTTTATAGAAAGATATTTTAATTTGAATTTTATGAAAGTATCAATCTGCAATAGATTCCTCATTTTAGTTGAAGAACCATTGGTTTACAACAGTGCTGTCCAATGCAAGCCACGTATGTAATAGGTGACATTTATGTTAATATTATTTTTTATTTAACCTTATATATCCAAAGTATTTTCATTTTGTGATAGTTAATATTGAGTGTCAACTTGATTGGATTGAAGGATGCAAAGTATTGTTCCTGGGTGTGTCTGTGAGGGTGTTGCCAAAGGAGATGAACATTTGAGTCAGTGGGCTGGGAGAGGCAGATCCACCTTCAACTGGGTAGGCACAATATAATCAGCTGCCAGTGCAGTAGGATAAAAGCAGGCAGAAGAACGTGGAAAGACCAGACTGACTGAATCTTCCAGCCTTCATCTATCTCACATGCTGGATGCTTCCTGCCCTTGAACATCAGACTCCAAGTTCTTCAGTTTTTGGACTCTTGGACTTACACAAGTGGTTTGCCAGAGGCTCTCAGGCCTTCGGCTGCAGACTGAAGCCTGCACTGTTGGCTTCCCTACTTTCGAGGTTTTGGGACTCAGACTGGCTTCCTTGCTCCTCAGCTTGCAGAAGCCTATTGTGGGATTTCACCTTGTGACCATGTGAGTCAATAACCCTTAATAAACTCCATTTCATATGTACATGTATCCTATCAGTTCTGTTCCTCTAGAGAACCCTGGCTAATACACATTTCAACATGCAATCAATATAAAAATATTAATGAGGCCAGGTGCAGTGACTCACGCCTGTAATCCTAACACTTTGGGAGGCCAAGACAGCCAGATCATGAGATCAGGAGTTCGAGACCAGCCTAGCCAACAGAGTGAAACCCAGTCTCTACTAAAAATACAAAAAATTAGCTGAGCGTGGTGGTGGGTACCTGCAATCCCAGCAAATCAGGAGGCTGAAGCAGGAGAATCACTTGAACCCAAGAGGCAGAGGTTGCAGTGAGTCGGCTTGCACCACTGCATTCCAGCCAGGATGACAGTGCGAGACTCCACCTAAAAAAAAAAAAAAAAAAAAAAAAATATATATATATATATATATATATATATATATATATGAGATATATTGCATTTTTGTAATAAAAATCCAGGGTATATTTTACAATTATAACATAGCTAAATTTGTAGTAGCCACATTTTAAGATCTCAGTAGCCACATGTGCCTAATGGCTATAGTGCTTAGTGACACAGCTATAGTGCTGAGGTGGATGGTCACAGGTGATTGAGTGGATGGTCATACTTTAACCACCTCTTAGAAGAAGCACAGCGTTAGAGGGAAATGCTTGTTCCCCACTCTCCTAATTTTGCTTCAGAGAGATTTATTCTAAACATACCAAGCCTCTTGCTTTACCCCTTACTCCTCGCCTAGAAAAGTAGAGTGAATTTCCTATGGATAGTTTTGGGAAAATAAGCCAGGCATGTCCATCTAAGCAACTCCATCCTTCTCCTTTAAAAAGCCAGCCTGACGTGGTAAACAAGGGACCTGTGCTTCTCCTCTTGGGTACCCCCTCCATGTGGGAAGGCCTGCCGTGGCCTGGCACAGCCTTGATCCACAAGGTAAATTCTCCTAGTTCTGAGGTTGTGCCTGCAAGCTCCTTTGACACAAAAGTCATATTATCCAAATTATTCTTTATCATTCATAAAGACAATTCTCAGCCTCCAGCTCTGTCTGCATTAGCAGAGGCTGCTCCTAGGGACAGGTGTAGAAGA
Organism: Homo sapiens; assembly: GCF_000001405.40. Lineage (NCBI taxonomy): Eukaryota > Metazoa > Chordata > Mammalia > Primates > Hominidae > Homo > Homo sapiens. The sequence continues at coordinate 221,919,427 of NC_000001.11, forward strand.
ACAGGGTCTCTGCAAAGGCATGGGCATCTCAGGAGAGGATTTTTGAGGTGCTGGTGGCTATAGCTTGACATTAAATTAGCAAATGGCCTAAGTACACATGTGTGACCCATGCAGAGACTGAGCAGATGCTGGCAGGCCACAGAGTCCTTAGTAAGCACAGCTGTGGTAAGGATTCTATTATAGAAAAAATAAAATTTTCTTTCTGCCATTGTTTTAGACTTCAGGGAAGGTACAATACTTGCTGTTTTTAAACTTCAAAAGAGTTGAGATCCACGTGTATCTCAGAAAACTAGGGAAGTAAATTGTTAATGTCAAAATTGTCAACAGTGTATTAGCTGCCCCAAACTCCATTGTATATCCTTAAGAAGAGAATGATGGCATAACTAATCTTGGGGTTTAGTTGTTTTGCTCTCAAACTCAAGAATGAGCCACCACCAAATGTTCTCAAGCTAGTTCATGATTACTTAAGAACATACGGTGGAGACAGCTTCTTAACCTTCAGCAGCTCCACAGTCATATTGGTGTAGGATTGTATAACACCTGTAAAAAAGAGAATGTGGTTTCTCTGCAACTAAATATATTCCATGCTCAACTTGTTCGGTTCAGAACTGAAGAAGTAGGTCTGTATAATTCTGGGGCTCATCTGTCACTCACACAAAATAGTGCCCTCCAATTTAGCATTTCTAAGCAATTATGGTGATATTTTGGCTTCCAACTAATTATTTTTCATTTCACATTTTCTACATAAAGCTCTGAAAAAAATAAAAGTTTCGTTTTGGAGATACATATATATATATATGTATATATATGTATACATATATATGTATATATATGTGTATATATATGTGTATATATATATGTATATATATATATATGTGTGTGTATGTATATATATATATATATACATATATATATATATATATATATATAGTTTTTTGTTTTTTTTTTTTTTGAGTCGGAGTTTTGCTCTTGTTGCCCAGGCTGGAGTACAATGTCGTGATCTCGGCTCACCACAACCTCTGCCTCCCGGGTTCAAGCGATTCTTCTGCCTCAGCCTCCTGAGCAGTTGGGACTACAGGCATGCACCACCACGCCCAGCTAATTTTGTATTTTTAGTAGAGATGGGGTTTCTCCATGTTGGTCAGGCTGGTCTCGAACTCCCGACCTCAGGTGATCTGCCTGCCTTGGCTTCCCCAAGTGCTGGGATTACAGGCATGAGCCACCGCTCCCAGCCCTGGATATATATTTTTAAACGCCAGAGAAATATCAAATCATTCTACAGGTAATTGACTACATTGTCTAAAGATATTAAAATTAATTTGAGTAGAGATGAAGATGTGGAAGTAATCAGAATGCACACACACACACACACACACACACACACACGTATATATATGATGTTTGAAGACATAGATATAAGAAGTCCCCCAAGAAGCTTTTAAGAGAAGAGAGGGGGGTAAGAGCTGAACTCTGAAGAATACTAACATTTGAGGGATATACAAAGAAAGGAAGGAAACTAAGAAATTTCCAGAAGAAAGTAAGAATATGATGTTTCTATGGATGAAGACAGAAAGAATGTTTTAAGAAGGGAATGGCTGACTGAGTGTAAATAATATTTATAATCTTATTCATTCAACAAATATTTATTGAGTATCTATTATAGGCAGAGACTATTCTAAGCACTGGCAATTCAACAGTGAATAAGACAATATCTTTTCCCTCATGGAGTTTGTGATCTAGTGTAAATTCACACAGACAAAGTAAGATAAGAAAGGACTGAAAGTGATCCATTGGGTTTGACCATTTATTAATTATTAGGGACTTCAGTAAAAGGAAATTCAATGGTGTAGAGGGATAACAGCAGACAGGAGTGGGTTTATAAGTCCATGGAGCTGGGCAGTAATGAGACAGGGTGGTAGCTGGACAATGTGCAGTCCATAGTGGGTGATGGCTATGGAGAATATTCAAGGGAGGAAGGTAGGAAGAGCCAGCAGAGACAGAAACAAAAGACCAAAGGAAGAAGATACAAAGTGATCTGTCACTGATAAACAATGCATGAGTAAATACAATAAATCCTCAACTAATGTCATAGATAGGCTCCTAGAAACTGCTACTTTAAATAGAACAACATAAAATAAAACCAATTTTACCATAGGAGAATTAATATAAACAAGAGTTCAGTTCTTAAGGCATATTTCTTGTCACAAAAACATCACCAAACTTCTAAATAAAGGCCAAAACACTTCTAATATTAAACATTGAAATAAATGTGAGCTATACATACATTAAAGAGAGATTAATGAAAACAAGATAATCATTTACGCACTTATTTCAGCTCAGGGTTGCAGGTGGTTGGAGCCTATCCCAGCACTCAGGATGCAAGGCAAAAACCCACCATGGCCAGGCCACCATTCCATCACAGAACACAGGCACACACGCAACCACGCTCACTCACACTGGGACCATTGAGATACCCCAAGGAACTTAGCAGGCGCAGCGCTGAGATGTGGGAGGAAATCAGAGTACCCAATGAAACTCACAAAGCCACAGGAAAATGTGCAAACTCCACACAAACAGTGGCCCTGGCTAGGAACCAATTTTGTTTTCTCACCAACCAAATTGGCATTGATAAGACGCAGGAGAATACTCCTTGATCATAAGGATCTCCCAGGCTAGCATAACAACTGAATGAGTGACTCAAATGCTGATCATCATGTATGGAATGAGACATGGTTCTAAGCACATACAGGGAATATCCCGTGTAATCTTCCCAGCACACCATGCAGGAAGGACAATTATTGTTCCCCTTTGACAGGTGAAGCCACTGAGGGATAGAAAGGTAAAGCACCTGGCCCAGGACAAGCTGGTAAATGACAGAGCCAGAAATAACAACAAGACAGGCCACAAGTCCAGAGCCTGAGCTCTTACCCACAGAGCTTAACCTCATTTGCTTTTGTTTATCCCCATGCCATATTTTCACTGAAATTTTCTGATGAGGTGTCAACATCATTTATGTCCCCCAGAGTCAAGCCTTTGGTGCATCTGAAAAGTGAATTCATTTTTTTTTTTTGTTTTTTGACAGAGTCTTACTCTATAGCCCAGGCTGGAGTGCAGTGGCACGATCTCAGCTCACTGCAACCTCCATCTCCCAGGTTCAGGAGATTCTCCTGCCTCAGCCTCCTGAGTAGCTTAGATTATAGGTGCATACCACCAGGCCCAGCTAATTTTTATTTTTTATGTTTTGTATTTTTAGTAGAGAAATGTTGGCCAGGCTGATCTTGAACTCCTGACCTCAAGTGATCCACCTGCCTCTGCCTCCCAAAGTGTTGGGATTACAGGCATGAGCCACCGTGCCCTGGCCTGAAAGGTGAGTTCAAAATGAATGTTTTTCTTATGTTAGCAAACTCAAGAGTGACAAAGAAATCACCTGCTTCAAGAAAATTAACATAAGCTTGTAATCCCAATGCTTTGGGAGGCCAAGGTGGATCACTTGATGCCAGGAGTTTAAGATCAGCCTAGGCAACATAGCAAGACCCTGTCTCTATAAAAAAAAAAAAAAAAAAAATTTTAAATAAAATGAGAGGAGATGATAAACACTTGACCTTCTGTGGATTATTGTTGACCTGAGGGCTGGGTCACGGCAAGCTCATCTTTGCTTTCCACAACCTTGACAATCATGGAAGACTCTTGTAATTTTTTTCAAACAGGAAGTCTCTCAACACCTTCAGAACATTATCTGTGACTCTCACTTTACCTGACTCCAAAAGAAAATGGGTAGGTTAGAAAGAGAGACACACTTTAAAGCAAACCATGGAAAACATATGGAACTAGGACTGAGTGGAAAATTTTAAAGGTGTTTTATTCTCCAGAGATCATCAAATATAAGAAGAAAATAAAAATAAAGTAATGAACACACAAAAGGTTTGCAAACAATTAAGAAACATGCCAAATTCTTAGATGAGCAAGTCTAAAAATAATAATATATAATAACACATTCCATTAAGGCAATCCCAATAAATCTCACTAACACTTTGTTTTAAATTGATAAAATAATTCTAAAGTTAATCTCAGGAAAAATATATAAAAAGACAATAATGGTGGAGATTAGAAGAAGAGACACTTATTCTATCACGTAAGAAGCTGGGCTATAATGAAGCTACAATAACTGAAATCTGGTTCTGGGGCAGAACAAGACTGGCAGATCCATGAGACAGACACAGATAGAAGAATTTAGCATATGGTTAAGTTGTGATTTTAAATCAGTAGGAAAATGCTAAATTATACAATAAATCATGTTGGGTCAACTGGCTAGCAGTTTGAATAAAATGTAATTTAGATTCTTACCATGTATCTTATTCTAAAATAAATTCAGATGGATTAAATATTTAAATATAAATCAAGCACAGGAAAACACTAGAAGAAAATTTAAGTGGATATTTTTATAATTCTGAAATGGAAATATTTTCTCATCATGCCACCAAAACAAGAAACCATGAAGGCTAAATTTGAATACATAAGAATTCAAAACGTTTATGTGGCAAACTCACTATAACCCAAATTAAAAGAAAAATAAATTAATAAAACATATAACATGGCCTCTTTTGACAGAGTGCTGAGAAAAATGAGATGTCCGTGCTTCTGAGGAATAAAGTGTGGTTTCAATAATTCATGCAAGAAACATTTATTGAGCTGCTCTGAGTCAGGAACTCTTCTACGTGGCAAGGATACAGCTAAGCAGGGAGATGAGGTCCCTGATGTTACTGAGCTTAAAAACCATTTTTAATGTCATGGAGGAGTACTATGATGAAAATAAAGAGAGTGTTAGGGGCTCGTGAGGAGCTGGAGGTCAAAGAAGTTCGTTTTGAAGAGGCGACTGTTAACCTAAGGCCAGAAGGATAAGAAAGAGCAGCCTGGCAGAGATCTGGGGTGAGTGCTTTCCAAGTGGGGGAAATAGCCAGTGTAAGGTCATGAGGTAGGAAGAACCTGGCCTGTTGGAGAGATGAGAAAAAGCCAGGCAGCCAGAGAATGCAAGGCAGAAGGGAGTGTCATACAGGAAGAGACCGAGGAATTGGTGCAGGCTGTGGATCATGCACACCTTCCTAAGCCAGCGTTACCTTTTACTCTGAATATGAGAGTAGCCACTGCACCCTTTAAGCAGGTGACTGGCTTCTGGCTCCCTGAAGGAAGAAGCTGCTACTTCTACTTGCTTAGCAATTTCCAACCTTAGCCTACCTTAGCCATTTGCACATGGTGAGGCTCTAGGCATGTACCCCTCAAATCTAAATTACAGCACAAGGTAAATCCATTCAAAACCTCAGAATGGGAATGCAAGTATTCAGAGGTATTAATGTAGTATATAAAGAATCTCAGGGCTTGTCTACCAAATCCAATATACACTCACCATTCTCAGTCCAGTTAGCTCTTTGCTACCACTTCTTTTTTATTCATGTTTTTTCCAGTCTAGCCAAGTTGAAGGTCAATTTTACTTATGTTTTGTTTTAATTTTAACATCTGAGCCATTTTTGAATGTTCCATGTTTTATAAACAGATATATGGGCTTTCTTTTTTTAAAAAAATTTAAGTTGTCACATGAAAATCAACCAGAAGCTGAGATTGTTTGATTTCCAGGATTCACAAAGAAAATCATGTGCTTTTTGGAAGGGACTTACATGTGAATAGAGAAGGGACTGACATACATGGATATGAGTATATGTGTTTGTGTGTGTGCACACATGGGTATGGTGGGGGTGGGCAGAGAACCACAACACATACCATGGGCAACAGACACCTACATGTGGCCCAAACCAAACACAACTCCCCACAAATTCTCTGTGACTTCATTCTTTCTTCTCTCATTCAAAAAAGCAGTTATGTGAATTAAGGGAAATTTAAAAGGGCAGTTAGGTATGTTGAAAATGCAACAGAAGAAATAAACCCACTCTACCATTTGTAAAACACCTAATCATATATCTCATGATAGAATCCAGCTCAAAATTCAAAAGGCACAGGAAATTGTTATTCTCAGCAGGCATAGGCCCAAAGAACAGGAAAACCTAAAATATACTGTATGATGATAAAACAAAAAAACTACTGTGAATTATAAAGTAGTTAATAGAAACAACATAATCAGTAAGTCAATGAATAATAATAATCTTTATCTCTCATTTCCTCTCAAAGACCTAATTCAACAAATTAATCACTCAATGAATTGAGTTGGGGCGAATAGATCTGCCCCACTCAAGAGTGCTTGTTATTGGCTGGGCAAGTGACTCATTCCTGTAACCCCAGCATTTTGAGAGGCTGAGACAGAAGGATTGCTTGAGTTCAGGAGTCCAAGAGCAATCTAAGCAACATAGCGAGACCTCATCTCTACAAAAAGTTTAAAAAATTATCCAGGCATGGTGGTACATGTCTGTAGTCTAGCTACTCAGGAGGCTGAGGTGGGAGAATCTCTTGAGCCCAGAAGTTGGAGGTAGCAGTGAGCTCTGATTGTGCCATTGTATTCCATCCTGGGTGACAGGATGTCACCCTGTCTCGAAAAAAAAAAAAAAAGAGTGCTTGTTGCTACTATTTCAAATCTCATTGACTGTCCTTTCTCTAGCACTGAGAGCTGATGGTTAGGTAAGCTGGTATAAGATCCAGTCCCAGCACCCAAAGGAGCACAGAGCACATCTCTTCCTGTTTCTAAAGCCCAGGAAGGAAGCTTTGTCAACACAGTGTGGACCCTGAGCAGCTCCCCCTCCTTCAGAGCCCAGGCCATTTGTTTTGCTTAAAACATGAAAGAAAAAAAAGAAAAAAAATGCCATTTAACCCAATCATGTTTTTATTTTTATGAGATGATGGTATCATGACAAAGCTATTTTATAGCTTCTTTGTTAAAGAAGTTTGGAATATATAAAGAAAATGGAGTTTTAGAAAAAATAACAATGACCATATTTTAGTTTTAATGTCTTCATTTTTGTTGAATGAAACAATGGTTCTTGAGCTTATTTTTTACATTATATATAAAACTGTTTCAAAGGAGCCCTCTCTCTTCCACTCCACTCCATTCATTTAGCCAACATTTACTGAGTATTCACCGTGTATCAGCTAAACTTGGCCCAGTCAATGGTACAGAGTTCTTGTTTCCTTGGGGCCCATCAGCATTTAGACAATAAGTACAACAGCATGCATTATTACTGCCAAGATGGATGCTCTCCATGATACAGGCAGAGTACAGATGAAGATTAGTAAATCCGACCCTCACTCTCCAGGGATCTTTATCTCTCTTTTCCTCTCAAAGTTCAAGGGGAAACGAATTTGCAGTTAAACTTGACTACCGTGATTATATCTCTGCTCTTTCCAGTAAAGTGAGCCAAAAATGCAGGAATGGTGCAAATGACTAGAATGAAGAAAGGACTCTGAACCCATGGGGGCTGAAACATAATCGAATACATTTATAAGAATCAAAGTAAAATCATTTAATCTGTTAAATAACCCATCATGCCTGAAGCAAGTAAGTGGAAGGTGAAGGAAGAGACACTTTGTTACGAGGCATGAATGTTTAACTAAATCCACAAACACACACACAGGACATAGACACACACACCCAATCATGCACATCGTCACATCACACACACTCACACACCAATTCATATATACACACCAATACACACAGCCTCACACACTCCCTACCTGACAAAAGAAATATCGAAGACATCTAAATGTGGGGAAAGAGTTTCAGTGCTGGAACTGCAAATCCTGAAAGCCTTTTTCTTTCCACTACAAATCTTCTCAACCATCCTAAAGATTCATAGAAGCAAAAATGGAAAAGATCCCCAAGGAGCCTGCAGCAGCAGCAGGTTTGCATTCACTTGCTCCAGGATGATCACTTTCTTTGCCTGCACAACTAAACCTTGTTCTGACAGAGATATTAATGTCATCTTTGATTTCTATAACACATGTGTTTGGAAAAATCAGGGATTTCATACTGGTTGGTTTTTTAATACAATGTAGCATGATTGTTTGACTTTTATAGGTACAGATGCTATGACAGTGAACACTAAAATGGTCCCTGCCAAGTGCCATATGCAGATGATAGAGAAGAGCAGTGGCCTCTGGTCTCCCAGGTGCTGGGGCTCCTTTTGCCAAATGGTACTATGAATATAGCCAAGGGCCACTCAATAAAAAAAGAGAATGCGATAGAGGAGGTGGAGCAAGATGGGCAAATAGAACCCTCCAGTGATCATCCCCCACTGCAGGAACACCAAATTGAACAACTATCCACACAAGGAAGCACCTTCATAAGAACCAAAAATCAGGTGAGTGATCACAGTACATGGTTTTAACTTTATAACCCTGAAAGAGGCACTGAAAGATATAGGAAAGAAAGTCTTGAATTGCTGACACCCCTCCTTTCCCATCCCCCAGCAGCCGCTGCACAGTGCAGTGAGATAATCTGTGCACTTAGGGGAGAGAGAATGCAGTGATTATGGAATTTTGCTTTGGAACTTCATGCTTCCCTGTCACAGCAGAAAGCAACACAGGGCAAAATTTAGCCAGTGCTCAAAGAGGGAGCATTTAGACCAGCCCTACCCAGAAAGGAATCATCCATCCCAGGGATAAGAACCTGAGTTCTGGCTAGCCCCACCTCTGGGTGTTAAAGCACTCTGGGGTCCTAAATAAACTTAAAAAGCAGTCTAGGCCACATGGACTGCAATTTCTGGGCAAGTCCTGGTGTTGTGCTGGACTGGAAGCAGTGGACTTGGGGTGCACATGATCTAGTGAAACACAAGCTGGAGTGGCCAAGCGAGTGCTTTTGTCACCCCTTCTCCAACCCCAGGCGGCAGATCTTCTGCCCCAGAGAGACTCCTTCCTTCTGCGGAGGAGAGGAGAGGGTAAAGAAGACTTTGTCTTGTAACTTGAATGCCAGCTCAGCCACAGCAGAATAGGGTACCAGGCAGAGTCCTGGGGTCCCTATTCCAGGCACTAGACAACACCTGTAGACATACCCTGGGCCAGAAAGAAACCCACTGCATTGAAGGGAAGAACCCAGTTTTGGCAGGATTTATCACCTGCTAACTAAAGAATAAGTGGGTACCTTGAATAAGTGGTACCCAGGCAGTACTTGCGTGAGGCCTTGGGTGAGACCCGGGGCGTGCAGGCTTCAGGTGTGATCCAGTGCGTTTTACACTGTGGTGGCCATAGGGAGAGACTCCTTCTGCTTGAGAAAAGGAGAGGGAAGAGTAAAGGGGACTTTGTCTTGCAGCTTGGGCGCCAGTGCAGCCACAGTGAGGTAGTGCACCAACTGGGCTCCTGGAGTCCATGATTCCAAGCCTTGCATTTTAGATGGCATTTATGGACCTTTCTGGGACAGAAGGGAGCGCATTGCCCTGATGGAAAAGACCCAAGACTTACAGCATTCACCACAAGCTGACTGAAGAGCCCACGGGTATTGAGTGAATATTGGCAGTGCCAAACAGTACTTGCCATGGGCCTGAGGTGGTGGTGGCCTGGGGGAAAGACTCCTTCTGCATGAGGAAAGGTGAGGAAAGAGTGGGAACAACTTTGTCTTGTGTCTTGGGTGCCAGCTAAGTCACAGTAAAATAGAACACCAGATAGATTCCCATGTTTCCCCACTCCAAGACCAGGCTCCTGGACAGCATTTCTGGACCTGCCCTGGGCCACAGGGGAGCATACTACCCTGAAGGGAAGGACACAACATTGGATGGATTTGCCACCTGCTGACTGAAGAGCACTTGGACCTTGCATGAACATTGGCAGTAGCCAGGCAGTGGTTGCCACAGCCTTGGGTGAGACTCAGTGTTGCGCTGATTTCAGGTTTGACACAGCACAATCCCAGTGGCGATGGCCACACAAGTGCTTGGTTATCCTCCCTGCCAGCTCCAGGCAGCTTAGTATGGAGACGGAGACTCTGTTGATTTGGGGGAAAGTAAAAGAGGAGAACAAGAGTCTTTGCCTAGTAATCCAGAGAATTATCCCAGATCTTACTCAAGACCACCAAGGTGGTACCTCTACAAGTGTGCAAGAGACACAGCATTGCTAGGCTTGGGGTGCCTTATAATGCAGATAGGGCAGCAATGACCAAAGATTTAGATCACAACACTCAATTCCCCTTGAATACCTAGGAAGCTTTACCAAAAAGGACAGATACAAACAAGCCTGAAGTGTAAAGACTACAATAAAAACCCAACTCTTCAATGCCTAGACATGGACAAACATCCACAAGCATCAAGACCATCCAGGAAAACATGACCTCACAAAATGTACTAAATAAGGCACTAGCAACCAATCCCTGAATGACAGAAATATGTGACCTTTCAGACAGGGAATTCAAAATAGCTGTTTTGAGGAAGCTCAGAGAAATTCAAGATACCACAGAGAAGGAATTCAGAATCCTATGAGATAAATTTAACAAACAGATTGAAGTGATTTTAAAAAATTAATCAGAAATTGTGGAGCTGAAAAATTCAATTGACATGAGGAAGAATGCATCAGAGTCTCTCAACAGCAGAATTAATGAAAGAAAAGAAATAATGAACATGAAGACACACCATTAAAAAATACAGTCAGAGAAGACAAAAGCAAAACAAAGAATGAAGCATGCTTACATGATCTAGAAAATAGTCTCAGAAAGGCAAATCTAAGAGTTATTGGCAATAAAGAAGAAGTAAAGAGAAGTAAGGGTAGAAATTTTATTTGGAGGGATAATAACAGATAACTTCCCAAACCTAGAGAAAGATATCAATATCCAGCTACACGAAGGCTATAGAAAACCAAGCAGACTTAATCCAAATAGGACTACCTCAAGACACCCAATAATCAAACTCTCAAAGGTCAAGAATAAAGAAAGGATCTGAAAAAGCAGCAAGAGAGAAAAAGCAACACAAAATGGAGCTCCAATATATCTAACAGCAGACTTCTCAGTGGAAATTTTACAGGCCAGAAGAGAGTGGCATGACACATTTAAAGTGCTGAAAGAATAAAACTTTTATCCTAGAATAGTATATCCAGCAAAAATATTCTTCAAACATCAAGGAGAAATACTTTCCCAGACAAACAAAAACCGAGGAATTTCATCAATACCAGACCTGTCCTACAGGAAATGCCAAAGGGAGTTCTTCAATCTGAAAGGAAAGGACATTAATGACCAATAAGAAATTATCTGAAGGTACAAAACTCATTGGTAATAGTAAGTACAGAGACAAATACAGACTATTATAACACCAGAATTGTGGTGTACAAACTACTTATATCTTGAGTAGAAAAACTAAAAGATGAACCTATTGAAAATAATAACTACAACAAATTTTCAAGGAATAGATAGTATAGCAAGATATAGATGGAAACAACAAAAAGTTAAAAAGCAGGGAGAAAAAATTAAAGTGTAAAGTTTGTGTTAGTTTTCCCTTTGCTTATTATTTCACTTTTGCAATCAGTGTTAACTTGTCATCAATTTGAAATAATGTTGTTATTTGCAAGATAAGATGTTATTTGCCATCCTCATGGAAAACTCAAATTTAAAAAAAAACCTGTTACAAATATATAAAAAACAAAAAGCAAAAAATTAAAACTTAGCACCAGATAAAACTACCTTCACTAAAAAAAGACAAGAAGAAAGAAAAGAAGGAAGAGAAAGACAATGAGAAAACAAATAACAAAGGGCAGGAGTAAATCCCTACTTATCAATAATAACATTGAATATAAAGGGACTAAACTCTCCAATAAAAAGACATAGAATGGATTGATGATCTGTTAATTACAAGAAACACACTTCAACTATAAAGGCACACATAGAGTGAAAATAAAAAGATAGAGAAAGATATTCCATGGAAAACCAAAAAAGAGCAAGACTAGCTCTGCTTATGTCAGACAAAACAGATTTCAAGACAAAACCCATAAAAAGAGACAAAGGTCATTTTATAGTGGTAAAAGGGTCAATTCAGCAATAGGATATAATAATTGTAAATATATATGCACTCAACAGTGGAGCACTCAGATATATAAAACAAAAGTTATTAGAGCTAAAGAGAGAAATAGACCCTAATACAATAATAGCTAGAGACTTCAACACTCTACTTCCAGTATTGGACAGATCATTCTGAAAGAAAATCAACAAAGAAACATCAGACTTAATCTGTACTATAGACCAAATGGACCTATCAGATATTTACAGAACATTTCATCCAAGTGCTGCAGAATACACATTCTTCTCCTCAGCACATGAATCACTGCAAAGGATAAACCATATGTTAGGCCACAAAACTAGCCTTAAAACAAAAAAAAATTAATTATATTAAATACTTTCTGTGACCACAATGAAGTAAAACTAGAAATCAATAACAAGAGAAACTTTGGAAACTATAGTAACACATGGAAATTACACAATATGTTCCTGAATGACCAGTGGGTCAAGAAGTCATTAAGAAAGAAATTGAAAATTTTATTGAACAATGCCCATCAATGACAGACTGGATAAAGAAAATGTGGTACATATACACCATGGAATACTATGCAGACATAAAAAGGAATGAGGTCATGTCCTTTGAGGGACATGGATGAAACTGGAAGCCATCATCCTCAGCAAACTAACTCAGGAACATAAAACCAAACAATGCATGTTCTTATCCATAATTGGGAGTTGAACAATGAGAACACATAGACACAGGGAGGGGAACAACACACGCCAGGGCTTGTTGGGGGGTGGGGTCGAAGGGACAGAACTTAGAGGACAGGTCAGTAGGTACAGCAAACCACCACGGCGCATGTATACTTACGTAGCAAACCTGCACATTCGGCACATGTATCCTGGAACTTAAAGTAAACTATATTTTTTTAAATCCCCACTTGTACCTTACCTTCTAGTCACAATTTTCAAAAATAGATTTTCATAATTAAAAAAAAGAAAATTTTATTGAGTCAAATGGAAATGGAAACACAATATATAATATATATAATACCAAAATCTATAGGATGCAGGAAACCGTACTAAGAGGAAAGTTTATAACAATAAGTGCCTATAATAAAAAAGTAAAAACAATATTTTACAATAAAAAAGTAAACAACCTAATGATGCATCTTAAAAAACTAGAAAAGCAATAGCAAGCCAAATCCAAAATTAATAGATGAAAGGGAATAATAAAAATCAGAGCAGAAATGAGACTGAAACAAAAAATACAAAAGATCAATAAAATGAAAAGTTAGTTTTTGAGAAGATAAGCAAAATTGACAAATCTTTAGCAAGTCTAAGGAAAAAAGAGAGAAGACCCAAATAAATCAGAGATGAAAAAGAAGACACAACAACTGATACTGCAGAAATTCAAAGGTTCATTAGAGGCTAATGTGAACAACTATATGCCATGGCTCTGGAAAACCTGTAGAAGAAATGAATAAATTCCTAGACACGTAAAACTACCAAGAATGAACCATGAAGAAATCCAAAACTTGAATAGGCCAATTATAAGTAAAAGAAAAGCTGGGGACCTGATGAATTTTACCAAATATTTAAAGAAAAACTAATACCAATCCTACTTGAACTATTCTGAAAATAAGAGAAGGAGGGAATACTTCCAAACTCATTCTACAAGTTCAGTATTGCCCTGATACAAAAACCAGATAAAAACATAAAAAAAAGAAAACTACAGGTCAATATCTCTGATGAATATTGATGCAAAAATTCTCAACAAAATACTATCAAACTGAATACAGCAATACATGAAAAAGATCATTCCATCATGACCAAGTAAGATTTATCCTAGGAATGCAAGGATGATTCAATATATGCAAGTGAATCAAGGTGAGGCATTATACCAAAAGAATGAAAGACAAAAACCATATGATCATTTCAACTGATGCTGAAAAAGTATCTGATAAAATTCCACATCCCTACATGATAAAAACCCTAAAACAAAAACTGAGTATAGAAGAAACATACCTTAACACAATAAAAGTCATATACTACAGACCCACAGTTAGTAGCATACTGAATAGGTAAAACTAAAATCCTTTCTTCTAAGATCTGGAACACAACAAGGATGCCCGCTTTCACACTGTTATTCAACATAGTACTGGAAGTCCCAGCTGGAGCTATCAGACAAGAGAAAGAAATAGAGGGCATCCAAATTTAAAAGGAAGAAGTCAAATTATCTTTGTTTGCAGATGATATGCTCATTTATTTGGACTCCACCCAAAAAATATTAGAACTGATAAAGAAATTTAGTAGTATTGCAGGATACAAAATCAACATACAAAAATCAGGTGTATTTCCATGTGGCAACAGCAAGCAGTCTGAAAAAGAAATCAATAAAGTAATCCCATTTATAATAGCTACAAATAAAATAAAAACTATGAAACATTGAGGCAAGAAATTGAGAGGACACACAAAAAAAAGGAAAGGTATTCCACGGTTACGGATGGAAATATCTGTGCCACCCAAAGCAACCTACAGAATCAATGCAATTCCTGTCAAAATACCAATGACATTCTCCACAGAAACAGAAAATAATCCTGAAATTTATATAAAACCATAACAGACCCAAAAAAAGCCAAAGCCATTCTGAGCATAAATAAATAAATAAATAAATAAATAAATAAATAAATAAATAAATACTGGAGAAATCACATTACCTGGCTTTAAATTATACTACAGAGCTATACTAACCAAAACAGCATGGTACTGGCATAAAAACAGATACATAGAACACTGGAACAGAATAGAGAACCCAGAAACAAATCCACATACCCACAGTGAACTCATTTTTGACAAAGGTGTCAAGAACATACACTGGGAAAAAAGCCTCTTTAATAAATGGTGTTGGGAAAACTGGATATCTGTATGCAGAAAAATGAAACTAGATTCCTATCTCTTGTCATATACAAAAATCAAATCAAAATGAATTAAATACTTAGATCTAAGATCTAGAACTATAAAACTACTAAAAGAAAACTTAGGGAAATTCTCCAGGATATTAGTCTGGGCAAAGATTTCTTGAGTAATACCCCACAAGCACAGGCAGACAAAGCAAAAACGGACAAATGGATTGACCACAAGTTAAAAAGCTTCTTCACAGCAAAGGAAAACAATTAATAAAGTGAAGAGACAACATACAAAATAGGAGAAAATATTTGCAAGCTATCCATCTGACAAAAGACTAATAACTAGT